>NC_000023.11:25887488-27137488 GCF_000001405.40 Homo sapiens
TGGACACAGGAAGGGGAACATCACACTCTGGGGACTGTCGTGGGGTGGGGGGAGCGGGGAGGGATAGCATTAGGAGATATACCTAATGCTAAATGACGAGTTAATGCGTGCAGCACACCAGCATGGCACATGTATACATATGTAACTAACCTGCACATTGTGCACATGTACCCTAAAACTTAAAGTATAATAATAATAAAATAAAAAAAAGAAAGTACAGAAACAGAAGAGATTCAAAGAATTATCCTCTAGCCCACTCATTCCATGTTAAAATAAATAACATTTTATGAAAAATGGCTATTTTCCAAAACAAAATAAAATTATTGGAGAGAGTGGCATTGCTTTACAAGTTTACAAATCTATTCAATGTCTGGTTTAGTGAAAGAAGTGTATCTGCTTTTGCATTCATTCTGTTTTGATATCACATGTTATATAGCGTTTGGAAACTTCTATATACTCACAAGAAAATGAAAAGTCAAATAACATATATTGATGATGATTGATAGTTTTTTGATGTTACTGACTCTCTGAAAGGGTCTCGGGAATTCCCAAGGGTGCCCAGACTACACTTTGAGAACTGATTCCATGTATCAGTACAAATAAAACAGTGCAGAAACTAATCGCATGGATGAACCTCAAAGGACCAAATATATCAAAAACAAAATTGAATATACTATGTGATTCCATTTATATTAACTTCAGAAAGATAAAATTAATTGTGATAGGAGTCGGAAAGGTTAGCGATTAGGAGGAGGTATGGATAGGGACAGTGCTGAGTTCCTGGCTACATTTTGATTCTTACTAGTGTTTTCATAAATGCACTGACTGCATAAATTGGAAAAAATGTGTACAAGAATGGTTTTAGCAGCATTCTCTATTAGAGTTATGTGTTGTGTCCCACCAAAGGATGTGAAGTCCTAACCCCCAGTAATCAGAATGTGACTTTATTTGGTCATGGGGTCATTGCAGATGTAGTTGGTTAAGATGAGGTCATACTGGAGTACACTAGGTTCTTAATTCAATATGACTGCTATTCTTACAGGGAAAGGGAAGTTTGGGCAGAAATACATAGGGAGAATGTCATGTGATAACAAAGACAAATATTGGAATTATGCAGCTGCACACCAAGGAATGCCAAAGATTGCTGGCAAATAAACATAAGCTAGAAAGAGGAAAGGAAAGATTCCCCTACAGGTTCCAGAGGGAGTATTGCCCTGCAGACACCTTGAATTTGGACTTCCATCCTCCAGAACTGTGAGACAATACATTTCTAATGTTTTAAGCCACTTGATTTGTAGTACTTTGTTATGGCAGCCCTCGGGAAATAGTACAGCAAGTAACTGGGAGCAACCTAGATGTCTGAAACAGATGGAAAATTAAATAAAATACTGCAAGAAAATTTTTAAATAAATGAGGTAGATATGTAAGTACTAATATAAAAATGTTCAAAATAAATCTAAAAGAGCAAGTTACATAAAAATGTATTGTTACATTTGTGTAAAGGAAACTAATACACGTGTGTGTGTGTGTCTATTTGTAAGGAAACAATAGAAATATCAATAGTTTTATGTCTGTGGGATAAATAACCAGAAAAAGGGAATATCTTATTTTTTTACTTTAACCTTTAATTTTTAAACCATAATCATGTATAGCTTTTATAATGGAAAAAATGCAAATCTGTTCCTTTACTGTCCAAGTTATTTCAGTGGATTCTTTTTGCCTGTAAAAGTTGAAATCCTTATCCAAGACCTACACTGTGGCTTCCCCAAACTCTCCATCCTTGGCTTTACCTCTTTCTGTCCCTACTCTTTCTTACCTCTAAATGGTGCCTGGAACATAGAAGACACTCAAACATTTGTTACTTGAATAAATAAATTAATTAACTGCTCCAATGCACCTTAAGTTTAACAGATCAAGGCCTTCTTTCTAAATATAACACTTTCAACTTTCTCAACCTATCCCCTTCGCATCTTATAAGGCTAAGCTTAAACATCACTTCTGCTAGGAAGACTGCCTGACATTGCAAACTTTGTTAGGTCTGTCTGGTTCTAGGCTCCCAGGACACCTATTTCTCCCACTTAACACTCAGAATAGTAGTACTGAGGTTGAGTATCCCTTTCTGAAATGCTTAGGACCAGAAAGTAGTGTTTCAGATTTTAGATTTTTTTCAGATTTTGGAATATTTGCACATACATAATGAGATATCTTGGGACTCAAGGCTAAACATGAAATTCATTTATGTTTCATATACATCTTATACACATAGCCTGAAGGTATCTTTATACAATATTTTAAATAATTTTGTGCATAAAACGAAGTTTATATTAAGTACTTATGTGTGGAATTTTCCATGGTGGTGTCATGTCACTGCTCATAAAGTTATGGATTTTGGAGCTTTTCAGGTGTCAGATTTTCAGATTAAGGAAGCTCATCGTGTAATCTTGTATAGTCATGAGTTACTTAATGATGGAAATACATTGTGAGAAATGCATCAGTAAGGCGATTTAGTTGTGCGAACATCATAGAGTGTACTTATATAAACCTAGATAGTATAGCCTACTACACACCTAGACTATATGGTGTAGCCTATGGGTCCTAGGCTACCAATTTTTATAGCATGTGACTACTGAATACTGTACGCAGTTGTAACACAATGACAAGTATTTGTTTCTCTAAACATAAATAAACAGAAAAGATACTGCGAAAATATGATATAAAAGATTAAAAATGGTACCCTATATAGGGTACTTACTGTGGATGGAGCCTGAAGGACTAGAAGTTGCTCTGGGTGAGTGAGTGGTGAGTGAATATGAAGGCCAGGACATTACTATACACTACTATAGACTTTATAAATACTGTACACTTAGGCTACCCTAAATTTATAAAAATATTTTTCTTTCTCTAAAACAAATTTAACTTTTGCTTACTTTAAGCTTTCTACTTTTTAAACTTTTCAATTTTTTTAGCTTTTTGATTCTTTTTTAATAAAACTTAGCTTAAAACACACACATTGTTCAGCTGTACAAAAATATTTTTTCTATAAGCTTTGTTCTATTTATTTACTTTTTAAATGTTTTTGTTAAAAACAAATGCACAAACACACACATTAGCCTAGGCCTAAACAGCGTCAGGATCAATGTCAACGTCACTGTCTTCTACCTCCACATATTGTCCCACTGGAAGGTCTTCAGAGGCAATAACTCACATGGAGCTGCCATGTCCTACGATAACAATGCTTTCTTCTGGAATACCTCCTGAAGGGGCTCCCTGAGACTGTTTTACAGTTAAACTTAAAAAAATCAGTAGGACTACACACAAAAATAACCAAAAAAGTATAGTATGGTAAAATACATAAACCAGTAACATAGTAATTTATTATCAAGTATTATGTACTGTACATAGTTGTATATGTGATACTTTCATATGACTGGCAGGGCAGTAGGTTTGTTTACACCAGCATCATCACAAATACATGAGTAATATGTTATGCTATGACTTTACAAATGGCTACGATATCTCTAGGCATAGGAATTTTTCAGCTCCTTTATAATCTTATAGGACTACCTTCATTAATGTGGTCTGTCGTTGACCCAAACATTGTTATGTTGTGCATGACTATAATTACAACTGTGACCACCCCTGCCAGTCCGTCTAGCCTACTCCCTATCTTCACTCCGTTATTTCTCAATGACCCCTAAATCTCCAATCTATTTATATTACATTAATATTTCTATACCCACAATCCCACCCCCCATACACTCACTTCCTTTATTATTTAGCTTATATTCTGGAGTCCTTCAATTGTAGCAAGTCTCTGGCCATTACTAACTTACTTGCCCTTCATACTGCACTTACCTGGCAAAATGCTTTACCTTCCACATGATCTCTTTATCTCATTTACATTTTGTTTTCTAAGATATTCTTTTTGCAGTGAGTCCTCCTTTCTCCTGAATTATCAGCTATTTCTGCTGTATAAGATCATTCTATTGTCATACAAAATATTCTCTGGTGTCTTTGTCATTAATATATCTAATCTTGACATAACTTGAGTATAAGTATCATTCATTAATATTACTTGAGGATGCATATTATACTTATGTACTCAATGTAAAGATGATTCAGAATAAATTCTAAAATTACTAAGATGAGAAATAGCATGGAGTTTATTTTAAATATTCACGTAATGTTTCTAAGATGCTGAACTTTTGAGCTCTGCTCTTTTTATACTTTATTCAGGTTCAGCTACATTTAAAATAACAGAACTATTCATTTTAGCAATTGACATAACAAACTCTGACTACTATTCAAAATTTTATGATATATCAGAATACTGGAGAGGGAAGTAAGCCTATGCAAAATATACAGAAAAGTTTTTTTCTTTGTTATTCTAGTAACCTCACAACTACTCAATAAATCCCTTTATGATTATGTAGTACTTGTTCCTGAAGCCATAATAAAAGTACAAAAAAGAAAAGAGAACAGAGGTTTTAGTCATATCTACCTGGCAAAATATCAGCCATATCTACATGGAGAGTCCGCATAGTATGAAAGTTTGCTTATAGAAACAAGCTTTCAAAGGTGTAGTTCATAGAATACCACGCTTTCACCAACTAGATAGTGGCTAATATGACAGGTCAATCTAAATAACAGAATAATATGTCAACATAGTTGGTGAAACAACATTGTTTTGCTTGACCAAATGCTAAACTAAAAGGTTCAGACAGATTTAAGGAAATCTGAGATGGTATCATTGAACTCTAGAAACTTAGAAAAGTAGAATGAATTATTGCTTGGGTCAAATCAGCAAGTTGTAACTCAGCAAGTATAACTCAACAAGAATCTCTTGAGCCCCTGCTACATGCAAGGCATTGCCCTAAGCACGGGCTTTGGATCTGTGGAAAGGAGTGAGGTAGGTAATCTCTCTCATCCTTGATTTTGAAGACACCAGTTTACCCTCCATTCTTTCATGTTCTACAAGTCTCTGTGTAAATGAAATTTTATCCAGGCCAGTTAAAAACTTACTTACCCCTGAGTTGTTAACGTAACATTTATAACTGGTCTCCCCACCACCAATGTATCTCCAGAGCAAACACCTCATGGCAGGCTCTGAGTTTGTACTAATTCAGTACAGCATAATCAGGAAACTAGTACACTCTTTTATGCTAGGACAAGGTCCTTTTGAACTGCATCTTTTGGTATTATCCCTTTTTTAGCCTGTGTCTTAGCTACATGGAATTGCTTGGAGTTTCCAGAATATCTCAAACTTTCCTACTTTAGTACTTCTGTACATGGGTCCTGTGTCTGGAATGACTTTTCCTGCCTACTTTATCTCTTTCATTTTTGCTTTATTGTTTTGAATTGTTGATATTGTTACTATTTTTTAACTTATTTTTTTCTATTGGCATGATTGTACTTTTTTCTGGTTTTCTTTTAATTCTGGGAAATTTGGAATGTTTTGGAAAATAAAACAAAAATCTCACCATCCAAATCTATCTATAACTGTAGTTTTGGTCTGTATACGTCTAGTCATTTATTTGAACAACTTTATAATTTAAACTCTTATAGACTATCATGAATGCTATTTTATAATCTACCATTCCTTGTAATATTGTGAGCTTCTATTATTACTATTTGATAATCTAATAACTATTTTTAACTATCACAATTACATTCAACTGTAGGAGATTGGTCAGAGTGGTGGGAGAAATCATAGGGAAAGGGCACAAACCTTCTGAAAAGTCAGAAGGCTCTGCATAGCATCGGGGGAGAAGCTGAAGGCAGTCATTCTCTTACCTTGAGGCAGAGGGCAAGGAGTAGGTACAAGGAAGTGTAAGGAAATTTAGCATAAACAGGCTTGTTTACTTATGTTAACCAGGAACCGACCTTTGATCATCCGCACGTGAGACTGCTCCCAGAAAGGGGGAACAATGTTAATTACCCACAGACTACGTTGGATCCAGGCTTTCGGCATTATGTCTGTACTAAATAAAAGCAAGCGCTGCAGCTTATTAAAACTGCTCACTCTTTGGCAGTCCCCTAGCTGCTCTTACACTGCATACATGTGTCTGAGTACTCCTTTCATCCATTGCTCAGCCAGGGTCTGCGGGACGGACCTGGCAGCTGGTGCCCTGTGTGAGGATCACTGCAACGGATCGTGACAGAACCCTCAAAAATGAAGGTGAAGAGACTGTGCAGTCAGTAAGTCATTGGTGCCCACTTGGGATTTCCAAGTTTGAGGGAATTTTCAAGCTAGGGTTTCATCATGGGACAACAGTTATCAGATAACAGCAACAGTATATAAAAGTATTGAAACAGCTGCTTAAAGCTAGCAGAGCCTCGGTTTCTCAAGCTCAATTAAGGGATCTTATGCAAACTGTTGTTTCCTGTAACCCATGGTTCCCAGAAGAAGGTACGCTAGACCTAGAGCTCTGGGAGCAAGTGGGGAGAAATCTTAAACAACATCCTGCACAACGGCAACGGGTCCCAGTAAACATCTTTAACGTTATGGGCCTTAGGACTGCTTTGGCCCTACTCTACACAGAAGAGCCTATAAAGGGAAGGGAGGAAGAACCATCACCTACCTTACCACCTCCTCCTCCTCCCTCAGCCCTGCTGTTACCGGGTAAAGATACAAAAGACGAAAAAGATTTTCCCTGAGCCCCCTCCCCGAACACATCGGAAAAAAGACAAGGGATACACTACAGTTATGGAACCCTGTCTTAGGCAAGCAGCATGAGAAGGGGAGCTCTTGGCCTGCCCGGTGATGCAAGATCAACAAGGCAATACTTATAAAGAGATAAGGAAAAGCATTAGAGAAAAAGAAGCCACTAGCCCATTTATGAAAGGATTAATTGAGACCACAGCAGACTACTTCCATGTGACCCCATGGGACTGGTCAGTGCTAGCTAAAACAACTTTAGAGCCCAGTCAATACCTCCTTTGGAAGGCAGAATATGATGAGTTGTGCAAACAACAAGCCAACCGGATTCAATTTGCCAGGCAAAACATAATGGCTGCTATGCTCCAGGGCAGTGGTCCCTATGTGAATGTGCAACAACAATTAAGTTTTGTTCCCCAGGCCTGTGCACAAGTGTCTTTGTGTGCTCTCAGGGCTTCGGACCAAATTCTCTAATGCCGAATTCAACAGGTATCTTTTGTAAATATTCGACAAGGGCCTCAGGAGCCATTTGTTGAATTTATCAATCGGTTAACCCAGGCAATTAAAAAACAATCATGCACAGGCCACTGATATCTTATTGTTGCAGTTGGCTTATGAAAATACTAATGTAGACTGCCAGCAGGCAATGCAGGAAATCAGAGGAAAGGCAGCTACAGTTGAGAAACTTATATGAGCATGTCAGCTGGTGGGGACTGAAACACACAAATCCAGAATATTGGCTATGGCATTAAAGTCTCCTAACGTGAAAAGGGAGAAAAACCCAAATTGTTTTCTGTGTGAAGAGCCAGGTCATATGAAGCGGGAATGCCCCAATAGTAAAGACCAAAGTAACTCAGAAAAAGTACCCCCCTCTATATGCCCCCAATGTAAAAAGGGGAAACATTGGACAAATCAATGCAAGTCTAAATTTGATAAAAATGGGAACCCCCTAAGTAATCAAGTGGGAAATTTAATGCAGGGCCAGCCATAAGCCCCACTCCAAACTGGGGCAATGCCAGCGGCTTTCCTTGGTCAGATGGGAGGCCCACAATTCTCTTAGAGCAGCCACCTCAGGGAGCCCAGGACTGGACTTACTCTGCCCCAATGAATTAGTGCTAAAAGGAGGAGAAGACCCTAAAAGGGTTGCAATATGAATCTGGGGCCCACAGCCTCTGGGAACAGTGGGATTAGTCCTAGGGTGATCAAGCATATCCAGTAAAGGAATCAGTGTGCTCACCAGGGTAATTGTGATTATCAAGGTGAGATATTAGTTATGTTGCAATGTAAAGGTCTACATATTCTTCCCCCTAAATCTAAAATAGCTCAGTTACCAGTTGTACCATCCTGGGTCCCCAGCGCCCAGGGAAAGGAAAGGGGAGAAGGAGATTTTGGAAGCACAGGAGCCACAAGAGTATATTGGGACCAATTAATCACTGATCAGAGACCCATGATTACTTTAAAAATTGGAAATGAAAATTTTACTGGCTTATTAGACACAGGGGCAGACATTTCAATCATTAGTGATCAAAACTTGGCCGTGGGTCACTCAGAAACAAAAAAATTGTTGGACTGGGGAAGCACATACAGCCAAGAAGAGCACGCACTCCCTAACATGTAGCGATTCAGAGGGAAGGAAAGCAGTCATACACCTCTAATCATGCCCATCCTTGTTAATCTTTGGGGACAGGACCTATTAGCCCAATGAGGGGGTCACTCTGCTGACCCCTTTCTAATAACAGCCACTTATTCCTTCCCTGCCCCTGACGTGGCTCTCTCATAATCCAATTTTGGTAGAGCAGTGGCCTTTAAAGGGAGAGAAATTACAAAGAGCCCATGAATTAGTTTAGGAATAATTAAAAGCTGGCCATATAAAACCATCAAACAAAAGGATGAGTTCATGTCCTTTGTAGGGACATGGATGAAGCTAAAAACCATCATTCTGAGCAAACTTTCGCAAGGACAGAAAACCAAACACCACATGTTCTCACTCATAGGTGGGAGTTGAACAATGAGAACACTTGGACACAGGGTGGGGAACATCACACACCGGGGCCTGTCGTGGGGTGGGGGGAGTGGGGAGGGATAGCATTAGGAGATATACCTAATGTAAATGACGAGTTAATGGGTTCAGCACACCAACATGGCACATGTATACATATGTAACAAACCTGCATGTTGTGCACATGTACCCTAGAACTTAAAGTAAAAAAAAAAAAAAAAAAAAAAAAAAAAAACCTATCAAACAGTCCTTGGAATTCGCCCATTTTTGTCATTCCCAAAAAATCTGGTAAATGGAGACTTTTGCATGACTTACATGTTATCAATGCTAATTTGCAACCTACGGGGCCCCTTCAGCAGGGGCTCCCTTCCCCCCGCAGGGATTCCTCGAGATTGGCCCATTGTCATTATTGACTTAAAAAACTGTTTTTATACTGTTCCCCTTGCAAAACAGAACAGAAAAAAATTTGTGTTTACAATACCAGCTGTCAATAATGAATGGCCAGCTCGCAGATTTCACTGGAAAGTACTTCCTCAAGGAATGCTAAACAGTCCTACCATGTGTCAGTATGATGTAAATCAGCCTTTGCTCCCCAGTAGAAAAGAATTTCCTAATTGCAAGATCATCCATTTTATGGATGATCTCTTACTGGCAGCCCCAACAGAGCCAATACTTTCAAATGTATATGCCTCTGTCAAAAAGAATACACAGTTAAAAGGTTTAATCATAGCACCTAGAAAAGACAAATGACCTCTCCTTGGAAATATCTTAAATACATACTAACTTCCCAGTCAGTAAGACCTCAAAAGGTTAAACTGAACACTGACAACTTACACACCTTAAATAATTATCAAAAATTACTGGGCAATATTAACTGGCTTCGCCCCACCTTGGGCATAACTACTGATAAATTACAGAACCTGTTTTCTATGCTAAAGGGCAATGCAGCCCTGGACTCTCCCAGGTATTTAACCCCCGCTGCAAAAAGGGAAATTGAGGAAATAAAGCAAACTATTTCTCAGAGGCAACTAGATCGCATAAACCCGTGATATTCAGTCCAATTATTTGTATTTCCTACTAAACGTTCCCCAACAGGATTAATAGGACACATGGCCCCAGGGCTACATTTCCTGGAATGGGTTTTTTGCTCACATACCTGGACTAAAACACTATCTCCCTATGTCCAGCTACTTAGTAAAGTCATCTATACAGGCCGCAGATGATGCAATCAATTGCTAGGTTAAGACCCTGATGTCATAAGAATACCCTTAAGTAAACAATTTGAAGCAGTCCTGCCCCTATCTCTAAACCTTCAGATAGCACTCTGAATATGCGGGTCATATAAAATGCCCTTCCCGCTGACTATTCCAGTTCTTATCTCATACTCCTATAGTTATACCTACAAAGGTAGTTCACTCCCCAATACCTAACGCTTTAACACTTTTCACTGATGGCTCTGGTAAAAATGGAAAAGCAGCTATTTGGTAGGAACCGCATAACTCCCTCACTCAATCTGGATTTACTAGTACTCAGAGAGCTGAGGTTAAAGCCCTAATATTGGCCCTAGAAACCCTTTCCGCTCAGCATATCAATATTGTTAGTGACTCTGCTTACTCTGTTTATTTATTGCAGAACCTTGAGACAGCCCTCATTAAGTCCACTGTCAATCCCACCCTGTGTGGACTTTTTCTTCAACTTCAGCAATTGCTGGATCAATGTACATATCCTATTTTTATTACACACATTCAGGCCCACAGCTTGCTTCCCGGTCCACTAATTCATGGCAATGATCAAGCAGACCTGCCGGTTATGACGTCACTGCTTGACCAAGCCACCCAATCGCATCAATTGTTCCACTAAAATTGGAGAAACTTAACAATTTCAACTTACCCAAAGACTAAACAAATTATTTTACAGTGACCAGATTGCCAGCTCACAGGCACATCCCCTCCTTCAACAAGTGTTAACCCTAGAGGACTAGAACCTAATCAATTATGGCAAACAGATGTTACACACATCCCTAAATTTGGAAAACTAAGATATGTACATATATCCAGTGATACCTATTCCCACCTAATTAGTGCTTATGCTCTTCCTGGAGAGTCTGACCAATATATCATTAAACATCTTAACTTTTGCGTTTATGGGATGGCCCACAGAAATTAAAACTGATAATGGTCCGGCTTATGCCAGCTCACAGTTTCACAAGTTTTGTCACACATGGAACATCCAACATTCCACAGGCATCCTGTATAACCCCCAAGGACAGGCCATAGTAGAACATGTCCACCCCACCCTTAAAAATGTACTCAGAAAACAAAAAAGGGGGAATATGAGTAAGGACCCTATAACACTATTGGCACAAGCCTTATTTACCCTTGACTTTTTAAATTTAGATAAATTTCAATCAGCCATAGAAAAGCATTTTGTAAAACCCCCTTAAGACACAAAACCCACGGCTTTCTGGAAAGATGTAAATAGTAATGTATGGTGTGGTCCAAATGATTTGTTAACATGGGGAAGACAATATGCTCGTGTTCACACCCCCTCAGGTCCGCTTTGGACAGCACACCAAACCATACTGTGGTGTGGCTAGGACCCAACCTGGTACCAGAAATGAAGAAAATGACCCTGCAGGACCCACAGCCCCAGACGATGCGGCTTCCTTGGATGACACAGACCTTGGATATTACCTGGGGGATGCTGAAGATGACAACTCAGAAGGCTGAGTGAATCCTGCTCTGGACACAGATGCCATTCACTCCAGATAATTTGTTCCTTGCTATGCTTTCTGTTGTACACTGCAACTCTCATAGGTTATTAACCTTTCTTATTCTCTCACTCTGCCTGCAACCCGTACCTGCTACCTCTATTGGGCCCATCTTCTGGATCTGCCCTTCTTTCACCCTGTTACTTGGGCGGACACCCCCTTCCCAGCCTCTAACAATGTGACTACTTGGCTAGGAGGGATTGACATACCCCCAGCAGGGTCCCTCATTAATGGCACACATTGGACTAAGATGCCAGGTAACACTACATATCACTTCACTATCCTCCCACTGTGTGTAAGTTATAAAAGTTCTAACCCCTACTCTGTACCTGCCTAAACATAATTATAGCTACATCATGGCAAAGGAAATGCCTTAACATTCTTGGTTGCAGGTAGCCTCAAACCAGGCAACGCAACCAATGCCACTTTCCCGACATTCCTCCCTGTGCTAAAGAACAAAGGCAGGAAAGTAATGGATTCCACTTTGGCTGGGAGATCTGTCATAGGGGACAAGCCCATAGCCTCCAGTTAGGCGATTATAACATCATAGACTGGAGCCACCACAGCCACTTGCAGGCTAACCATACTGATGTCCGCATCCATCGTGGCATCAATCACAGTTTCGTAGGCACATCCCATTCCCCTATGATTTGGGCTGATGGGGGGATGGGATATTCCAGACCCCAAATTAAGTCCATGCCTCTCCAAGACACTTTATGGTGCCTGGGACATCTTAGCACCACCCTTAAAACCTGGCATAGGAAATATCAAAATTCCAGTAACAATTATAGTATGACCTTTATTCGTAATTACACAGTTCAATGCCTGATTTGCACTTCCCATCCATACATTTTCCTTATGGAAACCAGTATTTCCATAATACCCCAAAACTCCACGTTTGTGACCTGAGTGCAGGGACAGACTTGGTTCGCCTCATGTATCACTAATTACAATATATCTAATTTAAATATTACTAGTGTCATGGTATTAAGAAGACAATCGGAGGCATTACTACCGGTCAATTTGACACCTGATTGGCAAGGTTCATCTGTTCTTGCCACCTTAGAGTGAGCCCTGTCCCAGGTCAGACACAAAAGATTCATAGGTACACTTATAGCCTTTATAAGTCTCAGCCATAGTCATCCTAGCCACTGCTAGTGTTGCTGTTGCATCTATTACTGAATTGGTACAAACAGCTACCTTTGTGGATAGCTTAGCCAGAAATGTGTCTAATGAACTTCTCCTACAGCAGGGTATAGATAAAAAAATTCTTGCACGTCTGCAAGCCCTTGAGGCGCCTTGGAATATGTAGGGGAACGACAAGATGCACTGGCATTCCAACAGCAATTAAACTGCGACTGGGAACATAAGCATATTTGTGTCACCTCTCTACCACGGAATCAATCAATATGTAGTTGGGATGAGGTGAAACAACACCTCTGGGGAACCTTACATGATAATTTAACAGCAGACATAAAGCAACTTAAAACTAAAATGCAAGAATCCCTAAATGCCATAGATCTACATGCCCAACAAACAGCCATATGGAAGGATCATCTAATAAATAGGGCTTGGTTAAATTATTATTTTTGGAAACATAAATTAAAATTGGAGCCCTATATCCAACTATACAAGAAAATCAATCCCAGGTAAATTAAATACAGACATGTAGTTAAAAATCACACATGTACACAAATTAGAATAATGTATGGTTGAATATTAAGGTCCAGCTTGTCAAATTTTGTTTTTATTGCAATTGCTTTTGAGGACTTAGCCAAAAATTCTTTGCCAAGACTGTCAAGAAGAGTATTTCCTAGGTTTTCTCCTAGGATTTTTAGTTTGAGGTTTTACATTTAAATCTTTCATCCATCTTAAGCTAATTTTTTTTTTTTTTTTGCATTTCTACCATGTTATTTATTTTGGTAAGTACTGTCATCTTTTGTTATGAGCCATATTTCATTCAATAGTGTTTAATGACTTTTTTCCAAATCATTACTCCATAATATTTACTGAGAATCAAACAGAACTTACAATAGAAAAAAGAGACACTTGACACATTTTTAGAATACTTCATTGCTAATTTTTTTACGTAGTGAAAGGTAAGCATCCAGTTTCATTATTCTGCATATGGCTAGCCAGTTATCCCAGCACTATTTATTGAATAGGGAGTCCTTTCACCATTGCTTTAGTTGACCTTGTTGAAGATCAAATGTATGGCTTTATTTCTAAGTTTTCTAGTCTGTTCCATTGGTCTATGTGTCTCTTTCTTTACCAGTACCATGCTGTTTTGGTTACTATAGCCTTACAGTATAGTTCGAAGTCAGGTAGCCCGATGTCTCCAGCTTTGTTCTTTTTGCTTAGGATTGCTTTTGCTATTTCAGCTCTTTTTTGGTTCCATATGAATTTAATCATAGTTTTTCTAGTTCTGTGAAGAATGATGTTCATAGATTGATAGGAATAGTGTTGAAATTGTAAATTGCTTTGGGCAGTATGGCCATTTTAATGATACTGACTTTTCTAATCCATGAGCATGGAATGTTTTTCCATTAATTTGAGTCATCTCTGATTTGTTTCAGTAGTGTTTTGTAGTTCTTTTAGAGATCCCTCACCTTCTTAGTTAGCTGTATTCCTAGGTATTTAATTTTCTGTGTGGTCATTGTAAATGGTATTGTGTTCTTAATTTGACTCTCAGTCTGAACACTGTTGGTGTATTTAAATGCTACTTATTTTTGTATATTGATTTTGTATCCTGAAATCTTACTAAAATTATCAGATCTAGAGGCTTATTGGCAGAGTCTTTAGGTTTTTGTAGGTGCAGAATCATATAATCAGTGAAGAGAGATATAATGTTTTGACTTCTGCTTTTCCTATTTGGATGCCTTTTATTTCTTTCTCTTGCCTGATTCCTCCAGCTAGGCCTTCCTATTTATTTATTTACTTTTGTACTTAAATAGGTCTTCCTTGACCAGGAATCAAATTAATATTTAACCATACATTATTCTAATTTGTGTACGTGTGTGATTTTTAACTACATTTCTGTATTTAATTTACCTGGGATTGATTTTGTTGTATAGTTGCATATATGGCTCCAATTTTAATTTATATTTCCAAAAATAATAATTTAACCAAGCCCTATTTATTAGATTATCCTTCTTAATTAAACAGTAATTGTTTAGGTAAAACTTGATCTGTTTCTGGATTTTATGTTTCAGAGATCTCTCTATTCCTGCACTTTTCCACAGTATTGTAATAATTAGCATTTTAATATAGATTCTAATATACAGCACTGGAAGTTACCTTCTTCTAATTTTTTTGTTAATTCTTTCAAAAAGAAGTTTAGGATCATTTTGTTAAGTTAAAAGATAGCCATAATTTATCCAGAATATAATTTAAGTGAATGAGAATTTGTCTTTATATGAGTCTTTTTCACACAGAAATTGATTACCTCTTTCCATTTATGCATATCTTTTATATACTTTAGTAATTATATTTTGATATAAAATCCCATATCATTTATAACATTGTATTAAGTTTATTATTACCAGAGATTTTACATTTTTGATCACTAGCAGTAAGATCTTTTTTTCCACATTTTAAAATTAATGATTAGAAAAGATTGCTGTTGCTAGTCAGGGAAACTGCATTACTTGCGTTAGACTATACATACAAAATGTGGGGGTGATATTTAATATCAGGATTCAGAGGTATCTCAATGAACTTTGAGTCAGGGATTTTTCCAGAACACAGAAGTGAACTATAAGCAGTTTTCCCTGGTATTCCTTTTGCACATCTTGTTTGTCACTCTGTGCTTGTTTGCTTATTTTGTTTTTGCCTTTGAGATAGGCTTCCCCTGATTTTCCTAAAGAAAAAATATATGGTAGATGATTTGTCGAAAACAACTCATAGATGTTGACTTTATGTTTAGCAGGGTTAGCCATTCTTTCTCTCAGTCTGACTTTAAAATTCCCATGGAAAAGAGCATGGTTGACCCAAGTTGGATCAGGGTCCGATCCAGCACTGATCATCTCATTCCAGAGTACACTAGAAACCAAGTTTGTGTCAGATTCCTTTTTCCCCCATACTTACCTTCATGCAGCAGTTATCTGGAATAAAGTGAAAAGGTGAAAGTGTTAGTCTGGAGATTTGAAATAATAGTTGGCTTTCTTGTTATAAACCAGCTTATTCCTTGTATATATTTTTACTATTTCCAAAGACAGAATATTGTACCTTAAGGCTTATATTTTCTAGAGAAGTATCAATTATTTGTTTATGGAGGTTGTCTGTTCAGCTTCAGAAAAGGTTGCATGAGGAAAAATACTGTCTGTCAAAGTCAAAATATAACTGAATAAGGTACAGTCACAAGAGAACTGACTTTCAATTTAAACAACAAATAGTATGGATTCCTTGGCATCAGTAAAGAACTACAGCTTTAGATATTTATACCTGCTGTGAAACCATCTTTCATAGAATTAATATTTTCATTTAAAAGAAAAAGACAATGCATACAAGAGCTCTACTAGTCTGAGTGCATGTTGCAACAGGAGGGTGGTGGGTGTATCCCTCAGTAAATAGTGAGCCAATTAGCAATACTAAACTCCCACTCTAAAGCCACTCTGGTCTCAGGGATATGATGTCCTCTCTAGTCCCAGATCCATGGTGTGTACTCCTGCTGATCAAAGCTGTTTTGGAGTTGGTTGTCTTTTTCCATGGTGATAATGATCTTGGGTATCTGACAAACATAATCACAAAGTGACCTAGCCTTTACAACTTAGAAGCAATATAACAGATTGTGCCTTCTTTTCCTCATTTGGCAGCAAGATCTGAATCCCAAGCACCTAATTACCAACTGAATCTTTGTATTTCACTATTTGGCTACTAAAGTCTCTACAGGCTTGATTCATATCTCAAGCCATCTCAGAAGAAAGCCCGTAAGGGGTACAAGCTTTACTATCCCGAGCCAAAGAAGATTTAAGACAATAATGCCAAAGAAAGTTATATTCCTTCAACTCTGATTACTTGGTGCTAGGTTTTGACGCTTCTTATCTCAGTAATATCTTTCAGCTGGGGAGATCAAAATGACCACAAAGAAATAAAATCACTTTAGGTTCTGCTTTCAAAAATAAACTGTTTACTGCACATGAACAAATTAAGCCTTGTGTTTACTCTCACTTTTAGAGAGATGATGGTTGCTTTCCTGTGGTTGTTTGTAATGGGTTTTCTGAACAGATATGAAAGAATCACTGATAACAAAATTCTCTCATCTAAAATAATATAACTGGGAGGTGAGAAGTGAATCACTTATCAATTTTTGAATGATAGAAAAATGCCAAAATTACTTTCTTTAGATGTTTCAGAGATTTTTCATAGTAGGAAATTCTTTTGAATAACAGACTTAAATGTGTAATGGTCCATAGGGTATAAACAAAATCTTGTGTGTCAAGGTAACCTATATTTGCAGGGGCAAGAGAAAGGTAAAAGTGCTGAAAAGGCTCCCCGTTCCTGGGATTGCAGTAATTCTCAACCCTCCACAATTTTGGAATACAAAGCAGAACTCTTTTTATTTACATTTTATGATTCAAGGGAGTAGGTGGACCAGAAAAAAAGAATTGCTTTATGTTTCTTAAGGATTAATATTCTTAATAGCACTTTGCCCAGAGGTTTATTTTGATTGGCCCAATAGCTACATCCACTTGACACTTTCACCACTACTGCCCATTGCCCTGTACCCCTTTCAGATTCAGCCTGATTCTGATTTTTAGGACTGGTAGCTCATATGAATGACCAGTGCAGTTTTAAAATGTACAAAACATAGGAGATTCTCATTATATGCTTCTTGGATTTCTGGATCTGTATACAAACAACAAAATAATAATAACAAAGATGCTCTGAAGATAATTCTGATAAGCAGCCTCAGGCTCAACCTAACAGAGGAGAGATTTAGGAGGCTCCAGCCCATCAAGTCACCCTTTCTTCCGGTAGGTTCTAAGATATGTCCCTATATCATATGCCAAAGAGGGGTTGCCTGTTTGTAAGTTATTGACTTGGTAGCTTCTATAAGAAATGAAGTTTAAGAAAAAAAAATTCACTCCAATTGGGTGGAATTCTGCCCTTATAGTAAAGACCAATACTTGGAACTCTGTTACCCACTTCTAAGATTACATGATCCCAAAATCTGTCAATCCTGATTTTCCAATGTTGACTGTTGTTTCTTCCATTGCCATTGCCAGCAATTAAGAAATCAGCACAGTTTTATTTTGAATCCTCCAATAAAGAGTCCCTGGAGTACCATCCCTACATTTAACACTTTGATCCTGCCCTCTCCCTCTCCCCCTCCCCCTCTCTCCATCTCCGTCTCCGTCTCCCACTTTCCACGGTCTGCCTCTGATGCCGAGCCGAGGCTGGACTGTACTGCCACCATTTCAGCTCACTGCAACCTCCCTGCCTGATTCTCCTGCCTCAGCCTGCCGAGTGCCTGGGATTGCAGGCACGCGCCGCCACGCCTGACTGGTTTTTGTATTTTTTGGTGGAGACGGGGTTTCGCCGTGTTGGCCGGGCTGGTCTCCAGCTCCTGACTGCGAGTGATCTGCCTGCCTCGGCCTCCCGAGGTGCCGGGATTGCAGACGGAGTCTCGCTCACTCAGTGCTCAATCTTGCCCAGGCTGGAGTGCAGTGGCTTGATCTCGGCTCGCTACAACCTCCACCTCCCAGCCGCCTGCCTTGGCCTCCCAAAGTGCCGAGATTGCAGCCTCTGCCCATCCGCCACCCCGTCTGGGAAATGAGGAGCGTCTCTGCCTGGCTGCCCATCGTCTGGGATGTGAGGAGCCCCTCTGCCCGGCCGCCCAGTCTGGGAAGTGAGGAGCGCCTCTTCCCGGCCGCCATCCCGTCTAGGAAGTGAGGAGCATCTCTGCCCGGCCGCCCATCGTCTGAGATGTGGGGAGCGCCTCTGCCCCGCCACCCCATCTGGGATGTGAGGAGCGCCTCTGCCCGGCCACGACCCCATCTGGGATCTGAGGAGTGTCTCTGCCCGACCGCCACCCCGTCTGGGAGGTGAGGAGCGTCTCTGCCCGGCCACCCCATCTGAGAAGTGAGGAGCCCCTCCGCCTGGCAGCCGCCCCGTCTGGGAAGTGAGGAGCGTCTCCGCCCGGCAGCCGCCCCGTCCAGGAGGTGGGGGGCAGCCCCCGCCCGGCCAGCTGTCCAGTCCGGGAGGGAGGTGGGGGGCAGACCCCGCCCGGCAGCTGCCCCGTCCGGGAGGTGGGGGGCGCCTCCGCTTGGCCGCCGCCCCGTCCGGGAGGTGGGGGGCGCCTCTGCCCGGCCGCCCTGTCTGGGAAGTGAGGAGCCCCTCTGCCCGGCCGCCACCCCGTCTGGGAGGTGTACCCAGCAGCTCATTGGGAACGGGCCATGATGACGATGGCGGTTTTGTCGAGTAGAAAAGGGGGAATGTGGGGAAAAGAAAGAGAGATCAGATTGTTGCTGTGTCTGTGTAGAAAGAAGTAGACATAGGAGACTCCATTTTGTTCTGTACTAAGAAAAATTCTTCTGCCTTGGGATGCTGTTAATCTATAACCTTACCCCCAACCCCGTGCTCTCTGAAACATGTGCTGTGTCCACTAAGGGTTAAATGGATTAAGGGCGGTGCAAGATGTGCTTTGTTAAACAGATGCTTGAAGGCAGCATGCTCCTTAAGAGTCATCACCACTCCCTAATCTCAAGTACCCAGGGACACAAACACTGCGGAAGGCGGCAGGGCCCTCTGCCTAGGAAAACCAGAGACCCTTGTTCACATGTTTATCTGCTGACCTTCCCTCCACTATTGTCCTATGACCCTGCCAAATCCCCCTCGCCGAGAAACACCCAAGAATGATCAATAAATACTAAAAACAACAACAACAACAAAAAAAAAACCACTTTGATCCTTCACCCACACCCTAGGGCTTGGATTTCCTATCTAAGCTAATAATTGAGTTTGCCCTCTAGAATATGCCTGTTCAAATGGGTATGTCTACTTTGAGATAGTGGCTCTCCTTATTCTTTTCTGTCTCATTACTGCTAATCAGACCATAATCAGCAGTATCTTGAAATATTGTATCATTTTCCATCCCAGACCATAGAGAAAGAACTGTTAGAAGCTGACAATGTGCTAGTGGAGGCCATAGCAATCACTGAGATTTAGCATCAGTGGGGTTATTAACAACCAAAATATGTGATAGTCTGGGAGAGTGACTTTAATACTAGGCGAGGACCAAAACTGGTCAACAGGACCAGGAGGAATTTGTGTCAAGTGGGGATGTGATACCTGCAGGCCTTAGAACATCAGTATCCAAATGCTGGTACCCAGTCTGGTATTAGGCTGGTAGCATAAAACTCCTGCTTAGTATACAACTCCCTGACTTTAGGAAGTACTATATTTGAAAGTTACCAGAGCAGTGGTTTTCAACTTTGGTATTTGGATAACATAGACAAATGGATATTAATGGTCTCTATCCACCAGATGTTCTGACTGAAGAGGTCTCTGATAGGACCAAGGAGTCACATTTTTGGAGAAAGAAGCTCGAGGATTTTAATACAGCTGGTCAAGGATTATAGCTTAAGGAACTCTGACCACATAAGGTCATAATATGTCTTAAAATTTGAAGCATCAGGTAGAAGGCAAATTGTCTCATATGTTGGGAAAGGGGAATATAAGCCTTGGAAACCTGGCAGAGTCTGACAATAACTGGGCCAAATTTGTTACAATTAATTATATAAGTGCTAAGTTTAGCTATTTAATACATCTTTCATACGATTCTACCAAAATTTTTTTTGGGTTCTCCTCAAATCCTTGTTTTGTAAGTCCCAAATTAAAGACTTTTAATTTGACATATTTAGGTTAGAAGCACCACACCTAAACCGAATGACCTCAACTAATCATCCAGTCACTGATTAGCTCTTAGACAGAGCATCCCCTTATCTGAATCTACTCAGCTCCATTGACAAGCACCGTTAACATACCCAATGGTTCAACAGAACACATTCCTGATTTGGTTGTTGCCAGGTATAGTTGGTAGTCTTCAGGCCCACTGCTGTCCCAAGAACAAAGTAAAAATTAGAACAAGAAAGTATGTTACTGTGGTCCTGCAACGATGTCCTTTTATATTGAAGGGGATCTTTGAATGCTGATGTACAAAAAAAAAACCTTAAGCAGAATAATTTTAAAAGTACTGAGTCCATGGTTCTTGGCTCTTCTCACATGATAGAGTCCTCACTTCCTGCTTACTCTGGCAATCTAACTTCAAGCATACTTGCTTGCCAAGGAACAACTCAGGTTTCATGGCGTCACGAGCAGGTACATGGATCCTTTGCCCTGCTTGTTGGCAAAAAAGTCAAATTAACTTGAAATCTTCATTTTCATCAATCTTTAAACATATACTAACAATTGTAATCTGGCCTAACTCAACAGACATAATAAAATTGCATTGTTAAATATTAGATGATTTAATGATCCTACACACAGTTTCCTTGCGGATATATTTATTTCATTGTTGTAGCTTAAAATGCCTTTTAGGGAGAAACAAGGAAATGCAGCTCCCTTGAGGTGGTTTTTTAAAAACATACATTGGATTGACTACCTTGCTATGCTATTAGTGATGTTTTCTTCTTTTTTCTTTTTATTTATTTATTTATTTTTTGACAGAGTCTCACTCTGTCACCCAGGCTGGAGTGCAGTGGCACAATGCGGCTCACTGCGACCTCCACCTTCTGGGTTCAAGCGATTCTCCTGCCTCAGCCTCCCGAGTAGCTGGGATTACAGGCGCGCACCACCACATCCACCTAATTTTTGTATTTTTGTTAGAGATGGGATTTTGCCATGCGGGCCAGGCTGGTCTCGAACTCGTGACCTCAAGTGATACGCCTGCCTCAGCCTCCCAAAGTGCTGGAATTACAGGCATGAGCCACCACACCCGGCCAACGTTTTCATTTTTAAACATGGCTTTCATCATGCCACTGCCATTTGCAGACTCCTGTGATGGCTCTTAATTGGCTCTCAATTTGAATTTAATTTCCTGATTCCGGGTAGTAAGGTACTCAACTTCTTTATTCACTTTTATCTAAACGTCCCTATTTTCCACCCGGTCATGTTCACAAACCTCTGTATTCCAAACCTTATTACTTTTGAGAGTTCATGTCTTAGGCTTGCCTCTGAGTTTTCATATTCACCATTATTTCTCCTAGAAAAACCTCCCCAGTTTCTTTTGCCATACTGATGAACACTTTCTTCACATTTCTTCTCAGAAGAGAAATGGCCTTTAAAACACCTTTGTAAATGTTTTCAGCAATCAATATCATATTCCCCTGTCACAGTGGTTCTCAACGTTCACTGCATATTAGAATCACCTGTGGAGCAGAAAGACTCTGTGCCAGACCAATTACATCAGAGATTTGGGGCTGGGATCCAGAATACAGTGTTTGTTAATCCTCCCCCAGATGCTTCTACTATACTGCAAGGGTTGGTAACAACTGCCTCAAATTGTTTCTCAAATCTTAATGAGTGTAAATGTTAGGGATGCAGATCCTTGGGCAAGTGCTCCTTTGTGGATGGATCCTTGCTGGTTCTTCATTTTACTCTTGACTGCTTTTGTATTCTAAACTGCATAGGCATTTAAAAATATCATTTCAGGCCTTAATTTTCTTAACAGGAGAAACAACCTCCTTCTTTTTCTTTAAGCTTTTAATTTTATCATGAAGGTAAGCTGAGGAGCTTTCTCAATATGGTGACTTTTAGAGGTGGCCAGGGCAGAGCTAATGACATACTGATTCAATGTTATATTAAATAGATGGAGAAAATACTCTCATGTTTGTTTCCACGCAAACTTAGAGCATCTCTAACATATAATTTTTTAAAAATCTCTGGCTAGAGTATCGGGTCGGTTATGGGGAGTTTGAGCCATTGCATTGGCAGTATCCCCAAAACAACACTGAACTGATGGCCAGCCAATTCATTGCTAATACATGGCTGTCAGTTACTTTTTTGCAAGTTGGCATGAACAAAGAGCCAAATATCTGGTTGAATGGGAACTTAAACACAGCAGAGAAGACAACATTTATCAGATGCTTCATCTTTTGCAGTATACTAATAACAGTGAACAAGCACATGCCACAGTAGGCAGGTAGACCCAGAGACTCTGATTTAAGGGTTCACTGTACTACTTCACTGCACCAGTCTTGAACAGCTTTGCCAACAGAAGTGTGTCAAGGCTTCATTTGTAGTGCTCAGTGACGATTCTAGATGTCTGACCTAACAGAAATAGGACATGGCACCCAGAGGATGACTAGGAGAGACTTTGTCTCTGGATGTCTGGAGGAATAACAGAGTGTCCCGCAGTGCCTGAAAATAAATAGTTTTCAATAGTATGCCCATTGCCTGCGACTATGAAGGTACCCAGCAACTTTAGGCACTTAAATGAACATACATAGGTTCACACCTGCAGACTCTCAGATATAACTGCGTGAGATTTTTGCAGGTAAGTGGAGGTCCTTTATAAGCACTGGGGGTAAGAGCCATGGAAATCTAGGTTTTTACTTTTAATATGATGCCATTTGATCTTGTAGTGTGCTGGAGCCTGAGGGAATTCTTTTAATAAATTAGAAAACATATGTGAAACTACTCAACATATTCATAGTGAGCCCTCATTAAGTACTATATGCTTATTGTTAACATTATCATGTAGTAAATTGTGAATAAATTATATTAGACTATTAAAGAACAGCTTAACTTTCAATCATCTGCAGTTTTTAGGAATGATGTTTTATATACTGATACTTTTGTATATGTACGCTTCATTTTACCTAATTTACAGAAATGCCTGACCAGAATATATCACATAACCCTGTAATGTTTACTTGTATTATATCAAGTTTGATTTTAAGTCTCTAGTATATTTTTGTGTCATCAATATTTTCTATTAACCAATAAGAGAAATATTTTATTGCTATATATATGATACTGCTTTTTTAAAAATTTTGATGTTTTTATGTGAATATCTAATGCTACATAACATCTCCACTAATGAGACTGTCCTTAAGAGAAATTGTCCCATTTTCTACTATTTTTAAAAAATATATAATCACTGCTTTTTTGCTGTTAACTATGTTACTCATTTTTTTAAAAATTTGTTGTGGTAAGACATTTAACATGAGATCTACCCTCTTAACAGATTTTAAAGTATACAATACCATATTGTTAACAGGAATAATGTTGTGTAGCAGATCTCTAGAATGTATTCACCTTGCATAGCTGATTAGCAACTCCCCATTTCCCCAAATCTCTGATACCCCAAATTCTATTATTTGCTTCCATAAATTTTATAATTTTAGATATTTCATAAAAGTGGAATCATGTAGTATTTGCCCTTCTTTGATTAGCTTATTTCACTTAGCATAGTGTCCTCAGAGCTCATCCATGTTACTGCATATAGCAGGGTTTCCTTCTGTATATTTAGAGTAATATTCGATTGTATGCATATGCTGTATTTTTTATTCATTCATCCCTTGATGAACATTTAGGTTGTTTCCACATTTTGGCTGTTGCGAATAGTACTGCAGTGAATATGGGAGTGCTAATAACTTCTTGAGATCCTGATTTCAGTTCTTTTGGCTAAATACTCAGAAGTGGGATTGCTGGATCATAAGATAGTTCTATTTTTAATTTTTGGAGGAAGCTTCATATCGTTTTCCATAGTGGTTGCACCATTTTGCATTCCTGCTAACAGTGTACAAGTGTTGCAATTTCTCTATAATCATGCCAACATTTGTCTTTTGTTTTAGAGGACTTTTCTGATAGTAGTTATTCTGGCAGATGTGAAGTGACATCTCATTATAATTTTGATTTGCATTTCCCTGATGATTAGTCATGATGAGCATCTTTTGATATACTTACTGAACATTTGTCTATCTTCTTTGGAGAAATGTCTATTTAAGTCCTCAGCCCATTTAACTGGGTTATTAGGGTTTTGTTTTTGTTGTTATTGAGTCCTTTATATATTTTGGCAGTTAACCCCTTATCTGCTATATGGTTTGCAAATATTTTCTCCCATTCCGCAGGTTGCCTTTTAATTCTGTTGTTTGCTTTGCTGTGCAGAAGCTTTTTAACTTGACTTAGTTCCACTATCTATTTTTGCTTTTGTTGCCTGTGCTTTTAGTGTCATATCTATGAAATCATTGCCAAGACCAATGTCATGAAGAATTTTCCTGTGTTTTCTTCAACAAGTGTTACAGTTGCAGGTCTTAAGTCGTTAATCCATTTTGACTTGAATAAAATGTATGGTGTAAGACAAGTATCCAAATTAATTCTTTTCCAGCTGGATTTTCAATTTTCCCTGCACCCTTTGTTGAAGAGCCTATTATTTCTCCATTGGGTATTCTTGGAAGCTTCATTAAAGATCAGTTGACCATATATGTGTGTTTATTTATGGATTCTCTATTCCATTCCATTAGTCTGTATGTCTGTCTTTATGCCAGTACTTTACTGTTTTCACTGTTGTAACTTTGTAATATATATTGAAATCAAGAAGTGTGATGTCTCCAGCTTTGTTCTTCTTTATCAAGATTGTGTGGCTGTTTGGGGGTCTTTTGTGGTACCACATGAATTTTAATAGTTTTTTATATTTCTGGAAAAAATGTCATTGGGATGTTGATAGGGATTGCATTGAGGCTGTAGATTGTTTTGGACAATAATAATTCTTCCTATCATGAACAGGAGATATTTTCATGTCTTTTAAAATTTGTTTTATTATGGTTTCAGAGATTCACTGTACAAGTCCTTCACTTCCTTATTCTTTTTGATGCTATTGTTAATGGGATTGCTTTACTAATTTTCTTTTTAGATAGTGTATTATTAGTGAATAGAGAAACAACTGATTTTTGTATGTTGATTTTGTATCCTACAACTTTACTGGATTCAATAAAAGTATTTATTTCATTTGAATGGCAAACATTTAAAAAATCTTTTAGCTCTACTGGCCTTCTATTTTCTTACCCAGTAATTTTGGGAAACAAATAATATCTTTTATATTTTCCTAGTAATGTAAACTAGCAAGGCCTGCCCCATAGTAGTCCCTCCCCAAATACCAGCCATGTTCCTCCTTCATCTCCACACTGCTCACACTGGATCCATGAGAATTTTTTTTAACACAATCAGGAAGTTTTCTTAAATGTCAGTTTCATCTTCCCTCTGGTCTCTGGCTGCTTCTGCCTCTGTCTCTGGGATAACCCCAGGTTTTTCCATCCCCACTGGATTTCTGGTTCCTGAAAGAAGCCAAGTCCTATGTCTTGGGCAACAGACTGGATATGTCTTGTGTGCCAAAGGTTTGCCAATCTTTTCCAGGAACTAAGCTTGTTGCAATTCATCTTTGCTTTACAATAGACTGTTCATATCTGCCAGGGGACATTCATAAGTGTCTATTCTCAATAAATGGTTTACCTGACCCTCTCTCCAACCTCAGTCCTAGTCCTTCTCAGACCACCTCTTTCAGCCATTGATACATGTATGGAATTGATCTACATTGGCAAATACTTGCTAGAATTATTTGTTATGGATTTTGCTCTTTCTCTTTAAGCAGGCTCTTTCCATGTGCATCTCCCCATCCAATTCATGCCCTGTATTAGTCAAGAATCCTATAGACTACATTTAACAGACATCAAATTCAAACTGAATTGAAAATAAAAAGGGAATTTATTGACTTACATTTTCGAAAATTCCAGAGAGTTCAGATTTTATCTTCTTTTCATCTTTTGTAATTGATTTTCTCTGTGTCTCCTTTATTCCCAGGTAGGCTTTATCCATTTGGTATCTGTTCATTGACACTCTCCCAGGAAGTGCTACTGTGACAAACTAATGGCTGAAAAACATTTTTTCTTTCGTAATGTCTCTGGAAAAATCCAAGGTAATACTCATTGGCCTAGCTTAAGTCACATGTCAGTCCTGAATTAACCACAGGGGCAGATGTTTGTGATGCAAGTCCTACCATTAGATAGAAGCGTGGGTCAACCCATCAGAACTACATGGGATTGAAGAAAGAATGAACCTCACAAAGAAAAACTGCAATAGTATATTCTTACCAGAATAAAGAGGAAGTGGATACTGATCAGACAAAAAAAGCAACTCCTACTATTTTCAGCATACAGTTACTATCTCAATACTCAATGGATAATTTAAATTCTTCCACAGTCTTCACTTTTATGTGTTATTGTCAGTACCCTTCATTAGCCGTGAGAGTACACACTAACTCACCTAAAATATTACCTGTTTTGCTAAGGCAACATTTTTAGAACATTTTCTACATTCTTGACTGTGAATCAAGGATTATCATCAGGTTTGGGCTGATGCAGACCTTACAGAGAATGATCTGTGGATCTGCATCATTGTTTCCTTGCAAACAGTAAAGATAAATGGGAAAAGCTATGTCTTCCCCCTTTGTTGTGGGAAACTGCCTATGTTGACAGAGCTCTGCCTTGGCATGCAGGACTCTGGCCTATGTGACTGGGACCGTATAAAAGATTAATAAGGAGATGGGCTTGTGGCTTTTGTATTTCAAGGTGACCCACAGGCACCTTGGTGCTCATGCTGTAGAACAATAACAGGGAAAAAGAATCTGTGAACTTGGATAGATGCTGGGCCTGCCAATGAGATGCTGATGATCTACCTGTTGTATTTCCAGCCTTGAATTGTTCTATGAAACTAAGTAAATGTAGCATCAGAGTAAAGTCTAATTTTGTCTTATGAGACTTGTTAACATCTCAAACCCATAACTACAGCTCTGCTGCATCATAGACACTGTCCCAAGAGCTTCACATACAAAATCTTGTTTATTCCTTATAAGAAGTCTACTACTTCTTTGGTATTATATAAAGAGAAGCAAGATGAGACCTGAAAGGCTGCATAATTTACTCATGGCCATGCAGACAAATATAGGAGAACCAGGATCAAATACAGCTATTTCAACCTTAAAACTCTGTACCGTCAGTCAGTAAACTATGTTGTTATATTTGCCCCAGATCACCTTTAATCACTTTCATCATAATGACCTCAATGGTGTTGCAAAGTATTTTCCCACTCACATCTGAAAAAAAAAGGATGTCTCCTCCTTAGGTCTGAATTTTACTGACCTAGGTCATATCACATGGGAGGTGTTAAAAAGGTGTTTTCTTATTGACTCTGATAGACGCATATAGCCTGTTTGCCCTATAATCTGGTGACACAGACAAATGTGTCAAATTTTGGAAAGTTACTGTATTTCTCCTTCCTATAGCATTAAAAAAAGTTTATTTTTTTCTATTCAACGTCTTTTTTATGAGGTTTCTTTTCTCTTGACTGAAATTTCCACTCACATAGGATTAGCTAAAATCCTTTGTTAGGCACTTTTCTTACTACCTATGAAAGTGTTATGTTCCCCTCCTCCTAATTAGAAACCATCCCTCTGGAAGTTTTAAAGCTTAGGTATTTTAATTGTGGAAGTTTCTTTTTAGAGTATAAATGTGTCTTTGCTGATATATGTGATTGCTTATTTGGGGACACAGGCTATTTAAAAAGCAAGCAGTGGAAGTAACATTTGACCTTTTAATATTGTACCTTTACCTAATATTGAAATTATATTTAACAAATTCTAACTGTATATTGTAATTAAGGTGAAAGTGGCCTTTTGTTGTAATTTTACAGCTTATCAAAATGAAATAAAAGATTTACCAAATATCAGGGGTCTGAATGGAAGTGCTACTAGTAAAATACAAAATACATGTCTTTTAGGCTTATGGGGAATAAACCACACTCTTATTTTTTACCTCAGAACTTTATTGGCTGAGTTAATCTGAATCAAATTCCAGATAATTCTGTCAGTCTTAAAGTTAAAAGAAGTAGTAAAGGTCCCGTGGAGCTCACTGAAAGTTCTGGGTTGTATTAAAATTGCCCCAAATAAAATCAGAAGATTCACTGGATTGAATTTATCTTTTTGGATGTCAATATAATCAATTAGAAAAGTAGTCATGGATTATGATGTTTGAAAGCTAGAAAATCAGCATGTAAAGTGGTTGGGGTTTAAGGATTTTTGTTTATGTGATACTATTCATTATTCACAAATATTTATTTAGTAGTTCGAATTCTACTATTCCTACTCAATCATAGGAAAGGAGTGACAGCAGAGAAGAGGACAAAACATATTTGAGAAGAGGAACAAATGGGAAATAGGCAGCCCCAATTTTCATTAGAATGAGCACTGGAAAATATGAATTTATTAACACACATAGAAAAGTACAGAAACATACCTACTTCCAGATGTAAAGGGAACACAGTGATCAGGCCTTTCCTAAGTAATTGACAAGATACAGCCTGTATTCATTCTTGGGGTGCTTGTCTTTATCTATCCAAACGATAGTAAACCACAATAGATAAAGATGTTTCCAGATAAATTGTAGATAGAACATGTGTTCAAGAAGCAATTTGTTACATGAAATGTTAATGATAAAGCTGAGAAAGACTATCACAACATTTACATTTTTATTTGGACTTCAGTACAGTTACAGTTACAATAAAGACTGCTTTTGTTTTTTATCCATAAAACATTTATTGATCAATTGTTGGTACCGAAGAATTATCTATTTTCTTATAAGCTGCTTCTACAATGTAGAATTGATTGATTTTGCTGATTTGTGCATTATTTCCTCATATAGTGTTAGATTCAGAAATGCCTCCCAAGGTTTTTCCTTTTTAAAATTATTATTTCATGGCCAAGTACATTGCTTTGGGAATATATTTCTTAAAATGAGAGTTGATATTCACAATCTAATTCATACATATAAGAATTCTCACTCCCAACAGGGCAACAAGGGGAAACGTTTGTAGATCTAAGTTTTTAGTGTCATATACCTATACTAGGTACTGTAACAAAAAGATTCTACATACAGACCGGAGCCAGCCTGCCTGGGTTCAAATTCCAGCAATAACATCAGCTGTGTGACATTAGGCAAATTACTTAACTTCACATGATACTTTTCTCATCTATAAAATGAAGATAAGAATAGTACCTGCCTCATAGGATTGTTTTATGAAGTCAAAAAATGTTAGCATTATAAAATATTGTAGTATTTTCTTTTAGTTCTATACTTTTTCAAGTCAATCCTTACAATTAAATGATTCAAATAAGATTTGCTTTTCATCAGATTAGATCTCCTATGTGTCATAGCTGTTATAGAACACTGCTTTTTCCTCTTTTGTTTTTAACATAATTTGTCTGACTCTATTTTGAGTTAGCATAATATAAAACCATAGTATCTATATTCCCAAGTGTTCAGGTATCTGTTTAAATTTCATGTTTTTTAATTAATTTATTTAGTTGTTCATTCACAAGATTATGCAGTGAAATATTCTACTGCTCTGAGCGATGCAAAGGGAGCAAAACGTCCAGATTCTAGTACAGGAGATAAGAAACTTAGGCAAATAACTACTGGAAATCGTTTTACAGATGGTAAACTGTAAAACTATGATTCATATAGTAGCAGTATGTGATAAATATTAACTCATTATAAAATTTAATAAATCTTATTTCTATGTGATAGATTGGATACTTCATAATTCATTTGAGAGTTGGAGGTTTTATTTTCATTTCAGGGGACTGAAATTAATTTTTCATGAGACTTAGATTTTAACATCAGTGTACACAATATCATTTGAAGTCAAAATTACCTTTGATCATCCTTAGAATTGTGGGGGTTGATTTTGTCTGGACATCCCATCTCACAGATAGCTTTTTCTCTAGCTCTTCCTTTAGGAGAGCTCTCTTTCTTCAGTTTGGCAACAGATGAACTATTTTGCTTATATTTAAAGGTTATACTATATGAAAATATGTATTTTTTACTTTTTATATTTTATTGATACATAGTAGTTTACATATTAACGGAGTACATATGAGTATATGATACTTGCATAGAATACATTATGATCAAGTCAGGGAATTTGGGGCATTCATCACCTTGAGTATTCATAATTACTATGTGTTAGGAACATTTCAAGTCTTTTCAGAATATTCTGAAGTATACAATATACTGTTGCAAACTATAGTCACCCTATCCTGCTACTGAACAACAGAACTTATTTCTTCTATCTAACTGTATGTTTGGTTGAATGGAATAACTACCGAATCACTGCCACTATTTTAATTGTTTTTCTTCTCTCTCTTATTCCTCCATTCTTCCCTTTTGAGTGTATGTAGTTAAATTAGTATGAGTTAAATGCACACTTGGTGTGCTTCAACAGTACAACAAAGAACACAAATGCACATAGCATGAGAGAGGTGTATAGCATGCTGAGTGGTTTAGCCCAGGTTTGCCTCAACTTCATAACCTCTTTGTTTTAAACACCTTTGAGCCTTTATTTATAGTTACACAATGTATAGTGGATGGAATGATAAGCCCTGAAATAGTTATCCTTTAGCATACTAGCCTTGATCTGTTTTTTTTTTCTGAGTTACTTAAGGAATGTAATAAATGATAATACAAAGTGATAACCACAATGTATGGGGGAAAAGTGCATGAACATTCTATGAGATTGTTTATTTTATTGGTTATTGTAAATGGCATCTCAACTTTTAGGTTAGGTTTGCAAATATAAGTGGTGGGTATATGGGTGTTCTCTGTACTATTCTTTCAGCTTTTCTGAGTATCAATGTTGATAATAAATACTGACAACAGTAAAAGATCTCTACAAGGAGAATTACAAAACACTACTGAAAGAAATCATAGATGACACAAACAAATAAAAAAAATTCCACACTCATGGATGGGAAGAATCAATATTGTTAAAATGGCCATATGGCCCAAAGCAATCTATAAATTCAGTGCTATTTCTATCAAGTTGCCAATGTCACTTTTCACAGAATTAGAAAATCTATTCTAAAATTCATATGGAACAAAAATAATAACCCAAATAGCAAAAGCGATCCTAAGCAAAAAGGACAAAGCCAGAGGCATCACATTAGCTGACTTCAAACTATACTATAAGGCTACAGTGAACAAAACAGCATGGAACCAGTACAAAAAGAGACACATAAACCAATGGAACAGAATACAGAACCCAGAAATAAAGCTGCACACCTACAACCAACTGCTCTTCAACAAAGCTGGCAAAGTAAACAACAGAGAAAGGATTCCCTATTCAAGAAATGGTGCTGGGATAGCTGGCTAGCCATATGCAGAAGAATGAAACTAGACCACTACATTTCAACATATACAAAAATTAACTCAGGATTGATTAAAGATTTTAATGTAAGACCTCAAACTATAAACATCCTAGAAGAAAACCTAGAAAACACCATTCTGAATATCAACCTTCAGAAAGAATTTATGAGTAAGTCCCCAGAAACAATTGCAACAAAAATTGACAAGTGAGACATAATTAAACTAAAGAGCGTCTGTACAGCAAAAGAAACTAGCAATAGAGTAAACAGACAACCTACAGAATGGGAGAAAATATTCACCAACTATGCATCTGACAAAGGCCTAATATCCAGAACCTATAAGAATTTTAAACAATTCAGCAAGCAAAGAACAACCCCATTAAAAGTGGGCAAAACATCAAGAGACGTTTCTCAAAAGACATAAAAGCAGCCAACAAACATATGAAAAAATGCTCCATATCACTAATCATCAGAGAAATGCTAATCAAAACCACAATGAGATACCATCTCGTATCAGTCAGAATGGGACTAAAAAGTCCCAAAACAACAGATGTTAGTGAGGCTGCAGAGAAAAGAGAACGCTTATAAACTGTTGGCGGGAATGCAAATTATTCAGGCACTGTAGAAAGCAGTTTGAAGATTTCTCAAAGAGCTTAAAACAGGACTACCATTTGGCCCAGCAATCCAATTACTAGGTATATATCAAAAAATAAATAAATACATTATTATACCAAAAATATGCATTCCTATGTTCATCACAGCACTATTCACAATAGCAAAGACCTGGAATGGACCTAGGTGCCCATCAATGGTGTACTATATAAATACAACATAATACATATATACCACAGAATACTACGCAGCCATGAAAAGAATAAAATTATGTCCTTTGCAGCAATATGGATGCATTTGGAGGCCATTATCCTAAGTGAATTAATGGAAGAACAGAAAACCAAACACTGCCTGTTCTCTCATAAGTAGGAGCTAAATATTGGGTACTCATGGTCATAAAGATGGCAACGATACTGGAGACTAATAGTTGCAGGAGGCAGGGAAGGGGTGGGGGTTGAGAAACTAACTATTGGGTACTATGTTCAGTCCCTAGGTGATGGGATCAATCATACCCCAAACCTCAGCATCACACAATATACCCATGTAACAAGCCTGCACATGCTATCCCCTGAATCTAAAATAAAAGTTGAAATTATAAAAAATAAAATAATAAAGTAACAGCAAATAAAATACTGAGAAGAAAATGAAGTCCTCAAAGCTTGAGCTTTTGAAAATAATTCTTTTCATATATTTCATATCATAATCTTTTTTTGATCACCTACTATATGCATTTAGATAAAAGCTATGGACAAACTCAAATTCAACAAAGTGTCTGCCTTTAAGAATTACATCAGTGAGGCTGGGCATGGTGGCTCATACCTGTAATTCCGCACTTTGGGAGGCCGAGGCGGGTGGATCACCTGAGGTCAGGAGTTCGAGACCAGCCTGGCCAACATAGTGAAACCCGTCTCTACTAAAAATACAAAAATTAGCTGGGCATGGTGGTGGGCGCCTGTAATCCTAGCTACTCGGGAGGCTGAGGCAGGAGAATCATTTGAACCCAGGAGGTAGAAGTTGCAGTGAGCCGAGATTGAGCCATTGCACTCCAGCCTGGGTGACAAGATCGAAACTCCATCTCGAAAAAAAAAAAAAAGAATTATATCAATGACTTACAGCAAAAACAATGCTATATAACGAACTTAGTGGCATGCAACCATAAAGATTTACTTTTACACATACCACATACATGGGTATGGAGGTTAACTGTGGATTGGGTAATCACTCCTTTAATCATCTGAGTGGCTGCTTCAAATTTCAAGTTCTGCTGGGCATGATTCCTGGCTATATACTGGGCTCCATTTTATTCAACATAAGTTCATTTTTGAGACCCATTCTCTTCTCATAGTGATGGCACAATTTCAAGAGCATAGCCCTACTAACCAAGTAGGTTTCATGATTTTGGTTGCATCATTTCTGCTAAAACATATTAGCCAAAGCAAGTCATATAGTTGAGCCCAAATCAAGAAGAAAGTTAACTCTGCCTCTAGAGAAACTACAAAGTCACATGAGAAAGGGCATGCTACAGAGAGGAAAGCATTAGGATCGAGTTTAAATTGCTCCAACAGGGTTAGAGTTTAATTCTTGACAAAGCAGATAAAACATTGTACAGCTGGCAATAAGATAGTCATCTTAAACAGAGTGATCATGGATTTCTCCAGTTGTTTAAAGGGTAAATGAATGTTATTGAGTTCTAACCTGTGGGTTCATTTTCTATATTCAGTGCCTCCAACCTTAGATCATTTGAGAACTTGTACAGATTAATCCACCTTATTATCAGACTATGTTATATTAAGAAATAAAATCAATGAAAGAAACATTTATGAAGCCTTGTTACTATTTTTTAGATTATTTTCTATACCTACAAAACAGTGATAATTGAAGACCAGCTCCCTCTCTCAAGAAGGTCTGGAGGTAGTGAGCTATAAGGACATTTTAGTTTTTGTATCAACTATTTCTTTAGCAGGAAATCTATGATTCTTAAATTGCAGGCTATTTAATTTCTGAACAATTCATCACACTCCGGGGACTGTTGTGGGGTGGGGGGAGGGGGGAGGAATAGCATTTGGAGATATACTTAATGCTAAATGACGAGTTAATGGGTGCAGCACACCAACATGGCACATGTATACATATGTAACAAACCTGCACATTGTGCACATGTACCCTAAAACTTAAAGTATAATAATAATAAAATAAAATAAAAAAAGAAGAAATTAAATTTTCCGAGTGTCTTAGTGAAAGGTTTACATCCATTTAAAATTGTACCTTTGTTGTATAGATCAACATTGAAGGAAATCAGCCATAACATTTTATAATTAAGAATAATGTAGGAGTGTAAGATCTTTGTTGCTTGCAGAACTTAAAAAATCTATTAATTTCTCATTATTGCAGCATAATGACTCAACTCCTTAAACGGAAAGGAACATAAACTACTTGAACCAAATTTTGTGATAGAAACTCAGCATGTGCTATTAATTTAAAGTGATTCTTTCAATAATTTGATTATATTTTATGATATAACCGATTCAGTCAAATGGAAATGTAGAAAATGTTTCATTTGATTCCTAAATAAAGGATAATGAAGGTCTTAAAATTTCCACTAAAATAAATTGCTATTAAGGTAACATGTCAATAATTCACAAACTGAAATCTCTCTATACATATATATTCATATATAGTGCAGAATGCTTGACGTTTGCAATGATTTATTATATTTAGTGATATTATATAATTTTACTGCCCCTAAATCATATATGAATTAACCTATTCTTATATGCTTAAATACAAATTTACATATGAATTTTAAAACAGAAGAAGTTGTAATCACATGCCAATCAGAATGCCTAAAACCAAGGGGCCTGACAATTTTAAGGATTGTTGAGGATAGGGAGTAACTGGAACCTTCATATATTGCTGGTGGGAGTTTATTCTGGTACAATTGCTTTGGAAATATCTTTGTCAATATCTCCTAAATCTGAACATATGTACACTCTATGACAAATAAATTCAACTCCTAAGTATACATAACCCAAAATAATGTGTGTACCTGCATCTATCTATCTAATCTATCAATCATCTATCTATCTACAGACACAAAAGTGTTCATAGCAGTATTATTCATATGTGATCTAAACTGGAAGCAATCTAAACGCATATCATCTCTAGAAAGAATAAACTGTGAAATATTCATACAATTGAACACTACATAACAAAAGGAAATAAATTATTGTTACACACCATTAACATCAATAAGTATCAACATAACATTTAGTGAAAGATGCCAAACAAAGACTATATATTGTATAATTTCATTCATATAAAGTTCAAGACCAGGCAACATTTGTTGAAGGTGTTAGAAAGCAGGATGGTGGTTACTTTTACTGTGGCACTTAGAGCCTGGAAGTAGGTACAAGGAGGGCCTCAAAGGTGATGGTAATATTCTACTTCTGGATCTTGGCAGTGGTTATATGGATGTGTTTACTTAGTGAAAATTTAACAAGTTGCACAGTTAAGATTTGTGTACTTGTCTGAATCTATGATACATTTTTGTAAATTTTTTTTTTAAAAAATAAGCACATATCTGGTTTCTCACTATGATGACTTCACGTCCTCTATTTTTCACAATTTCTGAAATATCTGCTTAATGACTCTAACACATTCTTTTGAATCTCATTATTTTTCATTCTCCAAATCATTAAGGAATTATTTTTTTAAGTTCCTCAAACTGTTCACTTACTATTAATTCCTTATGTAGGAATAAGACACAAGATCTTAGGGAATTTATAGAGCCTCTCTTCATTCTTGTATCTGCCAAAAGAAACTTTATGTTACAAACCTTGATTATCAATTCTCTCCATGACATTTAAAATAATATCTTTCATAGGAACTCTGCTACCACCTTTCTGCCCAAAGTAATTTACACTAACCATGGAAATTTTGAAATTAGATTTGAGACCTTCTGTCCCAAACCACATGCTTCTTGTAACAGAGGGAGTTTTGAATAGTATAAGGTTATTCCTAATCCTAGCAATAATACTTAATAATAATGAAAGGCTTAATGGGTTGATATATTAAGTCCATTTTTCAAATTACAGCTAAGATTGTTTTTCCTTGGAAAATCAAGTTTAGGTTTGTCTCCAGACATGCATTAAGCAATGAACATGGGTTCCTAGGAAAGGAAGGCCTCCTACGGTATGCACAGGGCATACTCATTCAATTGGAAAGCCCTTTAACAAAGAAATTGCTTCTTCATGAGCAGTATTAAAGCAACCTCCCATTACTATCGCATGTTAAACTACCTCTTGGGCATTTTGCCAAATCTGTAAGTTGCATGACAAGCTTTTTGTATAAAATGTGTTTTTCTCTGAAATAGCTCAGACATTCTCTCCTCACTCTCTCCTTTTTTTTGTATCCCTCACAGATGCCATCAAAGTTAACCAATTTCAACCATTAATTTATTCCATAGTGCTCATGAAGTTTTACACAGTGCCATATTGAGAAGCAAGACATCTGATGATGGAGCAGAGTTCCTTTGTGACTAGAAGAGATAAAATCCTTATAAAATGCAGAAGACTTGTCAAAATTATTTTTTATCTTATACTAAATTATAGTCTGTAAAGAAAATCCACACAGAGTAAAAGATAAACGGTATGACTTAGGCACAAAGTCAATTACATCATGAATACAAAGAAATTCATTAATATTATTACTGAATTCCATAGTAAATATGAAGTGGTCAGATATGCTGCATAGGGGGATGCAACTGACTGGTAGTTTTCTCCTCTAAATTTGTTGTACTTTTCTCCCTGGTCATATAGGCTAACCCAATTGAAGACAATATTCCCAGCCTCCTTTGTAGGTAGCCATGTTTGGACACTCAACTAAATTCTTGCTAATAAAATATAAGCGTAAACAATTTTTTCTGAATCTGAACTTTCCCTATTTCCTATTCCCTTTTGGTTAAAGCCAAATGAGGCAGTGAACAACTATGACCATGCAGAAGAAATCTATATGCTAGGGAATGATGCTACACCAGTGTCGAAAGTATCTACACCACTGTATACCATGATTGAGCTGAGCCACACCTTTAGCCTATTGAGCTCATCTGAGAAATAAATATGCTTTTGTCTACTTTTATCCATGTGTGTTTTCGTTTTTGTCATATAAACTGATCTTTATCCTAAAAAATCCAGATGGGTTTGTTTGCTCTTCTTGATTAATAATTTTTGATTCTCAAAAAATATGGAACAAATATTTGATTATTTTTGTGATAAAATGCTTTATATTTCTGTAGGATGTTTCTTTTATTTAGGCCTTTCTCTATAATCTGTCACATTATAGTCACAACAATCATGTCCTGGCAGTTAAGATAATTCATTATCATATTTTGCAAATAAGGAAGCAAGTTCATCGGCAAGTGGACCTCAATATTTCCAAATTATTTCAGAAACCCATACTACAAGTTCAGAGAAAAAGTAGATGGATGACTGTTTATTAAAGTTAATAAAAATGTTTTATTGAATTAAAATCTACAATTTTAATAAGGTATTTAATATGTATTTTTTGGAAAAAATATATATGACATTTTACTGCATTTATTTAACAACTAATTTATCTCTTTAATAAAATTAAAAGTATCAGTTTTTAAAATTAAGTCCATCTACTGGGTGTATACACAAATGAAATGAAATCAGCACTCCATAGAGATAGCTGTACTCCCATATTCTTTATGGCATTTTTCACAATAATCAAGATATGGAAACAACCTAAGTGTCCAATGACAGATGAATGCATAAAGCAATTGTGATTCATACATACAGTGGAATATTATTCGGTCTTAAAAGAGGAGATACTGCCATTTGTGACAACATGGATGGACTTGGAGGATATGCTAAGTGAACTAAGCCAGACACAGAAATACAAATAGTATATGATCTCAGTTGTATGTGGACTCTAAAAAGAGAAAAGGTAGAATAAATAGAAATAGAGAGTAGAACTGTGGTTACAAGGGGTGGGGATGGGGGAGAAAACGGAGAGATGTAGGTCAAGGATACAAATTAGCAGTTAGGTAGGATGAATAAGTCCAGAGATCTAATGTACAGCATGAAGACTATTATTAATAACATTATATACTGAAAATGTGCTGAGAGAATAAATTTTAGGTGCTCTTAACCACAAAAAAATTCCTATGAAAGATAGATATGTAAATTTGACTGTAGTAATAAATTCAATATGTATGTGTATCTCAAAATGTCATATTGTACATCTTAAACAATTTTAAAAAGAAACTTCCAAACCTTTTTCAAAACGGCTGTACTATTTTACATTCCAATCTTCAGTGACTAAAAGTTCCCCCTGTTTCATATACTTGCCAACATTTAGTATGGTCAGATGTTTTAGTTTTAGATAGTCTAGTACATGTGTATTTGTATCTTATTGTGGTTTTAATTTTTCATTTCCCTAATGACTAATGATGATAAGCATACTCACATTTTTGGCATCCATTTTTCCTCTCTGGATAAGTGTCCGTATGCTCTTTTGCCCATTTTCAGTTTTTACTGGCTTGTTTTCTTAGCGTTTGAGAATGTATGTGTATATATATGTACATTTATAGAGAGTGAATATATATTTACATATTTTTAATTTACATATACCATGGACACAAATAATTTATCAGAATTGTGGTTTGGCTTTTCATTCTCTTAATCGTGTTTGAATTTTGATGAAGTCCAATTTTTTTTCTTCTATGGAATGTGCTTATCGTGTTGTTCCTAAGAAATCTTTACTAATCCTAGGCCATAACAATTTTCTCCTATATTTTATTCTGTAAGTTTTATAATTTGGGGTTTAAATTAATATCTAGGGTCCATGTCGAAATGATTTTTGTATATGGTGCTAGGTATGTGTGGGAGCTCTCTCTCTCTTACTTTTTTTTGTTTTTTGCACATGGATATCTAATTATTCAACCATCACTACTGCGTATCAATTGACCATATTTGTTGTCTGAACAATGTTTTTCTAAATGATTCTTCTAAGTTTCAGCTGCATTTTGTTCAAAATCAGTATGAAGGCTTTAATCACAGTTGTCACAAAAGGGAGCAAAAAAGAACTTTGTTTGCAAACTGCAATTATTTTTAAAAAGCTTATAAACAAATTATTAAAATTTATTTTTACAAAAGCAAAGAAGAAACAATAAACCATAAGAGCTTACATGTAATATGATATCTAATTTTGACATTTTATAATTGTGCCTGGAAATCTAGACATGTAGGAAGAATATTTTAATGGAGCTCATATTTTTAATTGAAAAAGTTGTATTCTGTCCTGAAAAGGAGATAAATAGAAAGAATATGACTATATGGTCTTTAAATCCAATGAAATAATTAAAAAGCATCATGAATAGAAGCAACTTATTTTGTAAGTTTTCCTGGTAAAATATTTGTCAAAGAAAGTCTCTTAGTATGAATAAAAAATAAAATATTTTGAATTAAATATTTATGCTTTGCAATATGAATAAATATCCTTGAGAATATCTCCCATTTAGCAAATTTAGCTTGAGCTTACCAGGCAACTAAGCACCTATACAGAGATACTTTTCTCAATTAAAATTATTAAAGTTTACAGAGACAAGGCATTTGAAATTCTCATCAATTCAAAATTTATTAGCCACTAAATGCAACTTTGAGGAAGTTGCAAATATCTTAGAAAAAGTTTAAAACAAGACAACATTGGAAACATATGTTTTATAGAAAAATACTAATGACACACTATTAGCAACATATATTTAAAAATTGATAGAAGTATGTGGATATTTAACAAGAATAATTATTTCACTTATATGTTAATGTTCAGAATATGAATAAAATTGTTTTAATGTATGCAGATATATGACTTTTGAGAAGTCATTATAGAAAATAATTTTTGAACAGAACTAATTTTGAAGTTCACTGACATAAATATTTTTAATTTATAATTTTGTTATCATCCCCTTATATCTTAAATTTTCCAAGTTATAAAAATAAATTATGTGGTCACCTTGCCCATGAATAACTCTATTCATCTCTGGAAAATACATGCTCCTTTATTAGCTTAGTCACTATCACTTTATAATATTTTTTATTTTAACATTTAAGTTAAATAACCAAATAGATGGTGTACATACAAAACAGTGAGAGAATGAAAGTTGGTTTATATTAATAAAATATGTAATGGCCATAGTTTTCCTTTCTGCAACTAGCCATGTGATTGAATATATTGTCTATAAGCACCTTCTGCTATACTTTTTTTTTTTTTTTTTTTTTTTTGAGACGGAGTTTCGCTCTTGTTGCCCAGGCTGGAGTGCAATGGCGTGATCTCTAGGCTCACCGCAACCTCCGCCTCCTGGGTTCAAGAGATTTTCCTGCCTCAGCCTCCCGAGGTAGCTGGGATTACAGGCATGTGCCACCACGCCCGGCTAATTTTGTATTTTTAGTAGAGACGGGGTTTCTCCATGTTGATCAGGGTGGTCTCAAACTCCCGACCTCAGGTAGTCCACCCGCCTCGGCCTCCCAAAGTGCTGGGATTACAGGCATGAGCCACCGCGCCGGGCCTACACATCTTAAATATCCCTTTAGCCTTGGCACTGTCAATTTCCGTGGCACTATCAGCTCCCTCCACTTCACCAAATGTCTGTGCCGAAGTTGTTTTTAGCCTGGGACAGGGTTAAAGCCTCTTAGACTAGGAGAGTTAAGAGCAATTTTTCTTCTTTAAAATAACAGAGCTGGCATGATGGATCACACCTGTAATCCAAGCTACGGGGGAGGCTTAGGTGGGAGGATTGCTTGAGGCCAGGCATTCAAGACAAGCCTGAGCAACATAGCGAGACGCAGTCTCTAAAATTTATTATTTTTTTTAATTAGCTGGGCATAGTGGCACCCATGGAGAGTCCTAAATATTAAGAACACCCACAGGTAGGAAACTGGGAGACAAATGAGATCAGGGTGCTTATTCTTTCTGCCTCCTCCTTGCAGATCAGCTTAAGCTGGTTGCAAATCCCCAACTTTGTTTGCTCCTGTCAGTTGCCCTTCTTCACACAGCTCTTTGTCTCTGGGTTCTGGAAATTTCTTTCTACTCTCATTCTTTAGGCATAGGATTAGTAACATTGTGCCCTATAGTGCTTGTACTTTCCTAACAGACTCTCCACACCTTTATAAATTGTCCTCCCATTAAATACCCCTGAAATTTAGCAGTTTGAACATTTTATTGTTCCATATTTGATAGATCTAAAAATCAAGACATTGGAAATATATTTGATAGATCTAAAAATCAAGACAACATTGGAAAAATATGTTTTATAGAAACATACTAATGATACACTATTAGCAACAATTGAGTTATACTATTATTGCAATTATATGCAATAGTTATACACTATTGCAATTGAGTTAATAAGGAATAGGTTCTGCTTTTAATAGACTAGCCAATGAGAAGTAGTTCACTGTTTTTAATGTACACTCTTGCAGAAGGTAAAACACTGAAGGGTAGACCCAAATTGTTCCAACAGAAATGAGGGGGAAAGACAATATAAGAGAACCCAGGACATCTATATATTTACAAAATGGCTAGAGATCCAACTTTGAGATATACTGACAATTGGAAGAAAACAGAAACATCCAAGCCATAGTATAAGAAGAGTCACTTCCATCACATCCATTGCTAGCCATATCCATAATAAGGTAAATTTCTTTGATCATAAGTGAATTTACTTGGAACCATAAGTACAGTATTAGGAAGAAGTTTATATTCAATTCCTAGGTTTAATTCTGTCCCATGGCTTTGATTTCTTTACATATGCCAACGTTTCTCAAATTTAGATTCTTATGAACTCTACTGAACTTGAGACTACTAAATCCAAATACTTACTCATCTCTCCATTTGAATGTTTAATAGCTATCTCATATATCTTATGTCCAGGTTGAATTATTGACCCTTCTGAAGACCCTCGCCCCTACATGCCTCAGTTAAAATCTAATTGCTCACGCCAATATTACAAATGTCATCATCAGTCTTTTCTTTCACCTTCCACATTCATTTTATCACTACGTCCTGTTGCTTCTACATTCAAGTCATATTCTATTTTATTTTATTTTATTTTATTTTATTTTTTGAGACGGAGTCTCGCTCTGTCGCCCAGGCCGGACTGCGGACTGCAGTGGCGCAATCTCGGCTCACTGCAAGCTCCGCTTCCCGGGTTCACGCCATTCTCCTGCCTCAGCCTCCCGAGTAGCTGGGACTACAGGCGCCCGCCACCGCGCCCGGCTAATTTTTTGTATTTTTAGTAGAGACGGGGTTTCACCTTGTTAGCCAGGATGGTCTCGATCTTCTGACCTCATGATCCACCCGCCTCGGCCTCCCAAAGTGCTGGGATTACAGGCGTGAGCCACCGCGCCCGGCCTCAAGTCATATTCTAAAGCTGAGCACTTCACATTATCTCCAGAGTTAATGCTCTAGATCTTATGATCATCGAATACCTACTTCTTCTATTATATCTGGTCTTTTTCTGCTCTTGTACTTATAGAGTTGACTTTCCACCCATCAACCAGAGAAATCCTTTAAAAATAAGCTACATCAGTATTTAATATTTTTTCCTAAATTGCTCTACATTCTAAATCGAGAGACTGCATCAATAGTTTAAAAGCTATGAAACTAATATGAAGACAATGTATAACTTGAGAGAATAGCTTTTTCTCAATTAATACTAGTGATTTGAAATTTTGTAAAATGGCCAAAGCAAAAACTCATTTAGGCAAAAATGTATATTATTATAAAAACTATGATAAAAATCTCAAAAATAATCTTGATTATACATATAAAGATGGTGATGGGGATGCAAAATGGTATAGCTTCTTTGGAAGACAGTTTGGCAGTTTATTGCAAAGCTAAACATGATCTTACCATACAAATAATTAATTGTACTCTGGTATTTGCCCAAGTGAGTTGAAAATGTATATCCACACAAAAACCTACACACAAGTGTTCATAACAGCTTTATGTATAAATGCCAAAACTTGAAAGCAATAAAGATGTCACAATAGAGGTGAATGGATAAACAAAGTGGTACACCTATACAATGAGATATTATTTAGTGATAAAAATAAATGAGCTATCAAGCTATGAAGAGACATGGAGGAACCTTGAGTAAGTACTGCTAAGTAAATAACAAGTTTGAAAAGGCTACAATTTAAACTATATGACATTCTGGAAATAGCAAAACTATACAGACAATAAAGAGACCAGTGATTATCGTGGTACAGCAGGAAGGAGGAAGGGAGAGGTGAATAGACAGGGTATGGAAGATATTTAGGACAGTAAAATTATTCTGTATGGTATTGTAATGGCAGATACATGGCATTATATATTTGTTAAAACCCATAAATGTACAATACAAAGATTGAGCTCTAATGTAAACTATGGCCTTTAGTTAATAAAAGTGTATTAATATTTGTTCATCAATTGTAATAAATGAACCATATTAATGTAAGATGCTAATAATAGTAGAAAAATATAATTTATTTTGTGTATCCTGGGAAGTGATCAGTTGTATCCTTAAGCAAAGTTATTATTAAACTGGAATATTTGGTTTATGGACAGTAAGCAAGGGGCATGTGAGGAATGAAGAATTTTGTACGCTGTAATTTAGGCACTCACCACTTCATACATGATATATTGTAACATTCTCTTAATTCGTTTCCCTGCGTTAGACTTTTTCATTTATTGGCCATTGCCAACATCAAGGATAATTAACTTTTGCAAATCACTGTTTTTCACTTGTCACACAATACCCAAAAATCTTTAATGTCTTTCTATTGCTTATAAAATAAAGAATTTTTAGCATGTCACTCAACCTTTCCTTTAACTATTTCTTAACTATGCTCTAAAATGGATGGCTTCTATTGCCCTTAAAAGAACTATGTTCTGGGGAAACTGTTGTATTCATTGTCACTTCCATACCTACTTTCTTTCTGCTAACCTGGAAGTAAGAAAATGTTTGAAGCAATGGCTTTAACAATTACAACCTGGGATATTGATCAAGCTTTATTTTGGAAGCTTTTTGAACATCAATTTCCTCATCTGAAAAAATATAAATGACAACATATACTCTTGGGGTTGCTGTGATATTTGTGTAAACACTATTTGTCCTCTCCAGTTCTATACCCATAAAACAAACTTGTGATTCAACTTCTACACAAATTTCCTACTTCTTTTGCCAGCTTAGAGACATTTGAGCTTCTGTGGCATTGCAATCTGTACCACAATTGATATTTGAGTAGTCTTAGTTGTCTTTGCATTAATAAACTTATTCTACAAACAAAGCATGATGCTAAGTGATCTGGAACCTACAGAAATAAATATGACATGGGTACTGCCCTATAATACTTACTATCTAGTTGGAAATAGTTTAGCAGTTTACCCTACTATAGTGTAAACTCCTTGACAGTAGGGTATTTATCTGGCTACTATAAGAAGTTAGTACTTCTAACACTTTACATAATGCTTTGCACATACCCAACACTAAATATAGATGTGCTTATGATGCTATACAGAGAAATGTGAAATAGAGAGTTTGTAAAACTCCCTATTTCAAGCCAAGATCATCCTTAATGAAAGAAAACATTCGAATTAACATTTAAAAACAAGACAAAAACTTTTTTTGAAAATTATTTTTCTCTTTGCCCCACAGTATAATTTAGGTTTCTATTCGTTTCATTTGTAAAGCAACAACAAAATAAAAACAAATCTATAATACCTACAACAACAAACAACAAAGGATTGAAGTTGAAAGGACAAGCATTTTCTATATGTTTACTAGCGTATCTTATCACTGTAATAATCTCTTAAATTTAGTGATTGATGGTTTATAAAGTAATTTTGCTTGCTGTAATTTTACCTTTAATCCTCAAATAACTCTGTGACATCCACTGTGGGTAATTTTTCCTGAAGCAGAAATGTACTAGCTTATACATATTTTTCCTGCTTTCCTTAAGAACAGTGATATATATAGCTAAGATTATTGACCATGTCCCAAAATCGACCCAGGGAAGTATTAAATCTATAATCTCAATCTCATCCACATCATGCTTGGTCACCAACAAATATTCCCCAATTTGTTTAGTGTTGCTTTTCTAAACACAGTAAATAAAAAAGCCATTGAGATGAGTGAATATGTACTTTAACAGTTGAGGGGTGGTGTTTATTTGTTTTCAGTTATTAAAATCCTTAGTGAGATTTGAAAAATATTTCCAAATGACTCACTACTCTGCTTGCATCTCTGTTTCCTTCTCTTCAACTTAAAATTATAAGTTATTTCCTTAATTATAACCTTAGAAGTAAAGACAATTTACCATTTTATTTTTAATATCTTAAAATTATTAGTATACAACACCCCATTCTTCTTTATTTATAGTTGAAACTTCTGTAGCTAAAATATGTTGTCTTTGTCTGAACACATATGCCTCACATTTTGGTTTCAGAATTTGATTTCCCTTAGATAAGCCACCCTTCTCTCACTTTTTGCCTGTGTGGTTCAGAGGAGAATTTCCAACCTCAATTTCAGAACAGTCTCTGTAGTCCTGAATAAATTAAAACACTGCCTCTCCCAGGCACTATTAACTGGTCCAAAGCTACCCTAATCAGACCTCTGCTTGAAACTTTTGCTGCAACTATAATAAGAAAGAAAATGAGAACTTGAAGCTAATACCAGAAGAGAATTGCTTGCAGTTGAAGCCAATATAGAAGAAAACAGAGTTGAATAAGAGATGGATTCCTGAATATAATCTTTTAACACCTTATATAAGTTACCAGGGCTGCATAACAAATTGCCTCAAAACTTACTGGCATCTATATTTATAGCAGCTTTATTCACAATGCTCAAATTTGGAAGCAACCAAGCTGTCCTTTGATAGGTGAGTGGATAAACTGTGGTACATCCAGACAGTGGAGTATTATTTAGTGATAAAAAGGAATGAGCTATCAAGCCACAGAAAGACATGAAGGAAACGTAAATATATTTTACTAAGTGAAAGAAGCCAATCTGAAAAGTCTACATACTGTAGGTTTAACTATATGACATGGAAAGCACAACTTTGGGGACAGTGAAAAGATCAGTGGTTGTCAGCGGTTGGTGGGAGGGAGGAATGAATAGAGGGAGCACAAAGGATTTTGGAGGCAGTGGAAATGCACTGTATGATATTGCAATGATAGATGCAGGTCATTATACAATATTTGTCTGAACTTATACAATATACAACACCAAGAGTGAATCCTAGTGTAATCTATGGACTTTCAGTAATGATAATTTATCGCAGGTTCATCAAATGTAAACAAATGTACCACTTTGGTGGGGGATGTTAATAATGAGGGAAGCAATACATCTATGGGGGACAGGAAGTAGACAGAAAATCCCTGTACGTTCCTCTTAATTTTGCTGTGAACTTTCTAAAAAATGAAGTCATTTAAGAAATAATTAGCCCTGGGTATTTTGTCTGTTGTTAGTTTTGAGGTAGCATGGGACCTTTTATTTTTTCACCTGTAATGGTATTTTTCTACCTTTTAAAATTAACATTTTCAATTTACAAATCATAATTGTATATACATTTATAGGATACAAATGTGATGTTTTGATATATGTATGCAACATAGAATGATTAAATTGAGCTAATTAACATCTCTATCACCTTGCTTACCTATAATTTTTATGAGATATATGAAATTTAATCTCATTTTAAAATACACAATACATTATCATTGACTACAGTCACTCTGCTGTGCAGTAGATCTCAGAACTTATGCCTTCTGTCAATCTGGGCTCCTATGTAATCCTTAAGTTTTTATAGATCTATGTATATTATAGAAGTTTTTCACAGTGTTTTACACTACCATTTTCACTATTATAATTAATTGTCAGCCACTTTTTCCTCTCAGCCAGGTTTTTCCTGTCATGTGAAACATAATAGTATCAGCTGAAATAATTCAAGCACCTGACAATTGCATATATAAGCATGCTCTGCACATTTCCATTTTTATGAAGTGTTAATATTTCTATATATTGGGATAAAATACATAATTTTGTGTAAGTTGAAAAGATTGAATAGTAGTTTCATATGGTTTAAACTAATATATGCATATAACATATGACATGGAAATATATACACTCAGGTGTTGACAACGGATACCTCTGGAAAGAATAGATGATAATAATTTTTAGTTTTCTTTTATACATATGTATATTGTATTTTTGAGGAATGAGCAGCTTTGATTTGTAATAAAAACAAAAATATTGGACAACACTATACAATAAAAAATGAATTTAGAAAACAATGGGACTTAAGGTGTATATTTTAAAATCTCCTACCTGAATTAATGACTCCAATAATTTATGGCTTATTCCTCCAAGAAATATGGGACTATGTGAAAAGACCAAATCTACGTCTGATTGGTGTACCTGAAAGTCACGGGGAGAATGGAACCAAGTTGGAAAACACTCTGCAGGATATTATCCAGGAGAACTTCCCCAACCTAGCAAGGTAGGCCATCATTCAAATTCAGGAAATATAGAGAACGCCACAAAGATACTCCTCAAGCAGAGCAACTCCAAGACACATAATTGTCAGATTCACCAAAGTTGAAATGAAGGAAAAAATGTTAAGAGCAGCCAGAGAGAAAGGTCGGGTTACCCATGAAGGGAAGCCCATCAGACTAACAGCTGATCTCTCGGCAGAAACTCTACAAGCCAGAAGAGAGTGGAGGCCAATATTCAACATTCTTAAAGAAAAGAATTTTCAACCCAGAATTTCAAATCCAGCCAAACTAAGCTTCATAAGTGAAGGAGAAATAAAATGCTTTACAGACAAGCAAATGCTGAGAGATTTTGTCACCACCAGGCCTGCCCTACAAGAGCTTCTGAAGGAAGCACTAAACATGGAAAGGAACAACCAGTACCAGCCACTGCAAAATCATGCCAAATTGTAAAGACCATCAAGGCTAGGAAGAAACTGCATCAACTAACGAGCAAAATAACCAGCTAACATCATAACAACAGGATCAAATTCACAAATAACAATATTAACCTTAAATGTAAATGGACTAAATGCCCCAATTAAAAGACACAGACTGGCAAATTGGATAAAGAGTCAAGACCCATCAGTGTGCTGTATTCAGGAAACCCATCTCACATGCAGAGACACACATAGGCTCAAAATAAAGGGATGCAGGAAGATCTACCAAGCAAACGGAAAACACAAAAAGGCAGGGGTTGCAATCCTAGTCTCTGATAAAACAGACTTTAAACCAACAAAGATCAAAAGAGACAAAGAAGGCCATTACATAATGGTAAAGGGATCAATTCAACAAGAAGAACTAACTATCCTAAATATATATGCACCCAATACGGGAGCACCCAGATTCATAAAACAAGTCCTTAGAGACCTACAAAGAGACTTAGACTCCCACATAATAATAATGGGAGACTTTAACACCCCACTGTCAACATTAGACAGATCAATGAGACAGAAAGTTAACAAGGACATACAGGAATTGAACTCAGCTCTGCACCAAGCGGACCTAATAGACATCTACAGAACTCTCCATCCCAAATCAACAGAATAGACATTCTTCTCAGCACCACACCACACCTATTCCAAAATTGACCACATAGTTGGAAGTAAAGCACTCCTCAGCAAATGTAAAAGAACAGAAATTATAACAAACTGTCTCTCAGACCACAGTGCAATCAAACTAGAACTCAGCATTAAGAAACTCACTCAAAACTGCTCAACTACATGGAAACTGAACAACCTGCTCCTGAATGACTACTGGGTACATAACGAAATGAAGGCAGAAATAAATATGTTCTTTGAAACCAATGAGAACAAAGACACAACATACCAGAATCTCTGGGACACATTCAAAGCAGTGTGTAGAGGGAAATTTATAGCACCAAATGCCCACAAGAGAAAGCGGGAAAGATCTAAAACTGACACCCTAACATCACAATTAAAAGAACTAGAGAAGCAAGAGCAAACACATTCAAAAGCTAGCAGAAGGCAAGAAATAACTAAAATCAGAGCATAACTGAAGGAGATAGAGACACAAAAAACCCTTCAAAAAATCAATGAATCCAGGAGCTGGTTTTTTGAAAAGATCAACAAAATTGATAGACCACTAGCAAGACTAATAAAGAAGAAAAGAGAGAAGAATCAAATAGACACAATAAAAAATGATAAAGGGGATATCACCACCGATCCCACAGAAATACAAACTACCATCAGAGAATACTATAAACACCTCTACACAAATAAACTAGAAAATCTAGAAGAAATGGATAAATTCCTGGACACATACACCCTCCCAAGACTAAACAAGGAAGAAGTTGAATCTCTGAATAGACCAATAACAGGATCTGAAATTGAGGCAATAATTAATAGCTTACCAACCAAAAAAAGTCCAGGACCAGACAGATTCACAGACGAATTCTACCAGAGGTACAAGGAGGAGCTGGTACCATTCCTTCTGAAACTATTCCAGTCAATAGAAAAAGAGGGAATCCTCCCTAACTCATTTTATGAGGCCAGCATCATCCTGATACAAAAGCCGGGCAGAGACACAACAAAAAAAGAGAATTTTAGACCAAGATCCCTGATGAACATTGATGCAAAAATCCTCAATAAAATACTGGCAAACCAAATCCAGCAGCACATCAAAAAGCTTATCCACCATGATCAAGTGGGATTCATCCCTGGGATGCAAGGCTGGTTCAACATACGCAAATCAATAAACGTAATCCAGCATATAAACAGAACCAAAGACAAAAACCACATGATTATCTCAATAGATGCAGAAAAGGCCTTTGACAAAATTCAACAGCCCTTCATGCTAAAAACTCTCAATAAACTAGGTATTGATGGAATGTATCTCAAAATAATAAGAGCTATTTATGACAAACCCACAGCCAATATCATACTGAATGGGCAAAAACTGGAAGCATTCCCTTTGAAAGCTGGCACAAGACAAGGATGCCCTCTCTCACCACTCCTATTCAACATAGTGTTGAAAGTTCTGGCCAGGACAATCAGGCAGGAGAAAGAAATAAAGGGTATTCAGTTAGGAAAAGAGGAAGTCAAATTGTCCCTGTTTGCAGATGACATGATTGTATATCCAGAAAACCCCAACGTCTCAACCCAAAATCTCCTTAAGCTGATAAGCAACTTCAGCAAAGTCTCAGGATACAAAATCAATGTGCAAAAATCATAAGCATTCTTATACACCAATAACAGACAAACAGAGCCAAATCATGAGTGAGCTCCCATTCACAATTGCTTCAAAGAGAATAGAATACCTAGGAATCCAACTTACAAGGGATGTGAAGGACCTCTTCAAGGAGAACTACAAACCACTGCTCAATGAAATAAAAGAGGACACAAACAAATGGAAGAACATTCCATGCACATGGATAGGAAGAATCAATATCATGAAAATGGCCATACTGCCTAAGGTAATTTATAGATTCAATGCCATCCCCATTAAGCTACCAATGACTTTCTTCACAGAATTGGAAAACACTACTTTAAAGTTCATATGGAACCAAAAAGGAGCCCACATTGCCAAGTCAATCCTAAGCCAAAAGAACAAAGCTGGAGCCATCACGCTCCCTGACTTCAAACTATACTACAAGGCTACAGTAACCAAAACAGCATGGTACTGGTACCAAAACAGAGATATAGACCAATGGGACAGAACAGAGCCCTCAGAAATAATACCACACATCTACAACTATCTGATCTTTGACAAACCTGACAAAAACAAGAAATGGGGAAAGGATTCCCTGTTTAACAAATGGTACTGGGAAAACTGGCTAGCCATATGTAGAAAGCTGAAACTGGATCCCTTCCTTACAATTTATACAAAAGTTAATTCAAGATGGATTAAAGACTTAAATGTTAGACCTAAAACCATAAAAACCCTAGAAGAAAACCTAGGCAATACCATTCAGGACACAGGCATGGGCAAGGACTTCATGTCTAAAACACCAAAAGCAATGGCAACAAAAGCCAAAATTGACAAATGGGATCTAATTAAACTAAAGAGCTTCTGCACAGCAAAAGAAACTACCATCAGAGTGAACAGGCAACCTACAGGATGGGAGAAAATGTTTGCAATCTACTCATCTTACAAAGGGCTAATATCCAGAATCTACAAAGAACTCAAACAAATTTACAAGAAAAAACAAACAACCCCATCAAAAAGTGGGCAAAGGATATGAACAGACACTTCTCAAAAGAAGACATTTATGCAGCCAAAAGACACATGAAAAAATGCTCATCATCACTGGCCATCAGAGAAATGCAAATCAAAACCACAATGAGATATCATCTCACACCAGTTAGAATGGCGATCATTAAGAAGTCAGGAAACAAGAGGTGCTGGAGAGGATGTGGAGAAATAGGACCACTTTTACACTGTTGGTGGGACTGTAAACTAGTTCAACCATTGTGGAAGTCCGTGTGGCGATTCCTCAGGGATCTAGAACTGGAAATACCATTTGACCCAGCCATCCCATTACTGGGTATATACCCAAAGTAATATAAATCAGGCTGCTATAAAGATACCTGCACAGGTATGTTTATTGCAGCACTATTCACGATAGCAAAGACTTGGAACCAATCCAAATGTCCATCAGTGATAGACTGGATTAAGAAAATGTGGCACATGTACACCATGGAATACTATGCAGCCATAAAAAATGATGAGTCAATGTCCTTTGTAGGGACACGTAGCTGGAAACCACCATTCTCAGCAAACGCAAGGACAAAAAACCAATCACCACATTTTCTCACTCATAGGTGGGAATTGAACAATGAGAACACTTGGACACAGGAAGGGGAACATCACACACTGGGGCCTGTCGTGGGGTGGGGGGAGGAGGGAGGGATAGCATTAGGAGATATCCCTAATATTAAATGACAAGTTAATGGGTGCAGCACACCAACATGGCACATGTATACATATGTAACCAACCTGCACGTTGTGCACATGTACCCTAGAACTTAAAGTATAATAATAGTAAAGTTCTATATATAGAACTTAAAGTATAATTATATTATATAATATATATTATATATTATATAATATTATTATATAATATAATATATATTATATATAATTATATATATAATATATATTATATATTTATATATATTTATATATTATATATTTATATATATTTATATATTATATATATATTTATATGTTATATATTATATAAATATATATATTTATATATATAATATATAATAAAACACATTTGATATTCAAAAAAATAATTTATGGCTTATTTTAATTTGATTTCCAGTAGGTATCCCCAAGAATGCATTCAATGCTAAAATCTTGTTTCGTCAACCACATCCCCTTTCTCCTCTCCCCAGCAAATTTTCTCCTTCTAAGCCCTTCCCTGTGTCAGCACATGGCAATTCCACCTTCAGTTTGCTCAGGCCTAAAATTTTTGTGTTTATCCTTGACTCCTGCCAGTCCCTCACTACTCACCGCGTTAAATCCAATAGGAAATAACATCACTTCTACCCCTACCACACTGGTTCATGCCATCATCAAATCTTGTAAGTTTTATTGTAAATAGTCTCTTAACTGGTCTCCTTGCTTCAACTCCTGCTTGTCTATAGTCTCTGCCTCACAGTTACCACTGTTATCCTTTAAAAATATCAACCACATTATATCATCTCTCTTCTCAAAACCTTAAAAGTTTCTCATCTCATTTAAAATAAAACCTAAATCCTGTACTATAATCTACATGGTCCCTGGTGATGTTTCCTACCTCTGACCTCTTCTTCCGCCCTGCCCCTTCCTTATCTCTCTTTATTCATATCACTCTCCTTTCTTTCCCCCAGGCTCCTCAATTGCTATACTGGAACACTTTTTCCACATATAGCCAGAAGGCATCCTCATCACTTCATTCAGGTCTCTGTTCAAATGTCACCACATCAGAAGACCTACTTCACCATCATATCAAAAATAACAAAATAGACAGATAGCTAGATATTAATATACCTGTAGATGTGGGTATATATGTAGATATAGCTATAGCTATAGATATAGATATAACAGTATGTCTTCATCCACTCATTACTATCATTACATTATGAATTCTATAAGCAGAGTGTTTCTGATGTTTGTCTTTGTTGACTACTGTTATCTTTATGTTTAAAACAGCTCCTGACACATAAGAAAAAATTTTTGACTAAATGAATTAGTGCAATCATCATTAATATAGTATATTGTCAGGGGGGCAGGGGAGATTTTTAAGGAACAAAACCATCACAATCTACCTAGTTGGTTTTCCTATTCAGTTCGCTTATGGTAACAGCAGCAATAAAGAAGTACCTGAGCTCACTTTAGAAGCTAGAATGGCAATTAGACACGTGAAATAGTTGGGATTTTATAGATACAGTAATCCTTTCTGTGACTCTGGACTGAGTCAACCAGTTGAGAGATGATTAGCAATTGAATCACAGCAGTGGCAAAGGAGATGAAATGCAGAAGGTGGATGGAGAAGGCTGAGAAAAAAGTCACAGGACCTAACAACAGATCACTTGTGGTGAGTGAGAGAGGAGGAAATGAACAGGGCTGAATTTTCTAGTATGACAAATTGAATTCATAGGGTAAGAATAAAATTCTGCCTTTACCTTCATTCAGGGAACTCCTACTTTCTCTTCAGCAACAATATTGCCTTGGCATCAAAATTAGCAATACTACTAATTAGCATTATTTAGAAGAAATAACACTAACATGGTAAAACCACAATGGTAAATGAACTGATTGAGATCACTATGACATAAGACAGGGACAAAGAAAAAATAATAATTCTTGAAGATTATGCAAAATATCAAGAATGAATATGATGGCATTTAAAACCCTAACTACTGAGCGCAGTTTTAGTTGGAAGCCTTTGTTCAAACAAGCGTTGCCACTCACCAGCTGGCATTTCCTTCTTTTGTATTTACTAAGACAATTAGTTCTTTCTGTGCCAACAGACCTACATGCTGTGTAATGAAATACAATAATGATGGAGCCCCATGGACTTGAACTAGTCTGCTTTCCATTCTAAGGCAGTGGTTTACAATATAAATTACTAACCAATAATTCAACCTAAGCCTTCTTGTATCACCAAATAATATATTCATATGCAACATAGCAGTTGCACAGACCAGTGGTTCTCAAACTTTATCGTGCATGAGAATCACTGGAGGAACTTGTTAAAACACAGATTACTGGGCCCCAGCTCCGGATATTCTGACTCACTAGGTCTGGAATAGGGCTCAATAATTTGCATTTCTGACACTTTCCTGAGTAATGGTGATGCAGCTAGTCTAAGGATCACATTTTGAGAATCATTGCCATAGAATCATATTTTTCTGTCACCAGAGAAGTAGTCTCTAAAATATTAAATATTAAGTCTAGATGTAGAGTAACAGCTATAAGACTAATATTCTCCTTCATCTTTGTCATTACCAGTAGGACAATTTCACACTCTCCTGAGCCTCTAAGAGATATAATACTTGGATAAAGTGTTAATTAACAAAATCACTAGTGAGACAGAGAAAAATAGGGGAAGGAGAAACAAAGAAATATGGTTTCTAGGTCTGTGTCCTGGAAATCTAGTTCTGACTTTTATGAAGTGAATATTTTTAGACACCCAACTAGACTCTTATTCTCTACATCTATTGTCAATCTCTAAAGTGGTCAGGTCAGGCTTGATGATTTAGACTTAGGGAGTCAAGCTAAGAGGAGAGAATAACTATCTACAGGCAGTTACTCCAAATGTTTATGCTAATTATGAGCTGCTTTCCCTCACATTTAAATGTAATTTCAAGTTTAATTTAGTTTTTTCTGATATTAAGGGTTTTTAAACAATATTTTTAACAGAGAAGCAAATCTCAAAATCTACATCTTTCTGTGGCTCACCAGTCCATTGTATAACATGAGTGATCTTTGCTGCCTGAGGTACTTGTTCCATACTGAATGCTTTGGATTGCAGTAATTTTTACATCAACCTATTAAGATTATTTTTCACTAAAACAGTTCCTGTAATATATTTGCAAACACCATCTCTGCAAACAAAACAAAGTAAAATCAAAACAGTCCTCTTCTCCAAATAAATCTTTTGATAATGAAACTTTCATGAATCCTGTGTCAATGCCAAGAACAGCATCTGGAACACAGTAAGTATTTCATATCCATGCTCAGTGATAGGCTGCATGATTCAAATGAGCTGATAACGCATTAACAAGTATTGATCTTACTGTTACACATTTTGGCTTTTCAGAAGAACTGGGTAAATTAAGACAAAGTTTATATTTGGAAAATGGCTGCAAGAAGTAGTCAAATAATTGGGAGCATAATAGCAAAGCATGAATTTCAGTGGTACAGGTAATGTTCATTTGAGTAGAAAAAGTGTATGAGGTTAGTTCCTAATCATAAAAATATATGGATCAAGAACCTGGATTATAGTTTTTCTATGAAATATATTTCTATAGTTTTACTTTAGCAGGTTACAGATTGCTAGAATTCAACTTTAAAAATGCCAAGCAGATCTTTTTCTATACTGTCTTTAAACTTAACCTACCCATTATAGCATTTTTGCCTTAGCAATATTTCATTATCATGCTTGTGGAGTGGGGTAGGGGTATCACAGACTGAGGCCAAACTTCATAAGTATTGTTAGACATGGACTATGTGAAGGAGAAAAGAAAGAGATGCAAAGTATTCTAAGCAGTCCTGTGCTCCTACTGAGTGACCATTAAGCTACTTCAAAATTACCATTAACAAATTGGCAGTAGTAAGTCCTTACATATCAATAACTACCTTCAATGTAAATAAATTAAATTCACCAAGCAAAAGATATAAAAGTGACTGAGTGAATTTTTAAAAAAAATCACATACGTGCTGCCACAAGAAACTCACTTCACCTGTAAGGACACACATAGACTGAAAGTGAAGGGATGGTAAATGATATTGCAGCAAATGGAAACCAAAAGAGAGTAAGAGTAGCAATATTTAAATGAGATAAAATATATATTAAGTCAACAACTATAAAATGAGACAAAGAAGAGCATTATATAATGACAAAGTGGTCAATTCACCAAGAGGATATAAAATTATAAATACATGCACCCAACATTGGAATGCCTAAATATATAAAGCAAATAGTAATAGATATGAAGAAAGAGATAGACTGTAAATAATAACAGTAGGAGAATTCAAGACCCCACTTTCAACAAAGGACAGATCATCCAGACAGAAAATCAATAAAAAGCCATTGGACTTAAACTACACTTTAGGCCAAATGGGCCTAACAGACATATATAGAACATTCGATCCAACAGCTAAAGAAAATATTCTTCTCAAGGGCACACAAGACAGTTTCCAGGAGAGATCATACGTTAGGACACAAAATAAGTCCTAACAAATATTAAAAGATTGAAATAATATCAAGTATCTTTTCTGACCACAATGGTATCAAACTAGAAATCAATACCAGGAGGAATTTTTTTAAAAAATCACAAATACCTGAAAATAAAACAACGTACTTTTGAACAACCAATGGGTCAATGAATAAATTAAAAAGGAAAATTTTTAAAAATCTTGTAACAAATGAAAACGAAGACACAACATACTCAAACTGATGGAACACAGCAGAAACAGTTATAAAAAGGAAGTTTACAGCAATAAATGTCTACATAAAAAATGAAGATCCCAAATAAACAACTTAACATTACACCTTAATAAACTAGAAAAATAAGAACAAACTAAGCACAAAGTTAGCAAAAGGAAGGAATAATAAAGATCAGAGAAGAAATAAATGAAATAGAGACTATGAAAACAAGAGAAAAGACTGACAAAATTAAGAGTTGTTTTTTTCAAAGATAAAGAAAATTGACTAACTCAACTAAGAAAAAAAGAAGGCTCGGCCGGGCGCGGTGGCTCACGCCTGTAATCCCAGCACTTTGGGAGGCCGAGGCGGGTGGATCACGAGGTCAGGAGATCGAGACCATCCTGGCTAACACGGTGAAACCCCGTCTCTACTAAAAATACAAAAAATTAGCCGGGCGTGGTAGCGGGCGCCTGTAGTCCCAGCTACTCGGGAGGCTGAGGCAGGAGAATGGCGTGAACCCGGGAGGCGGAGCTTGCAGTGAGCCGAGATCGCGCCACTGCACTCCAGCCTGGGCGACAGAGCGAGACTCCGTCTCAAAAAAAAAAAAAAAGAAAAGAAAAAAAGAAGGCTCAAATGAATAAAATCGGAAATTAGAGACATAACTGATGACAGAAATATAAAGACTCATAAGAGACTAATATAAACAATTTTATGCCAACAAACTGGATAAACTAGAAGAAACGAATAAATTCCTAGACATACAACCTACCAAGATTGAATCGGGAAGAAACAGTAAAAAAGAAATTGAGTGAGTGATAAAAATGAAAAGCACAGTAGCTGATGCCTTCACTGCTAAGTCCTACCAAACATTTAAGGAAGAATAAGAATCCTTCTCAAACTCTTCCCAAAAACTGAAGAAAAAAATACTTCCAAGGTCATTTTATGAGGCCAGTATTACCCTGATACCAAAGCCAAACAAAGGACACTTATGAAAAAATAAAATTACAAGCCAATATCCCCAATGAACGTAGATGAAGAATTACTTAACAAAATGCTATTATATCAAATTCAACATCACATTAAAAGGCTTATGCACCATGGTAAAGTTAAATTTATCTCAGGGATGCAAGATGCAAGGATGGTTCAACATACACAAATTTATAAATGTGATACACCACACTAACAGAATGAAGGACAAAAACCATATGATCATCTTGAGCAATGCAGAAAAAAGCAATTTTAAACATTCAACATCCTTTCACGATAAAAATTATCAACAAATTAGGCAAAGAAGAAATGTACCTCAACATAATAAAGTTATATATTACAAGCCCACTGCTAACATCATACTCAATGGTAAAATATTGAAAGCTTTACCTTTAAGAAACAAGACAAGGATGCCGACTTTCACCACTTCTGTTCAACATAGCACTAGAAGTCCTAGCCTAGAGCAATAAGGCAAGAGAAAGAAATAAGAGGTATCCAAATTGGAAAGCAAGAAGTTAAATTGTCCCTATTTGCTAATGACATAATCTTATGTATTAAAAAAACTTAATGATTCCATGAAAAGACTGTAAGGACTAATAAATGAATTCAGCAAAGTTGCAGGATACAAAATCAACATACAAGATCAGTAGCATTTCTATACACTAGAAATGAACTACCTGAAGAATAATCAAGAAAACAAGCCTATTTTCAATAGCTATAAAAAAATACTAGGAATAAATCTAACCCAAAAAGGGAAAGACCCATATACTGGGAACTATGAAACAGTAATTTTAAAGAATTTAAAAGGACACAAGTAAAGGAAAATACATTCTGTGCTCATGGATTGGACCATTAATAGTGCTAAAATGTCCATACCACCCAAAGAAATCTACAGATTCAATTCAATCCCCATTAAAATACCAGTAACATTTTCCACAGAAAGAGAAAAAAATATCCTAAAATGTGTATGGAACCACAAAAGACCCTGAATAGCCAAAACAATCTTAAACAAAAAGAACAAAGCTAAAAGCATCACACTATCTGACTTCAAAATATACTACAAAGCTACATCAACCCAAACAGCATGGTACTGCCACATGAACAGACACATAGATGAATGGAACAGAATAGAGAGCCCATAAATAAATCCACGTATTTATAGTCAATTGATTTTCAATAAGGGTACCAAGAGCACACAATGGGGAAGACAGTCTCCTCAATAAATGGTGTTAAGAATATTTGATACACACATTCAGAAGAATGAAATTAGACCCTTGTCTCATACCATATCCAAAAGTCAATTTAAAATGAACTAAAGACTGAAATGTAAGATGTGAAACGATACACTTAGTAGAAGAAAACACAGGAGAACAGCTCCACGATACTGATCTGGGCAATGATTTTTTTGATATGAGTCGAAAAGCCTGATAACAAAAACAAAACTAGACAAATGGAATTATGTCAAATTTAATTTTCTGCACAGCCAAGGAAACAAACCGTAGAGTGAAGAGACAACCTATGGGATGAGAGAATATACTTGCAAACTATACATCTGACAAGGAGTTAATATCCAAAATATATAAGGAACTCAGCTCAATAGTAAGAAAACAGCCCATTTAAAATATTGGCAAGAGATCTGAATAGAAATTTCTCAAAGGAGACATACGAATAGCCATTAGGTATATGAAAAAAAAATGCTCAAAATTACTAATCATCAGAGAAACGCAAATCTAAACCACAGTGAAATATCACCTCACACCTGTTAGAATGGCTATTATCCACAAAGATGAAAGATAAGTTTTGGAGAGAGTATGGAGAAAAGGGAACCCTTGCACACTGTTGGTGGGAATGTAAATTAATGTAGCCATTATTGAAAACTATATGGAGGATCTACAAAAATAAAAATAAAAATAAAAATAAAAATAAAAATAGAACTACCCTGTGATCCAGCAATCCCACTACTGGTTATATATACAAAGAAAATGAAATCAGTATTTTGAAGGTATATCTGCACTCTCATGTTCATGGTAGCCTTATTTACAATAGCCAAGATATGTAATCAATCTAAGTGTCCACCAACAGATGAATGGATAATGAAAATGTGATATATATCCATAATGGAATACTTTTCAATCTTAATAATGAAATCTCATCATTTGCAATAACATGAATGAACCTGGAGGACATTATGCTAAATGAAATAAGCCAGACATACAAAGACAAATACTACATGATCTCACTCACATGTGGAATCTAGAAAAGATGAACTCATAGAAATAAATAGTAGAATATTGATTACCAGAGGCTAAGGTTGGGGAGATATTGGTCCAAAGGATAGAAAATCAGATAGGAGAAAAAAATTCAAGAGATCTATTGTTCAACATTGTGACTATCCTTAATAACAATGTATCATACTCTTAAAAATTGCTAAGAGAGTAGATTTTAAGTGTTCTTGCCACAAAAAATAATTTCATTTATCTTAATTTAGCTATTCCACAATGTAAATATATTTCAAAACATGTTGTACATGATAAATATGTATAATTTTGTTCAACGAAAATAAATAATTATTAAAGTTATGAATATTTTAAGATTCCAGAGGCAGGTTCCCAGCATAATTTTCTGGAATAAAAAAAGGCTTATGTTCAAGACCACAGGGAAAATCTAATTTTTGAAATACAGTGCAAAGCACATAACTGGATTTTTTGGTGATATAAGTATAGATTGGGCTAATTGAGTATAAATATTAAAAAGAACTTGAAAGCTTGAGAAATAGTGAAGTCAATGGTCACAATTAATTTAATAACTAAGGAAAACATGAAACATTTGTGATATAGATATGATTTAGAAGGATGTGACTAAGACATATCATTAATATATAATTCAGCTTATTGAGAAAACCTATGAAAAGTAACCCAACTGATTAAAACAGACTTCCTTAGTCACAGTGAAATTTTCATATTATATTTAATCTGGATAATTAGTAAGATAATTGGTTTTGATACTGCAGTTCAACTGTTTATGTAACATTATGGAAATTAATTATATTTGTCAAAAAGATTGCTTAATTTTTAATGGGTTTTGTTTTGAATGAATTTTATTTTTTCCCCATTTACTTGGCACCATCATAAAGTATACTCTTAGAGTATCACAGTTCAAGTTGTTCACCCCTTCATAATTGAAAAAAACATGACTAGCAATGATCATTAATATAAGCTGCCTTATATTTCGGAAGAGTTCCAGGAAACCTGCATATAGCTAGGCACACAGTTTACTACCCTGTGGACATTTTCTCCAAGGATATTTGTGAAAACAAAAAGGAGAAACCCTTTATCAACTGATCAAACCAGAATTTATTTCTTGTTAAACTATGCTTCTAGGAGGATAAAAAGAACCAAGGGACCAATGAAAACAAAATTTATTATGTATCAGCATAAAGCCAATGTATCCAAATGACAGATATGTAGAAACCTAGATAATTATTTCTTCCTGTATTGAATGAATGATATGACTTAAGGACACACTGTCCAGTGAGTGTCCTGCCTACTAAGGTCATATTAAAATGTGATTTGCAGAGTCCTCAATACCTTAAAGCAACAGTGCTGGTACCATTTCACTCTTTTTAACCACTGACATTCAAAGATAGTCTCTTTCCTTTCCTAACTCTCCCAATATTGAGCAACTGTATTTGTGCTCTATCTGTCTGTCTGTCTGTCTATCTGACTTTCTCTAGTTCTAAACTGTGAACTTCCCAAAGACAGTGACCGTACCTCAGTACATGGCACATCATGAACACTAAATAAATGTTAATTGAGCAGAGATATCTTGGGCAGTCTGAGCCTAAACATAATTATTCTAATAATCTAACCAGTCTTTATTGAGTACAAGCTGTATACAAGATGTGTTGTTAGGCATTAAGATACAAACATAAATGTAATATATTCCCATCCTTATATATTTTACAATCTGGTTTGGGAGGCAGATAATTGAAGTGGCACCTATGGTATAGCAGAGTAAGTGATGGATAAAGCTACTCATAGGGTAGTATGGGAACCCAGATTGTAATACTCATAGTTTTGTTTTAGCACTATCTTTTTGACAGTAGGTGTGGGATGGATTCAGGGAAGAGGCAGGAGGGTGCATGCATGAGAAAGAGTCATAATTTTCTCCAGAACCTTTCATTCAGTATTTTCCAAGAGACTTCTGTTTTAACTATCAATGTCTCATACCATTGCCAAATTAATTCCATGTCTATGATTTTTATAACGCTCCTTTTCAGTCTCTACACTGCCTTCCTCAATTTCCCTTTCAAGGCAATAGTTTCAGAGCGTCTGCTCTATGGTCACAAGAAAAGGTGCATGATTCCTTAGTCTGTCACTTACTACTTGTGAGCAACTGGACAAGTTAAAAATAATCTCCTTGCATATTAAATGTGTTGATTCACATGAAATGATATATATGCCTTCCATTCACTACACAAAGAGACAACTTGCTTTTTAATAATAGGAAAATGAATTTTGCATATAGAGAAATAAAATTAGAATTTATAGCCTTATTTGATGCTTTGTTTGTTTTTATGAAAAAGAAATTCGGTATTTTATTCATTTTAACAAAAATCACCTTTTTATAATTTTGCCAAAGTAATACATCCACGTTTTTAAATAAAATAGTACAGAAAGGTGTTTAATATAATCAATAATCTGTCCCCAATCATCCCTTGTTTGGTTCATTCCCCAGAAATAATCAATTTGAACATTTTCTGCTTGAAGGTCCTTTTATGGCTGCTGTCCTATTTCTAAATAACATTACATAATAATGCTTATATTTATTGACTTTAATATTTGTCTTGGCTTTCTCTATTGATGATAAGCAACTAGCTTATTTACACCACCCCACACCCTCTATTTCTTATCTTGCCAAGTCAGTTTTGTTATTTATTTTTTACAGTGTTATGTTTGACACAAAATTTTACATATTTATGGGGTATAATTTACTTTTTGCATACATATATATATTGTGTAATGATCAAATCAGGGTAATTAGCATATCCGTCACATCAAATATTTATCATTTCTTTGTAGTGAGAACATACAAAATCCCCTTTCCTAGCTTTTTTGAAATACATTATTGCTAACTACAGTCACTTTTACTGTGCAATGGAACACCAAAACGATTTCCTCCTGTCTACTTTTAACTTTATATCTGTTGACCAACCTCATGCCTTCCTCGCTTCTCCCCTACCCTCCTCAGCCTCTAGTAGCCACTCTTCTGCCTTCTACTTCTGAGATCAGCATTTTATATTCGACACATAAGTGATATCATGTAGTATTTGTCTTTCTGTGTCTCTTATTTCACTTAACATAATGTCCTCCAAGTTCATTCATGTTAATACAAATGACAGGATTTTATTGCTTTTTAGGGCTGAATAGTATTCCATTGTGTATATATACCACATTTTTAATCCATTCATCTCTTGATGGACACAGGTTGATTTCATATTTTCGCTATCGGGAATAGTGCTGCATTAAACATGAAAGTACAGTTATCTCTTTGACATACTGATTTCACTTCCTTTGTACATATATACAGTAGTGGGATTGCTGGATCATATGGTAATTCTATTGTTAATTTTTTTAGGAACCTCAATTTTGTTTTTCATAATGGTTATACTAATTTACATTCCCACCAAAAGTGTGTAAAGTTCTGTTTTCTCCACATCCTTGCCAACACCTATGTCTTTTATTAAAATAGTCATTCTAACTAGAGAGAGGTGATATCCCATTGTGGTTTTGATTTGCATTTGCCTGATGATTGGTGCTTCTGAGAGGTTTCCATATACCTGCTTGCTACTTTTATATCTTCTTTTGAGAAATGTCTATTCAGATATTTTGCTGATTTTAATTGAATTATATTATTTCCTATTGAGTTGCTCGAGTTCCTTATAAAATTTTGGATATTAACCCCTTGTCAGATGTATAGTATGCAAATATTTTCTCCCATTCTGTAGACTGTCTCTTCATATTGTTGATTATTTTCTTTGCTGTGCAGAAGTTTTTAGTTTCAGGTAATGCTATTTGATTCTTTTTGTTTTAGTTGCCTATGCTTTTGAGGTCTTATCCAAAATTCCTTGCCAAGACCAACATCATGAGGCATTTCTCCTATGTTTTCTTCTAGTAATTTCATAGTTAGTGGGTCTTACCTTTAAATCTTTAATCCATCTTTATTTGATTTCTGTTTATGTGAGACATGGGGGTCTAGTTTTATTCTTCTGCATATGGATACCCAATTTTCTTAACATCATTTTTTGAGGATACTGTCCTTTCCCCAACGAGTGCTCTTGGAGTCTTTGTTGAAAGTCAGTTAGCTGTAGATATACATGTTTATTTATGGGTTATCTATTCTGTTTCATTAGTCTATGTGTTTGTTTTTATGCCAGTACCATGCTGTTTTGATTACCATATTTTGAAGTCAGGTAGTGTGATGTCTCCAGTTTTGTTCTTTTTGCTCAATATTGCTTTGGCTGTTCAGTCTTCTGTAGTTTTATATTAATTTTAGGATTTTTTTTCTATGTCTGTGAATGTCATTGGTATTTTGATAGGAATTGCATTGAATTTGTAGATTCCTTTGGGCAGTATGAACATTTCAACAATATTAATTCTACTAACTATGATAGGGTTATATTTCCACTTATTTGTGTCCTATTAAATTTCCTTCATCAATGTTTTATAGTTTTCATTTTAGAGGTCTTTTATCACTTTGGTTGAATTTATTACTAGGTATCTTTTTTGTAGCTATTGCAAATGGGATTGCTTTCTTGCTTTCCTTTTCATATAGTTCACTGTTAGTGTGTAGAAACACTACATAATTTTGTGTGTTGGTTCTTCATCCTGCATCTTTTAGTGGTGACTCTGGATCCTTAGATGATGGGACACAGCAGTATCTCAAACTCTCTGAGTCCAGATGTAGTGGTGGGAAGGATCTCGGAATGGTAGAGTGTAGCTTGTGCCATTGGGGGGCAGGAAGCAGCACAATCATGACTCCACTTCCCAGGTAGAAGGGTGTCTCAAAAGCTCAAGTTTCTAGGGTCCTACTCTAGTTCCAGGGAAGCAGGGAACTAGAGTTGTTTTGCCTGTAGGGCAGGGTTTCTTAGCTCAGTCAAAGCTCTGTTTCCCTGGGACATGGGGTACTATGTCAGTTCTGCTCTGGGATGTGGGTCTGTTTGGCCCGGCCAAGACACTGGTTTCCCAGGAGGTGATGCACCTCTTCAGCTCAGACCTGGAAGGCATTACTGCTTTGGGCAGCCAAGACACCATTTGCCTGGGATGCAGGGTGCTGCTTCCACTTAGGAACAGGGGAGCATGAGTGCTCTGTGCATCTAAGGTACTACTGCCCTGGAGGTAGGGCACAGCTTCTACTCAGGCACTGAGAGGGCATGACTGCTCTGGGTGGCCAAGACATCATTTCCCCAGGATGCAGGGTGCCGCATCAGCTCAGGCACAGGGGATGGGGGGCAGCAGCAGTAGAGGGGGCAGATAGAATGGCTCTGCCAATGCACTGTTTCATTGGAAGGCAGTGTACAGCTTTAGGTCAGGCCCTGAGAGGCAAGGCTCAGTAGTGACTGGGAGGGGTAGATGGACCAACTCCACAGCAGCTTGGCCCCATGGGGTAGGGTGTAGCAGTAGCTTGGCTCAGGTACAGCAGACCACCAGGCAGGGATGGCTCAGTGGCAGCTAAGCTTCACGGGTGGAAGGGTGCTGTGGCCACTCACCCCTGGAGCAGGACACACTCCAGCAGTAGTTCCAGTTCCAAGATGGTGTAGCCCAATGGGCCACAGCGAGTGGGGCACTGCTGGCTGTTTCTCTGTGGGGAGCATGGCTGTGTGGACTCCAGGAAGTTCCCTCAGCTGGGCTTAGTGTATGTGAGGACTGTAGGGGTCCCTAGTGGTAAGGACCATAGGTGTCTAAGGTATTGATTGGAGCTGCTGAAGTACTCTTGCTTACCTTTTCTCCACAGGGAGAAGTCCCTCCTGGTCCTGAGCTGATTTGGGCTGGTGGATGGGGTGATGGAGGCCAGGTGTTTTCTTTCTTTCTCCATGTAATCATCCTGGGTTTCTGTGCTCTACCAGGTTTCTGCTACTCCTCTGATGCACACTGGTGCTTTCCTTTAGTTATTTTCATCAAAATGTAGTTGTTTGTCTTTTGGGCTATCTTTTTGGGGAGGAACAAACACAAAAGCCTTCTGGTTGGCTATCTTGCTGGTGTCACTCCCCAGTCAGTTTCATACCAGTAATCTCAACTCCTTCACTCATCTTATCCTCCCTGTCAAATATTTTAAACCTCTATTTCTTGTTCCATTACTCTAAATGAATTTCTAAATCACCTTCTGCTTTCTGTATTAGTCAGGGTTCTCCAGAGATATGGAACAGGATGTGTATGTCTACACACATACACCACACACACACACACACACACACACACACACACACACACACACACACACACACACACATCTTATTGGTTCCATATCTATGATTTATAAGAAGCCAGCTCACACAGTTATGGAAGCTGGCAAGTCCAAGGTCTTTGAAGTGAATTAGCAAACTGGAGACACAGTAGACTCAAGAGTTAAATTCCAGTTTGAGTTCAAAGGCGTAAGAATCCGAAGAGCTGATGGTATACTTCTAGTTCAAAGGCTGGAAGATTCAAGACCAAGGAAGAACCAAAGGTCCAGTTCAAGTAAGAGGGCAGGAAAAATTCCTGTATCCTAGTTCAAAGCCTATCAGTGAGGAAAAATTGTCTTTACTTGGGGAAGGGGTCAGCCTTTTTGTACTATTCAGCCCTTTAACTGATTGGATAAGGCCTGCCAGCATTATGGAAGGCAATATGCTGTCCATTTGACAGATATTTGTTTCATTTCTTGTCTGTTGATGGCTCTACCCCCATGCTCTTCACTATTGTGGCCTTACACATTGCTATCTTATGTCCTATTATTTTAATGAGGTGTCAGGGGGACTAAGAAAGACATGTCTGTGTTTAATGTGCCAAAAGCCCAGCTTATTCTATTTTGAAATATCTATTTTATGTTATCTCAGGAACCATTTGATTGAAAAAATATTTCTAGATTTCAACCAAAAAGCCTACTTTAATTTGGGCAGTGCTAACAAATTTGAGTGGAAATAATATGATATTATGAGGCAAAGTCAGTTTAAAAAGTAGTGAGTCATAGAACTGTAATATGAAATATGCTTTGGAGAATACTGACAATATGATTTATAATTTCACTCACTCTCTTGGTTAATTCAAACAGTGACTACAATAGGTAATGTCCTTTGTTAAATGGCAATAGAATGAAAAAACCAAACTGTGTTTCCTGGCCTCAAGGAGTTGATGAAACCAAAATTGATTATGTGAACAAATAATTCCAATTAAATATAGAATGTGACAACTAGCATGTGAAATAAAACAAGAAGATATAGAAGAGTGAGAGAGACAATGTCCAAGACAGAAAATTGTTCTCATTCATCTACAACTCTGTAATACTTAATCCAAGGTTTGGCATAGAGATGATGCCCAAAAAGTGCTTATTGCATGGATGAATATGCAATTAAAGTGTGGTGAAAAGGACCTAGGAGAGCTTCATGAGAGCAGAATTTGGTCTGAGTCTTGAAGAATCGGCAGAATTTTCATAGAAAATTTTCGTGGGTCAAGGTTGGAGAAAACCAAATAATATTGCCAGCATATTTCTAGCAGACTTGGAAGAGCTAGGAAAATATGAGGTACACATTAGAAACTGAGTTGAATCCTTTGACTCTTGAAAAGTAGCCTGACATTGGAACATGAAACCAAGTGAATGCACAGTTTAGAAATATATACTCTATTTGGTATAGAGATTTGGCACAGACTGCTAGTTCTCCTCCATGTCTATTATAACTTTTTGCTTTTAGTAATAGAATCTCCTAAATTTATGCTGGGATGGGGTCATATGGTTAAGTTCAGGTCAGTGGGGTATGAATGGAAGTGTAGAAGTTGAGGTTAATTTTGGACATGCTCAGTTTATAATGCTCATGGTGCAATAATCACACTGGCATTTGTCTTTTTAAGTTTTGAAACGATTTAATACAATTTATTTACAGATGTTTGAATACCTAAAGTGAGAATTTAAGCCTTAATTTCCCTTTATACTTTTTGGGGGCATATGATAATTACAGATATGTGAGATTAGCTTACCCTTTAAATCTCTTAGGTAAAATTTTTTCTATCAATATTTGTGTAAAATTTGAACCCACATTCGTCATTTATGTTATCTGTTGTTTTGCTTTTTATTGATACCTAACAATTGTACATGTTGTGGGATACATGTGATATTTTGATATCTGTGTACAATGTGCAAGAATCATATCAAGGTAATCAGGATAGCCATCACCTCAAACGTGTATCATTTTTTTTGTGTTGGGAACATTCAATATCCTTTCTTCTAGCTATTTTGAAATAGGCAATAAATTGTTAACTATAGTCACTCTACTGTGCTATCAAACACTAGAACTTACACTTCCTATGTGTATTTTTTACCCATTCACCCATTTTCTTCATCCTGCTCCACACACTCTTCCTAGCCTTCAGAGTGAGATTCTTAGCAGGAGACTGCTCTAAGCATTGCTGACAAATAAATCTCCCTAAAACTCAGCAACATTCAGCATTTAACAGGATTTCTTTCACAGTTTGGTTTTCCTAAAAAACGTTGAGCTGTGTTTATCATGGTATTGCTCTGCCAAAAATAACTTTGCTCTTTTTATTTGTTAAGGCACAGATTGAACTAACAAAGAGTCCTCTTCAAAACCAATGGCTCAATTAGATGGCATTTTATTCAAATAAGTTAGAAGTCTTTTATTCTTTTATATAAAGAAGTCCAGGACAAGTAAACGAATGCTGCTGCATGAGAATATCCAGGAACCCAGGATTGTAGTGTAGCTCAGCCATCCTTAATCAGTATCTACCAAAGTACCTGGGGTCACTGCCATTTCCATCCAGTGGGAAAGAAGGAAATCCGAGGCAAGTGACTTAATCATAGTTGAGATAACACTTAAGCTGCACACATCACTTCTAATCCATGGCATTTAAAGAAAATAGACTAGACACATAGGAAATATGAAATAACTATTATTTAGAGAAGTAATGTTTTATGAGGTGAAAAGGGCAGTAAGATTTTCAGATAAGCAGACACATATAAATGTCCATGAGACAGATAATTATAGCCTGATTTGGCACAGTAGCAGTACATATAAGAAAAAAGGGACCAATTAAAGAAATATCTCATTAGAAGATTTGTTTGTGAAGGAAAAGTGACAGGTCTCTCTGGAATTTTGAAATTGAATGACTGGAATGATAATGATATTAAAAACTGAGAGGCAAAAGTCAGAAATAAGACTTGATTTATGAAGGAAATTAATTAGGACCCTATGATGTTCAATTGAGAGCTCATGAGACATCGAAGTTTATCTTGAGGACAGATCTGACTTTTATAAAGTTCTGTATTTTCTGGCAATAAAAATGAATCAAGGAGAGGCTTCTCCTGCCTCCCCCATTCTGGCTTCTCTATAAATTAACACATGCAATTATTGAATATTTGCATTATGTGCCACATTTAGTCTTTATAACCATAAAAGAACCATACTATGAATTGCATTTTTGTACAAATGTTTTTAAGATTTTTCTTTTCCTTCTTCTCTCTAAATAAGCAAATGAAAATTTGTTATCTGATCCTGAGTGAAAATTCTTGTGTCTCAGTCTCCCAGTCTTTGTCTCTGAGAAGAGACAGGAATCAGATCAGGCCCCTTAGGTACAATGGGCACTGTAGAACCCAGGCTGCCCACTTAAACAGGCAGAATGAAAAAGAACACAGAGAAAACAGTGTCTGCCTTATGAGTTAATTTGATTCCTCTTGCTGACGTTGCTGACTATTAGAATCCCAAGATTCTGGACGTTGGTGACCAGGCTGATTATTCTGCATTTATCTGCCTGAGTAGGGCAATCTCTGAAATCAACCTCTTTTCTGCCTAGTTAGTGTCTGACAGAACTACTCCCTGCCTACTGGACTGCCTATTGATCCTTTTTATTTAAAATCAAAACATTTTATTATTGAAAATTTCAAATACATACATAGAAATAATATAATGAGCCCTACGTATCCATTAGTCAACATCAACATCAACATTTATCAGTATTAGACCAATCTTTCTTCATTGCTTCATTTATCTGCCCCCTTTTAAAGCACATCCCAGACATCATATCATTTTACCCATGAATAATTTAGTATGTGTCTCTGATAGAAACATATACACATACACACATGAATATGAATGTATACATACATGTATATATATACTTATATATACACACATATGCATATTACATCTAATACATGTAGCAATAGTCCCTTAAAACTTACTTCATATTGTATTTGTATTACATTTTCATGATTATCTCAACGATATCTTTTTACAGTTGGTTGGCTTGAATCCAAACAATGTCCACATATTAAATTTGGAAGTTAAGTCTCTAGTCTCTTCTATTCTCCAACAGTCTTTTGCTCCCTAACCTTACTTTATGCTTTTGTGTCTTTAAGTAAGAAGGCCATACCCTTACTCAAAGTATATAAGTATATACTGCCAAGCATTTATTTGCTTTTCTGGAATCAAACTCCTTCTTACTCATCTATCTAGTGGCTGAAGAAATATTCCTGCTTGGTTGGATTCTACACACTGTCTCCTTCCAGTAAGGCCTGTCTGACTCTCAGCCAGTCTTGTGGGACAAGTGCTTTCCAGTCTAGAAGTACTCATTAACCTCTACGTATTTTTTTTCTTTGTTTTAACCCAAATGCCAATGGTATTTCTTATAAATACTGTCTTATACAAGGATAAGTGTTATTTGAATACCTTGGTATTTTACTTCATTATTGTAAGACCTTGAACTAACTATTTTGGAAATAAAGTGTAACCATTAAATCATTGAAAGAATGTCAATATTAACAAAAAGGAGTTTTCATGAACAGAGACGTCACATCGAATAATAATATAAAAGCATCACATATTTATTGGCATTGGAAACCAGACCATCAGATCTAATTTATTCCTTAAAATTTTGTTTCTCCTACCAAAATGCAGTATAATAAACTCAAACAGGTTACATATTAGTATTCCAAATTATATCACTGCAGAAGTTGCTGAGCTTTCAAGATATACATCTGTTTAATAGATACAGCCCTCAACTTTTTTTTGCCCCCAGAGACAGGGTCCTGCTCTGTTGCCCAGGCTGGAGTGCAGTGGCACTATCACAGCTCACTGTAACCTTGAGCTCATGGGCTGTAGCTAGTACTACATGCCACTTTTAATTGTGGATCTTTATTTTGTACAAGTCACTGCTTCATTTCTTTTCATTTCTGCAAGAAAAGTATACTTTCATTTGTTTCTCATCACCCTTACAACCTCTGGTGATGACATAAACAGGATGTTAGCAAGGTGTTTAAAATACTTTCAAAGATTGCAGCTATGCAGTTATAACTAAAGCAATCTTAGCTTGAAAAAATGACATATTTAATTCCAAATATAATTAATGTAGTGATTAAGCAAAAATAATAAAATGTCTAGATTCTACGAAATTTAAGAATCCTGATGTGGTCTGGCTGTGTCCCCACCCAAATCTCCTCTTGAATTTTAGCCCCCATAATTCCCATGTGTCATGGGAGGGACCTGGTGGGAGGTAATTGAATCATGGGGTCAGGTTTTTCCCATGCTATTCTCGTGATAGTGAAAAAGTCTCACAAGATCTGATGGTTGTACAGAGGGGAGCTCCCCTGCACAAGCTCTTTTGCCTGCTGCCATATAAGACGCGACTTTGCTCCTCATTTGCCTTCAGCTGGGATTGTGAGGCCTCCCCAGCCATGTGGAACTGTGAGTCAATTAAACCTTTTTCCTTATTTTTATAAATGACCCAGTCTCAGGTATGTCTTTATGAAAAGTGTGAGAACAGACTAATACAAATCCCTGGTCCAGTGATGATACAGTTAGTTTCAAGAGCACTGACAGGGCAGTGTTGTAACTTCTGTGTGTCTAGGTATGTGTCTAACAATAAGCATTGTTATTTCTAGGTGAAATCGGAACTGCTAAATCAAATAATACCATGAGCAGGAGAGCTTGTGTTAAAAAAGAGAAAAAAAAAATTGTTTTTCGATGGAAAGCTTTAAATTAGCACTGAGAGATTATTTATACCTTTAAAACATAACTCTTATGAGACAAATTTTCAGTGTCTCTTGAATTCATTATCTTGTATAGAATACTAACAAAATGACAACTTAAATCAGAGAGAAAAGCTTATAAATTCAAGAAGGCCTAATTGAAATAATAGAGGGATTGACATATTTCAGAAACATTAAGGAAGAACTACAGTGACTCCTAAAGCTAGAAAAAGAATATTAGTTTAGAAATTACATTTTTAAACTTTTATTTTAGGTTCAGGGGTATATGTGCAAGTTTGTTATACAGGTAAACTTGTGTCATGATGGTTTGTTGTACAGATTATTTCACCACCCAGGCACTAAGCCTAGTACCCAATTGTTACTTTTTCTGCTCCTCTCTCTTCTCCTACCCTCCACCTTCAAGTAGGCCCCAGTGTCTGTTGTTAGCCTCTTTGTGTCCATGAGTTCTCATCATTTAGCTCCCACTTATAAGTGAGAACATGTGGAATTTGGTTCTCTGTTCCTATACTAGTTTGCTAAGGATAATAGCCTCCAGCTCCATCCATGCCCTGCAAAAGAAATGGTCTCATTCTTTTTTTATGGCTGCATAGTACTCTATTTTTTTGTGCCCTCTTTAACTTATTGTATAAATGTTTTATAGCTTTCATTGTAGAGATCTTTTACTTCTTTGGTTAAATTTATTCCTAGGTATTTTATGTTATTTGTAGCTATTGTAAATTAGATTACTGTCTTGATTTTTCGGATTGTTCACTGTTGGCATATAGAAATGCTACTGATTTTGTATGTTGATTTTGCATCCTGCAACTTTACTGAATTTGTTTATCAGTTCTAATTGTTATTTTGGTGGGGTCTTTAGGTTTTTCCAAATATAAGATCACATTATCTACAAATGAGAATAATTTGACTTTTTCTTTTCCAATTTGGATGCCCTAAAGGTATTCTGTTTTTAATTTCAAGTTCCACTTGTTCATTGCTGGTACATAGGAAAGTAATTAACTTTTGTATATTAAACTTATATTATGCAAACTTGCTATAATTGCTTATTAGTTCCAGGATTTTTTTTCCAATAAATATTTAAGTTACACTAATGCATAGATTGGAAGATGTCATGTGTATGTGTCTGGTGAATACACAGGGAAAGCTGCTTATTCTATGTCAGGTGGACTTTAACTGAAAGTCTTCAAACTTCTGCTTCTCTTCATTTAATTTGTGGCTATTTCCATATTGTCCTCTTGCTCAAGGTTATTAAACATTTTTAATTGTACAATTTATGTAATTGCTAAGCATTGCACAATAAAAGGTAAAAATAGATTCTATCTACTCAGTGGTTCAAACTGTTAGAATTTTATGTCTTTCCATTCAATGTTGTCATCCTTATTGTATACACATTTATTGAATTAGCACTACCTTTTGATCTCAACGATACATCAAAGTACTTCTCTGAATTATTATATCAATTTCCAAACAATTGTTTCCAGGGGTTGGATAACATTCTGTTGAGTTTCATTAATGAAATTAGTTATTAATTAACTAATGAAATCAGACATTTAAGTAGTTCCCATTTTCCCATTCTTTAAATAAACTTATGAAGGTTATCTTAATGCATAAAAGTTTTACATGTATCAAATTTTGCCTTAAGATAGAATATAGTATGTATTGAATATATTAGAGAAAAAACAAAATACCCAAGCGTTCCCTCTGGATAGGGCCCTTTGTTTCAGTGTTTTGTTTTGTTTTTTTTCCCTCCATCCCCTTTGTCATTATTTCCAGCCATAACAATTGTTATTTTAGTGTCCTCACCTAAGGGAAGAAACTCTTCCAAATTGAGCTCTGGCTAGGGTGTAGTTTTCTCTCATGTTCACTCTTAAGGATTGTCTTTGAGTACATTTCACTTTTTGAGGCAGCAGGTTTTGGTGAGAAGAGCTTGAATCAGCTTGTCATTTACTTTTGTGTTGTGCACAGTCTCTGTTTTCTCATCTCTAAAATGAGAACAGCACCTATCAATAAGGATTGCTGTGGCACTTAACAAATAATAACATCTATGCCTTCACCCAGCATACATAATGCTAGATATATCCACAGCTCTCATAAAATATAACTTGAATTGCATTCAAGGGCTAATTTATTAAATAGATGCTTTCTAGACCTTTTAGAGTAGTGCTGTCTGAGAGAACTTGCTATTGTGATGGAAATGATCTTCACTGTCCAATATGGTAGCCACCAACCACATGTGAATATTGAGCACTTGAAATGTGATCACTACAGCTGAAGAACTGAATTTGTAATTATATTTAATTAATTTAAAGTTAACTAGCCATACCTGGCTAGTAGCTATTTCAATTGGCCAACACAATTCTAGAGAATATGTCCTTGATTTTGTTGTCTAAACAATGAATACTGGTATAATGATGGGAATTTCTGCATAGGAAAATCCACAGGTATCCCATGAAAGCTGATGAAGGAAATGCTCTGGGACTGAGAGGACTATGTGAAACATTTCAGTCATGGCTCTTTAGGCAGATATCTACTGTTTCTCCACATAAAGCTGGCGCTGGCCTTATGAGTACAGCTACCAGGCAAACTTGATCGTGTTAGAGTCACACACAATGTATTCCTCCGACCAGGGTAATTGTCTGGAAAAAAGTTAAATAATGCATGAATGGTTTATTACAAAAATCAAAACTAAATATCTGAATGAACCAATTTTGTCCTGTTGAATATAAAACCACATTTTCAGAAAATGAAAAAGACAACAAATCTTAGTAATAATAAGCTATGATAAACCATTTGAATGCTCAGTGATAAACCATCTTGCTTGCTCAGTGAGGCATTCTCTTGAAGCAAAATTGATGGGTGAGATTTAATTTACATCATGCAAAATATAATAATGGGAGCAATGTTTGAACTTAATTGCTAAGAAAGTGAATAAATATTGGATTAAAATGTTAACGTGATTCTACTGTATTTAATGTTTGCTTGCCTAAAATAAGTCAATTTTAAATTCACCTTTAGTAATATTACTAACCGCATTGCATTTATAAATGTTGAAAATATTCCACTGAATTTCAGTGGTATAGTTATTACAGTATTATCAATATATACTTGCAATTTATAGAGGTATAGGAAAAACCAGCCACTACATTTTTACATAATTAATACATGGGGATTATTGACTTAGTTTCATAGAATTTGTGTATATAACAAAACTTTGTTAAATACATGTGAACCTCTGATAATGTGTTTTAAGTGATTAATTCTAAACCTATCTAAGATATTATAATATGGATTATTAATGAAAGGAAAAATATACCTAATAATCACACTTTTGATAGTATTTTAAATTTAGTAATCATCATAAAAACTATTTGAGAACAATGACAGGACATGGTCCTCATTCGAGTGTTTATTTTCCTTATTAGAGTTGTCCTAATTTGCTATCTGATACTTTAAATAATCTATTAGAAAGTCAACCTGGTTTTATAGAAAAGCAATAAGCAAGGACTCAACAGCTCTAAGTTTTACCCTCAGTGGTAGGCAGTCATAGTATTTAAAGTCAAACTGATTCACATGCTGATTTCAAAAATTAAAAATGAGATAACATATATAAAGAACTTGCCATCTTTCCTTGACAATAGTAAGGCACCAAAGAAAGCTGTTATTGCTTTAGTAGCAGTAGTAATGATAGAGGTAGATTATTTTTCTAATTAGATTCTTTGAAAAGTACTGTCAAAAATTATGCTAGATCAACTTGATATTCATATAAAAAATCAACTATTACCTCACACTAAACAAACAGATTAACTTATAATAGATCAGAAACCTAAAGGTAAAGTCTACAACCATAAATCTTACAGAAGGAAACATGCATATATCCTTACAAACTTGAGGTACTCAAAGATTTCTGAGGACACAAAAAGCATGAATAATAAAAGAAAAAATTGCTAAACTGGATTGCATCAAGACATAGACCTATCATAGAGACTGTCACAGAGTTTGGTTTATTGTAACTAACGGGGATAATGGGGCCTCAAATAATAGGTTAGGTGGCTATATATTGTCCCATTAACCTCTTTCTTGGAAGTTTCCTCTCAGAAGAGAAGACATGGGGATTATGAAAGAGCTGCTCCCTGAACATCTGTACAAAAGTGGATCTGTATGATACGAAAGGTAGACTGTGGCAGCTATGGAGGTGTGCCTAAACCCCACATTTCTAGGGAGTCTGAGCCTCTAGTAATCATACCCTTCTCAGGCTGGGGTTGTGAAAGTCTTAGTCAGAAAAATAAGAAGTCATCCCTTGGTATCCGTGGGTGATTGATTCCAACAACCCCATGGATACCAAAATCCACACTTTCTCAAGTTCCTGATATAAAATGGTGTCACTATTCACAATAGCAAAGGCAAGGAATCAGCCTAGGTGCCCATCAGTGGTGGACTGGATAAAGAAAATGTGGTACATATATACCATGAAATACTATACAGCCATAAAAAAGAACAAAATCATGTCCTTTGCAGAAACATGGATACAGCTAGAGGCCATTATCCTAAGAAAATCAATGCAGAAACAAAAAATCAAATTCTGCATGTCTCACAAGTGGGAGCTAAACAATGGATGCTCATGGACATAAAGATGGCAAAAAGAAACACTGGGAACTACTAGTTGCAGGGGAAGGATGGGGGACAAGGGTTGGAAAACTAACTTGAGTATTATACTTACTACCTGGGTGATATGGTTTGGAGTTGTGTCCCCTCCAAATCTCCTGTTGAAATGTTATCCCCAATGTTGGAGGTGGGGCCTAAGTGGGAGGTATTAGATCATGGGGATCAGATCCCTCATGAATGGCTTAGCACCATCCCCTTGGTGATGAGTGAGTTCTTGCTCAGTTAGTTCATGTGAGATCTGGTTGTTTACAAAAGTCTGGGACTTCCACCTTCTGTCTCTCTCGCTTTCTCTCTCACCATGTAATATGCTGGCTCCGCCTTAAGCTTCCACCGTGCTTGTAAGCTTCCTGAGGCCTCACCAGAAACCAAACAGACGGCACCACATATCCTATGCACCCTATAGAACTGTGAGCCCATTAAACCTCTTTTCTTCATAAATTACCTAGGCTCAGATATTTCTTTATAGCAATGCAAGAATGGACTAATACATTAGGTGACAGGATCAGTGATACCCCAAACCTCAGCATCACACAATATATCAAGGTAACAAACCTGCATATGCATTCCCTAAATTTAAAATAAAAGTTGAAATTATATAAAAAAATGGTGTAGTATTTTCACATACCTTATGTACATCTTCTTATATACTTTAAATCATGTCTAAATTACTTATAATACCTAATACGATGTAAATGTGTAAATGCTATGTAAATAGTTGTTATACTGTATTGTTTAGGGAATAATGAAAAGAAAATAAGTCTGTATATGTTAAGTACAGATGCAATCATCCTTTATTTCTTGAATATTTTTAATCCCTAGTTGGTAGAATCCACAGATGTGGAACTCACAAATATGGAGGACCGTTTGTATTTGTCAACTACAAAAGAGTTCTTTTGGTTTGTATAACATTCATTTGGTAAGCCCCTTCCTTTTCTCATTATCCTTCTGTAAGATGTCAATACAACTTAGTGGTAACCAGCCAACTCCATAGTGCTTGTATGCATTTTCTTCCCATACCTTTAAAATGCCTAAATGATTATACCAGCAAGAGTGTTCTGTTCAACCCAACATTCTCCCAGTTTAACACAGATGAACATTTTTAACAAGCTTGCTGATATGCACTGAAGTGTCACATGCCAAAGGGATATGAGCGGGACATTATCAACATCTGCTACATACTACTGACATATAATACTGAACAGATGCTGGAGCTTTAAAACGGAATTATTGAATGACTATCTAGGCTTGGAAGAGAACTTTCCTATTTGTTTGAGGGATTATTTCAGTTCCCATGTTGAATGGACTTTTAGTGTTTTTGTTGTTGTTGTTGTTGTTGTTGTTGTTTTGTCAATCTGACTTTCAAGCTGAATGATAGCTATAGACATGGGACTCTTCACCCTGAACCTCCTGTGGTGTTCTAGTTCTCAGTCACCCTCAAATGTACCTCACTTTAAAAAATATGCACCTTGAAGAAAATTGTACCTGTGTGTCCCTAAACTTCTGGAATTCTCCAAAGAATATGAAATAAAACGTTCACCATTTTATGATAGTAATAATCAGAATAGAAGGTTATATTCTATCGATGATCATAGTAAGTGCAAGCTATTTTAGGAGAAAACTATGAGAACAAACAAAGTAAGACATTTTTGGTAATTTCTTCTATGGATTTTTCAAGAGCGAGACTAAATTATACCTTGACTAACTATTGAATATTTAAAAACTGCAGGGTTCTTTCAGTGCACATTCACACTGCCTTGTCATCATGCTGACAAAATTTGCTAAACAAGTACTGCTTAAGAGGATTTTGCATTACTGAGAGAAAAAGGTAACCCATAATACAAATCATTAAACTGCAAGAGAAGCAGGTCTGTTGTTAATACTTACAAAATTGATTTGTACTGCTTGATATCCTAGAGGCAATAGAGAAACTTTGTAGCACTTAGCTACAAAATAAACCCTTTATCTTGCTGTCCTGTATATTTTCTTTTCTATGGCTCATAGAGATCTGAATAGTTGGTCTTCATATTTCTGCAGCATATAGATACCTTAGAAGAGTCCATACAACGTTCAACAAATATTACCTATTGTTAATAAAAATTGATTGTATCCATTTTCAACCTTACAAAATTAACAACAGTGCCCCAGAATTGTGCTCATGGTGGATTAAATAATACGACAGTGAATCAGATTGTGGGTATTAAGAAAATTACCATGCTTGAAGCTACTATGGGGACCTCCAATGTCTACACAAATGTGTCTTTAGAAATAGCTTTAGTTGTAAAAGCTCCAGGGCACATGGCAGCCCCAATGCCTTTCTTTCAACATATCTTCCCCCCAGCAAAAAAAATTGATTTTTAATAAACCATTATATCTACTATAGCTCACTTTCATCTTAATTGTATAATTTTTAGTTTTTATAAATAGCCATATGTCTCTCCAAATGAGAAGGATACAAAGTGCTATGGTTTTAATGTGTTCCTCAAAGTACATGTGTTGGGAACTAGATCCTCAATGTGGTAGTGTCGGGAGGTGAGACCTAATAAAAGGTGTTTGGGTCATGAGGGCACAACTCTTATGAACGGATTAATGTCATTATCATGGGAGTGGGTTTATTATCATAGGAGTGGGTTGCTTCTAAAAGGATTAGTTTGGCCTCCTCTTGTTCTCTCTCTCAAACTCTGTTTGCCCTTCCATTTTCCATCACGGAATGATGAAGCAAGAGCCCTTACATGATACCAGTACCTTGTTCTTGGACTAGCCAGTCTCTAGAGCCGTAAATCAATAAATTTCAGTTATTTATAGAGTATCCAGTCTGTGGGATTATGGCAGCACAAAATGAACTAAGGCGCAAGACTACGTCATCCATTATGACCCCATCCACATAGGTTAAAGAGAATAATCAAAGAAGAGCTGGCCAAACAAGAACTCTCTCCATTGCCATTTCTCTGAAAGTCCCAATGGCTGCATCAGACTCTGTTTTGGTTCATCATGTTCCTTTAGCAGCCTCATATAACCTGTACTCTGATAGTCAAGAATGGAGGTTCTGGATACAAGCAGGCCTGATTCAAACCCTCACTCTGCCAAGCTTAACATCTGACTGACCACGAGCACACGATTTAAGTTCTCTAAGTTTTAGTGTCTTACTCAACAAAATCCAAATAATACTGTGCAGTGTTAATAATAGGGCTGGTGTGAGGATAAAGTGAGATAATTACGGTAATGTTTGGCTTATCTTAAATGCTAAAACTGTTACTTTTAAAACATTAAGCTTTTCCTATTGTTTTCTAGCGTGTGCCTCCTCCACAGAGAAGAGCCAGAATAGTAAGTAGACACATTTTGACCAGATGGTCTAGGAGAGAACACTTGGATTCACCAGAGAAGAGATGGGAAGCACTGGAAGTACATAAGGACAGGGTTCAAGGCAGCTTGCCCCGCTGGGAACTGGCTGAGACCTAAGAGTGGCTCCTGGACACAGGGAAACAGCAAGAGAGAAATACCCAGGGCTCTGAAACAGGCTTTTATGATCTTGGCTATGGGAGAAACCCTTGACCCACAAGGGCCTTGTGCCTGACATCTGGAGCTGCATAAAGATTGCACAGAGATGTTGCTCCAGAAAGGGAACCCATACAGAATCCCACACACATCCAAGCCTGGAGCAGCCTCAGCTGGGAGCCATTTTGAGAACCCAGATGCCAGAGATTTATGGACATGGCTGCAGCCACTGCAGTGCTACAAGGAAGGACAGGGGAAAACAGGCTCGCTCATTCACGCTTGGGAGAGTATTGCTGCTCTGCCAGGAGCTGCTCTTGAGACTGAGATGTGAGTGGACCACACTCCCCACAGCTTCTTGCTCAAGCTGCTTGCCCAGGTGGTATCCTACCCTCCCTGGCCCAAGGCTCAAGGTACCATTTTGGGAGTTTAACTCTAGGCTGCACCCTGCCTTTGGCCTAAGCTTTGATGTAGCTGCAGCCACTGCCCAGCCAAGGAGGGAGCGGGAGACCAGGCCATCCCATGCACATCTAGGACAATACCCACTGCTCTGCAACACACTGCTGTCAGACTGAGATACAAACCACACTCTCCACAGCTTTTTGCCCACATTGCTTGCTTGAGAGGGGTCCCACCCTCTGTAGTTACAAGCCCACAGCTGGCAACATTTTGAGAGTTCAGAGGCACTGTTTGGTGACATGGCATTGTAGTCTGGGGCCAGAGATTGGAGTGCTTCCTCTGGAATTGGGGGAGAGTCCCCACAGCCAGAATTGAGCAGTGAGTGTGGAGAGTGCCTCAGCAGTAGGTGATGGAATTAAGCACTCTCCCATCACAGGACTGGAGAGTGATGGAAGTTGCTGAAGCTGAAGTTTCTCCTGGGCAGCCAGACTTGCAACCAGGGACAGCTTTGCAACCTGGAACCATTCTGTATGTGTCATTACTGGATGCCCCAGCTGGTTCCCTTGGTCAGTTGGGGGACAGTACCCCACTAGCTCTGAGGAGTGGAAGGGAGGTAGACTCTACTCCCCTGGAAATCTACCCCTCAACATGGATCATCCTTAAGGGACCAGGTAGCACAGCCCGCCAAAGCCCAGTTTGAGTAAAAGGAAATGCAAACATGGCGCTGGCCACTGAAGGGGGCACCACCAAAGGGCAGGAACGAATGTGGAGAAGGGGAATTCTTTCAACCCCCCCAACACCCTCCTCGGTGCACGGTCATGGACTCAGCAGCGACTCTTCCTGTGGAGACCCAAGGAGTGTGGGCTAAGAGTCCACTTCTCCAAGGGCTTCTTCAGCGGCTCCACCCACAATGAAGGTGAATGCGCCCTAGGGGACGGTGTTTTTTGTGCGCCATTGCCTCTGCCTTGCCTCAACCTGCTGGCGCCATCTCCTGGAAGCAGCCTAAATTACACCAACAAATGAAATTAGATTGCTGCAACAAGCAATGTCTGAGAAAGCCACTGCACCAACCTAACTTCGACCATGGAACCCGTACAGAGCCTTGGCACATTGAAAGCATCCGGAAATAAAGCCAAATGATCATACACATTATATACCGCAGTCATACCCCCAAGGGAGAAAAGAATAAGACATCAAGAAGCCTCATCCTAACAATAGCAAATTAAAAAAAAAAATGCATCAGCTCTCTGAGATAAGAAGGAACCAGCACAAGAACTCCAGCAATACAAAAAGCCAGAGTGTTTAATCACCTCCAAAGGATCCCATTAACTCCTAAGCAATGTATCATAACCAGAGTCAAATGTTTGAAATGACAGATATAGAATTCAGAATATGAATGGCAAAGAAACTCAACAAGATCCAAGAGAAATCCAACACAAAGAAGCCAGAAAAACGACCCAAGATTTGAAAGGACAACATAATTACATTAGGAAAGAACCACACGGAATGTCTGGAATTTAAAAATTCACTTTAAGAATTCAAAATATGATCATAAACCTTAACAAATGACTAGACCAAGCAGAAGAAAAAAATTCAGAGCTCAAGGATTGGTCCTATGAATTGCCTCAGTTAAAAACACAAAAACTAAAGAAAAAAGAATAAATAAAATGAACAAAGCCTTTGAGAAATATAGGATTATATTAAGTGACCAAATCTATGACTTATTGGCATTCCTGAGACAGAAGAAAAGAAGATAAGCAACTTAGAAAACATATCTGAAGATATAAATCAGGAAAATTTTCCCAATCTTGCTAGAGGGGTTGACATACAGCTAGAAGAAATCTGGGGAACTCCTATGAGATACTGTATAAGACAATGATCCTCAAAGCACTTAGTCATCAGACTATCCAAGGTCAATGCGAAAGAAAAAACTGTAAATGAAGCAAGAGAAAAGGGTCATATCACCTATAAAGGAAAATTCATCAGACTAACAGTGGATTTATCAGCAGAAATCTTACAAGCCAGAAGAGATGGGGGCCCATTTTCAGCTTTTTTTTTTTTTTTGAGATGGTGTCTTGCTCTGTTGCCCAGGCTGGAGTGCAGTGGCACGATCTCGGCTCACTGCAACCTCCGCCTTCCAGGTTCAAGCGATTCTCCTGCCTCAGCCTCCCGAGTAGCTGGGACTACAGGTGCATGCCACCACACCCGGCTAATTTTTTGTATTTTTGGTAGAGATGAGGTTTCACCGTGTTAGCCAGGATGGTCTCAATCTCCTGACCTCGTGATCCACACCCTTTGGCCTCCCAAAGTTTTGGGATTACAAGAGTGAGCCACCGCGCCCAGCCTCAGCATTCTTAAAGAAAAAAATGCTAGCCAAGAATTTCATATCCTAACAAACTATGTTTCATAACTGAAGGGAAAATAAAATCTTTCCAAAACAAGCAATTACTAAGGGAATTCATCACCACCAGACCAGCCTTACAAGTGATACTTAAGGGAGTTGTAAACATGGAAACAAAATAATGGTACTTGCTATCATAAAAGCACATGCAAGCACAGAACCCACAAAGCCCAAAAGCAACTCTATAGTTGAGACTACAGAACAACTAGCTAACAAGTTGTTACAAAACTACACATGTCCATATTAATCTAAAAAGTAAATGACCTAAATGCTCCACTTAAAAGACATAGAGTGGCAAATTGGATTTTAAAAAGCAAGACTCATTCTTCTGCTGTCTTCAAGAGACCCATGTCACATGTAGTGGAACCCACAGGCTCAAAGTAAATGGATGGCAACAGATTTATCACAACAAATTCAAAACAATAAAGAGGAGGGGCCACTAATCTTATAGCAGATAAAATAGACTTTAAACCAACAATAGAAACAAAAAAAAGGACAAAGGGGGCATTATGTAATAATCAAGGGTTCAACTCAACAAGAAGACTTAACTACGTAAATATATATTCAACTAACGTTGGAGCACCCATAAAACAATTACTTCTAGACCTAACAAAAGACTTTAACAGACAGTAATGGGGGACTTCAAAACCCTACTGATAACATTAGACAGATGATTGCAGCAGGAAACCAACAAAGAAATTCTAGTCTTAAATTCAATACTTGACCCATTAGACCTGATAGACATCTACAGAATACTCCACCCAATAACTACAGAATGTACATTCTTCTCATCTACACATGGAACATATTCTAGGATTAAACACATGCTCAATCACAAAGTGAGTCTTAATAAATTAAAAAAATCTGAAATCATGCCAAGCATCGTCTGTGATCACAGTGAACAAAAATGGAAATCAATACCAAAAGGAATTCTAAAAAACCACACAAATACATGGAAACTAAACAACTTGGTCCTAAATGACTTTTGAGTAAACAAAAAAATTAAGGGAGAAATAAATTCGCTGAAAAAAAAATGAAAATAGACACACAACATACCAAAACCTGTGGGATATGGCAAAAACTGTGCTAAGAGAAAAGTTTATATTGTTATATGTCCACATAAAGAAGATAGAAACATCTCAAACTGATGATCTAACATCACATCTAGAGGAAGTAGAAAAACAAGAACTCAACCTAAAGCTAGCAAAAGAAAAGAAATAACTAAAATCAGAGCAGATCTAAATGAAATTGTGACCCAAAAAACCATAAAAAGGATTGTGACAAAAAGTTGGTCTGTTGAAAGGATAAACAGGATAGATAATTAGATTAATAAAGAAAAAGAGAAGATCTAAATAAGCACAATCAGAAATATTAAAGGTGACATCACAACTGTTATCACAGAAATACGAAAGATCAGCAGAGTGTATTATGGACACCTCTATGCACACAAACTAGAAAATCAAGAAGAAGTGGATAAATGCCTGGAAACACACAACCTCCCAAGATTGATACAGGAAGAAACAGAAATCCTGAACCAACTAATAATGAGTAATGAAATTGAATCAGTAATTTAAAAAATCCACCAACCAAAAAATGCTATGGACCAGGTAGATTCACAGCCAAATTCTACCAGACATACAATGAAGAGCTGGTACAAATCCTACTGAAACTATTCCAAAAATCGAGCAGAAGGGACTCCTCCCTAACCAAAATCTGGCAAAAACACAACACCTACACCCAAATCTGGTAAAAACACAACAAAAGAAGAAAACTGCGGTCACTATCCCTGACGAACGTAGATGTAAAAATCCTGAACAAAATTCTAGCAAACTAAATCCAGCAAAACATCAGAAAGTTAATTCACCATGACCAAGTGGGCTTAATCCCTGGGAAGCAAGGGTGGTTCAACATACACAAATCAATAAATGTGATTTACCACATAAACAGAATAGAAAACAAAAAACATCTGATCATCTCAGTAGACACAGAAGAGGCCTTTGAAAAAATCCAACGTACCTTCATGATAAACACCCTCAAGAGACAAGGCATCAAAAGAATATACCTCAAAATAAGAGCCATCTAGGACAAACCCACAGCCAACATCAGACTGAATGAGCAAAAGCTGGAAGCATTCCCCTTAAGAACTGGAACAGATAAAGATGCCCACTCTCACCACTTCTATTCAACATAGTACTGGAAGTCCTAGCCTGAGCAATCAGGCAAGACAAATAAATAAAAGGCATTCAAATGGGAAAAGAGGAAGTCAAATGATCTCTCTTCACTGATTACATGATTCTATACCTAGAAAACACTAAAGATTCTATGAAAAAACTCCTAGAACTGGTGACTCAGCACTCTCAGGATACAAAACCAATGTACACAAATCAGTATCATTTCTATTCACCAATAATGTTTAAGCTGAGAACCAAATCAAGAATGCAATCCCATTGCCAATAGTCACACATACACACACACACACACAAACTACCCAGAAATACATCTAACCAAGGAGGTGAAACATCTCTATGAGGACAACTACAAAACACTTCTAAACAAAATTATAGATGATACAAATGGAAAAACATTCCATGGATCATGGATTCAAAGAACGAATATTGTTAAAGTGTCTGTACTGCCCAAAGCAATCTACAGATTCAGTAGTATTCCTATCAAATTACTGATATCATTTTTCACAGAATTAGAAAACGATTCTAAAATTCACATGGAACCTAAAAAGAGCCTGAATAGCAAAGGAAATCCTAAGCAAAAAGAATGAAACTGGGGGCATCACATTACCTGACTTAAAACTATACTAAAAGGCTACAGTAACCAAAACAGCATGGTACTGGTGCAAAAATATAGGCATAGACCAGTGGAACAGAATAGAGCCTCCTGCAATAAAGCTGCATACTGATCTTAAACAAAGTTGACAAAAATAAACAATGGAGAAAGAACTCCCTATTCAACAAATGGTGCTGGGATAACTGGCTAACCATATGCAGAAGAATGAAACTGTACCATTACCTTTCACCATATACAAAAATTAACTCAAGATGGATTAAATCCTTAAATATAAGACCTCAAACTATAAAAATCCTAGAAGAAAACCTTGGAAATACTCTTGTAGATGTTGGCTTCTGCAAAGTATGATGAAGACCCTGAAAACAAAGGTGACAAAATCAAAAACAGACAAATGGGACTTAATTAAAGAGCTTCTGCACAGCAAAAGAAACTATCAAGAGATTATATAGACAACCCACAGAATGGGAGAAAATATTTGCAAACTATGATTCCAGCAAATGACTAATATCCAGAACCTTTAAGGAACTTAAAAAAATCAATGAGAAAAAAAACCCATTAAAAAGTGGGCAAAGGACATAAACAGACACTTCACAAAAGACATACAAGTGACCAACAGACATAAAAAAAATCACTAAGCATCAGAGAGATGCAAATGAAAACCACACTGAGATACCATCTCACACCAGTCAGAATGACTATTATTAAAAAGTAAAAAAAATAACAGATGCTGGTGAGGCTGTGGAGAAAAGTGAACATTCATACAATGGTGGTAGGCATGTAAATTAGTTCAGCCACTGTGGAAAGCAGTTTGGAGATTTATCAAAGAACTAAAACTAGAATTGCCATTCAACCCTACAATCTCATTACTGAGTATATACACAGAGGAAAATAAATTATTTTACCAAAAAGACACATGCATTTGTATGTCTATCACAGCATTATTCACAATAGCAAAGATATGGGATCTACCTGGTTGCCCATCAATGATAGATTGGATAAAATAAATACTATATATATATATATATATATATATATATATACACACACACACACACATACATACATTACAGAATACTATGCAGCCATAAAAAGAATGAAATTGTTAGAGTAGGTAGTTAGGCAGATATGTGCAGAGCAGGAGAGCTCCCCTCCCACTCAGGAATGTCAGGCGACCATCAGGTGATGATCGGGTTGTTGTTAAACAATCTCACTAAAACAATAATTGGTCACAGCCGGCACCAAGGAAAGACAGTCTCCAATAGATAGAAAACAGCTGAAGCTGGTGATCAGCAGCTTCCCACTAAGATCTCAAGAGTTGGGGGAAGAGGCTCAAACATGCACACTAAGAGGCAAAATAGTGGAGTTTAACCAGTATATGACCTCCCTCTAAGAATCCTAGATTGAAAAGGGAAAATCGCCTCGAGTGAGCATACACACAACTTCAATAAACACACTGCACATGCGGCCCATCCCAAGTGCTGGCAGGCCACCATATATGCAGACAGCCTTCTCCAAGGGAAGAATGAAGGGAGAAGAAACACAAACCCTGGAACCATGCCAATGTATAAAACCCCAAGGCAATGGCCAAATGGGGCACTTGGATCTCTTAAGTCACCTGCTTGGCCCTCTTCCAAGTGTACTTTACTTTCTTTCACTCCTGCTCTAAAACTTGCCTCAGTTTCTCCTTCTGACTTAAACCTGTTTCTGTCCCTTAGCTGAATATTCTTTCCTCTGAGGAGGCAAGGATCGAATTTGCTGCAGACTCATCAAATTTGCTGCTCCTAACAAAATCTTGTCCTTTGCAGCAACATGGATCCAGTTAGAGGACATTATCCTCAGTGAATTTATACAGAAACAGAAAACCAAATACTGCATATTCTCACTTATAAGTAGGAGCTAAACATTGGGTACAATCGGACACAAAGATGGGAACAATAGACACTGAGGACGCCAAAAAAAAAGGGAGGGAGTCTGGCAAGGACTGAAAAACTCTCTACTAAGTACTTTGTTGCTACTTTGGTGGCGGGATCATTAGAAGCCCAAACTTCAGCATCACAGAATATACGCATGTAACAAGCCTGAACATACACCCTTTTAATCTAAAATTTTTTAAAAAAATTATTTTTAAATATATAACTTAAAAAATTGGAAGCCCTGAAATCCTTTTCCCAAAAATAAGGAAAATAATTTGGACAACTCTTCAATACAAAAATGATGCAAGTCACCTTCTTTTATGACCAACAATAATATTAATTTCCTACAGGAAACTTAAAAGGAATCAAACACATATTCTATCATTCCACATATCCCTTTTGGATTTTATACAAAGTAATCAAATGAGTATTTCCTGTTAATTTGAGAAATTTAAATTGACTATCTGCCAATACTCGACAAGTCATTTAGTAAAAGCTTTCCTTTATCATTGTAAAAGTACGATACTCCTTCAATGTTGATTGTTGTGAGATATTTAATTTCCTATCTACTCAAAAGAAAACATTGTAGATCTAGTGGAGAAAGTCTCATTAAGCTCCGAAATTAAATCTCAACTGCAAACAAGTGCGCTTAATCTCATCTCCATAAGATTTTCATCTTCAAGTGACTTAAAGATTTATATATACTTAGTGTATAATCATTCAGATGAGATTAGATATTAATAAAGAATATTAAAAAAAAAAATTCTGACCAAGCACGGTGGCTCACGCCTGTAATCCCAGCGCTTTGGGAGGCCGAGGCGGGCGGATCATCAGGTCAGGAGTTTGAAACCAGTCTGACCAACATGGAGAAACTGCGTCTCTATTAAAAATACAAAAATTAACTGGGCATGGTGGCACATGCCTGTAATCCCAGCTACTTAGGAGGCTGAGGGAGGAGAATCGCTTGAACCCGGGAGGCGGAGGTTGCAGTGAGCTGAGACGGTGCCACTGCACTCCAGCCTGGGCAACAGAGCGAGACTTTCCGTCAAAAAAAAAAAAAAAAAAAAGTACCAGATACCAAAGGTGAAAGAACTCATTATTTTAAACCTTAGAGTCTCAGATTCTAACACGGGATAAGAAGTATCTTCCCAGGGGGTAGGGCCAAGATAGCTGACTAGAAACAGCGGCGATCTGAGGCTACCACTGAGAAAAACCATAATAAGCGTGTGAATCCTTACCAGCAACCAAGCTATGGAGGTTCTCTCATCAGAACTGACTAGGAGGCTGGCGTGATCCACGGAGAGGCAGGAAGAGCAGTGTGGTGAGGGGTGGCCCACCTGAGAGCCACAAGAGGCAGGGGAGCCCCCACTCCCACAATGAAGGGGGCAGTGAGTGAGTGTGCTACCCAGCCAGGGAAACTGTGCTTTTTTCCCAGAACTGTGCAACCCACGGATTGGAAGATCCCACTTGCAAACCCACACCACCGGGGCCTAGCATCCCAACCCGGGAGTCACGCAGATTCTCAACAGCCTATCAGCTGGAATCTGCTTAAGCCTACCGAGCTCCTGCGGGGAGGGGTGACCAGGCCACAGCTGAGGCTGCCTGCTGTCTAAGCCGTTTGAGCTCCTTGGGGGAGGGGCAGCAGCAGCCAGCACTGGGACTGATAACTGCCTAATAAGCTAAACTTTCTGGGCGAGAGAAGGGTGGCACTCATCTCTATAGCTCCAGGCCATGCTTTTCCCCTGCTGGAGCCAGGGAGGCTGGACAGCTTGGTCCCAAGACATGCCCCCCACAGCCCAGCACACCCGCTGTGGCAGACTGCAGCCAGAGGGCCTCTTCAGGACTGACCCTGACACATCCTTCCTCACTGGGTGGGAATTCCCCGCAGGAACTCCAATAACTTCAGCCAGAGGCTCAGGGACAGAACCCAGATCTCCCTGGGCCTTAGACCCTAGGGGGAGGGGTGGCCACAGTTTCTGTGGACCAGCAGACTTAGCCTTTCCTCCTGGTAGTTCTGAGGAATCCAGGCAGCCCAGACAAATGGGTTTTCCCCTAGCAAAACTCACCCCCTCCACCAAGGGACAGTAAAAGTACTTTGTTAAACGGGTCCTGTTCCCATGCCACCCAACTAGGTGAGACCCTCCAACAGGGGTTCTCAGACACCCTATACAGGAGCAATCCCACTGGCATCAGATTGGTGCCCCTTGAGTCAGCGGTCCCAGAAGGAGCAGGCACCCATCTTTGCTGTTCTCCAGCCTCCTTCAGTGACATCTCCAGGCACGGGAGCGAACCAGATGAATAGGGCTTGAAGTGAACCCCTAGAAAATGGCAGCAGACTTACAGAAGAGGGACCTGACCATTGAAAGAAAAACAAACAGAAAGCAACAACAGAATCAGCAACAACAAAATGGTCCCCACAAAACCCTATCCAAGGGTCAGCAGCCGCAAAGATTGAAACTGGACAAACTCACGAAGATGAGAAAGAATCAATGAAAAAAACACTGAAAACCCAAAGGCCAGAGTGCCTGTTCTCCTCCAAATTATTGCAACATCTCTCCAGTGAGGGCGCAGAACTGGAAAGAGGCTGAGATGGACAAATTGACAGAAGTAGGCTTCAGAAGATGGGTAATAAAAAACTACAGTGAGCTAAAGGAACATGTTCTAACCTAATGCAAAGAAGCTAAGAACCTTGATAAAAGGTTAGAAGAGCTGCTAACTAGAATAATCAGTTTAGAGAGGAACATAAATGACCTGATGGAGCTGAAAAACACATCAAAATAACTTTGTGAAGCATACGCAAGTATCAATAGCTAAATCAACCAAATTGAAAAAAAGGATATCAGAATTTGAAGACCAACTTGCTGAAATAAGGCACGCAGACAAGACTAGAGAAAAAAGAATGAAAAGGAATGAACAAAGCCTCCAAGAAATATGGGATTTCATTAAAAGACCAAAACTGTCATTGACTGGAATACCTGAAGGAGACAGGTAGAATGAAAACAAGCTGGAAAACACTTCAGGATATTATCCAGGAGAACTTCCCCAACCTAGCAAGACAGACCAACATGCAAATTCAGGAAATACAGAGAACACCACTAAGATACTCCATGAGAAGATCAACCCCAAGAAACTTAATCATCAGATTCTCTAAGGTTGAAATGAAGGGGAAAATGTTAAGGGCAGCCAGAGAGAAAGGACAGGTCACCTAAAAAGGGAAGCCTATCAGACTAACAGTGGACCTCTCAGCAGAAACTCTACAAGCCAGAAGAGATTGTGGGCCAATATTCAACTTTCTTAAAGAAAAGAATTTTCAACCCAGAATTTCATATCCAGTCAAACTAAGCTTCATAAGCAAAAGGGAAATAAAATCCTTTCCAGACAAGCAAATGCTGAGGGGTTTTGTTACCACCAGGCCTGCCCTGCAAGAGCTCCTGAAAGAAGCAGTAAATACGGAAAGGAAAAATGGATAGCAGCCACTGCAAAACCACACCAATTATAAAGATCAAACTGTATCAACTAGTGTGCAAAATAACCAGATAAGATCATGAAGACAGGATTAAATCCACACATAACAATACTAAACTTAAATGTAAATGGATTAAATGCCTCAATTAAAAGAAACAGACTGCTGTGCTGTATTCAGGAGTCCCATCTCATGTGCAAAGACAGACAAAACAAAGGGATGGAGGAAAACTTCCCAAGCAAATGGAAAGAAAAAAAAAAGCAAGGGTTGCAATCCTAGTCTCTGACAAAACAGACTTTAAACCAACAAAAATCACAAACAACAAAGACGGGCATTACATAATGGTAAAGGGAACTAAAGCTAACTATTCTAAATATATATGCACCCAATACAGGAGCACCCAGATTCATAAAACAAGTTATTAGAGACCTACAAAGAGACTTAGACTCCCACACAATAATAGTGGGAGACTTTAACACTCCACTGTCAATATTAGACAGATCGACGAGACAGAAAATTAACAAGGATATTCAGGACATGGACTCAGCTCTGGATCAAGTGGACCTAACAGACATCTACAAAACTCTCCACCCCTATTCAATAGAATATACATTCTTCTCAGTGCCACATGGCACTTATTCTAAAATAGACCACATAATTGGAAGTAAAACACTCCTCAGAAAATGCAAAAGAACGGAAATCATAACAAACAGTATCTCAGACCACAGTGCAATCAAATTAGAACTCAGGATTAAGAAACTCACTTAAAACCACACAATTACATGGAAATTAAACAATTTTAATTTGCTCCTGAATGGAAACTTAACAATTTTAATTGCTCCTGAATGACTCCTGGGAAAATAATCAAATTAAGACAGAAATCAAGAATTTCCTTGAAGCCAATAAGAACAAAGAGACAATGTATCAGAATCTCTGGGACACAGCTAAAGCAGTGTTAAGAGCGAAATTTATAGCACTAAATGCCCGTATCAGAAAGCCGGAAAGATCTAAAATTGACACCCTAACATCACAATTAAAAGAGCTAGAAAGGCAAGAGCAAACTAATCCAAAAGCTAGCAGGAAACAAGAAAAAACTAAGATCAGAGAAGAATTGAAGGAGATAGAGACACGAAAAGACCTCTAAAAAATCAACGAATCCAGGAGCTGTTTTTTTTTTTTTTGAAAAAATTAACAAAATAGATAGACTACTAGCTAGACTAGAGAGAAAAGTCAAATAGACACAATAAAAAATGATAAAGGGTATATCACCACTGACCTCACAGAAATGCAAACTACTATCAGAGAATACTATAAACACCTCTGTGAAAATAAACTAGAAAGTCTAGAAGAAATAAATAAATTCGTGGACACATACACCCTCCCAAGACTAAACCAGGAAGAAGCCAAATCTCTGAATAGACCCATAACAAGTTTTGAAATTTGAGGCAGTAATTAATAGCCTACCAAAAAAAGAAAGCTCAGGACCAGATAGTTTCAAAGCCAAATTCTACCAGAGTACAAAGAGGAGCTGGTACCATTCCTTTTGAAACTATTCCAACAATTGAAAAGGAGGGACTCCTCCCTAACTCATTTTATGAAGCCAGGATCATCCTGATACAAAACCGGGAAGAGACACAAAAAGAAAAGAAAACTTCAGACCAATATCCCTGATGAACATCGATGCAAAAATCCTCAGTAAAATACTGGCAAACCGAAACCAGTGGCATATCAAAAAAGTTATCTACCACAATCAGGTCAGCTTCATCTCTGGGATGCAAGGCTGGTTCAACATAAGCAAATCAATATACGTAATCCATCACGTAAATAGAACCAAAGACAAAAAACACATGATTATCTCAATAGATGCATAAAAGGCCTTTGATAAAATTCAACATCCTTTCATGTTAAAAACTCTCAATAAACTAGGTATTGAAGGAAAATATCTCAAAATAATAAGAGCTATTTATGACAAAACCGCAGCCAATATCTACTGAATGGGCAAAACCTGGAAGCATTCCCTTTGAAAACCAGTACAAGACAAGGATGCCCTCTGTCACCACTCCTATTCAACATAGTATTGGAAGTTCTGGCCAGGGCAATCAGGCAAGAGAAAGCAATAAAGGGTATTCAAATAGGAAGAGAGGAAGTCAACTTGTCTCTGTTTGCAGATGACATGATTTTATATTTAGAAAATCCCATCATCTAAGCTCAAAAACTCTTTAAGCTGGTAAGCAACTTCAGCAAAGTTTCAGGATACAAAATCTATTTGCAAAAATCACAAGCATTCCTTTACACCAACAATAGACAAGCAGAGAGCCAAATCACGAATGAACTCCCATTCACAATTGCTATAAAGAGATTAAAATACGTAGGAATACAGCTAACAAGGGATGTGAAGGACCTCTTCAAGGAGAACCACAAACCAAAACCACTGTTCAAGGAAATAAGAGAGGACACTAACAAATAGAAAAACATCCCATCCTCATGGATAGAAATAATCAATATTGTGAAAATGGCCATACTGCCCAAAGTAATTTATAGATTCAATGCTATTCCCATCAAACTACCATTGCTATTCTTTACAGAATTAGAAAAAACTACTTTAAATTTCATATGGAATCAAAGAAGACCCCATATAGCCAAGACAATCCTAAGCAAAAAGAACAAAGCTGGAGGCATCACACTACCTGACTTCAAAGTATACTACAAGGCTACAGTAACAAAAACAGCATGGTACTGGTACCCAAACAGACATATAGACCAATGGAACAGAACAGAGACCTCAGAAATAACACCACACATCTACAACCATCTGATCTTTGAGAAACCTGACAAAAACAAGCAATGGGGAAAGGATCTGCTATTCAATAACTGATGCTGGGAAAACTGGCTAGCCATATGCAGAAAACTGAAACTGGATGCCTTCCTTACACCTTATACAAAAATTAACTCAAGATGGATTAAAGACTTAAATGTAAAACCCAAAACCATAAAAAGCCTAGAAGAAAACCTAGGCAATATCATTCAGGACATAGGCATGGGCAAAGACTTCATGACAAAAATGCCAAAAGCAATTGCAACAAAAGCCAAAATTGACAAACGGGATCTAATTAAACTAAAGAGCTTCTGCACAGCAAAAGAAACCATCATCAGAGTGAACAGGCAACCTACAGAATGGGAGAAAACTTTTGCAATCTATCTACCTGACAAAGGTCTAATATCCATAATTTACAAGGAACTTAAACAAATTTACAAGAAAAAAAAACAAACAACTCCATCAAAAAGTGGGCAAAGGATAGGAACAGACACTTCTCAAAAGAAGACATTCACATGGCCAACCAATATGTGAAAAGAAGTTCAACATCACTGATCAATAGAGAAATGCAAATCAAAACCACAATAAGATACCATCTCATCCCAGTCAGAATGGTGATTATTAAAAAGTCAAGAAACAATAGATGCTGGTGGCTGTGAAGAAATAGGAATGCTTTTACACTGTTGGTGGGAATGTAAATTAGTTCAACCATTGTGGAAGACAGTATGGCAATTCCTCAAGGATCTAGAACCAGAAATACCATTTGACCCAGCAATCCCACTAATGGGTATATACCCAAAGGAATATAAATTATTCTGCTATAAAGACACATGCACACGTATGTTTATTGCAACAACATTTACAATAGCAAAGTCACGGAACCAACCTAAATGCCCATCAGTGATAGACCTGATAAAGAAAATGTGGTACACATATACCATGGAATACTATGCAACCACAAAAAGGAATGAGATTATGTCCTTTGCAGGGACATGGATGAAGCTAGAAGCCATTGTCCTCAGCAAACTAACAAAGGAACAGAAAACTAAACACCGCATGTTTTCACTCATAAGTGGAAGTTGAACAATGAGAACACATGGACACAGGGAGGGGAACAACATACACCATGGCTGGTTGGGGGGTGGGGGACAAGGGAGGGAAGTTAGGGGATGGGTCAATAGGTGCAGCAAACCATCATGGCACCCGTATACCTATGTAACAAACCTGTATGTTCTGCACATGTATCATGGAACTTAAAGTAAAATTTTTAAAAAAGAAACCTTCGCATATATCTTCCCTATATCTTCCCATCACCCCCACCCCACCCTGAACTCCCCGGCTCCTGTTAACCACTATTTTACTCTCTGTTTCCATGTATTTGATTTTTTAGGACATTTTTTATATGGATGCAGGAATGAAAAACCATACAATTGGCTGCTGATATGCATAATGTGTAAATAAAACGAATCAATGTTTGTGGCGTATGAGTTTTTATACTTCTCAAATACCTCCCCAATCTGCTCACTGATGCTTATAAAATGTAATTCCTCTAATATGAATAAAAATAGTTAGCATTTATATTGTACATGCAGTGTGCAGAGAATTCTATGATGTGATTTCCATATATTAACTAATTTCACCCTCACATTACCCAGTGAATATATATTGTTATTATCCCCATTTTACATATTTGGAGACTAAGGCAATCATAGAATAAACAAATTGTCTGAGGTTGCAATAACTAAAGGTAGAATGATACAATAAGAATAACAATGATAATATTAGATAACAGTATTGATAGCTACCATTTACTGAATCCTTATGTAAGAATTAAGCATTCAAATTTACATTTAATTATCACAATGTTGCTACAAAGCAGACCTTATTTTCAGAAATAAATAGGTTCTGAGAAGTAAATAAATTTTCTTATGTTCCCCCAGCTGATTAGATGGCATAATCGGGATTAAAATGCACATCCTTCTGATTCTAAGGCTGATCTCTTTCAACGATGAGGCATTTTACCTCCACAAATAACAGTAATAGTAACACACTGACCTAATTCACTCTACAGCTTGAGTAATGAGCATCAAAGTTTTCTCTGAAATTAGATTTTAAAATAGCACTGTGGTGAATGTGAAGGAACTGAGTGAAAAAGAAGACATCTCACAAATTCTGGGCACTCTGCTCTTTGTGGCCATCAAAACAAGTCCACATGTTTGCTACTGATGTTTAGTTCTATTCTCTGATCTACTTGTGCATATTTAAGTAAGAAGTGTTTTTTTAAATGGAATAGATCCTACGGGTTTTGCTTTATTCTCCTGCTTGTCATTTTACATTTCTCATTATTTTTTAAATGATGAAATGAATGTCCTTTACTTATGTCTTTAAAATCACTTTTAGTGTATATCTTCAATTTTAGTGCTACTAACTGCCATTGCTCATAGCTTTGAGCCAGTAATCAAGAGGCATATGTTCTGTTCATTGATCACTATTGACTTACTAACTACACAAAGCCAAATCCTCCAAATGAAAAATAAATAATAGTTGTTACATCATGCCAATATTTCATGCACACTTTAATGTTTACCTAGTTATTTGGGAAGTGCTAAACAACTGACAGAGGTTTTCACTTTTTATCTTGTTAACAACCTGTAGGCTGCCATTTGAGATAGTGAAAGGCTCATTTCCGTCTATTTAATCATCGATAAACAGGTATGAAATTCACACACAAAATACCTATCAGAGTTTTGGCTTAGAAAATGCCATATAAGTAGAAAATAATGAATGGTTTTAGCGTACAAATTCTAAACATAGCCCTATATATTATCAAGTAGAAATACATGCTTTGAACAAATTATCACATTGAGTGATATAAATGTAAAATAAAATAATATTGTCTGGAATTTAACTTTCATTCTATGTTGGAATGAATTCAATTTAATTCTCAAATATTCAATAATTCTTCAATGACTTGGCATTTTTGTAGAAGACAGGGACAGAAAATGGATGAGAAATTTTCAATTTACCAATAAGATTTACTTATAAGTTTCACTTTCAAATCAATTATTTTTAAGCTGCCTAATCCCTCTTCTGTTGCAACTAACCCTTCCGTGCCTTATCCCACAGAGTGCTCCAAATTCTGAAATTATCTACCTCCTTTTTTAAAGTGTAGCAAAATATCTCTTTTTGAGAGAACAGTGGCCTGGGCATTTTAATCGCATTCATAACAGTTCAGTAATCCATTTTCTTCTCTAACACACTCAGTTAAAACAAATCCTTATAAATTATTTATGCAGCTATTAAAGTTTATATTAATAACATAATGGCCATTTAATTTATTTTTTATTTTTTACTGTGTTTTGAGACAGATTTTCACTTTATCACCCAGGCTGGAGTGTAATGGTATGATCTCGGGTCACTGCAACCTCCGCCTCCTGGGTTCAAGCGATTCTCCTGCCTCAGCCTCCCAAGTAGCTGGATTACAGGCATGTGCCACCATGCCCCACTAATTTTGTAGTTTTAGTAGAGATGGTGTTTCACCATGTTGGTCAGGCTGGTCTCAAACTCCTGATCTGAGGTGATCCACCTGCCTTGGCCTCCCAAAGTGCTGTGATTACAGGCGTGAGCCACCATGCCTGGCCCCAGACAAAGTTTTGAACTCTATTTTCTCAGAGCTCCAAATAAAAATGTTAAGGTGTTTTAAGTAGCCACTTTTAAGTAGGGATATTTGTTAAATATAAAACAAATAAACAACAAAGATGAAAATAAAAGAGTTGAAAAGGAAGAGATAATTTTAAAACATGGAAAGAGCATTGAGTTTATTTTTATACTGTCAATAATGAGTATTTTTCCCTAATTGACTTCTTAATAAATAGGTCACACATGACATATGATCTGTTCTCTGTTCTATAAATGGCTTTGGGAATATAATTAAAACATTAGGGCTTACTCTAATAAATTTGTCTCACCTCTTCAAGGAAAGACTGGAAAGACTGACCAGTTAAAGATTGAAAGATGAGTAGGAATAAGTATTCTCCTTCTCCTTCTTTTCTCTTAAATTTCACATTAAATTCCTAGGTCCCCAGTAGACCACCTTTGAAGGAGGAGAAGCCAATTACTTCTCTGATGACACCAAATTACTAGACATCAATTCTGACTGTTGTGGTTTTGGAGGGTCTAGGATTAATGAATGGAATGACATCACTGTTTGGAGTTAGGATGTGAGCAAAGTAATTGGCCAAACTTAGCCATAATATTATCTTTTTTATCTGACAAAATTGAAACTAGTAGTTGGCTAATTATGGTAGGCAGAATAATGGCTCCCCGAAGATGCCTATGTCTTAATTCTCATAACCTGTGAATATGTTAGGTTATATGACAAAGGGAATTAACTAATCCGCTGACCTTAAAATAAGGAGATTATTCTAGATTATCTAGGTGGGTCCAGTGTAAGCATAAGAATCTATGGAAGAGGAAAGGAGGAAAGAGTCAGAGTCAGAGGAGATGTGATGACAGAAGCAGAATTAGAGTGATGCAATCTGAGGACTCCATTGGCCATGGCCACTTTGAAGATGGAAGGGGGCCTTTAGAAACTGGAAAAAACAAGAAAATAGGTTCTTCCTTACAGCCTCCAGAAGGAAATACAGACTTGCCAGCACCTTGATGTTAGCTTGGTAATACCCATTTTAGACTTTGGATCTCCAGAACTGTGAGATAATGCATTTGTGTTCTAAGCAGTAATTTTGTGGTAATGTGTTACAGTAGAAATAGAAAATTAATATATTATTTAATCAAAACATAGGTTAAAATCAAGAATAAAAATAATGTATATACATGTTAAATATTTTACATTAATGTAAAATATGCAAATACTATCTATTCTCCAGACTTTTCATGTAGGACCAAGATCTTTGATGATAGTTCAACAATATATATCTTGTATAAACACTCACCATAGTGCATTGATTATGATATTCAGTTTCTGAGGAAAGTAGTCATTCAATACATTTTAACTGAATGAAGGGATAAATAAACCACGAGGTTTGCTGGATCAAACTTCTGAATTATTACTCAGAATACAATATTTTTAAAGTTGTCCAAAACAGCTATGTATTTTAAGTCATTTATCTTAAATGGAATTTCTGATTTGGGGTCCTAAATAGGCACAGCTAAGGATTACAAGGACTGTGTGGTCTAAGCAGCCTAGAGTATCCACTGTCTGACATTATCTGAGCAATGGCATAAAGAATGTACAGGCATAGCTCGATTTATTGTGCTTCACTTTATTGTTCTTCACAGCCACTGAGTTTTTTACAAATTGAAGGTTTGTGGCAACCCTGCATCAAGCAAGCCTATCAGCGCCATTTTTCCAATGGCATGTGCTCACGTCATCTCTCTCTGTCACACTTTGGTATCTCTCCCAAATATTTCAAAATTTTTCATTATTATTTTATCTGTTATGGTGATCTGTGATCAATGATCTTTGATGTTACTATTGCAATTGTTCTGGGTCTCCATGAACCACTCCCATATAAGATGATAAACAATCAATAAATGTTGTGTGTGTCCTTAATGCTCCATGAACCAGCAGTGCCCTTATCTCTCTTACTATCCTTGGGCCACTGTATTCCTAGACATACAATAATATTAACATTAGGACAATTAATAACCCTACGATTGCCTATGTGTTCAAGTGAAATGAAGTGTTGCACAAAATCAAAATCTAGAAATGGTTAATTTAGTGAGGAGGGCATATTGAAAGCCAAAACAGGCCGAAAGCTAGGCCTCTTGTGCCAAACAGCCAAGTTGTGAATGAAAATGAAAAGTTCCTTAAGGAAATTAAAAGTGCTATTTCAGTGAATGCATAAGTGATAAGGAAGAAAAACAACCTTATTGCTGATACGGAGAAAGTTTCAGTGGTTTGGATAGAAAATCAAACAAGCCACAACATTCCTGTAAGCAAAAGCCTAATTTAGAGAAAAGCCCTAATTCTCTTCAATTCTATGAAGGCTGGGAGAAGTGAGGAAGCTGAAGAAGAAAAGTATGAACCTAGCAGAGGTTGGTTCATGAGGTTTAAGGAAAGAAGCCATTCTATAAGATAAAAGTGAAAGGTAAAGCAGCAAGCATTGATGCAGAAGTTGCAACAAGTTATCCAGAAGATCTAGCTAAATCATTGGTGGAGGTGGCTACACTAAACAATAGGTGTGCAATATAGACGAAACAGCCTTATATTAGAAGGAGATGCTATTTAGGATTTTTGTAGCTAGAGAGAAGTCAATGCCTAGCTTCAAAAGACAGGCAGACGCGCTTGTAGGGACTAATGCAGCTAGGTGACTTTAAGTTGAAGCCAATGCTCATTTACCATTCTGAAATGCTAGGGCCCTTCAGAATATGCTAATTTTACTCTCCCTATGCTCTATAAATAGAACATCAAAGCCTAGGTTACAGAACATCTATTTACAGCATGGTTTACTGAACATTTTAAGTCTACTGTTGTGACCTACTGCTCAGAAAAAAAGATTCTTTTCAAAGTTATTGCTAATTGACAATGCACCTGGTCACCCAAGAGCTCTGGTGGAGATGTACAAGGCTACTAATGTTGTTTTCACACCTGCTAACACAACATCCATTTTGCATCCCATGGATCAATAAGTAATTATGACTTTCTTTTTATTTTATTTTATTTTATTATTATTATACTTCAAGTTTTAGGGTACATGTGCACAATGTGCAGGTTAGTTACATATGTATACATGTGCCATGCTGGTGTGCTGCACCCATTAACTCATCATTTAGCATTAGGTTTATCTCCTAATGCTATCCCTCCCCCCTCCCCCCATCCCAAAACAGTCCCCAGAGTGTGATATTCCCCTTCCTGTGTCCATGTGTTCTCATTGTTCAATTCCCACCTATGAGTGAGAACATGCGGTGTTTGGTTTTTTGCCCTTGCGATAGTTTACTGAGAATGATGATTTCCAATTTCATCCATGTCCCTACAAAGGACATGAACTCATCATTTTTTATGGCTGCATAGTATTCCATGGTGTATATGTGCCCCATTTTCTTAATCCAGTCTATCATTGTTGGACATTTGGGTTGGTTCCAAGTCTTTGCAGTGAAATAAAAGAGGATACAAAGAAATGGAAGAACATTCCATGCTCATGGGTAGGAAGAATCAATATCGTGAAAATGGCCATACTGCCCAAGGTAATTTATAGATTCAATGCCATCCCCATCAAGCTACCAATGACTTTCTTCACAGAATTGGGAAAAACTACTTTAAAGTTCATATGGAACCAAAACAGAGCCCGCATCGCCAAGGCAATCCTAAGCCAAAAGAACAAAGCTGGAGGCATCATGCTACCTGACTTCAAACTATACTACAAGGCTACAGTAACCAAAACAGCATGGTACTGGTACCAAAACAGAGATATAGATCAATGGAACAGAACAGAGGCCTCAGAAATAACGCCGCATATCTACAACTATCTGATCTTTGACAAACCTGACAAAAACAAGCAATGGGGAAAGGATTCCCTATTTAATAAATGGTACTGGGAAAACTGGCTAGCCATATGTAGAAAGCTGAAACTGGATCCCTTCCTTACACCTTATACAAAAATTAATTCAAGATGGATTAAAGACTTAAACGTTAGACCTAAAACCATAAAAACCCTAGAAGAAAACCTAGACATTACCATTCAGGACATAGGCATGGGCAAGGACTTCATGTCTAAAACACCAAAAGCAATGGCAACCAAAGACAAAATTGACAAATGGGATCTAATTAAACTAAAGAGCTTCTGCACAGCAAAAGAAACTACCATCAGAGGGAACAGGCAACCTACAAAATGGGAGAAAATGTTTGCAACCTACTCATCTGACAAAGGACTAATATCCAGAATCTACAATGAACTCAAACAAATTTACAAGAAAAAAACAAACAACCCCATCAAAAAGTGGGCGAAGGACATGAACAGACACTTCTCAAAAGAAGACATTTATGCAGCCAAAAAACACATGAAAAAATGCTCACCATCACTGGCCGTCAGAGAAATGCAAATCAAAACCACAATGAGATACCATCTCACACCAGTTAGAATGGCAATCATTAAAAAATCAGGAAACAACAGGTGCTGGAGAGGATGTGGAGAAATAGGAACACTTTTACACTGCTGGTGGGACTGTAAACTAGTTCAACCATTGTGGAAGTCAGTGTGGCGATTCCTCAGGGATCTAGAACTAGAAATACCATTTGACCCAGCCATCCCATTACTGGGTATATACCAAAAGGACTATAAATCATGCTGCCATAAAGACACATGCACACATATGTTTATTGCGGCACTATTCACAATAGCAAAGTAATTGTGACTTTCAAGTCTTATTTTTTAAGAAATATATTTCATACGGCTATAGCTGCCAAAGGTAGTGATTCCTCTGATGGATGTGAACAAGGTAAATTGAAAAACTTCTGGAAAGAATTCACCATTCTAGATGCCACTAAGAACATTCTTGATTTATGGGCAGAGGTCAAAATAACATTAACCGGAATTTGGAATAAGTTGATTCCAGCCTTCATGAATAAATTAAGGTAGTTCAAGACTTCAGTGGAGGAACTGCAGATGTGGTGGAAATAGCAAGATAACTAGAACTAGAAGTGGAGCCTGAAGATGTGACTGAATTGCTGTAATCCCATCATAAAACTGGATGAGGAGTTGCTTCTTGTGCATAAAAAAAGGAAAGTGGTGAGGTCAGGTGATCCAGACCATACTGGCCAACATGGTGAATTCCCATCTCTACTAAAAATACAAAAATTAGCTGGGCATGGTGGCATGCACCTGTAGTCCCAGCTACTCAGGCGGCTGAGGCAGGAGACTTGCTTGAACCCGGGAGGCAGAGGTTGCAGTGAACTGAGATCGTGCCACTGCACTCCAGCCTGGTGACAGAGCGAGACTCCATCACAAAAAAAAAAAAAAAAAAAAAAAGAATGTGGTTTCTTGAGATAAAATCTACTCCTAGTGAAGATGCTATGAACATAGTGGAAATGACAACAAAGGATTTAGAATATCACATAAACTTAGTTGATAAAGCAGTGGCAGGGTTTGAGAGACTTGACCCCAATTTTGAAAGATGTTCTACTGTGGGTAAAATGCTATCAAACTCCATTACGTACTACAGAAATTCATAAAAGAAAGATTCAATCACTGCAGCAAACTTCACTGTTTTCTTATTTTAAGAAATTGCCACTGCCACTCCAATCTTAAGCAACAACCACCCTAATTAGTCAGTAGCCATCAACGTCGAGGCAAGAACCTCCACGAGCAAAAAGATTACAACTCACTGAAGGCTCAGATGATCATCATTTTTAGCAAGAAAGTCCATTTTTAAGACATAAAACGAATTATTGCATGCTGCTTAATAAACCACAATATAATATAAACATAACTTTTATATGCACAGAAACAAAAAACATTGTGTGACTCACTTTATTGCAACATTTGCTTTGTGGTGTGGTCTGGAACCAAATCTCCAATATCTTTGAAGTCTGCCTATATAGATTTTCATGGAAGCTGGAAAGTATAAAATGTTTGGGAATTAAAGATTTGTTCTGAGTTTCATGAGGGCCCTGAGAAAAGTTACAGATACCAATAAGGGAATCAAAAATAATATTGAGGTAAATTTCTCTAGCTTCTCCTTTTGACCTGCACCCTGGCCTTGCTCCTTTTTTCATTTCCCCTAACCTAGGTAATAAGCTATCATTTTTCTGCCTAAGAATTTCCTTGAGGAATTTTTTCACAATCCCAGTTTAACACAGAGACCTAAAGAGAAGTATCTCCTTAATACAAGTTCTTTTTCTGCTTTGTCAGTTTTTAATATTTACTTGATCCTTTGGTTTATTAGAGAGTTACCTGCATAAAATTATTTTATTTTTCATTCCTTAAACTCAATTTCAATTTTTTTGAACAAAATTGACACAAGTCATTTAAGGAAGTTAAAAAGCAAATACCAATTACAATATGAGACCTGCTGAATTTGGGTGCCAGAACTTAACTGTAGTAAATGCTTAGGTTTTTTAACACTGTAATAAAAAATTTATCAAAACTAGGCTGGGTACGGTGGCTCATGCCTGTAATCCCAGCACTTTGGGAGGCCGAGGTGGGCAGATCACGAAGTCAGGAGTTCGAGACCAGCCTGGCCAACATGGTGAAACCCCGTCTCTACTAAAAATACAAAAATTAGCCTGGCTTGGTGGCGTGGGCCTGTAATCCCATGTACTCAGGAGGCCGAGGCAAGAGAATTGCTTGAACCCGGGAGGTGAAGGTTGCAGTGAGCCAAGATTGTGCTACTGCACTCCAGCCTGGGTGACAGAGCAACACTCATGTCCAAAAAAAAAAAAAAAATCAAAACAAGTATTAAATCTAATTCTATTAGTATTAATTCAAATGTATTTCTAAAATCAACTTTAGCTCATTTGCTCATGTCATATATTTTTAAAAACTGTAATCATTATGATTGACTGGGACTGGATTTTATATATCCTTAATATCACAAAAACTGTGCTCTAGTTTCTTCCCCAACTCTTTGAAGCTCCTCTTTGCTAGGAAAGCGATCATTCTTACTTTTCCTTTAATCTCTTTCATTTGTTATACCAACAATCATTTTTTATCTAAGATATCAGGAAAGATATATTTTGTTATCAACACTACTGGAAATAAAACTTTGTTGCAACATAATCCTGTTCTGTAAGAAAAAAATCATCTTAGTGAAAAATGAAACAACTTATGGTATTGGTAAACCCAAGACATCTGTGATATTCTGCATGGAGCACAGAATTTCACCATAAACATTGTTTTGGTTCCTCAATGATCAGGTATTCACAAAAGGTTCAATCAGATTAAATTGTATGTGTGCTTGTGTGCATGCTTTATAAATCAGTACAGATGCTCCTTACCTTACAATGGGGTTACCTCCTGATAAACCCATTTTAAGTTGGAAGTATATTTAAGTTGGAAATGCATTTAATACACCAAACATCAATAACTTAACCTATCCTACCTTAAACATATTCAGAACATTTTCATGAGCATACAGTGGGCAAAATCATTTACTATAAAGCCTATTTTATGATAAAGTGCTGAGTATCTCTCATGCAATTTATTGAATACTGTAATGAAAGTGAAAATTTGGGTACTCACTATTAACATATACAGCTGAAAGCATAGTGAGCCTGCAGAATGTTTGATGCATTTAACTAAAATTAATTGCTGGATTATGGGAATACTGCAGTGCCTAGGTCGTCAATTTCTCTATCTTCTGATGAGGCTCTAGAAAAGCTGGTAGAATGCACTGGGGCATCAATACTTGGTGATAGTTTAGCAGGCATAGTGTTCTCCAGGAAGATGTCAAGTTTTGACCGTACAGTTTGTTTCTTCTTTTCATTATGTATTTCCCTATAGCGAGCAAAAGCATCCTGTTTCTGCCCATGATGTCTTGTGAATTTCTCATAATTGATGTCCACTTTTTCTAACATGAACATGCCATTGCTGACAGTAGCAAACACCTCTGACAGCTTCTTTGTTGTACATTTTCTTGGTGCCTCGGGTACAATTTCTTCCTTTGCTTCAATTTCTTTACTTCTGTCTTCCTCCAGTTTGATCAGCTCCTCATTGGAAAGCTCTCCAGCATCAATGCCAACAAGTTCATAAATAACCATTTCATCAATGCCCAATTCTAGCTGTTTCTTAAGCACCGATATCTTGTTACTTACTATTTCATCAACAGTGGAATTTTTATTAAAGCCTTTGAATGTGTTCACATGTCTTCAAAATGTTCTTCGAAATGTCATTTATGCACTGCTGTGTGACTTTTTCCCATGTTGCAGTGATGTTCCAGATAACATTTAGAATCTTAAAACCATTCCAAAACTCTTTAAGTGTTTGGCCATATTCAGTAGCTTCAGTAGCCTGTGAAAATGTTTGGCATAAATAGTATTCTTTTAATGCAGCAATTAAACCTTGGTCTATTGGTTGAAGAGTGTGGTTGTGTTTCACAGCAAATACACACTCATTACATCAAGATTCATGTCACCTATATGCTGTGGGTGCCCTGGAGCATTGTTTAAAATCAGAAGGATTTTGAATATGACATTGTTTTGCCTACAATATTCTCTTCCCTGAAGAATAAAACAATTCAAAAACCTGTCTTCAAACAATGCGGATGTCATGTAGGCTTTTTCGCCAAGGTGCTAATAAACAGGAAGAATATGCTTGCTCACATTCTTGAATGCTCTAGGATTCTTGGAGTGGTAGATGAGGAAAGGCTTTAATTTGAACTCTGTAACATTTCAGCTTAAAACCAGTATTACACAGTTTTTGAATGCTTTAAATACTGGCATTGTCTTGGACTCTTGATGAATTTACAGTCCTCGACTTATACTGGTTTGAGTTACAATTTTTTACTTTAGGATGGTGTGAAAATGATACACGTTCAGTAGAAACCGTATTTTGAGTACCCATATAACCATTCTGTTGTTCACATTCAGTACAGTATTAAAAAATTACATGAGAGATATTCAACACTTTATTATAAAGTAGGCTTTGTGTTAGATGATTTTGCCTAACTGGAAGCTACTGGAATTGTTCTGGACATGTTTAAGGTCGGCTAGGCTAAACTATGATGTTTGATAGGTTAGGTGTATTAAATAGATTTTTGACTTATGATGTTTTCAATCTATGATGTGTTTATCAGGAGGTAACCCCATTGTAAGTCAAGACACATCTGTACATACACTCTGGTATACACTTCCAGAAAAAGGTCATTTAATTAACATTAAATATTTGTTCTGGTAATTATTTATTACCCACAATTATCCTATGCAGTTCTTCCTTAAAAGCTTTGACACATTCAGTATTGGCACTTGCTGCCTCACCACTGACCTTCACTTTATGAAAATTATGCTTGCCTTTTGAAGAGTTGGAACCACCCATGACTTGCTATAAACACTTCCATATATGTAGGATCATTGGCACTCACTTTTAGCCTATTGAAAAGACTTCTTGCCTACCTGGCTCATGAATAGGCTAAGAGATATGTGGTTCTGAATCTTGTCTTCCACCACATGGCAAGTAATTTCAAGTGGCCTGGCTGGTTTTTTCATAATAACAGTGGATTTAACGGATGACGATGGTTTCATTGCATCACTAATTCACTTCTTATCCTTTAAGAGGGTCATGATCATTGATTATGGAAATTATAACTCATGTGCAGTGGCCATTACTGGCTTGCTGCCTTCATGCTGGGCAATTGTCTTACATTTTATCTCGAGTAATCACCTTCCTCTTCTTCTCACCATAAGCAGGAGACACAGATGGGTGTTTTATACACGTGATGGTACGCTAAACACAAAACAAAATATCCAAGAAATGCTGGCAATGCACTACACTGTAGAGTATGGGTTGTTTACCCATAATCACATGGCTGACTGGGAGCCATGGCTCCCTGCCACTGACCAGCACTGCAAAAGGGTATTATGCTGCATATCCCTAGCTCAGTAAAAGATCAAACTTTGAGGTATGGTTTTTACTGGGTGTACATCACTTTCGCACCATTCTTCAAGTCAAAAAATTATAAACTGAATCATCATGAGTCAGGATGATTTGTATTCCATTTCATAAGATCATTGTCTTAAAATGATGCTAAATTTCCCATAGATCTAAAATAAATCAAACAATTATTTCTTTTTATCAAATTGAAGGACAAGACCCATTCCAAGTCACCTTTGGGAATTATTAAATAAATGGATTTATTAAACAATTTCAAATATCACCATAAACAATTGTTTACATAATAATAAATTGCAATGAAAATGTATCTATTTGGCCTGAGATTTCATTATGACTTTAACGATATCTTTTGAAAAGTGATAGGATGAAATTCACTAATGATTATTGAACTCTGAGTCATGTAAGCTGTTCAAAATAGAAAACACAGTTACATATTTGGCGAATGAAACTTGGCCTCTGATATGGTTTTGAACTGTCATTATTATCTAGATATTTTGAAATCTGTAAAATTACATTATTCACAAATAAAAAGGGGATGTGACATTTTTGAGACGAAATTAAGGTGTGTATTCAGTGACTGTAAACTCATGTTACTAATGTTGTCATATTCTTTAAAAACTAAGTAGATACCAGGAACTAATTACTCAGGATTTGTTATGAGTCAGAGGAATCTGGGGTATATGCTTACTTTTTACTTATAAAATTGATTCTTTAAAAAGAGAAATCTATTTTTTATCCTTGAAGGTTTAGAAAACATCTGCTGACTTTTTGTGAGTTAAAGTTCATTAGAAAATTATGAAAATCCAAATGCATTTTTATTTAGAGTTCTCCAGAAAGCAGACTGATACACATTTTGATTAAGACTATTGAAACTATAATAAACCATGGTGTAAATTTTAAAAATTTCCTCTGCTTAAATTCACTATTACCTAGATATTAAATACATGTACATGTCAAATTAAATATCAATTACTTATCTAGTCCCAAAAGTATATTTATTGTCATTACTGTCGTAACTCCTCAGGTATATTAATGATGCAAGTAACCACATGAGAAGTAAATAAATTCAAATCTGTCATTCTGTCTACTAATAGGATTAATTAGTGTATCTTAATGTTATAACGGTGTCTCTCTCTCTCTCTCCTCTTTTCCTGTTCCTGTGTGTTCTTCCCACAGTTAGGTCTTCAGAGAAGGAGAAGATAACCGTTATTTGGTTAAGTCACTATAAATTAGCTGCATTTTCCTACAAATACCTCTAAAAAAGCTTGAAACAGAATGGGCGATTTTGCCAAGTTATTAAGAGAATTCTAAAGAAGACTCTACATTATGCCAGACTGAAAAAACAATTTTCCCATTTCAGAAGGGAGGTTCTCCACCCACCCACCACTGAAAACAAATATACATACTTAATTGCATTAAGTATTGTCCTATTACTCTCCAGCAAGCCTTTACCAGTTCAGATTCCAAACAGGGACTCATTGCTCTTCATCCTTACAAAACTTTTATATTGCCAACTTCCAATATTATTAATCTGATGATTGTTGAATAGCATCTCTTTTAATTTGCATTTTTGTTGAGTGATCAATGATGAACAGCTATTTATATACAAATTATCCATCCTTTACCTATTTTTCCTGCTTACATTCAGGATTTGCTTGGATATTCTGGATCTTATTACCTTGACGATGTTCTTCTGAATCTTCCAAGCAAAACGATACTTCTCCTATGGTTTATTCTGTTAGTTTCAGAGGTTTACCTTGCACACCTAGGTATTATATGCATCTAGAATTCTTTGTGTATGCCTTTTATTTCCAACATTTCTGGGTACATCTTGGTAGACATTTTTGATTTTTTTAAAAATCCAATCTTAGTGTTCTGTGTCTAGAAATGCTAGGAAAACATTTACTTTTATTTGAATACTATTATATTTGGATTGCTCTGGTAATTTTAGCTAATTCTTTCTATTTTCATTATTTTTCTTTTTTCTTTTTACCTTTAATTTCAGTTTTACAAAACTATTCACATGCCTTTTCTTATGTTGGTTTCTGTGACTTATAATTCTTGTTTCTGTGGCAAATTTTGAATTGAGCTTGAAGGACAGAGACATGTTAGTTTGCTATCTTGTCAGGAAAAAGATGCAGCTGCATGCCTCAGATCCCTCTTTAGAACTGAAGCACTCATTTACCCCATGGCTAGGAGCATTGGCTGTTGACAGTTCACATCTCAATTCCTTCATCCCTAGGAAATGTCAGAGACCAAAGGGAGTTGCCTTGCTAAGATCATGTCCTAACCTCAGACAGCCTAGCAGCATATTTAAAACATTAATTTATATAAGATTTACATATTAAGATTATTAAAACTTAATTTTATATATTTGCTGTAAACAATTATAAGCTGGCTAACTTCAACTCTGAAAGATTATTTTGTACAGGCTCAAAAATTTTATTTAATATGTTTTAAAATATTATGTGATACATTCAAATAATACATATCTGTGTGTATGCCTGTGTGTGTGTATTTGTAAGTTAAGCATCACAATGATATAATGAATCCTCATGAACTTAACACCCAAATCCAAAAGGAGAACCTGTTAGGGAAATATAATTTCCAACAAAATTTCCTGCCACTCAGAAAATCTCTCCAACAAAAGTAGAAGAGAAAGAAAGCAGTTTTATTATTGAGTAAGCATTAAACCAAAATGTCATGTGCCTCTCAGGTAATCTGTTAAAGAGATTGCAAAGACAGAAAGAAATTTCACCCTTTTCTATAGTTAAGCAGACACAACTCATTATAACAACGTTCTAAGGAGAAAAAAATAACTAGTCTCAAGTAAGAGGACTTGACTGCAATGTTTGTCCCACATAGTTCATCTCAAATTCACTTGATAGTTGGAGTGACTATCTGTGTTAGCTAACTGGATTTATCCAAAGGAAAAATAAACTTCTAATGTCTTTATGATAGGAGGTAGTTTTTGAGCTAGACTCAAGCTGAAGTGAGGAGCCCACTCTCCCAAAGAAAACAAAATCTTTGATGATTATATTCCAAAGACATGGCACCTAGGTTCCTAAGAAAGATATTCCTGGGTTATAAATCTAGAAAGAAGTTTATTTAGGTTTTTAATAAGATGTACATATATCTCAAAGGAGAAAGGAAAGAATTTACAAGTTTTCTAAAGAAAATGCTTTGAAGGGGAGGAGGATTCTTTTCCTGATGTAAATCAGAGAAAACTATTTTTTCATTATATTTCTATTAATATTTACCCTTACAAACATGACCAGTAACTTAAATTTACCCATGTCACACACACATACACACAGACACACACGCGCGCACACACACACACACGTAACAATTACACTGAATCTGGTATGTAATAATCATTTGTATTTTTTTCCAAATAGTTTTATTATATGTATGTATGGCTAAACTATATAAAGTTCTGGAACTTGCTTTATAATTCTTTAATAGTATGTTTTTAAGTTCCTGTCATATAGTTTTATGGAGCCGGAAGTCATTGATTTTCACTGCTGTATGTTTCGTACTGTGATGATACCCCCAAATATACTTATTTTCTATCCCTTATCTCCTATACATTTGTATTTTTTCAGGTTTTGCTATTATTGATTGTGCTTCTGTGAACATTCACTTCTGTGAACATTCTTTCACATGTCTCCTGGTGAACACAAGCAAGAACTTTTCCACTTTATATACCTAGGACTAATTGCTGAGTCATAGGAAATGAATTTTCAACTTTACAAGGAAAAAATCTAAATTGTTTTCTACAGTAGTATACCAGTGATATATATAATACCTACCAGCAAAAAATAATGCAATCTCATTGTTTCACATCCTTTCCAACAATTGATGTAGCTAGACTTCTTAATTTTTGATAATACAGCAGGTATAAAATGGTACCTAGTGCCTTTGTCAGACAAACCTTATGAACCACTTCAGATTCTCTCAACCAATCTCTTGTTCCAGATGCTACACAGCCAGTGTACCCTTATAGCATTTTCAAGCAGGTACGAAATAATAGCATGTTTCCCCATATACTTTCTACAGCCTGGGGATTCCAAGTTGATGCCAAGATGTGGGATGCTATGGGACTCTGCTCTATGGCCATGCATATGCCCCATGGGATGAATTTTGACTAGGTAATATGGGAACTGCTGGGTACATCTTTCTGCTCTCCACTGCTCACCCCCAAGATTGAATGACCTGAAATGCAGTAAAACAACTTCTCAGAAGGCAATCCTATAAGATGGAGTAATCAGCCATACTTAGCTGCAATTAGCTCCTTAATACACCTTCATATTGACTCTCATTTTTCCCTGTTCCATTCTCTCCATCCCTCACTCCTACTATCTGGGATTGAATTCTCTAATAAAGTAGTAGCTATGTGGAAAACCCAGTTTAAGGCAAGATCATAATTTTCATTTTTCTGATCACATAGTATGTATTGGCCATAATTGTGACAGGCCTTTTCATGTGTTTTGTTTATTTTTATTGAAGGAAGGTGGGATGTTTGTTTATTGCTCTCTCATCAATTAGGAGAATTTTTACATTTTAAGAACTAATCTTTAGTAAGTTACATGTGTTATAGTTTTCTTCTTTCTGATTGTTGCTTGTATTTTCTTTTCACTTTTCTTATTTTTTTTCATTGAACAAAGTTCTTAATTTTGATTTAGTTGAATTGAATGAACTTATTTGTGTTTATCCTTAGTAAATTATTTCTTATCCCAAGGTCAGAAACACATAATTACGTATTTTGTTTAAAAGATTTTAAGGGTGGCTTTTCACACTTACATCTTAATACATATTCTATTAGACTTTTTTCTGTGAATCTTGTTGTTATTATTGCTATGTAAAGGGTACATTCTTTTAAATTATGCTTCTATCTGTTTCTTGATTTATGTTGATCTTATAGCCAGGCAACTCACTAAAATTTTATTATTTATAATATTTGTTTGTAGAAACTCTAATAATAATATCCACTGTATAATGATATTTTCTCTCTATTCTGATAAACACACACACACACACATGCACACACACACACATATTTAAATGTCTTTTCTGTTTCTATTGCACTAAGATCTCCAGTCCAATAATGATTAGAAGCAGTACTAATTGACATTCTTGTTTGTTTCTAAATTTTAAGAGGATGCTTCTAATTTTTTTTTATTATGAGGGATGTCTGTTCAAGTTTTTTGGTTGATTCTGTTTATCAAGTTCAGAGGTTCAGTTATATTACTAGTTTACTGAAATCAAAGATATGCTGAATTTTATGACATTATTTTTCTGCAACTCTGAGGTACGGATATTGCTTTTCTCTTTTAATCAGCTCTTGTTGAGGATGATCTTTACATATATTATAATGTTAAACTATTCTTACAATCTTGAAATGTACTCATTTTAGTCATAATATGTTACAATTATTTTATCCTGTACGTAGTATGGTTTGCTAATATTTTGTTTGGGATTTGTTTGCCCCTATATTCATGAATTAGCTTCTCAAAATGAATTTTGATGGGGATTAAATTAAAGCAGAAAATTAATATATGAACAATAGAGTACAATATTCTATCTTTCCATTGATTAATAAATCTACTTTTTTTGTCTATCAGCAAAGTTTTATTTATTTTATTCAAAGTTTTTCTCTTTTAGGTCCCAATTTTTTTGTTACTTTCAAAGGAATCTTTATTTTTTGTATAATTTATTGATTATTGAAATTAAACTAGATACCAATTGAATTTCCCAAATACTACAAAGCTATAGTAACCAAAACAGCATGATATTGGCATAAAAACGGACACAGAGACCAATGGAATAAAATAAAGAACACCAAAATAAATCCACGCACTTACAGCCAATTCATTTTCAACAAATGTGCCAAGAATATAAATTAGAGAAAGGACATTCTCTTTAATAAATAGTGCTGGGAAAACTGGATATCTATATGCAGAAGAATGAAACTCATTCCCTGTCTTACAGCATATAAAACATCAATTCAAAATAGATTAAAGACTTAAATGTAAGGCTGGAAACTATGAAACTACTAATAGAAAACACTGGAAAATGCTCTACGACATTGATCTGAGCAAAGATTTTTTTGGCTAAGACTGCAAAAGCACAGGCAACAAAAGCAAACATAAGCAAATGGGCTTATATCAAGTAAAAAGCTTCTTCATAGCAAAGGAAAAAATCAACAAAGTGAAGAAACAACCTACAAATGGGAGAAAATATTTGCAACTATATAACTAACAAGGGATTAATATCCAAAATATATAATGAACTCAAACCACTCATTAGCACAAAATAATCTGATGAACAAATGGACCAAAGTTGTTTTTTGTTTTTGTTTTTTTCCAAAATGGTGGATTAGAGGCATGGCTAGCATACCTCTCCCACTTGGAAGGACAAAATAGTGTGTAGAATTTCACACTGTGAACTTTTTTTCAAGAAGCGACATGGTAACTGAACAGAAAAAACAAAGGAATCTAAGGATGCTTTGAATAAGGCAGAAGGCTGCAGTCTACACTGTGAGTAAGGTGAAGGGCTGTGAGTCCCCAGTGGTAAGCCCCATAGTTCCCATGCACGTGGGGAGACTTTGCCTCGGGGATACACACTCCCACCAGGGACCCTGAAGGGGAAGGCCCTAACTCCAACCAGCGAAGGAACTGACTTGGGGAAGGTCATGGAATATAAAAGTAGGAGCAGTGGCCGGAAGTTCCTTGTATGTACTCCCAGATCCCACCATGGATCAAAGGCAGCCAGCCATTCCTTACTATTCCTCACAGGGGACTCTGCAGAGGACAGCCAAAAAGTTCAGGCAGTGGTTGCAGGTTGCAAGAAGCTCCTAATGGGGTTTCACAATATAACCTCAGGTGGGGGTGAGCTCCCTTGGCCAAGGCCAGGGCAGAGAAGAGTGAAAAGCAGCCTGTGAGTGCAGGGGTCACGTGTACAGGAGTCATGGGTGCAGAAACTGGGCACAGGGCTTTGCAGCTATAGGGAGAGGTGTGGCCTGAAAGCCTTGGTTGCAGTCTCCTAGGGGAAAGCTTATGACTCCAGGTAGTGGCAAGTTCTGATTACAGGCTGACTGGAGCTCAGCTCACTGCTGCCAGTGGAACACTGTGGGAGTGGATCCTCCTTGCCACGTGCATGGGAACTATGGGGTTTACCACTGCTTGCTACTCCCCACTCCCTGCACAAACTCTTCTGTGCAGCAGAGGTGGCAATGCTCCTCTCTGGAACATCAACCCAGTGGCCTGAGACCCACTCCTGTGCAAACACACCCAACCCAGGCCCCACCTGGCTTTGTCCTGCCACCGCCGTGGTAGCTTAACACAAAGGACAGAATCGACAGAATCTCTTGGGAGCTACATGGCCCTGCCCATTGCCTGAGAAACCAGAGTACACCCCTCCCCCTTGAAACATAAGGCAAGCAAACATCCCACTGCTACTGCTACCACCACAGCGAGGCCAACCAACACAGTCCATTACAATATCTCCTGGTAGTATAACACTGTGCTGAAGAAGGAGAAAACTGCTTCGAGATCTGAGCTATCACCACTGCCTGCACCACTCTGGCTAAACAGAAGGTCCTGAGTCTGTCCACTTGGCCAGTTCATTACTATTATAACTGTAGTCAAGAAATCCAACACACTAAGGCTAAGGCCATCAATAACCAAGGAATTTCACAGAGTCTACGTCGCTCCCCTGCCACTCCTATTAGAACTGGTGCTGCTACCCACTGCTGGGAAACTTGAGGTCAGGTCACATCACCAGATCCCTTACAGACATTTTCCATCACCACTCTGGAGTATGGCAACTTCACTGGGCAGCTAGACTCAGAGGAGCAACAACACTCACAGTAGTCTGGCTCCCAGGGACTCCCACTCCTAGGGGAAGTGGAAGTGTACATCAAGAGAACACCCCATGGGACAAAAGAATCCAGATGACAGACCTTAAGCACTAGATCTTTCCACTGCTGGAAAGCTTACTTCAGCAGAGACACAGTTGAAGTGCTGGGCTCAGGGGGGAAAGTCTTTGGCTCTATCCCAACAGTCAGACAGCCCTGGTGCACATGAAAGTTCTTGGAGAAGAGGAAGTCTTTCCCCCCTTGTCTACCACCATAGTCACAGTTGGGCCTTCTCCTATGGGAGCTTGGTGTGGGTGCCACTTTAGACAGCCTTTCTGGAACACATCAGGTGACTGCATCCCCACAGGAGGCGCACCCTCCAGGTTCAGGCTTGCAGGAGAGAGACAGAGTCACAATTCCTCTCTATTTGGAACATCAACATTCCTTCAGATGAAAAGAGGTGCCTGTCTGATCTGAATAGCCAGAGCACTGGGACAAGAGCATGTCTGAGAGGTGGATAACTTTCCTGCTCACCTGTCAGGGGAGCAGAGGTGGCTCCAACCCTTCCCCCTGATAAGACCTCAGTGCAACTCACTGAGAGCTCCTCCAGCCACTTCTGCCAAGCCTGGGACTTCATTTACTCACTTGCTTTAGTTATAACTGGTTCCTACCCAGGGACACCTCCCCTACTGGCCTAAAGCCTGAATAATCAAACAAGTAAATAAAATACTGGGGAAAAATAAATAAATAAAAAAGTAAATGCCATGGAGAAATGTGAGATAAGCTTTAAGAGACCTCTAGCATTCCAACTGCATAGGAGACAATGAACTTGGTCACACACTGAGCACAGTGCTACTGCAACCAGTATATGAGAAAGCCATCATACAAAGAACTTTATAACCAAAGAACTCTTATAGAGTCTTCACCCTGAAAGCACCAAAAACCAAATTGGGCTATAAGTAACTATAAGCATTAAAGTCTTATCCTTAAGGGGGAAAAATAAATTAGAAGCAAACAAACAAAAGAAACACAATCAAATCAAACATAAATTCAAGAATACTTAGAAGAAATAGTCTACCCAAGTGAGAAGGAACCAGAAAAATAACTGGTAATATGACAAAACAAAGATCACACTAACTCTCCAGCAATGGACCCAAACCAAGATGAAATCTTTGAAATACCAGATAAGGAATTAAGAAGGTCAATGGAACATAGACCAATGGAACAGAATAGAAAACCCAGAAACAAATCTACATGCCTACAGTGAATTCATTTTTGACAAAAGGTGCCAAGAACATACACTGGGGAAAAGACAGTCTCTTTAATAAATGGTGCCGGGAAAACTGGATATACATATTCGGAAGAATGAAACTAGACCCCTATCTCTTGCCATATGCAAAAATCAAATCTAAATGAATTAAAGACTTAAATCTAAGACCTCAAACAATGAAACTACCATAAGAAAACATTGGGGAAAATCTCCGAAACATTGGTCTCAGCAAAGATTTCTTGAGCAATATTCCACAAACACAGGTAACCAAAGCAAAAATGAACAAATGGGATCACACCAAGTTAAAAAGCTTCTGCAAAGCAAAAGATACAATCAACAAAATGAAGAGACAACCCACATAGTGGGAGAAGTTATTTTCAAGCTACTTATCTGAAAATGGATTAATAACCAGAATATATAAGGGGCTCAAACAACTCTATAGGAAAACATCTAATAATCCAATCAAAAATGGGCAAAACATTTGAATAGACATTCTCAAAAGAAGACATGTAAATGGCAAACAGGCATATGGAAAGGTTTTCAACATCACTGATCATCAGAGAAATGCAAATCAAAACTATCATGAGATATCATCTCACCCCAGTTAAAATGGCTTATATCCCAAGACAGGCAATAACAAATGCTGGCAAGGATGTGAAGAAAAGGGAATCCTTGTATACTGTTGGTGGGAATATAAACTAATACAAACACTCTGAAGAACAGTTTGGAGGGTCCTCAAAAAACTAAAAATTGAGCTACCATATAGTTGTGAAAGGAAAATAAATCTTGGAGACCCCCAAATCACTAAGTTAAAGGAAAAAGTCTAGCTGAGAAATGCTGAGGGCAAACCTGGTCCCATTCTATTCAGTCTTCCTTCTGCTCACTGAGATAAATGCATATCTGATTGCCTCCTTTGGAAAGGCTAATCAGAAACCTAAAAGAATGCAACCCTTTGTCTCTCACCTACCTGTGACCTGGAAGCCCCCTCCCTGCTTGAGTTGTTCCACCTTTCTGGATGGAACCAATGTACATCTTCCATACATTGATTGATGTCTCAATGAAACGGCCTCGTTGTCTGGAGTATCACCCAAAGTTCATGGTTTCACAGCCACAGAGAACGAGGAGGACACAACAAGAGTGAGGTTAAGAGCAGAAATTTAGTAGACAAAAGAAAGTGCTCTCTGCTGCAGAGTGGGGTCCCAGAGAAATGGGTTGTCAGATGTATGGTGAAAAGCAGGGGGTTTTATAGATGCCTGGTGAGGAGGTGGTGTTTGATTTATATAGGGCACAAAAAATTGGTTTGACCAGATGTGCCATTTGCACAGGACATGAAAAACTGGTTAGGACTAGGTGTGTCATTTGCACAGGACACAAATTTCTGGCTGCCCCCACCCTAATCTTTCATTATGCAAGTGGGTCCTCTGCCTGAGCTGTGCCACGTTGCCCATTTCTTTACGGTATATGTGGTAACAAAAAAAGGGAATATGGAGACTCCATGTTGGACATGCCTGGCCCCCAGGTACCCCTTTCCTATTGACACAGCTGCTGGCATTCCACCGCGCAAGCTTCCAGCTTGCTTATCTATGTTTGCAGCTCAATTTTTCAGGCTGCTTTTTGTTAGAAAAGAAGTGATTTGGGGGCTTCTTTTTGTTAGAAGGGGCTGTTCTGCCAAGGCAACAGCCATCACTATCTGCCTAAATAATTTCTTTCTAGCTCCTGTATCATCACATTCCTAAAATGTATAAAACCAAATTGTGCTCTGACCACCTTGGGCACATGTCTTCAGGACCTCCTAAGGCTGTGTCACGGGCGCACGTCCTCAAGCTTGGCAAAATAAACTTTATAAATTAACTGAGATCATCTCAGATATTTGGGGATCACATGGTCCAGCAATCCCACTGCTGGGTATATACATAAAAGAAAGGAAATCAGTATATCAAAGAGATACCTGCACTCCTATGTTTGTTGCAGCACTGTTTACAATAGCTAGGATTTGGAAGCAATCTAAATGTCTATTAGCAGATAAATGGATAAAGAAAACGTAGTACATACACACAATGCAGTACTATTCAGTCATACAAAAGAATGAGATCCAGTCATTTGCAACAACATGGATGGAACTGGAGATCATTATGTTATGTGAAATCAGACAAGTACAGAAAGACAAACATAGCATGTTCTAATCTGTGGAATCTAAAAATCAAAACAACTGAACTCATGGACATAGAGAGTAGAAGGATGGTTGCCAGAGGCTGGGAAGGGTATTGGGGGGTTGCGCGGTGGTGTGGGGATGCCTAATGGGTACAAAAAAAATAGAAAGAATGCATAATACCTACCATTTGATAGCACAATGCGGTGACTATAGTCAATAATTTAATTATGCATTTTAAAATAACTTAAAGAGTATAATTGGATTGTTTGTAACGTGAAGGATAAATGCTCGAGGGTATGGATACTGCGTTCTCCATGATAGGATTATTTCACACTGCATGCCTGTATCAAAACATCTCACGTATCCCATAAATTCATACACCCACTATGTATCCATAAGAATTAAAAAACAACATTGTATAACTTGCAAAAGAAAATAAATAATACAAATTAGAGCAGAAATCAATTAAATGAAAATAAGAAAACAACAGAAAAATTTTAAAAATCAAATGCTGATTCTTTGAAAAAATCAATTAATTTTCTAAACATCTAGGCAGTATAATCAAGAAAAAAAGAGAAGAAAGCAAAATGTAACAATACCAGAAATGCAGGAAAGGTCATTATTACTGATTATGCTCATGAAAAAGATAACAAAGAATACTAACAGTACTTCTATGTCCACAGATTTGATAAATTGGCTGAAACTGGCCACTTCCTTGAAAGACACAAACTACCAAAATATACACTAAGATAAATAGATAATCTGAAAAGGCTTGTACCTCTTGAAGTTGAATCAATAGTTAATAACCTTCCAAAAAAGAAAAACACTAAACCCAGATGGTTTCACTGATAAATTCTAGCAAACGTTTTAGAAGGAAATATCAATTCTCCACAATCTTGTCCACAAAATAGAAGCAGAGGGAATGTGAGGCCCACATTATCTCATTACTACAACCAGATAAAGATGTAAGAAAACAGGGAAACTACACACAAACATTTCTCATGAACAGAGATGCAAAAATCTTCAACAAAAGATTAGAAAATCCAAACCAATAATGTATAAAAAGAATTATACACCTCAACGAAGTGGGATTTATTGCAGATACATAAGGCTTGTTGGGTGTGAAATCCAGATTGTGATGAAAGACTCTAACTGTATTACAAATGTATGAAATAAACTCACTGAAATGGGTAGGGGCAGAAGTTGCTGACCTAAGTAAATTTGGAAATGCATCTAGTCGGCAATAGTAAAGGCAAAAAAAAAAAAAAAACTGCATAAACAGTACTGTAGTTGAAATTGCTGTTTCCCATGGGGGTTTGGGTTAATAATTCTGATACTACTATATACATACTGGAGTTAAACAATTAAGTAAATTAATTATAGATTGTGGGAGCCAGGTTTCTCACTATTGGAGTGGGAAGGTACAGACACAGATAAGCAAGGAAAGAGGCTAGAATGGTTCATCTGGTAATGAATTAAAGTGGGAGACATCAGTCTGAACCCATGCTTAATATACATACCAGTGTTCACATATAGAAATATTTAAAGATATGTGTATGTACATGGGTTAGTATACATACCTATATTCCCTTGCTCTGTCTGCTCAGAGGGCCTAAGCAATGATACCACAGTAGCGAGAAGTGTACCTTAGTAATCAGGTCTTGGTTTCTAATACCTTAGTACAAAGAAAAAAATGCTAGGGATCCTTGGGGAAATGGCTGATTCTTGGACTGGGGCAGGGAATCCACAATAACCTTACCGAAATGGGTGGAGGCAAAAGTTGCTGACCTAAGTAAAAAGAGCCCAGACAATTTTTGATCTACAAAAAGAGCCCAGAGAATGGTTCAATGCCAGAAAGTAAGGAAGTGCTCAAAGTAAACAAACAACCCTATGTTGATGGGAGTATGTCAAAGGTAAACAGGAACTGAAAACCTCCTAATGGCTAAAATTGGAATACTTTAAGAAACACATAAATTAAGAGGTATTAGGTTATAATCCAAAATAAACATCCATGAGTCCATAGTTGTATAGATAAACAATTGAATTAAAAATAAATGAAAGAGAATAGATAAATCTTCTATGAGGAAGAATTTCAAATAATTTATATAGATATTCTGGCCTCAACTAGATGGCGCATAACTCCCCACTCCTTAGGTGTGTGCTGGACGTAAGGAGTTCCTTCCAAATAGTAGGTACGGTATGAAAAGAGGAGGAAAAGAAAAACATTCCAGTGGAGAAATCCAATGAACACTTGAATCAGGTAATCAAGGTTGACCTCAGCAGTGAGAAGTCATGTTGATATGTATGAAGTGAAGAAAATGGCATTTTACTTGTTTGGTCTTCCTCTCCAAAACACATAACCTCACTCTAATCATGAGGAACACAACAGACAAATCCTGATTGACAGACATTTACAAAATACCTGACCAAGAATCTTCAAACTGTCGAGGTCATCAAAAACAGTGAATATCTAAGAAAATTGCCACAGCCAAGAAGCACCTAAGAGGACGTGAGGACTAAATGTAATGTGGTATCCTGGAAAAACAACAATAAAAACACTGTTAGGTAAAAACTATGGACATCTGAAAAAGCACCAACTTTAGTTAATAATGTATCAATATTGACTAATTAATTATAACAAATATACCATATTGATGTAAGATGTTACTAGTAGGAGAGATTAGATGTATGGTAACATAGATGATCTTTGCAATTCTTGATAAATTTTAAACAGTTCTAAAACAAAAAGTTTATTTTAAAAAAAGCAGTGGGGAGTCGTTTCACTGTGCAGGGAAATCCGGACTTTATCCTTTGAGGGTAATGAAGTTGTATGGTACCCAGTTCCACATAAACTCTGAGCTCATTTTAAGTTTGAGAGGGAATTGAACAGGCAAAGGCCTATTTTAGGAGGCTCTGTGACTAAAGAGGATTATACCCATCTTCTTCAAGGATCTGGAGCGTATTCTGATTTAATGGTGGCCTGATAAGCCAAAGATCTCCTCTAAACTCCATCTCACCTCATTCTTTTTGTGAAGGAATAATTTCTTTTGTCAAGGAATATATATTACTAGCATGGTATTTACTTGTATACAAGGGAAACTAATGCATATATTGATCTCATCTACAAAAAGCAAAAACAGGATCTAAATATGAGAATGACAAAAGAAGAATCTGCAGACATTTAGAATAGCCAACTTTGTTTTCCTCTTCTTGAGTCAGATGCTGGTTACCTGGCAACCTGCACCAGTTAGGGTATTCTGCTGTTGGGGAGCCAGATGGGTCATCAAAAATCCCCCAAAACAGTTAAGTTGTTTATAGCTTCTGCAGAAGACTTTGGGAGTTTGTGCAGTATGGGTGACAGGCTGCTTCTGTCTTGTCTTTCAGGGTCCTTTGTTAGCATATCCATCTTAGTTATTGCAAGTATGCATCTTTTCCCTTACAAAATTTCTCTCTCCTGCCTGAGAACAACTTTATGCTTCCCCTTCTCCAAGCCTCAAACCCCACTGCCTTCTCAAGACATTGTAGTCATCAATTTAGGCGGTTGTGATCAATATTTCTATCATCATCCAGCTTTTCTGACAGCCTGAAGCATTTTTATGTGTATCCTTTATTTCCTCTAAAACTGCTAATAAGTTTTCTGTATTATCACAATGTATTGACTTCCTTAATATCAATCTTATTACGCTGCAAAAAAGCCTTAGTACTTAAGCAGAGTATTAGCTCTGTCCACTTCTCCATCATTACAGAATTTCCCTACATGTAATTTCAACAACAATCTTATATGTAAAAATACTAGCACTGGAATTATGTTTAAGGTCTAAGAGCATAATTCCAAGAGTCAGTATTAATTCCTTTAGACCTTAAAAGATCCTGGTTTCACTTGATTATTTAACTACAGGTAAATTTTTCAATTAACCAGGACAAGTTAAACTAATGAGTTCTCTTTGGAGTATAATTCATGGTTGTTTATGTGTTTTTAAATTATCTTCTGACCTCTTCCCCCCAAAAGGGAGGGAAAACTGTATATGGGTGCATATGTACTTGTGTGTGTGTGTGAGACAGAGAGAGAGAGAGAGAGAGAGAGAGAGTTTAATCTTGTTCTTTAATTTACAATGATTGTTTACTTCTTTTTCAGTTCTTGTTTTGAATTTTTCAAAAGTGCTTCGTCATTCTTAAATGTTAGTTACACATTTTTGTTGGTTCCTGATTTTCCAGATTATCAATTCCTTCTTTACTGAGATAGAAAGTCATGATACTTTATACTTTGCTGGTTTTATTTAGGTTTTTTCCTAAATAAAAAGGTGAAATTACAAGAAGTGTAAATGTGTTGTCAATTCTAAGATTTCAGTGTCCCTTCTGGAAGATAGAACTTGTGAGCTATTCTATGGCCAAATTAAAAATGAAAGAGAAAGGGAGAGAGAAAGAGAGAGAGAGAGATTCTCCAAAGCAGTACAATGGAAATATTCTGTAATCTGTGATTTCTAAGACAGAAGCCATTAATGACATATTGCTACTGAGCCCCTGAAATATGGCTTAGTATAATTGAGGAATTCAATTTTTAATTTATTTTTAATTTATTTAAATTTGAGTGGCTACCCTATTGAACCAACATAGATCTAAGGCTGGAAGACACTCTTCTGTAACTTTATTGTATCCTTTATTTAGTTTTATTATGGCGTGGTTTAGTTCCTTCATCTGCAACACAAATTGAAACCATGAAAAACTATGTGAATTAATGGTTGTTATTAATATTTGGTTGATTGCATTCCAGAATCAGGACATCTCAATGCAAATAAAATGACTTCCTTCAAAACAATTGAACTACAGTTTTTCCATAAATGATAGTGTTGTTTACTAAGGGTATCGTTTTCCTACTGTTGCTGTAACAAATTGCCAAAAAAGTAATGGCACAAAACACAGATTTATTATCTTATAGGTCTGGAGGTTGGAAGTCTGAAATTGGGGTCACTGGGTTCAAATCAAGGTGTTAACAGGCCTACTTTCCTTATGGAGACTACGGGAAAATCCACTTCTTTTTCTTTTCTTTTCTTTTTTTTTTTTTTTTGAGATGGAGTTTCACTCTTGTCGCCCAGGCTGGAGTGCACTGGTGCGATCTCACCTCACTGCAACCCCCGCCTCCTGGTTTCCAGCAATTCTCTTGCCTCAGCCTCCTGAGTAGCTGGGATTACAGGCATGCACCATCATGCCCAGCTAATTTTTGTATTTTTATAGAGATGGGGTTTTACCATGTTGGCCAGGCTGGTCTTGAACTCCTGACCTCAGGTAATCCACCCGCCTTGGCCTGGTCTTGAACTCCTGACCTCAGGTAATCCACTCGCCTTGGCCTCCGAAAGTGCTGGGATTACAGGCATGAGCCACTATGCCAGGCCTTCCGTTGTCTTTTCTACCCACTTGAGGCCACTATAATTACTGACTCATGGTCCCTTCCTCCATTTTCAACTCCAGCAGTGTAGCATCTTCTCTCCTTTCTTACCTCTGCTTTCCTCCTTATAGTTCCTCTTTCTGACTCTGATCCTCCTGTTTTCCTCTTATAAATATGCTTGTGGTTAGATTTAGTTCCAGTATAATCCAGAATAATCTCATCTCCAGATTCCTAGTCACATCTTCAAAGTCTTTTTTGCCATGTAAGGTAGATATTCACAGGTACTGAAGCTGTTATTCCCGATTCAACACTAGTATAGCATATACATTGCCCAGGAATTGATTAATAATGTAATTTTAGGTTTGAATTTTGAAATGTGGTTAGTTCCAGGGTTGCTCATGGCTGAAATTTATCCTGTAGGACACACGGGATGTTGACATGACCCAAACATATATCCAGGTATATCATTTTACTCAACACATCCAACAATGCTCTCTGAGTCTCTTCACTGACATGTAAAACTTCCTCCAGAGGAGCAAAACCCAGGTCTTCAGAGTACTGTGGGCAGACACTTCATAAATGAGAAAACTCCATTATCTCTCCCAATGTGGAATTATAGCTCCAAGAACAATTTTAGAATAGAAGGAGTAGACTGGCAGGCTCTTCTCCCTGTGACTTCTACTTGAAGTGTGCTTAAAAACATTTGAGAGGCTTCTGTCCTATACTTGTCAGTGTCTGACCGGTATTTTAACTTCCATGTGAAATGTGAACTTACTGTTTAAAATGTCAGTGGAGAAGGGAAAATTAGAGGGAGAGAGGGATGGATGTTGACAATAAATATTATTAATGCTGTTTAGGGATTTTTGAGGAGGAGAATGCCCCTAAACTTTAAATAATAAATTACAGTAGAATGCAATGTATCGAAAATTGAGAGACGCAGCTACCAGAAGGTGAATCACTTGGATGTAAAATGTAGTACAGATACATATAGGATATGAAGGGATACAGATTGCACCTTTTCATTCTTCATTTCTAAGCTTAGATATCTCTCTCTTCACCAATCATGTCCTGGGACTGAGTTAGATGCCAAATATATCTCCAGTGCCCTTGTATTTACCAATGTTAATGCATTTTACTCCACATTATAATTGACTGTTTACCTGTACTTCTTAAGTATACCTATACCCCTTCTAAAGTAGTTTCTTTTCTTGTGCCTTGCATGTCAGCAAATGTAGTGCTTAGTGCTTGGTCAGTTAAGTCAGAAACCTAAAAGGCTTGGAGGTCTCATCTCCCCTCATTGTCACTTGCCTTGCATCATTAAGTATAATCATTCCTACTGCTATTTCCTTAGCAAAGTTAACTGTTCCTGAAATTATTACAATAGCCTCTAACTAGTGTGATCTTGCTTCCCTTGTGTGATCTTCTAGCAATGCAATGCAAATATGACCCTCATCTCAGTGCCTCCAACCCAAAAGAAGTTCTTAAATAATTCTCCTTTCCATTTTATGAAAATAAGTCATTAAAAGGTTTACAAGGCCTTATTCTGGCTAATTCTACCATCCTAGATTCTTGATTTTTTTCTACTATGCGCCAGCTGAAAATAGAGTGTAATGATTGAAGAGGTCAAGGATCTGAAATAGAATTCTAGTTTATCACATGGAAGTCTGTGTGATTTGACAAGTTACTTACTCTCTATGATGATTCAATTATATTATCTGTTAAATTGGGAGGATAATATCTTCTAAATTGGCTCATGAGGATTATTATAAAGGTCATTACAATGACTTATGTATTTTTCAATGTTCAATTAATTATTTGTTGTAATTGTCACTTTCATTATTCATAGTTACAGGTGTCTTAGTTTGTATCCCTCCAGAATTTAAGGTTGAAATAAAGATTCAAGTACAAATAGTTGATTTTGGAGTTGATCCTAATAGATAACCAGCTGGAGAGCAGGGAAGTCAAACAGGGAGGGGAAAAACACCACTAAAGGGTATATTAATGAGCAGGTCACCAGTGTGGGTAATTGAAGATCAATCCTAGTGTGGACTTCTGAAAGTTATTTTTGAATATGCCTCATAGTTATCCTACCCAAGGGATAAGAAATCCAAGTCTATAACCTCCAACTTATATCTATCATTTTCTCAGGGCTGCTTACAGACCCATCAACCAACCAGCAATTTCAGAGTGCTCCACAGTCAGGCCAATCATGTTTCTGTAGGCTAAAAAATCCCTCAAGCAGAGAGTTATAGGCACTTATAATAGGAGGCTGTAAGACATGCATAGGAACTAGCAGTCAGGGCATATTTAGTAGACAGCATTTGCTATGTGAAAGAATTGAGGCTCAAAGGGATGAAATGATTAGTGCAAGATCCTCAGTAAAAAGTGTTTGAGTCTAAATTTGAACCAAGGGATATCTGATTCCAAACCACTTGCAGTTTTTACCAAATTATGGTAGCAATTACTTAGAAGTGGAGATTATGAAAGGAGTATGGCTAAATATGAAGGATCCAGCGAAACATGTTGGAGAATGAGACCTACAAATTGCGTGACAAGGAATTCAAAATAGTCACTGTATTAGTCAGTTTTCATGCTGCTGATAAAGACATACTCAAGACTGGGCAATTTATAAAAGAAAGAGGTTTAATTGGACTCACAGTTCCACAAGGCTGGGGAGGCCTCACAATCATGGTGGACGGCAAGAAGGAGCAAGTCACATCTTACGTGGATGGTGGCAGGCAAAGAGAGAGAGTTGTGTAGGGAAACTGTGCCTTATAAAGCCATCAGATCTTGTGAGACCTATTCATTATCATGAGAACAGTACAAGAAAGATCTGCCCCCATGATTCAATTACCTCCCACTGCATCCTTCCCACAACATGTGGGAATTCAAGACGAGATTTGGGTGGGGACACAGCCAAACCATATCAGTGGCCTTAAAGAAGTTCAGTGAGCTACAAAAATATAGACAGAAAACTAAATGATATCAAGTTGAAATAAAAGGGCACAAACTAACAATATGAAAATATGAATGTATAAAAACTGTAAAGGTAAGAATATAGTCAAATTCAGAATACTCATAGTGTAATGGTGGTGCACAAATCACTTTTAAATCTAGGGCAAATATTAAAAAATAAAAGCATTAAAAATAACTATAACTATTATAATTTGTTAATGGATACATAATATATAAAATATGTAAATTGTGATATCAATAACATAAAATGTTGGGGGGAGGAGAAGTTAAAGTGTAGAGTTCTTTTATGCACTTGAAGTTAAGTTGTAATCACCTGAAAATAGATGGTTATAATTATAAGATGTTTTACCTGAGCCTCATGGCAACCACAAAGAAAAACCTCGAGGCATACCATCACAAAAAAAAAAAAAAAAAATCAAATCACAAAGGAAGTCAGCATACAAAACAGAAGAATAAAACAGCAAAATTCAGAAAATGATTAAAAATGGAAATTGTAAGTTCTTACCTATCAATAACTACTTTAAATGTAAATGGATTACATTTTCAATAATAAGAAATATAGTGGCTGAACACGTAAAAAAATAAAAACAAGGTGATACTATGTGCTACCTACAAGAGACTCACTTCACCTTTAAGGACACACATATGCTGACCAGGAAAGGATGGAAAAAGATATTCCACATGAATTAATAGTAACCAAAAAAAGAGTAGGAATGGCTATACTTGTATCAGACAAACTAGATGTTAAGTCAACAACTCTAACAAGTAACAAAGAAGATAATTATATTATGAAAAACGGCCAATTCATCAAGAGGATAGAATTATATCTTCTTGATTTGGTTTGGGTCTGTGTCCCCACATAAATCTCACCTCAAACTATAATCCCCATAATCCCCATGTGTTGAGGGAGGGACCTAATGGGAGGTAATTGGATCATGGAGGTGGTTCCCCCATGCTGTTCTCCTGATAGTCAGTTCTCATGAGATCTGATGGTTTTATAAGTGTTTGACAGTTCCTCCTTCACACACACACTCTCTCTCCTCCTGCCTTATGAAGAAGGTGCCTGCTTCCCCTTCTGCCATGATTGTAAATTTCCTGAGGCCTCCCCAGCCATGTGGAACTGTGAGTCAATTAAACCTTTTTCCTTTATAAATTACCCAGTCTTGAGTAGTTCTTTATAGCAGTGTGAGAATGAACTAATACACTTCTACATTATGCATATAATATATATGTAGTCAATATTGGAACACTTAAATATATAAAGCAAATATTAACAGAATAGAATACAGAAATAGACAGCAATACAGTAGGGGACATCAATACCCCACGTTCAACTATGTATAAATAATCCAGGGAGAAAATAAAGAAAGACACAGTATACTTGAACCCCATAGTCCAAAAGGACCTAACAGGCATATACAGAACATTCCATCCAACACTTGTAGAATATATATTCTTTACAAGAGTACATGAAACATTGTCCACAATCAATCACATATTGGGCCACAAACAAGTCTTAAGAAATTCAAGAAAATTAAAATCATATCAAGTATCTTTTGCAGCCACATGATATAAAACTAGAAATCAGTAACAGGAAGAAAATTGGAAAATATGCAAATGTGTAAGTACACAAGACACTCCTGAACAACATGTTGTTTTCCTGATAGTGAATAAGTCTTACAAGATATGATGGTTTTTAATTAAATTCCAAACATACATATAACACAGAAGAATATATAACAAATATATGTGTTCACCACTATAGATTGAGCAGATGATGCCATCTTGCTATATAGGTTTTATATATTTAAAGAAAAATAATAAGTATTTTGGTCCAAAGTTCTGCAGGCTATATGAGAAACATGGTGCCAGCATATGCTTGGCTTCTGGTGAGGGTCTCAGGAAGCTTTCAATCATGGCAGAAGGTGAAGAGGAGCCAGTGTGTCATGTGGTGAGGAGGAATAAAGTGTTATACTCTTTTAAACAACCAGATCTCCTGTGAACTCAGAGGGAGAACTCACTCATTACCATGAGAAGGGCACCAAGCCATTCATGAGGGATCCGCCCCCATGACCCAAACATCTCCCAGTAGGCTCCCCCTCCAACACTGGGAATCACATTTCAACATGAGATTTGGAGAGGACGCACATTCAAACCGTATCACCTCAGCTATATACAAATATCTGTTTGAGTATGTGGACCACCTAACTCAGTCTTTTGACTGATTTCTTCTCTCTACTGTGTGATTTATCTACCTGAAGAGTTTATTTTCATTGACTGTATTTCAGCAGTCTCTTCATAGAAAATTTACTCTTCAGTCAAGGGTTCACCTTTCTATAGTGTGTCTGTGTTTTTAAGGGTAGCCACAACTTTCAAATTTAGCTTCTACCTTTATACCAAATAATCCTGCTAGAAGAGCCAATAGCCCAAGTTCTGATGGTTGGGACATGGTGCTTGGCTGAGTAAGCGTGATTCTTGGGGACATGTGGAATGGTGGATATGACCCTGGCAGGTGGCTTGCAGTAGGGGTGAGAATGTGTTGGAGTATTTGGCATGGCAGTATGGTGGAGACATCCATGTGCCCCTGCAGAGCCAGCAGGAGTGAGGAAGCACAATTATGCTAATAAGAAAAGGCCTGATTCCGTTGCTGTTATGATGTGACAAGACAAGAATGGACTTAGGTCTAAACCTGTGCTTTTTAAGTAATTTATCAATCTGTAAGTATAAGTGGCAATACCACATATGAAGTCCCGAGGGAGACAAAAGCAGATTTTAGGTCCTGTTCCTCACCCTTGATGCAGTTTAGAACCTACAGAAAAGAAAAGATCTACACAAAAGTACCAATTTAAGAACAGATTTTAAAAGTTCTACAAGAAAAAGAAATATCTTTGATGATAAACAGCTGATTGTATCAGTTGCTATCACTGATTTTGCTTAACCAAGTCTTCTCAATGTACTATATCTAAAGTGACTTAAATATCTGCTCATTTTTTTCCTGTGTAAAATGATTTCAGATAATAGCAAAAATGAACTTTGTACTTGCTTTGTATCTTTGCAATTGTTTATCCAATTGGTTTCATTCACAAGTAATGAAATGTGAAGGTGCCTAGCAGTCCATTAACATATATAAGAGGATGAACACTATGTACAAAGTCTAAAACATTTACATTAACTGGACAAAATGTGAGTTTTTGCTTCCCATCATAAGATTCTAAGATATTGGAATATGCTGTTAATAACCACTACTATGAATAAAAGAACCCATATACATATATATCTATGTTACACATTCTATGTGTGTATGTATTTATATATATTACTAATTTTCCATTATATCAAATGTATATTCCTGTGTTAAATATGGATGAGAGGATGAAAATCATAAATATCTGTGTTCTCTGAAAAAATGGTATGTTTTTTAATATGGAAAGGTTAATTAAAAGTTATGAGGGCTGGTAAATCGGAAAGTCATTTTGTATAGTTTATTTCATCTAAATATATATATATTTAATGAGTGAATAAAATGAGGTCAGCAACTTTCTTTGTTTGCATTCTCAGGTTTCATTTCTTTCCTCAATAGTGTGGCATAAGAGGACAGTTAGGTTGGGACAACAGCTTGACAGAAGGGAAAAGGAGTATCAGTGTTGTGGGGAAAATAATTTATTGATGAAGAACTGTCCTCCCTAAGAAGAAAAGCAGAGAGCTGCCATTTACAGTTCCCCACTGGTTCCCTGAGTGGTCACTGTCTCAGAGACCTGAAGTGAGGATTAAACATTGGAAGGAGGGAGGAAATGGCAGGGTGTTTGATATGGTTTGGCTCTGTGTCCCCACCCAAATCTCATCTTGAATTGTAATCCCCAGGCGTCCAGGGAGGGAGCTGGTGAGAGGTGATTGGATCATGGGGGCGGTTTCCCCTATGCTGTCCTCATAATAGTGAGTTCTCACAAGATCTGATGGCTTTATAAGGGGCCTTTCCTCCTTCACTTTCTCCTCTCTCTCCTGCCGCCATGTGAAGAAGGTTTTTGCTTCCCCTTCGCCTTCTGCCATGATTATAAGTATCCTTAGGCCTCCCTAGCCATGTGGAACTGTGAGTCAATTAAACCTCTTTCCTTTAGAAATTACCCAGTCTTGGGTTTGTCTTTATAGCAGTGTGAAAATGGACTAATACAATATTATGAAAGACTCTTCCATTTATTATCATGTCTCTCTCATTTCCACAGGCCAAAAATGATATTAGAATACCTGTGATACGTGCATCATAAACTGTCCACATTACAGAATAAGCAAATTAATTGAAATTCTAAAGCACTTATTTTTTACTCTGGTTATAAAATTCAACTGATGTGGGAGTTTTGGGGGTTCATTAAAAAAATTTGGCCTTTAAAGTTTTAAAAATCAATCTTCTTTTACTATAATACTCTAATAGTTTCACATATAAGGTGAAACTTCATTCCTGAAAGTGAAACTCTAGTGAAATAAAAGAAGTGTATAATACCTATGTTTTCATATAAATGCCAAAATTGGTTGTTGTTCGTGGTTTTATTTATAAGTGCAACATTTACCACAAAATTCCTTAGATCACTGCAGTCTACTGCTGGTATTTACTTTCCAGGATTATTATTTGTGGAGGTCGATAAATGATTAACTGCAGCTTATTTTGTTTCAGCTATGGCATCGGATAAACTGCATTTCTCACTTTGTCTTCTCAGCAGTTGTGTGGATTATGGAGATGAGCTGTGGCTCTAGCGGAAAATGCATCATTTATACATGTCAGGTGGATGGCATCACGCTCCTGTTCTGGGCTTTTTCACAGAGGCTGTGAGATTTATGACCATCATAAAGCCTTTTCGCCCCCATAGATCATGTTGGTAGAATACACATACCTTTTCTGGACTTCACCCCTTCCAAAAGCAGCCGGAATCAGAACAAGGTGCTATTTTGGTAATTTTTTCCCCCAGAGAGAGAGAAAATTACTCCATCCCCCTAAAATTTTCCCCTACGGCCAAACAGCTAATTATTCAAACTAAATAGAGAAATCTAGCTGATTATTTTTCCTTTTCAACATGTTTTCTTTGAGAAAAACATGTATTTATTTTTATGAAAAGCTTTTTTAAAGTAAAAGGTGTTAAATTGCTTAGCTTGGCAGAACTACTAGGATAAAACGCATGTCCACACACAGAGCTGTTTTTGCTAATGTTCTCTCCAAGTCTCAGGAATATATATGTAGCTCAATTTGTCTTATACATGTAGATGTTTATCTGTCATTGGTATCACGTAATCAGAAAATAATTTTCAAAATTGGAGACCCCTCCTGAGGCAGTCATATGTTTTAAGGCAATTCAAGCTTTCACTTTATAGGATAACTAAGTCAAAGCTGCCATTCACGAATTAACTACTTAGAAAGTGCAAGGCAGTGTTTGATTTCTCCTTCTTTCAATCTATCCTGCCTCTGTCCCTCTCTCCCCAGCAAGGCAAACAGGAATAAAACCTGATCTATAACTTTAGCAAAAAGAAAAACATAAACAAAAGAATACACACCATAATAAATGATTATTTATTACAGCAGAATAACTTGATTACCTGACTAAGAAAATGGATATAGCTTTTATAAAGGAGATGTTGTTTGAGCTGGGGTTTTCTGGATATATATTGCCCTTCTGGCTGGAATTTTTCTATCAGTAAGAAAACAAAAAAATCTGCAAATCAAAATATTAAAAATATAGGTAGTGGAGCATGTAGAATCAGAGAAAATATAAAAATATGTTTGAACCACTCAGATATACTAACAGAGGTACTGGCTATATCTAGATCTATCTTGATACGTGCACACGTGCATACCCATGCACGCGCGCGCACACACACACACAGCATATATAAGAACAAACACAAATGTCAAGAGGCAAAACTTGTATTTGCATGGGTCAACGATGAGCAAGTAATGTTGTGTCATTCATTTTTATTTATTCTTTCTTGCAACATCCTCATAGATTACAAATGAAATTTCTTTCTCTACCGATATTCACCTTCTAAATATAATCCTCATTGATTTTACCCTTTTTATTTGCACCAAACTTTGAAATTAGTAAAAATGGAGTTTATATATTCACTTCATAAGCATGTGTTAAAGGCTAATTTGTGATATGGAAATATGATTATAAAAGGTTTAGATTGAATATGTTCTAACTCCAGGAAAATCAAAAATTAATAACAACAAATAAAAAGTCCTGATATGGGCTGCTTTATTGGTGATTTATCTCTTTTGTCTAGGTGTTTAATTTATCAAAAATGTATGCTATTGCATCTCATTGTCCTTTAAGAATGCCAAGGTTTATCTGAGTGCCCCTGGATTGTATTCACCCAAAGGTCATATGATCATCTAAGTTATGTAACAGGGAGTCCACTCATTACCCTGACAGCACATGAAAAAGTACCTGAATTCACAGATTCAAGAAACCAGATAGAAAGATCATGAAATGTTTGAACACATCTCAGTCACAGAGAAGGAGAAATTGAGATACAAAAAAAATGAGGTCACAGTCCTACCTTATAGGTTGCTTTATTATATTGGCTTAGTAATTTGAATTTGAGTTTTGTTTTGTTTTGTTTTTTTGAGACGAATTCTCATTCTTGTCCCCCAGGCTGGAGTGCAATGGCTCGGCTCACTGCAACCTCCGCCTTCCGGGTTCAAGTGATTCTCCTGCCTCAGCCTCCCCAGTAGCTTGGATTACAGGCACCTGCCACCAGGCCCAGCTAATTTTTGTATTTTTAGTAGAGATAGGGTTTCACCACATTGGCCAGGATGGTCTCGAACTCTTGACCTCAGGTGATCTGCTCGCCTCGGCCTCCCAAAGTACTGGGATTATAGGTGTGAGCCACCGTGCCCGGCCGAATTTGAGTATTTTTAAATGAAATATTTTTTAGCAAATTAAGCAACTATTTTGTTAACGTATCTATATGCAGTAAAGCTGAATCCATTTTTATGAAACATTTATTGGTGCTGCTTATCCTTTATTTTAAAACATTCTTTTATATAAAAATTTTGTATAGCTAATCAAATTTTTTCAAATATTTTGAGTTAAATTCTTTATGATATTTTTGTGCAGTATTTGAAAAGCCTTCTGCACGTGCTTGTATGCCCTAAATTAAACAAGAATGCCTCAACTAAAGTTTTTTACTTTATAGTGTAATGGAACTGATTTATCCTCAGGAAAATTAGCCTTCCATTTAAATGTCTGTATTCATTTGACAGAAAAGAAAGCTAGATATATGTGAGAATGCATGTGTTTTCACAATTGTTATGCACTCCCATTAGAAAGTGCCAGAATATCTGCAAATAAAACTCTTTGTCAAAATCAGTTTTACATGAAGCTTGACTTAATGAGCAGTTTTTATGTGGCATACAAATCTCTGGCACTCTCTTTTTTGTTGCCAACCAGTTTTATTAATCATGGAGCAGCTAGGTTTCAGACCAACTACCCATCCATTAGGATTTATTTCCAGAACTTTGGCAGATCTTACCTCCACAATTTTTTCTGCAACACAGAATCCATTTCTTGAAGAATGTAATGTACTGAGCTTAAAATCTTGTAGGGTGAAATAGGCATTCTAATTAATAGGGATTGGTGATGGGATATATTTTGTATCATCTAATACTAACTAGAGCAAAATGTTACCCTCCTATCATTCTAGCAAAAAGTCTACACTAAATCCTTATTACATGCTCAATAGTAGAAGGGGATTAGTAATGCAGTAACCTTAATCACAAAAGATTGGGCAGATCTACAAAAGTTTCCTAAACTCGGAGCAAGTGTCAGTCTGAAGACATTATTTTAATGTCCCCAGTCCACATGGTTAATTTTCAATTGTATCAAGGAAGACTATCTTGTGGTAATTCCAGTAGTTCCTGCAGTGCTGCTTACTTCTTAGATCATCAACATTTACTTTCTGAGTTCTAACTTTCATAAATATGCCTTTCATTTTTCTGATGCTCCCCGGAATCAGAAAGGCCATTCATGGTCAAAGAAGTGTTACACAGGATATTCTGTATCCTGAAGGATTCAGAAATGCATTACTTTACTAAGCCCTGGACTAGCTCATAGCAAATATTTTATAATAGTTCCTGGAGTAATTTTAATTTACGAATGTTAATATTTCAAAATTGAAATAAAAGTTAGTGATTAATTGAAAATATTATGTTTGAGATTTTAAATGTGTAAAATGCCATTCTTACAAATGGAGTTTAAAAAAAATTCTTCTGAGGGAATTGAGTTTCTGGTAATATGATTAATTAGATGCCATAAACAACCCTAAAGAGCTATAACACAAATCTGAATGAAATACACAAAAATAACTGTATACATCCCTAAGCTGGTAAGATTTTTTAAAAATTCCAACTTCAAAATAAACTGAAAGTGGTAAAACTGGAAGATGAATATTGAATTAGTTTTTCAGGTTGATGGTAACATCAGAAATATGGTGACCCTGAGCTTCTTTCCTATCACCTGATCAGGATTAGGAGACAGGAGAAAAATTGATGGCTTGTGTAAGCGAGAGAGAACTACTTTCTCACTATGTTAAAAAAGAAGCAACACAACAAAAAGGAAATTTACCTATTTTGACTTTGGTGCTTAAAATAACTAAGGTAAACACTAAAAGATTATATATAAAGAATGCAAATTGCACTCTAGTAGAAGGAAATAAATGATGGCAAAAATAGAACCTCAGTAAAAAAGACAGAAAGAAAAGGAAATAATGAGCAAAAACAGGATATATTGAAAACAGAATAAAGATAATAAATAAAAATGAGCAGATAATCAATAAGTACATATGGCAAAAATTATTCAGTTGAAAGTAAAAGACATTTAGTCCTGAATTTACTACATCTAGCCATATGTTGTGCATAAAAGACACTGTCAAAACATTAGAATGCAGAAGTTTGAAAATGAAAGGGTGGAATCATACTTACCAGTCAAATGCTAACAAAAAGATGAGCTTATAACAAACAAAATAGACTTAACTCAAAAACTAATACTCAAATAAGGTTGTGTCATAATGATTGAAGTTTCAATTGACAAAGAAGACATACAAATTCTCTAGTTTTTGTATATAATACATGGGCTCAAAACAACTATTGGAAAAATTTACAGACATAAAAGAGGAAATACACAATTATATCATTATAGTGGAAGATTTCAGTACACTTTTTGTCAGTAATTAATAGATCAACAGTGTAAACATAGGTCAGAATATAGCAGATTAATAAGGTTGATCTACTAGACATATACAGGATATTAAATCAAAAAGTTATTCTCATTTGTCTTCAAGAACACATGGAATATTTAAAGAAATTGATTATGTGGTAGGTTATAAAAGCGAGTTTCAACAAATTTCACGGGAATGATATAATGCAGATTGTAATCTTTAACCACAGTGAATTTACATTTTAAATTAATAGAAATAAAAATAACTTTAAACACCCATATCCTTGGAAATTTAAAGATTACACTTTGAAACAACCCATGAATCAAATAAAAATAATACTGGGTATTAGAAAGTGTTGAGAAATAAAAAATTAATATAATAACAATAATACATATAAAACTTATGATATGCTTTTAAAGCAGTTCATACTAATGTAGAGCCTTAACTATGTCAAACAAGAAGACAAGCTAAATATCAATAACCTAAAAATCTAACATAAGAAGTTAAGGAATAAATAGCCTAATTAGCTGGCAAGTATTAGGGAAAAATAAGTAACAAAGAGGAGAAATTAATGAAATGTAAAACAAACATAAAATAGAAACAATCAACAGAGCCAAAAGTAGTTTTTTGATAAGGCTAAGAAAATTGATATATTTGTGGCAAGGACAGTAAAGGCAAAAAAGAATAGATTAAAAATAGAAATGGAAAGGAGGAACATAAATTACAACAGAGATTTAAAAGGTTATAAGAACACATGCTGACACATTTTATGTTGAGTATTTGAAATGTTACTTGTTACTGATAAAAGAAAATTGCAATTTACCAACATAATGGAGATAACAAAGAGATAATAAGCTTGAAAAATTATTCCATGAAAAAAACACTAGGCCAAGACTGCTGTAGAGAGTGAGTAAGGCTATCCCAGACATTTAAAGAAGAGATAACTCCAGATTTCTACAAAATCATCCATGGAATACAATAGCAGAGAGAGTTTTCAGTGGGAGCAAGAGCATTAGAGACAACCACCACTATTACAGCAAACTAGTAGATAGATGACTTTAAAATAATAAGGGTAAGTAGGCTAAAAGATCTACTGCCAAAGGAGGGTAACGTGTGAACAGGTGTAGAAATTCACCAAAGCCAAGTTAGTTATTTGACAAGATCAATAAAATTGATAAACCCCTAAAAAAACTGACAAGAAGATAAGAGAGGCAGGAATAAAAGAAAAAAAAATGGAACTCTATAAACCATAGAACTCTAAATTATAAAAAAAAGAAAATAAAGGGAATAAAGAAATATACAATAACATAATTTATTCAATTGGCTTAACAACTCATAGCTCTTCCTCTGCACAGCTGAAAGAAAGATGAATGATTTTGGAAAAAAAAAGCAACAGAAATTATCTAAACTGAATACAAAGTCTAAAATAATGAAGCAGAAGACCTGATATCTGTGGCACAATGTTCATGTTCTCTTTGAACTCTGCATAGAAAAGAATTTTTTAAACAGGATCAAAACCCATAGCCATAAAAACTACCTGAAAATTAAGAACATTTGATTAATAAAAGACATTGTAAAGAGAATGAAAATATAAAGAAGTTATTTCCAATTTGTATGACTGATAAAGTAATATCTATATGTGTATCTATCGACCTTTCTATCTATCTAATGACAGGTAGATGATAAATAAGAAAAAATAGTAAAATAGACAAAAGAACCTTAAACAATAGTTCCCTGAGGAAGAAAACTCAACAGATATTAAGATTTTTAAAATGTTGCTGAAACTTATTATGAATAAGGGAAAGTCTGAGAAACCAAACGATATTGAGTACTATAAAAAGTTAAAGCTGCAAAAGGAATTGTCATACACAGGTGATTGAAGTACACATTCAAACAAATACTTTGGAAAACCATATGACATTACCAAGCCTTTTGATAGTGAAGATGATGATGACACAGCAATTCACTTCCTAGGTATTATACACTGAAGAAACTCTTATCCTTTAGGTCCAGGAGGCAAACATAAGGAAGTTCATAGCATAGCACAGATCTCTCTTCTCTCTCTTCCTCCATCACCCCTTCTCCGAATATGTCAATGTAGTTACATACACACATGCACACACACACACACACATATATATCTATATATCTATAAATATATCTCTATCTCTATGTATCTATCTATCTATCTATCTATCTATCTATCTATCTATCACCGAACTGCTGAATAACTCGTTTCCACTTCCAAATTCACGCTCTATCCTTCTTCATTTATTCTGTACTTTGAGAGATGGATGAATCAGTTTGGATACCATCGATTGACTCACTCTTAACTTCCAGCTCTTGATTTTTCAGCTGCAGAAGGCACTGCCGGAAACTGGGAGGTTTCTTAGAAGGGTGGGGTTGAGTTATGTATTTGTCAGCAGCCTCCCTGCAAGTTCATTCTGACTTGGCAGCATTTTCCCTCTATGAAGACCACAGTTCTTGGCAGGCAGCCCCCTCCTTCTATCTTCTCTCTATCTACCTTCTCAAAGTTTGTGTAACTGCTTTCTTTCCCTTCAGATCTAGGGCTGAGTAGGGCTCTTCACTGTTGCCAGCTATGGGGTACTACGTCACCCCTTGTGGGTTTGCTGAAACCCTCTCACACTTTGGAGAAATAGTTCCTTTATTAAACTCTAGTCATTTGGTTCCTATGGGAATTTTTACTAATACGAATTCAATCACACATTCCTAATTAAATAAAAAATATAACTTGTGTTGCATTTATATGAATACATGCATTTTTGTAAGTACAATAGAGTGGCAAGATGAATGAATACATTTTGCATGAATTAACATGGTTAGATCTTCTTAGTATATTACTGAGTGAAACAGTCTGAAAGAATGGCATTTAAACATATAAAGAAATTTCATATCAGCCAAGGTAGCATATTCCATCCACTGCAACTATTTTAAATAAAGGTTAGAACTTATTGAGCTATAGCTTGTTCTAGGTATGTTATCTCTGCATACGTTTTGAATCTTAAACATTGTGACAGTTTGCCATAGAAAGATCATTACATTCATTCAACTGTAACACGAGTATATTTAACCAATGCTCAGATTCAGAGAGAATCTTCTGCATTCTCACTCATAAAGGAGCTGTTTATTTCCTTTCATATCACAAAATATTCCCCAAAATATGCAGGGATTTAGTGCCCAGAGATATCACATTCATCCATTCCTTCGTTGCATTCAGCAAATAATTAGTGATCAGCCAGTATAGGCTGGGCACTGTCCGAAAAAGGTATCTTGGGCAGGGACTAAACAATGACTTGGGTAGTGGAGATGGACATCATTCCTGCAGGGTGGTCATGACACAATGCTGGATGCTATACAACTGAATGTCCCTTCAGATACCTATATAAAGACAAATATGTTTTCTGGGTTCAGGCCACATGCATTCCTGCTCATTAGAGTGGAGGCAGGATGAGCCTGACTTCACTCTCCAGTGGCTCCTTAGTCCTGTTAAAAATGATGCTGGCTTCAGACCCAGGTTGTCCATGAACTTAGTATCACTGCAGCTCCTAGGTTCTCAAATGATGGCAGTGTGCTAATCTCTTAGCCAGTTGAAAAAATAAAGCAGGTGGGCTGGGCGTGTTGGCTCATGCCTGTGGTCCCAGCACTTTGGGAGGCCGAGGCGGGTGGATTGCTTGAAGCCAGGAGTTCAAGACCAGCCTGGCCAACATGGCAAAACCCCATCTCTACTAGCAATACAAAACATTAGCCAGGAGTGGTGGCATGTGCCTATAATCCCAGCTACTCAGGAGGTTGAGGCACAAGAATCACTTGAACCTGGGGAGGTTGAGGCTGCAGTGAGCCAAGATCTTGCCACTGCACTCCAGCCTGGGCAACAGAGCAAGACTCTGTCTCAACAAAACAACAACAAAAGAAAGAAAGAAAAGAAAAGAAAAAAGAAAAACAGAGCAGGTGTCTGTTCTCACAGAGCTTAGGGTCTATGGAGTGGATTAGAGGAAAGCAATGAATTATAATGCAGTGCCATGGTGATATGTAGGCTAAGCATAGGATTTTATAGGAGAATGCCAGTGTGCATCTAACCTAGATTTTTGCTATCTATAGTATCTGTGTGGACATCCAATTATAGCATTACTGCTACTGCTTCTGTTATTATAGGAGTTTAGAAGGATATGTCACTATGCTCTAAATTGATGATCATCAGAGCTCCAGTTTCAATTATTATATGTACACCATACTTGGGCTTCAGTATCCGCAGCTTCTTAATGTAAACTCAACTTTAACAGATATAGAGCCCACACATTTTAAAGAGAAAACTTTATCAGTCGTAATAGCAAGAGGAAATTTTGAGGTTATTCTAGTAAGATGAAAATCTGGTAGGGACTAGAGGCAAATGAGCCCCACAAGAGATGGAGTTCTGTTGCACACACTATCACTTCCTCTTATTTTTTGTTTTCATTGCCTTCCCAATTTTAATAAAAATTGAAGCTGGCTACAACTAGATTTTCATTTAGTTGAAGCAACAGACAGGAACATGTAACTATTCCAAGCCAATAAAATAGTAAATTCAAGTGAACATCTAACGGTAACATGGAATGACAAATAATTTTGAGACATGGGCTCAAAGTTTACTTACTCCCGGCATCAGTCTACTCATTTTTTCTCCCCTATACTTTCTCTTGTCAAATAATGAGTATTTCAGGGATTTAAATATGTGTCAAAAAAAAAAACACAAAAATTTTAGTAGCATACAGGTGACAAACGAACGACGTTTCAAACCCTTTTCAAATTGGTCTGTGTACTATCAGGTTAAGGTGAAGGGGGTCACTGTTAGAGGAGAGAGAATGGATAAACACAGATAACACTATAACTCTAGGAAGGAAAATTCACAGTGGCTGATGGATCTCATGTATTTTTCTTATATTTCCTACTAAATAAATTCTCAAAGAGCAGGGTATTTATTCCTTCATTACTGCTTCCATAAAGTGCTTATAGTAAATATGTAAATATTTTTTGGTAGATAAATAAAACCAAATAATAATTTCTTTTAACACCGTATGCTCTAGACTGAAAGTCTGTGTCCCCCCAGAATTTATATGTCGAAACCTAATCCCCAATGTGATGGTATTTAGAGTTGAAGCCTTTGGGAAATAATTAGGCCGTAATGGTAGAGCTCTCATGAATGGGATTAGTACCCTTAGAAATATCAGGCAGTTCCCTCACCAGACACCAAATCTGCCAGAGCACTGATCTTGCACTTCTCAACCTCTAGAACTACGAGAAATAAATGTTTGTTGTTTAAGCCACACAGTGTATGATATTTTGTTATAGCAGCCTAAACAGACTATGACACTATGGCAGCTACATAGCAGATTTACTGAGAAGTTAGTGTTGCCTGACCTGTCAATTTTATTAGAAATTGAACCAAAAATTACCCAATGGAATTTTGATAAAGTATTGCTGAAAAAACTATAAAATCTTAAAAGTCTTCAAGTTCAAAATTGCCTGAAACTAGAGGTTTTATTAAGATTACTGGGTAGGAGCTATGAGGAAAAAAATCTTCATACCATTTACCCATTGAATCATTCATTTATCCATTAAATACACGTTGAGTGATAGGCAGTATTTTAAGTGCTGGAGATACAAATATGAATAAGATAATTTTTGAGACTTAGGATTTCAGGGTCTATTTTTGGATACAAAAATAATTAATACATTTTAATACAAGGTAACACAAACATAGTAAAAGCATTAACAAAATGTTACATGAAACAAAGATGTCACTATGCCTGGGAGATTGAAGGGAAGGTTGACAGTGGATGTGCCATTGTGTTTTAATGCATCAGTAGTAGAAAAGCTAGAATGATGTAGTCAGCAAAGCTGTCTAAATATGATACAATGATGAAACATTCATTTTTAAAGAACTATCCATTTTCAAATAACTTTAGGCAATGTTGTTTCATTTGATTGCTTTAATAAACACACAAGTTGGGCTTTAACTCCATATTTTTAAAAATGGAATAAACAAGTTCATAGAGTTTAACTTTTTTTTTTTTTTTTTACCAAATTTGTATGGCTAATAAGGGAATAAATGAAAACCCACAAAAAGGGAATTATTACCTGTCTCAAAAAGAAAAGAGTTACCCACTACAGCGAGTGATTGGAAATAAATGGGATGAGCAGCTGATAAGAAGATTGTAAGGAAAATCCAATGATAGATTGATGATAGGTGTTAGGTGATACATCAAGACATTTAAACCTTGCCATTTTGTGATGTTCAGGGTTGCAGTGATTATGAATTTAAATAATAAATATAAACAGTTTTGTTAATAAGGAATAACCATTAATAACTTCTTTTATCAGCCATTTCTTTGGAAACTACCCTGTAACAGAAATGACATATTGGGGGTTTGACACGATAACTGAATAAGGCTTGGTCTCTGCTTTAACAATGGAGATAACAGGCGCTCCACTTACATTCCTGTAAAAGATTTTTTAAAAATAATTAAGACCACTTAATTATCATTTTTGTTAAGATTTGTCCCAAATAATGAAAAGTTAACAGAATGTTTTTGATATTATTAATATTCAAGAAAAAACCTGTGACAAGAAATGATACGTAAATGCGATTATTCATATTGCTTGGCCCAAATCATTTATTGAGAAAAACATTCAGATGTCAAAAAGCAAAAATTAAGCCAATTATTCAAGTGGTTAACATATCCAAGGGCTTATACTCATACAGGTTGTAAGAATTAACTGTTTTTATTTAATTCATATGTTTAGTTTTCTATGAAAAGGCTGAGTGCATAAGATAGCTATGTGTAACTTTTACAGTTTAAAAAGTGCTGTCAAACAAACACTTCTTTAAAAGTCTTAAACTTCATGAGACAAATAAAGGGATACTGTCTATTTGGAGACAAATAAGTTGAGGCATAGAGTAATTAAATGATTTGCCTCCATGCAACGGAGTAATTAAGCATATAGGCCCATATTTGAAGCCCAGCCTTCTAACTTTAAATCCTATGCACTATTCCACATTTCCTATGCTAACTGGAGAGTTAATCACTATAATAAAAGTATGTCAAGGTCAATATATTAGTATCGTAGGTTATTTTGTATTTGTATTTTGTGATATTGGAGCTCATAAAATACATTAAAGAAACAATTAAAATCAACAATGGCCATTAAAATTCCCCTCTCCCCACCTCTGAGTCTAGGAAATAGAGCAAGACTTATTCCTCATCCACTCACCTTCTGTATGTTAAACCTAGAGAAGCTTGAAAAGTAATCTTCTGACTTTGGATAAGTTCAACCATTGTGGGAAGCAGTGTGGCAATTCCTAAAAGAGCTAAAAACAGAACTGCCATTTGACCCAGCAATCCCATTACTGGGCATATACCCAGAGGAATGTAAGTCATCCTACTATAAAGAGACATGCACGCGAATGTTCACTGCAGCACTATTCACAATAGCAAAGATGTGGAATCAACTTAAATTCTCATCAATGATAGACCGGATAAAGAAAATATGGTACATATACACCATGGAATATTGTGAAGCCATAAAAAGGAACGAGATTACATCTTTTGCGGGAGCATGGATGGAGCTGGAGGCCATTATCCTTAGTAAAGTAATGCAGGAACAGGAAAGTAAATACCGCATGTTCTCACTTATAAGTGGGAGCTAACTGATGAGAACTTATGGACACGAAGAAGGGAACAAAAGACACTGGGGCCTACTTACTGGTGGAGGGTGGAAGGAGGGAGAGGAGCAGAGAAAATAACTATTGGGTACTAGGCTTAGTACCTGGGTGACAAAATAATCTATACAGCAAAACCCCATGACATGAGTTTACCTGTATAACAAACCTGCACATAGACCCCTGAACCTAAAATAGAAGTTAAAAAAAAAAAAAAAAAAAAAAAAAAACCAGAGGAAGTTCCTAAACATGCTGCCCTCTGCTCTTTGCGTCTTCCCTCTCTTTTAGCAGTCTGCGATTAGGTATGCACAGTGTTGCAGACACCCCAGTGAGCTGATACATTAAAAGACATTTTGTTGTTAAATATTTCCTTGTTATGATGGCACACTTAAATTTGAAGAGCAATCTGTGAAAGAATGAAGTATTCAAAGATTTTATAGTCCATAAAACAACAAGAGAATTACTTTTAAGGGAACTACAGCATCATGGAGGCATTTCCCTGCTTCCTGCTGAATTTTTTTTTCCGTCTCTGTTTTTTTTCAATCCAACCACAATACATCAGCTCTGAACCACAGAAAATTACACACTCTGAGCCACAAGCCACCAAGGGCATTGGGTAATTAAAGACTCAAGATCTCGCTGCTTACTTTGTTCACTCCTCCTTTAGGATGGCTCATTTCCAAGTCTGTGATCAATGTTCTCCCACTACAACTAAGAGGATGTCAATTCTGCTTTCAGTCACAGCAATTAACAAGTACTCCCACTGGTACTACAAAATCATTTTCTCACACAACATACCTGTACTGGGAAACTGAAGCAGGTAAGAGGAGTACATCAAGAGAAAGACAGGCATGGAGTACCACTGAAATACCAGCAGAGCCCAGACTCCTTGTATAAAAGTGATGCTGAGAGGGTGAGAGTTGCCAACTTTGCCAACCTTATCTCTGGCTCTATGCCTGCCCTAAAACATCTTTTCTTCATTACTGAGTTTCACTGAAAACAACACCCTTCCCTTAGGGTCCTAAAACTGTTTGTGCAGCTGTGCTAAGCTGGCAACTAAATGATTTTCCATCACACTAGCTTCTAGAGCGAACATATTAAGTTGAATCATTGTCTCTTCCGACATAGATAGTTAAGCTCCATGTATACTAAGATAATAAGCACTAAGGAAATTTAATGAGTTGTGCTACCACTAATTTAACAATGAACAATAATCATTAAAAAAAAAAAAAAAAGTACATTGCAGGCCAGGCAGAGGTTCACGCCTGTAATCCCAGCACTTTGGGAGGCCGAGATAGGCGGATCACAAGGTCAGGAGTTCAAGACCTGCCTGGCCAACATGGTGAAAGCCCGTCTCTACTCAAAATACATAAATTAGGCCAGCATGATGAAACGCCGTCTCTACTCAAAATACAAAAATTAGCCAGGCATGGTGGCAGGCGCCTGTAATCCCAGCTACTTGGGAGGCTGAGGCAGGAGAATCACTTGAACCTGGGAGGCAGAGGTTGCAGTGAGCCGAGATTGCAACATTGCACTCCAGCCTGGGTTACAAAGCAAGACAGCCAAATCATGAGTGAACTCCCATTCACAATTGCTTCAAAGAGAATAAAATACCTAGGAATCCAACTTACAAGGGATGTGAAGGACCTCTTCAAGGATAACTACAAACCACTGCTCGATGAAATAAAAGAGGACACAAACAAATGGAAGAACATTCCATGCTCATGGATAGGAAGAATCAATATCGTGAAAATGGCCATGCTGCCCAAGGTAATTTACAGATTCAATGCCATCCCCATCAAACTACCAATGACTTTCTTCACAGAATTGGAAAAAGCTACTTTAAAGTTCATATGGAACCAAAAAAAAAAGAGCCCACATTGCCAATAAAATCCTAAGCAAAAGGAATAAAGCTGGAAGCATCATGCTACCTGACTTCAAACTATACTACAAGGCTACAGTAACCAAAACAGCATGGTACTGGTACCAAAACGGAGATATAGACCAATGGAACAGAACAGAGCCCTCAGAAATAATACCACACATCTACAACCATCTGATCTTTGACAAACCTAACAAAAACAAGCAATGGGGAAAGGATTCCCTATTTAATAAATGGCGCTAGGAAAACGCTAGTCATATGTTGAAAGCTGAAACTGGATCCCTTCCTTATACCTTATACAAAAATTAATTCAAGATGGATTAAAGACTTAAATGTTAGACCTAAAACCATAAAAACCCTAGAAGAAAACCTAGGCAATACCATTCAGGACATAGGCATGGGCAAGGACTTCATGACTAAAACACCAAAAGCAATGACAACAAAAGCCAAAATTGACAAATGGGATCTAATTAAACTAAAGAGCTTCTGCACAGCAAAAGAAACTACCATCAGAGGGAACAGGCAACCTACAGAATGAGAGAAAATCTTTGCAATCTACCCATCTGACAAAGGGCTAATATCCAGAATCTACAAAGAACTTAAACAAATTTACAAGAAAAAAATCAAACAACCTCATCAAAAAGTGGGCAAAGGATATGAACAGACACTTCTCAAAAGAAGACATTTATGCAGCCAACAGACACATGAAAAAATGCTCATCATCACTGGCCATGAGAGAAATGCAAATCAAAACCACAATGAGATACCATCTCACACCAGTTAGAATGGAAATCATTAAAAAGTCAGGAAACAACAGGTGCTGGAGAGGAAGTGGAGAAATAGGAACACTTTTACACTGTTGGTGGGAGTGTAAACTAGTTCAACTATTGTGGAAGACAGTGTGGCGATTCCTCAAGGATCTAGAACTAGAAACACCATTTGACCCAGCGATCCCATTACTGGGTATACACCCAAAGGATTATAAATCATGCTGCTATAAAGACACATGCACATGTATGTTTATTATGGCACTATTCACAATAGCAAAGACTTGGAACCAAGCCAAATGTCCAACAATGATAGACTGGATTAAGAAAATGTGGCACATATACACCATGAAATACTATGCAGCCATAAAAAAGGATGAGTTCATGTCATTTGTAGGGACATGGATGAAGCTGGAAACCATCATTCTGAGCAAACTGTCGCAAGGACAGAAAACCAAATACTGCATGCTCTCACTCACAGGTGGGAATTGAACAATGAGAACACTTGGACACAGGGTGGGGAACATCACACACCGGGGCCTGTCATGGGGTTGAGGGAGGGGGGAAGGATTGCATTAGGAAAAATACTTAATGTAAATGACAAGTTAATGGGTGCAGCACACCAACATGGCACTTTTATACATATGTAACAAACCTGCACGTTGTACACATGCACTCTAGAACTTTAAGTATAATAAAAAAATTTTAAAAAAAGCCAAAAAATAAAAAATAAAAGACAATAAAAGGTATATTGCAGAAAAGGACAAAATGATCTAGTTAATTCCTTCCCTCCTTTATTTTTAAAACCCTAGTTTTAAAGATGAAGATTTTGAGTTCCAAAAATTAGGAGACTTACCCAAGATGGCATAAATGATTATTGATAGAGCCAAGTATCCCAGGTATAATACATTACAATAATAAGTTTCCTTGTCTAACAAACAATTTTTAAAGCACCTCCATAATATTTGTTTCATAATAAGCATACGCAGCCTATGCCTAAACACATTCAGGGATAGAAAACTCATTTCTTGAACAACCAAAGCATTTTTGGTCAGCTTTAAAGATTGGGAAAATTTCTTACCATTCACCTGAAATTTATTTTTCTGCATGTTTCATTTCTGTTTTCCTTTTGACCCTTTGGAACTAAAGAGAACAAACTTTATTTTTCTTTGACATGACTTACATATTTTATTCATGCTTTCAACAACTTTATTTAGCTGCTGTCTCATCTTTCAGTCACTCTAGATATCCAAGATAAAGCTTTTATGTCTGGCCTGAATCTTCTTTTCTCTCTGCAAAGGGCTTCATATTCTTCACACTCAGGCTTTCTAGCTACTGAATATTATTTCATCAGTATAAGTATATGCTGGTGATGTAACACTGTTGGTGACTGTTTTCCTTAGTTCGTTATTATTATTATTATTTTCTTATAATTTTGCTGTGATCATCTGCCTCCATTGCTGAGTTATGTGAATAAATCCATAAAATAAAATGTTAGCAGTTGAATTGCTGGATGAAAGTATTTGTGTGTTATTGAGGGGAATCTTCCATATCTTTTTTCCAGTTTGTCATCTGCCAGTTATATTTGCCCAATTTTCCATCCACACAGCAATTCTAAAGTATTTGAAAATAGAGTATGCTGTAGTGGAAATCAGTACTCTGAATATCATAAAATGGGTTTGAAACAGGCTCCTTGTGATTTTGACAATGTATGTAGGGCAAAGTGTCTTCAGTAATAAAAAGCAGTGTTATTCCACTATCAGGATTCTTTCTGCCATTCCTTCATGGCACTTTATAACTAGTACTTACGTTCATTATATATTCATTATCTTGAATTCCTTTAATAACCCTCACATGTATTTTCATTGTTTTTTGTTCTCCCTTTTCTAAAGGTATGATTTGGCAAAGACCCTTTAAAAATGTCATATTAGAACTGAACACAAAAGTCACGACCCAGTCTGATCAATATAAAACAATGGGATACCAGCTCACTTGTTCCAGATACTATAGTTCTATTAGTTTAGGTTTACATGGTGTAGGGTATTTCTTTTTAACGTTTGGTTTAATTTTTAAACTGAGGTACACTGAACTTCTTAAAACTTTAATTTTTTGACTATTGTTGATATACCTCTTACTTGTCTTGTATGCTAATTAATTACTATTTGATAACCAAAGTACAGGACAACGCATTTATCTTAACTAAATTTCATTTTGGGGGCTTTGGTATATAATTCTACTTTATTTGGAATGTTTTGAATGTCGCTTTTGCTACCAGCTATATAATTATTACTCTAAGTTTTTATTCTCCCTGAACTTTTTTTTCACATGTTTCTTGGCATTTGCTGAAGTCCTTATTATAAAGTGAAGCAGAATGGCTTGCGGGAAAAAAACCTAGGGTATGTCATACAGCATGCTGCAAAGTGACAATAAGCCATTAATCTATATTGTGAATGTACATGTGACAAGCGATCCAAGTATTTACCCTTTGTTTTAAATCTTGTCCACAGGATCTTGTTAGAGATTCTGAAACTACAAGTCTTTCTGAAATTAAAATATAACACTTGCAGGCCGGGCATGATGGATCATGCCTGTATTCCCAGCACTTTGGGAGGCCAAGGTGGGCAGATCACCGGAGGTCAGGAGTTTGAGACCAGCCTGGCTAATATGGTGAAACCCCGTCGCTAATAAATAATAAAAAAATTAGCTGGGCATGGTGGTGCATGCCTGTAAACCCAGCTACTTGGGATGCTGGGGAAGAAGAATTGCTTGAACCTGGGAGGCAGAGGTTGCAGTGAGCAAAGATCGTGCCACTGCACTCCAGCCTAGGCAACAGAGTAAGACTCCATCTCAAAATATATACATATCTATAGCATTTGCAATATTACTGTAGTTATGAATCTAGTAAATCTGCCAAAAGAGAATGGTTTCTCATAATCCACCGGGCTCTTGTTCACTACCATTTTATTCAGGTTAGTTGTTTATTATTAACTAAATAGTAATCTATGTAACAATTATGTTGAGATTTTACATTATACTTCCTTGTTTATGTTTCCCATAATCAATCTGTTTTTCCTATTATGAAAATCAGGATATGTATCTTTTTCACTCTCATGCACAACTTCCATTGTCTAATTTCTCAAAAAACTATTATGTTTCTATGATCATCTCTAATGTACTTTCGTTATCCTATGACGTAATTTATTAAAATATGACATTTCATCTCATTTATAACAGGTAGTTGCTGTTCTTTATATTATCTTTCAACTTTTATTGATTTTGAGTTGCTACTGAATTATTTGTCTCAACATTCAATTCACGAATTGAATGTAATTTTATTTAGAAACTATAAATTCAGTATTTTAAAAAGTAAATATAAAGGTTACCTTTTGCAGGATAGTAACTCAAAGACAGCAATTGAGGTACAATTACTAACCTTTTTAGTGTTAGGGTTCAAATACTCATTAGATATTTTCTTTCAGGTAAGTATAAAGTCTTGAACATTTAGTAAAATTTTTCTTTATTCTTAGTACTCTTAGTTACTATAAGTGGCTACTGTAAGAGTAATGAAATCCTCTAAATTTCTAACGTATATTTCATAAATGACTCTGCATTAAGATAATCCTTAAAATGGTTTTACATTGATATTATATACATACCTATGTATGTATATGTATATATATATTCTTACTTTTTTCTATTTTTTAATTGATATATCATAGTTGTACATATTTTGGGGGTACATGTGATATTTTGATACATGTATACAATGTGTAAGAGATTCATATTTCACCTTAGCATGCTATAATTTCTAAGAAGTATTTTTGAACCCAGAATTTCAAAGTGATAAAACATTATTAGGTGGAATAATTATTTGGGTATTACTACAGAAAGGCAAATTTTGCAGTGTACTTGAAGCCGCATGTATTTCATATGGAGTCAGACTCAAATTCCTATTTCTCTGAGTCCTTCCATCATAATTCCTAGGACTTCTGAATATTTATATTTCTGAATTTTATAACTATATTTTATTATTTACAATTTTATTTAAATATTTTATACACAATATATTACTGTTAATACCACAAACATTAAACATCAATCATCAATATGTTAATGTAAATACATTCTATAATATAAAGCAATATTTTAATTGTATTTATTGTCTTATTTTTATTTAAAACAAATTTTATTACTTTTTATTCTGTTCTTCATGTAAAAAAAGTGAACAAAATATTATCTTGTCTTATATTTTCCCTACTCTAATCAATTCCTTTTAAACTTATTTACCCAGGTATTCAGGCATAAACTAGACATATTTACCAAGGTCTTTTTTGTAAATAAATTTCTTCCTACTGGATTATTTTATTCATATTTAGTAACTGTTTCATTCATTTATACTATAGTGTTCATTAAGTTTGAATTTAAATGTATTTGGTATTCTAGTATATAATTCTATAAAAATATTCTGTTTTCTGAAATCAGCTTTACACAATTATAATACCCTCTTTAATATAACTGCAATGAACTTGTTTCGCAGGAGACAAAAATAAAATAAAATCGTGTAGTGATTGACCATTCATGTTCAGCAAGCAGCTTATCTTGGATTCTAATTCTGCCTCTGATGTCACTTAATTTCTGTTTTCTCATTTGTTAAATGAAAATAATAGCTCCTTTTTCAGAAAGTTGCTGCAAGACTTCAAGTTAAATGACAAAACATATAAAGTATCAAATAGAGTTGCTAGAAAATAGTAATCACTTCATTCAGTATAATTTACATTCAAAGAAACATGCTGTTCTTAAATAGACGTTTCAGTGAACTTTGGCAAATGCATACATCTATGTAATGTACATGCCTACGTCAATATATAGACCATCTTAAACACTAGTTACACTTTCCAGTCTATTCCCACTCTCCCCAGACACCAACAGTTTTAATTTCTATCACCATATGTTGGTTTTGCCCATTCTAGAACATCATATGAATTGAATTATACAGTATGTGCTTTTGACTATTCTTTTGCTTGGAATAATATTTTAAAGATTCATCCATGTTTTGTGTATATCGGTAACTTATTCCTTTTTATCACTGAATTTCTATCATATACTTTTGTCATTTGTTAGCAATATAACACCCCCAAATTATGCAAAACTATGCAAAGTATCTTTGATCCTTACAAATATAGTTTTGTAAAAATCACACGTGTATCTTCTGTCTTTTTTCAGTTTTGTGTTGTGAGTTCAATTATGAATCCACAGTAGTTATTTTAAAAGTTATATTCTTTTCTCAATGATATTATTTGGAATTACAATCAAAATGTATTTTCAGCCTACTGTAACTCATATTAAACCTTCCTCTGTTGGAATTTTCAGCAGTTCCAATATTTCCCCTGAGATGTCAAAGTGTTCCTGAAGTTCGACCGCATCTGAATATGCTCAGTTTCATCTTTCTTTACTCATATCAATTCCTAAGCCTCATATTATATTCCTCCAAGATTCCTTCTATGTCCATATCACTGACAAGTTTTTGTTGCATGGAATTGTAGAGTTGCAACTTCCATGAATTTCAATATTGCTATTTAATAATTGCAATTTGCTGACAAGGTTTGACCATTTTATCTGCCCTTAAGAACTTTCAGCCAAGTCTTTAACTCTTGTTGTCATTTAGCTTGTTTGTAAAATAAAGCAATTTTTTCTGTATTTATATTTTAGTGTCCAAACCAGAACATTGTACTAACATGTATATTTTAACTGCTGTTTTGGTTTAAATAACATTTAAATCATGCAATTTTAAGTAATGTTTAGTGGTTCATTTGATTGAAAATAATTAATGGGTTTAGTTATTTATTAATGAGTTCCTCCAAAGGCTATGTTTTACCTTAATCATCTTCAAATTCCAATTATTAAGCAGGCAGATACCAGGGCACAATCAAGCTTATTGATTAGCTGATGCAAATACTCCCCGTTAGAGTTAACATAATTAAATTAAATTTAAAACATTTTGTTTATATCTCCTCTATTCTGTTTACATTCTCCAAACTTCTAAGTAAGAATATACTAAAAATAAAGAAGACATTTCTGAAAGGACCCTGAAAAGCCAAAACAATCTTGAGAAAGAAGAACAAAGCTGGATGCATCATACTTACTGATTTCAATATATATTACAAAGATAGAGTAATTAAAACAGTATGGCTCTGGCATAAAGACAGACATATAGACTAGTGGAAGAGAGTAGAGATCCAGAAATAAGCCCATATATATATATGTTCAATTAATCTTCAACAGGGGTGCAAACAGTAGTTTCTTCAAAAACAGTACTGGGAAAACTGGATATCCATAAGCAAAATAATGGTATTAGACCCTTATATATCATACAAAAGTCAACTCAAAATAAATTAAAGACTTAAACATAAAACCTGAAACTGTAAAACTCCTTGAGTAAAACATTGGGGAAATGCCTTGGTTTTTATTTTGTTTTGGAAAAATATTGGCCTGGTAATGAATTTTTGGATATGACACCAAAAGCATAGGCAACAAAATAAAAAAAAATTAGACAGCAGGACTACATAAAATCATAAAGTTTCTGCACAGCAAAGGAAACAACAGAGTGGAAGAAAACAGTTTCAAATCATAGAGCTGATAAGGGATTAATATACGGAATACATAAATAACTCCTACAGCTAAAAACAGCAATAAAACAATAATAAAGCAATTTAAAAATGAGAAAAGGACTTAAACAGATATTTATCCAAAGAAGACATACAAATGGCCAACAGAAATATGAAGAGATGCTCAACGTTACTAATTATCAGGGAAATGCAAATCAGAAGCACAATGAAATATCACCTCACACCTTTAGAATGGCTGATATCAAAAAAACAAATTAAGTGTTGGCAAAAAATGTGGAGAAAATTGAACCCTTGTACACTATTGGTATAAATGTCAAATGGTGCAGCTGCTGTGGAAAACAGTATAAAGGTTTCTCAAAAAATTAAAAATAGAACTGAGAGGTGAAGCCAGCTGGACTTCTGGGTCGGGTGGGGAATGGAGAATTTTTCCGTCTTACAAGAGGATTGTAAAACACACCAATCAGCGCTCTGTGTTTAGAGGTTTGTAAAATGCACCAGTCAGCACTCTGTGGCTAGCTAGAGGTTTGTAAAATGGACCAATTAGCACTCTGTAAAATGGATCAATCCATGCTCTGTAAAATGGACCAATCAGTGCTCTGTAAAATGGACCAATTAGCAGGATTTGGGTGGGGACAAATAAAGGAATAAATGCTGGCCACCCCAGACAGCAGCAGCAACCCGCTCGGGTTCCCTTCCACACTGTGGAAGCTTTGTTCTTCTGCTCTTCATAGTAAATCTTGCTGCTGCTCACTCTCTAGGTCCATGCCATCTTTAAGAGCTGTAGCACTCACTGCGAAGGTCCATGGCTCCATTCTTGAAGTCAGTGAGACCATGAACCCACTGGAAGGAACAAACTCCAGACACATCTTGGCAACCACTAAAGGACTTTGCCACGTAGTACCATTAAACCCCTTTCACTTGCTATTCTGTCCTATTTTTCCTTAGAATTGAGGGGCTAAACACCAGGCACTGGCCTCAGTATTCTCTCTCTGGGGAAAAATGGCCACCTGAAGGGAGTATAAATTACAATACTATCCTGTAGCTTGATCTTCTCTGTAAGAGGGAAGGCAAATGGAGTGAAATACCTTATATCCAAACTTTCTTTTCATTGAAGGATAATCCACAACTACGCAAAGCTTACAATTTACATTCCACAGGAGGACCTCTCAGCTTACCTCCATATCCTAGCCTCCCTATAGCTCCCCTATTAATGATAAGCCTCCTCTAATCTCCCCCACCCAGAAGGAAATAAGCAAAGAAGTCTCCAAAGGACCATAAAAAACCCTGGGTTATCAGTTATGTCCCCTTCAAGCTGTAGGGGGAGGGCAATTTGGTCCAATCCAGGTACATGTCCCCTTCTCCCTCTCTGATTTAAAGCAGATCAAGGTAGACCTGGGGAAGTTTTCAGATGATCCTGATAGGTAAATGGATGTCCTACAGGGTCTAGAGCAAACCTTTGACCTCACTTGGGGAGATGTCATGCTATTGTCAGATCAAACTCTGGCCTTTAATAAAAAGAATGGCGGCTTTTACTGCAGCCTGAGAGTTTGGAGATACCTAGTATCTTAGTCAAGTAAATGATAGAATGACAGCTGAAGAGAAGGACAAATTCCCTACCGGTCAGCAAGCCGCCCCAGTATGGATCCCCTCTGGGACCTTGACTCAGATCATGAGGACTGGAGTCGTAAACATCTGCTGACCTGTGTTCTAGAAGGACTAAGGAGAATTAGGAAAAAGCCCATGAATTATTCAATGATGTCCACCATAACTCAGGGAAAGGAAGAAAATCCTTCTGCCTTCCTCAAGCGGCTATGGGAGGCCTTAAGAAAATATATTCCCCTGTCACCCAACTCCCTTGAGGGTCCACTGATCCTAAAAGATAAGTTTATTACCCAATCAGCCACAGATATCAGGAGAAAGCTCCAAAAGTGAGCCCTGGGCCCTGAACAAAATCTGGAGGCACTATTAAACCTGGCAACCTTGGTGTTCTATAATAGGGTCCGAGAGGAACAGGCCAAAAAGGGAAAGCGAGATCAGAGAAAGTCTGCAGCCTTAGTCATGGCCCTCAGACAAACAAACCTTGGTGGTTCAGAGAGGACAGAAAATGGAACAGGCCAATCACCCACTAGGGCTTGTTATCTGTGTGGTTTGCAAGGACACTTTAAAAAAGATTGTCCAACAACAAACAAGCTGCCCCCTGGCCCATGTCCACTATGCTGAGGCAATCACTGGAAAGTGCACTGCCCCAGAGGACAAAGGTTCTTCACCAGAAGCCCCCAACCAGATGATCCAACAACAGGACTGAGGGTGCCCAGGGCAAGCACCAGTTCATGTCATCACCCTCACTGAGCCCCAGGTATGTTTAACCATTGAGGGCCAGGAAATTGACTTCCTCCTGGACACTGGCATGGCCTTCTCAGTGTTAATCTCCTGTCCCAGACAGCGGTCCTCAAGGTCTGTTACCATCTGAGGAATCCTGGGACAGCCTGTAACTGGGTATTTCTCCCACCTCCTCAGTTGTAATTGGGAAACTTTGCTCTTTTCACATGCCTTTCTTGTTACGCCTGAAAGTCCCACACCCTTATTAGGGAGGGACATATTAGCCAAAGCTGGAGCTATTACCTATATGAATATGGGGGAACATGTTACCCATTTGTTGTCCCTTACTTGAAGAGAGAATCAACCCTGAAGTCTGGGCATTGGAAGGACAATCTGGAAGGGCAAAAAATGCCTGCCCAGTCCAAATCAGGCTAAAAGACCCCACACCGCTTTTCCTTATCAAAGGCAATATCCCTTAAGGCCTGAAGCTCATAAAGGATTACAGGATATTGTTAGACATTTAAAAGCTCAAGGCTTAGTAAGAAAATGCAGCAGTCCCTGCAACACCCCAATTCTAGGAGTACAAAAACCAAATGGTCAGTGGAGACTAGTGCAAGATCTTAGACTCATCAGTGAGGCAGTAATTCCTCCATATCCAGTTGTAACCAACCCCTATACCCTGTTCTCTCAAATACCAGAGGAAGCAGAATGGTTCACTGTTCTGGACCTCAAGGATGCCTTCTTCTGTATTCCCCTGCACTCTGACTTCCAGTTTCTCTTTGCCTTCGAGGATCCCACAGACCCCATGTCCCAACTTACATGGACGGTCTTGCCCTAAGGGTTTAGGGATATCCCTCATCTGTTTGGTCAGGCACTGGCCCAAGATCTAGGCCACTTCTCAAGCCCAGGCACTCTGGTCCTTCAGTATGCAGATGATTTACTTTTGGCTACCAGTTCAGAAGCCTCATGCCAGCAGGCTACTCTAGATCTCTTGAATTTTCTAGCTAATCAGGGGTACAAGGTGTCTAAATCGAAGGCCCAACTCTGCCTACAACAAGTCAAATATCTAGGCCTAATCTTAGCCAGAGGAACCAGGGCCCTTAGCAAGGAATGAATACAGCCTATACTGGCTTATCTTTGCCCTAAGACCTTAAAACAGTTGCAGGGGTTCCTTGGAATCAACAGCTTTTGCTGACTATGGATCCCTGGATACAGCAAGATAGCCAGGACCCTTTATACTCTAATCAAGGAGACCCAGAGGGCAAATACTCATCTAGTAGAATGGGAACCAGAGGCAAAAACAGCCTTCAAAACCTTAAAGCAGGCCCTAGTACAAGCTCCAGCCTTAAGCCTTCCCACAGGACAAAACTTCTCTTTATACGTCACAGAGAGAGCAGGAATAGCTCTTGGAGTCCTTACTCAGACTCGTGGGACAACCCCACAACCAGTGGCATACATAAGTAAAGAAATTTATGTAGTAGCAAAAGGCTGGCCTCACTGTTTATGGGTAGTTGCAGCGGTGGCCATCTTAGTATCAGAGGCTATCAAAAAAATACAAGGAAAGGATCTCACCATCTGGACTACTCATGATGTAAATGGCATACTAGGTGCCAAAGAAAGTTTATGGCTATCAGACAGCCACCTGCTTAGATACCAGGCACTACCTCTTGAGGGACTGGTGCTTCAAATATGCATGTGTGTGGCCCTCAACCCTGCCACTTTTCTCCCAGAGGATGGGGAACCAATCGAGCATGACTGCCAACAAATCATAGTCCAGACTTATGCCACCTGAGAGGATCTCTTAGAAGTTCCCTTACCTAATCCTGACCTTAACCTATATGCAGATGGGAGTTCATTTGTGGAGAATGGGATACGAAGGGCAGGTTATGCCATAGTTAGTGATGTAACAGTACTTGAAAGTAAGCCTCTTCCCCCAGGGACCAGCACCCAGTTAGCAGAACTAGTGGCAGTTACCTGAGCTTTAGAACTGGGAAAGGAGAAAAGAATAAATGTGTATACAGATAGCAAGTATGCTTATCTAATCCTGCATGCCCATGCTGTAATATGGAAAGAAAGGGAGTTCCCAACCCCTGGGGGAAACCCCATTAAATACCACAAGGAAATCATGGAGTTATTGCCCAAGGAGGTGGCCGTCTTACACTGTCAAAGCCATCAAAAAGGGGAAGAAGAGGGGAGAATAGCAGCATAAGTGGCTGGCAGAGGCAGGGAAAGACCAGCAGAGAGGAAAGAGGGAGAGAGAAGGGAAAGACAGAAGTCAAAGAGAGAAGGGAAAGCCAGAAAGTCAAAGAGAGAGAGAGAGAGGAAGAGACAAAGAGACAAAGAGGGAGTCAAAAAGAGAGAGAAAGAAGAAGAGACAAAGAAGGAGTCAAAGAGAGAAGGAAAGAGAGAAAGAGACAGAGAGACAAAGAGGGAGTCAGAAAGAAGAGAAAGAGCATAAGACAGAAAGTCAAAGAGAAGGAAAAAGAGAAGAGACAGATACAAAGAAAGAGAGAAAGAGATAGAAGTAGTAAAGATAAAACAGTGTACCCTATTTCTTTAAAAGCCAGGGTAAATTTAAAACCTATAATTGATAATTGAAGGTCTTCTCTATGACCCTATAACACTCCAGTACCACCTTGTGTCAGTGTATAAACAAGGGCATAGCCTGAAAGCACTGAGGCCACTGACAACCCATAGCCTTCCTATCAAAAATCCTTAACCCAGCAGGTTTCCTAACAGGGGTTCTAAATCTTAATTACCATACAAAGGTCCAACCAGACCTAGGAGGAACTCCCTTCAGGACAGGATGATAGATGGTTCCTCCTGGGTGATTAAGGGAAAAAGACACAATGGGTATTCAGTAAGTGATAAGGAAACTCTTGTAGAAGCAGAGTTAGGAAAATTGCCTAATAATTGGTCTGCTCAAGCGAGGGAGCTGTTTGCACTCAGTCAAACCTTAAAGTACTTACAGAATCAGGAGGAGCCATCTATACCAATTCTAAGTTAATATGGACTGGACAAGGTCTTATTAATAGCAAAGAATAATTGAAATCCCAAACTTACAAGGTTTTCAACAAAAGTAAAATTTCCTAAAAGTTAACAGTGTAATATGTATTATCCTAACTTCTAATCTTGTGGAAATCAGACCCTATCAGTGCCCCTCAAAGCTCAAGTCTGTCAGCACAGGGCCATACAACTAATACCCCTACTTATAGGGTTAGGAATGGCCACTGCTACAGGAACTGGAATAGCCCGTAGGATAGTGAAGCAGATAAACTACCACACACTCTCAAAAGATTTCTCAGTTTACAAGAAATAACAAAATCTATCCTTACTCTACAATCCCAAATAGACTCTTTGGCAGCAGTTGACTCTCCAAAACCACCGAGGCCTAGACCTCCTCACTGCTGAGAAAGGAGGACTCTGCACCTTCTTAGGGGAAGAGTGTTGTTTTAGTCAGGGATAGTAGGAGATGCCACTTGGAGTTTACAGGGAAAGGATTCTGAAACAAGACAACGCCTTTCAAACTCTTATACCAACCTCTGGAGTTGGGCGACATGGCTTCTCCCCTTTCTAGGTCCTGTGGCAGCCATCTTGCTATTACTCGCCTTCGGACCCTGTATTTTTAACCTCCTTGTCAAACTTGTTACCTCCAGGATTGATGCCATGAAGCTACAGATGGTCTTACAAATGGAACCCCAAATGAGCTCAATTCACAACTTCTACCGAGGACCCCTGGACCAACCCACTGACCTTTTGGCTGGCCTAGAGAGTTCCCTCTGGAGGACACTACCACTGCAGGGCCCCTTCTTTGCCCCTATCCAGTAGGAAGTAGCTAGAGCTGTAATTGGCCAATTGCCAACAGCAATTGGGGTGTCCTGTTTAAAGGGGGGATTGAGAGGTGAAGCCAGCTAGACTTCTGGGTCGGGTGGAGTCTTGGAGAAATTTTCTGTCTTACAAGAGGATTGTAAAATGCACCAATCATCACTCTGTAGCTAGGATTGTAAAACGCACCAATCAGCCTCTGTGATTAGGTAGAGATTTGTAAAATGCTCCAATCAGTGCTCTGTAAAAATGCACCAATCAGTGCTCTGTGGCTAGCTGGAGGTTTGTAAAATGGACCTATCAGCACTCTGTAGAATGGACCAATCAACAGGACATGGGTGGGGACAAATAAGGGAATAAAAGCTGACCACCCCAGCCAGCAGTGGCAACCCGCTCAGGTCCCCTTCCACACTGGGGAAGCTTTGTTCTTTCACTCTTCACAATAAATCTTGCTGCTGCTCACTCTTTGGGTCCATGCCATCTTTAAGAGCTGTAGCACTCACTGAAAAGGTCCACGGCTCCATTCTTGAAGTCAGCGAGACCACGAACCCACTGGAAGGAACAAACTCTGGACACAGAACTACCATATGATCCAGGAATCCCACTTCTGAGTATTTATAGAAAAGAATTGAAATCAAGATCTTGAAGAGATATCTGCACTCTTAATTTCATTGCAGCATTATCCAAAATAGTAAAGATATGGAAACATCCTAAATGCCTACCAATAGATAAATGAATAAATATGGTTGGTATATACAAACAATAGAATATTATTCAGCCTTAAAAAAGGAGGAAATATCACCATATGCAACAACATGGATGAAACTTAAGAGCATAATGCTTAGTGAAATAAGCAAGTCACAGAAGGACAAATACTGCATGATTATACTTTTATGAGGTATCTTACATAGTCAAACTCATAGTGGCAAAGCACTGAGTGGTTGTGCTAAGGGCTAAAAAGAGGAAAAAATGGGCAGCTGCTATTCAACCAGTATAAAGTTTCAGTTATGCAAGATGAATAAGTCTAGAGATCTGCTGTACAACATTGTGGCTATAGTTAACAAGTCTCTGTTGACCTTTAAAAATTTAAGAGGATACGTCTCATGTTAAATATCTTTACCACAATAACAGAATTGGAAAAACTTGGATGGGATACTGAAATTTACTAACTGTGTACCCTGGACAAATTGTGTCAACTAGTGTTCTTTTTTAAAAAATTAAACTGAGGGTCATCACAATACTTCTTCACGGGGTTATTATGTTGGTTAAATGAGATAATTCATGTAATGTGGTTTCACCTAGGGTAGCAAGCGTTCTATACATGTCAGTTTTTAGTGATCAATATTACCACTCCTACTACTATTATTACTGCTTGTACTATTACTGTTATTATTATATATTAAAATGCACCCAAGTGACAGTACAAAGAGTACATCTGGTTGTTTACATAAATAATTTTAGGATTCAGGAGTGAAGTTTATATGTCTGAAGTCTATGCAGAGGAATGTCCAGATCCTTAAAGAATAGGTCCTATAATCACATTGGATTTTAGTCTTGAAATGAAAAGATCTGTTGAGAACTGAGTTCAGTAAGACTCATAATTTTCAAGCATCAGTCTGAAACGTCAGACACAGCTGGGTTGGAATAATATATAGCTTGAGACAGTACTGAATCACTTACACATTCAAGCAAAAAGGTAAGACAGTTACATGTCTCTTAAAACTTCAGAATGACTAAATCTTGTCACGGACATGTCCCTATATAGTGAAAACGTCATAACTGTTACCAAGTTGCATGAAATTAAAAGATGCATAAGTTTATCCTTATAGCAAACATAGACTTTTTTATTTAAACCATAACTATATCTAGACCTGTAATGCTCTTAGAATTTCTTTCTACTTATCACTAGAGAGATACACATAGACAGATTAAGACAATCTTTGACTTCATTTGTTACAGTAACAAAGTGGAAAATAAAATGTGTAACAAGAAAATTAATAATTATTGAAAATATATTAAACTAAAAACTGTTTTTTCAAAAGGAAGGCCATAAAATTAATTATACGTAGTGACAATCTACAATCCATTAGAAGAAGTTATGTGTTGAAAGAAACTTGAATGGATATAGTTCCTGTTCTGTGAATCCACAGTAACACTAATAACCTGGTATAAATTTCTTACAGAAGAAAAGAAATACAAAGGATCCCATGGCCATTCCACATATATACATAGGAACAAGATGTAGCGATCCTCTGAGCATGTAAGACTTCCAAAGACTCTAAAATAAAGCCCCAATTAATTGCATATTGGGCATTAGGTGGCAATATAAGCTTAATTTAGTGAGACAAAAGAGAAGTTTGATAATTTGTGTCATTTTTAGCAAACATGAAGAAATAAATTATTTCTCAAGAGTCATTGGTCAAAATTGCTATAATTTCAGAAGTGAGTGGTAAAGGCTGGCTAAGGGCAGACTATAAGGAATCTTTTTGCGTGGAATAGGCATCCGACACATATTTCATGATTGAATACGAGGAACCAATGAAGAAAAGCAAAAGTTATTGAGGTCAAGTTAAACAGTGATATCAAATTTGGGGGAGAATTGAAACACACACACACACACACACACACAGTTTCCTGGCCCTTCCAGATCATAACAATTCTTGTCCTCTCCAGTTCCATCCTTCCCAAATCTTGGACTCCACTCTCCACTGCAGGGTTTGTAGAACTCTTATGTGTAGATTCAGCTTCATCACTCAGTTCTGAGCCAACATTATCTGAGTTTGCAAGAGCCCTATTCTTAGAAGCAATTGAAGTTTGCAGTGAGTTTTATTGTCCTCAAACTAGTATCTAGTATGCTATGATTCTGAGACACACCATACCCATCAAACTCCAGCTCTCAAACTCTCACCTTACTTTAGTTCATTTAGCAGGACTTTTGTAATGCTTTTGCATTGGGGAACAGTTTGCCCACTTCCATGTGATATTTGAAGGTAACTTTTCTTAAAAGGAACTGTTTAAGAGAAAATTATCCCCTGCTTTTTGATAACTCTGGTCACTGTCTGGAATTCTGCTTCTTATGGAAAGAATCCTCTGAGACATAACAATCTTATTCATCCAACCAACTTCTGTAAAGGTGTGGCAAGATGATCCCATAAAGAGTCACACTGAGTCTATTGTCTGTTGTTTCACATTAGTCAACATCAAAGGTTTATGATTACTTGGCCTTAGGAAAAATAAGAGAGGGCCTCAAATATGAGGCAATTGTGAAGATTACAAGAATGTGAATCTTGTTACTGGAAAAGGGATAGAAGGTAGAAATCTGCTTTCAAGGATCAGGTAACTATGTATACTAAAAGCAAGATTGACTTAATATTGAGTGACCCATGTGACAGAGTCTTATAAATTCTTCCTGAGATAGGATGCAAGTGGGGAATCAATTACATTACAGTAGGTTTGATCCCCTGATTATCCCTGAAGCTATATTAGTACTCATATATTTCTCACACTCTGCAAACATATACTGTATCAGACAGCATGTTAGGAATTACTGACTCAATATAATAAAAAAATCTCTTCTTACTCTCAAAAAGCTTCCCAGACTAGTCATCCTGGTACTAATTGTTCAAGTCTTCTTTTCCTTTCCCCATAATCTAGCAACTCAGATTCCAAAATGCTGTGTGATATAGGAGAAATTTAGGTGAAACCTACTGTAATGTAATTAATTCCCCACTTGCATCCTAGCTCAGGAAGAATTTATAAGACTCTGTCACCTGGGTCACTCAATATTAAGTCGATCTTGCTTTTAGTATACATGGTTACCTGATCCTTGAAAGCAGATTTCTACCTTCTATCCCTTTTCCAGTAACAAGAATCATATTCTTGCAATCTTCACCATTGCCTCATATTTGAGGCCCTCTCTTATTTTTCCTAAGGCCAAGTAATCATAAACCTTCATCAGCCCAGTAACATGCACTTTTGACCTAATAATGCAAAATTACTTCCTGCTTGAGTTGTCTTGAGGAAATTCCTAGGAGTAGAATTTCTGGCTACTTTTAAGACTTTTATTTGTATCACAGCCTTTCTGAAATTTTATTACGATGTGTTTGTGTATGCATGTGTGTGTCGATCTACCTGTATTTGTGATACATTGAGATTCTCGAATCTATCTGTTCAGAGTTTTTCAAATATGTGAATGTTTTGGTATATTTCTTTTCTCTCATCCTGACTTCCTCTTTTGCCTGGGACTTTAATTACACATATTCTATAGTACTTGATAAAGTCATACAGTTCACTGAGCCTTCCCCGACTCCTGTTCTTCATTTTGTGAAATTTGTCTTCTTCTCTCTTGACCTTTCTTGTGCAGGTCTATTCTTCTGTAGTCCCAACTAGTGAAATTTTTATTTTAAATGTTGTAATTTTCATTTTTATAAATTTATTTTGCATCTTTTTTGCATCCCTCATTTCTCTCCTCATGCTTCTGTTTTCCTTTATGTCCTTGAACATATTTGTAATAGCAGGAGAACTGTAGCAATGAAAAATTAGCTTATCAAGTTGTTTCAATATAGACTGAATATCCTGTGGTCCTCTGACCACCCCTGCAGCTAGATTAGTACTCATATATTTATGTTTAATAAAGGTCTGGAAACCAATGGAGAGCTTATTTTAATAATCTAAGAGAGAATGAGGCCCTATAGCACAAGGACAAGTGGCAGAGGAAAGAAGAAAGTAGATAGAAAATAGACTGGGAAGATTTCACATGAATAGATAATAGCATAAGAATCAACTGACAAGAAGAAAATCAATACTGATTCTGAAGTTTTAGACCTGTATAACAGCAAAAAGATGACACTTTTATTTTGTTATTGATTTATTTATTTAGGAAAGCCGAGAAGGAAAGGAACTTTAGTAGGAAAAGTGAGTTTTAACATTTGGAATGTTGTTTAAGAAACAGAGACATAAAATAAGCCTTTGGAAATTTTAGTCAAGACTTCTAGAGAAAAAAAGGTTATACCATATATCAAAGTAGATGAGGTCACCAAAATAGAGTCAGATGAAGACAGAGCCCTTGGTTACACTTACATTTAGTGGTCCAAAAAAATTGCAGAATACACAAAACCAATTTTATTTAAATGGGAAATAGTATGTTTGTAGACACTTTGGGTCAAGAAATTTACTTATATAAAATACACAAATAGAATATTTTATGTACTTTTCTTAAGGCTTCTTGAAATTGGAGTTAATGAGTAGATGGTAATAATCACAAGAAAGTAAAAAATGTTTTAGTAAAACCCTGGCATGCTTATTTGGTTTCCAATTGTGTTAAAGTTAATTATTTGACAGCTGGGTTTATTTTCAAACAGAGAGAGCTTGTTCTTTACTCTCAGTGGGAGATAAAACACATGTTAATCAAAAAATAGTATACATAAGCCATTTATATTGTTACACCAAATATCCTATTGTTTAATAGGTGATTTAGCTTTTAAGCAGGCCTGTTTGGTAAGGTGTCAAAAGTGTAATAATATCCTATCATTTTTAAAGCCCTAAGGACTTGCCTATTCTTTAATTTCCCAACCAAAGTGGAGACTTAATGTAATACAATGTTATGGGAGAAGAAAATAAAAAAACTAAAATTCTATCTCTGGTATTTGCTCAGGGAAGAGGAAGATAAATTTTGTCTTCACCCCTGGCCAACACAGACATACATGTAGAGAAAGAAGCACAAGGGCCATGACCTTCAATCCTGCCTGAGGAATTGATCTGAGACCTGGGAAGTTCTGCAAGAAAAATGGCCATTTCAAAGACTGTGTATTCCTAATGATGCAGTTTCAAAATCATTTTTGAAGACAGAAAGTACTTCTTTTTTGGAAAATACAGGTGAAAGGGTCTTGAATCAGATTAAGCTAAAGAAAAATACAAAATGGCAGGGTTCAGGACAATAAGGAGATTATATTCCCCTGAATATTAATGCAACATGGTTATTTTATTTGAGGAATTTTTAAAGAATGTTTTTAGCTTTCCTTGTGTCTGAGATAACAATTTATTAAAGGAATCTTGAAGCAGATTAAAGAAGCTATTAGAGAAATTATCAGCTATCTCTTGATTCCTAATAAAGCAGTTTCAATACAGAAAGCCAAGGCTAAGGGGGAAATAAAACTCCCTGGTTAAGAATTCTTTGTTCCAGACTTTGGAAACAGTATTATGTGATATATGAAGTTATTTGTTCTGCCATTCTGTAATTACTTTTACCTCCATCCCATCTTCTACTTTTAACAATTAAAGAATTATGATGGTGATATGGTTTGGCTGTGTCCACACCCAAATCTCATCTTGAATTTCCATGTGTTGTGGGAGGGACCCAGAGGGAGGTAACTGAATCATGGAGGCAAGTCTTTCCTGTGCTGTTCTCATGATAGTGAATGAGACTCACAAGATCTACTGGTTAGTATAAGGGGGAGTTTCCCTGAACAAGTTCTCTCTCTTTGCCTGCTACCATCCATGTAAGATGTGACTTGCTCCTCCTTGCCTTCTGCCATGATTGTGAGGTTTCCCCAGCCACGTGGAACTGTAAGTCCAATTAAACCTCTTTCTTTTGTAAATTGCCCAGTCTTGGATATGTCTTTATCAGCAGTGTAAAAACAGACTAATACAGATGGTAAGTGTATTAACTGGAAATCCAAGAATAAAATGAAGTAAATAGAAATGCAAAGAAATACTATAATAAAATTACATGTGACTGAAACAAAATCAAATTTTTTGAGGCAATTTATTATATTTTTTCAACTCTGAATGTTACATTTACTCTCCTGCATGTTTCCTCTTTGTTTTTGACACAGAAGTACTCACATTTTAATATCTTTTGTCTTGTATTTTAAAAGTTTTCCTTTAAATTGACTCCTAGACACCTGGATATATCAAAGTACAATTTTTATAGATAGGCTAGTTCTGCCTCACTAGTTGGAATTAGAATTAGACATGTTTGAATCACAGGTGAGAAAATTGGAAATCATCTACCAAACTTTCAGAACTTCCAATGAATATCTTCTTCATGAAGAAAGAATCATAAAGACACAATAAATTGCCAAATTAGACTCAATCATTTCCAAAAATTCTGATAAATATTAAAGAAAACAAGGGTTTTTAGAAGTCTTGCAATTATATTAACAAAAGAAGAAATAGCAAATGACATAAATTGTCCTTTTTAAAAAAATTTTTGGTGCAACAAATACTTTTAGATGTTTCTAGTAAATACAGATAATATTTCTGAGAAGCTGCATGTTACAATGGTCTTAATGAGAAAACTAAATAACTTTAAAACATAAAAACAGAAGGTATTTTGGGATTTCACTTTTAATTACAGGGATTAGTTATTTCATATTATCATTACTGCATAGTGATATTTTGAAATTATTTTATTTTCCCAATATTTCACAAGTCCTAGAAAATAAAGACTTCCTTTTCCCCCAGAAAGGTATAAACAGTCATAAGGAATTATAGAAGTGAGGAAATAAGGACAAAATGGCATATTCTTTTTACCAAAAAAAGGTAAGTAAATTTTTTTCTAATCTATTAATTTGCATTTATATGTTTTATGTTGAATTCTTTAAAACATGAAGAATTTAATACAGATTAGCATATGATTTGGAGATAGAAAAATATTCCGCCCATAATTATATATATATTCCTCCATACACACACACATACATATGTATACATAATCATAAACATGTATACACAATCTGAGGCAACCATCAAGACCTCAGATCTGTGCTGATATGATGTGTTTCATACATATTTGTCACTGAATTTTATAGATGTAGAAGTCACAGGCATGAAAAGTAGTTTTGGCATTTTGTTGCAATGCTCTTAAATTCAACTTCCTTTTCACTTTACTGTCTGTTATTTTTAATGGCTGGTGTTCTTAAGTATCTTTTGCTTAAGAGAAAAGATATCTGCTCTCAATCTTCATGCTTAGACAAACCAATGTTTGAATAATATAAAATATGAGCCGGGCATAGTGGCTCATGCCTGTAATCTCAGCACTGTGTTAGGCCGAGGCAGGTAGATCATGAGGTCAGGAGTTCGAGACCAGCCTGACCAACATGGTAAAATCCTATCTCTACTAAAAATACAAAAATTAGCAGGGCATGGTGGCACGCACCTGTAATCCCAGCCACTCAGTAGGCTGAAGCAGAAGAATCCCTTGAACCTGGGAGGCGGAGGCTGCAGTGAGCCAAGATCGCACCCTTGCACTCCAGCCTGGGCAACAGAGGGAGACTCTGTCTCAGAAAAAAAAAAAAAAAAAAAAAAAAAAAGAAGAAAAAAAAGAAGAACCAGGAAGTTCTTATTCCGTGTGGACACTGAATATAAAGGAAATAAATTTCTAGTGACATTACAGAACATTACAATAACACTGCTTATACAAGGCTTATTTTCAAGAGACCCATGTATCCAGAATGTTGCTTAGAAATATGGAAACATTTTCAAAGCTTCAGAGCATTTGAAATCAATGTCACTCATTCAATATCCTTAGCATAAAGAAAATATTCTCAGGTCATCATTCATACCTTATTTCCACTTTCTTTCCACTTTCTTCTTCTTTCTTGTTCTTTCTTCTTCTTCCTTCTTATTTTTTTGAGATTTGCTTTTCTAATTGTTTAACTTAAGAAGCTTAACAAAGTATGAAGCTGCTGGTCAAAAATGAGCACACAGATGATTGTCAGAAGTAATTACTGCTAAATTGAAAGTGCATGAGAAATCAGAAAATAATTCTAATATGTTTTGAGAAAAAAAAACAAAATAAAAGAGTAATCTGAGTACATTTAGGGTATGAATAATGAGTCATACACATTCCAAATTTCCTTGAGGTTATAGCTGCCTTTTATCATGGTAAAATAATTGATGCACAGCCTTACAATCTTCATGTTTTCAATAAACGGGCTACAATTAACTGTAATATATTTTGTTGACATCACCATAGCATTGTTAAACTGCTTCTTGGATGGATTTTTTAATCTAAGATTTTTGTAATTAAAGGAAAAATTTGAATTATCTAAAAACTTCACTTGGCCTTGAATGGAATCACTCCCTTCTTTATGGGTTTGGTATTATGGAACATTTCATGTTGCCTGGTCCCATATGAGAAATGATGTATGATAACATCATTGCGTAAGTTTCCATGAAATATTACCACTCCTGAAGCAAAATCTGCAGCTTAGAAATGCTTAAATTTGCCTTTGTCTTACACACAAAGCAAACAAAAATATCAATGCCTTTAAAAACTATATTTTGTGTGTGTGTTTGCCAAATGGCATGTTGTTTGTGTCCTTCATTATCTAATGTGGTAGATGCTATAGAATCATTTAATGTTATGTCCAGGCACTCTCTAGTCCAACCCTCTCCTTAGATCATGAGGAAAAAGACTCAGAGAGCTCAGAATATGTTTTCGTGCTCTTACCATTAGTATTGTTAACTATGAAGCAGATTTAAATTTCTTAATATCCAGCTTGTATTTTCTTTCTGTGACTATACCTTTAAGTAAAATTTGAACGTTTGAAAAAATACCTCAAGTTGGTTGGGCACAGTGGCTCACACTTGTAATCCCAGCACTTTGGGAGGCTGAGGCGGGTAGATCACTTGAAGTCAAGAGTTCAAGGCCAGCCTGGCCAACATGGTGAAACCCCATCTCTATCTACTAAAATACAAAAATTAGCTGGGCGTGGTGGTGCATGCCTGTAATCCCAGCTACTTGGGAGGCTGAGGCAGGAGAATCTCTTGAACCTAGGAGACAGAGGTTGTAGTGAGCCGAAATCATGCTACTGCACTCCAGCCTGGGTGATAAAGCGAGACTGTCTTGGAAAAAAAAAAGGAAAAAATACCTCAGGTTGATACGAATGCGTAAGTCTAAGATACCCTAGAAACAGATTCTTTGCTTTCCCTTTGGTAAAAACTTAGTTCCTTTGAACTGGAGTAAGTCTTTTCCACCAGACTAAACTGTACTAGACTTCTTTATTTTCTTTGATTCAAGAGTACATCTCTGACACTGCATGACAACTACCCCGATGTACCAGTTAAATTAATCTTATATAGCAATGTTTTTTGCCACAAAACATGGTCAGATTGACCTGTTTGCCTTAAGATGGTAGTGCCTTGTTCTTCCTGAACTGGCTGCAATCACCTTCCCTTTGAAAAAACACTGTCGTCTAGTGCTGCTGACTATGGACCTATGATCATATCCTGTCTCAAGGTCTTCATCTTTTATACAGTTCTCTTTAAAAGAGTTCTTTGATGGTCCACCTACCCTTTCAGCTTCTTTCTGTTGTTTGTTATCTAAAGAGGTCAGGTGGAGGGGGGGTGACTTATAGAAGACTCTGAATCACTCTGTATACAAAACAATAACTATAAAGCTCTTTCAACTTTGACCTAAAGTTTAAACATTTTCATAATAAAAGGTTGGAGGGACTTCTGTGAAAGTCAGTACATTATCTCAGAGATTTTTAATTTAAATTAATTACCCTACGGGGTTCATGATTAGAATTTATGGGGTCAGTGCCCTGAGATTAGAAAAAAAATCTTACAACCTTATTTTCATAATGTCTAAGCTAAATTTGGTATTTTCTATGATCATGAATTTAGGTAACATACCACAGTACTTTTAACATTACCTATGAGTTTTTACCAATAGAAATAATTTTAGTATTACATTGCAATTTTGTGCATGACTTGAATTGTTTACTATTTTGAAATTATAGATTTTTAGATTTACCAATAGTTCTTATTACTTAATGTCCCAATTAAAAGCAAATATATCTCAATATCACAATTTGTTTTAATTTTTTTGTTAACTATAGTTTAATATAATGAATTTCCTTCACAATACCATATATTATGTTTTATGTATTCAAAACCATATTTTGGGAAGGAGTTCATAGGCACTAGACTCTGTAGCACAAAAAAAGGTTGAAGATCCTCTGACAGACTACCATGCTCTGCTTTCCTTCTTGTGCCATGTCAGATGTGGCACCATACAGCCTTTGGGACTCCTATGGAAGCTTTGCAGCATCTCCCAGTCTAGGCCTGGAAATGAAGATCCCATACCCTAGGGATCCATCACCTTATTGTTCAAACAACGTCTGTGTATAACTAGACACATAACTTCACTTTATCACTTTCTCTCCCTCCCCATGAAGTACTTGGGGGGACATATTTACACTAAAAATTATCTGAAATTGAACTAGGCATCCTGTATTTTATCTGATCATCTTAGTCATAAACTCCACAAATATCCCCATGGGAATTTAAGCCAAAATTACAAATCCCGTCAGGTGACAACAACATGCACATAGAACCAGGTGGATTTGCATCTGGCAACTGAAATCTGAGAACTCCTACCAACTAGGTGTACAGGTTTGTAGTGGTCATTCTATTACATTCACAATTTCTTCATCATGTTGACTCCATGTGGATTGAATTTCCTAGATCTTATTCATTGCATTATGGTAAAGCTTTGCTGTTACTCAGCTCTTTATATTCATTTTCTCATTTAAACTTCATAGAATCTCAGAGAGTGGGCATGTTCCCCTCATTTAGAGAGGAAGCTATAGGGATTTGGGGAAATTAATAAACTAGCCTTAATTGACACAATTATTAATTGTCAAAGGCAGGGATCTAACTTAAATCTGTTTGAGTCATGCTTTTTCCATATGCTACATTGCTTCTCATGTCAAGTCAGAAAGTTTCAGAAGTAGAGCACATTATGCTAGGTGTGTTAGAGAATTTCATATTTTAATGGAGGGAAATAACAGAGCAGAATTTGAAAATATTTATAATTGTATAGTTCCACTGGAACTAAAAACAATAAAAATAAAAAGGCCTCTTTTGTTTAAACATCAAATCAGATTGTATTGGCAAAGCAATGCTTTTCCCCTTGGCATTAGAAAATGCTACAAGAGATGTGGTAAAAATCCACAAAGATAAAAATGTATACAGGTTTATTTTTAAATTAAATGTGATTAAAATATCAAAAGCCCTAACATCATAACAGAGGATGGAAAATCCTAATGTTTGGCATGCAAAATAATGACAGAGCAGAAAGCTAGTGATTATAATAAGAGAAAAGCAAATAATACACAAAAAGTAAGTACAGAATATTGTATTTAACCAACGAAAAACACAGCTGAATGGATGCACGTGCAATGTCTCCCTTGTATATTAAAAAATATGAGCTCTGTTTTCTTTTATGTATGTCCCTGGGAAAAACCAAAACTATTAGTGACCTTAAAGGGGAAGAAATTTCAGAAAAACAAAGGACAATTATGGTTGTTGAGTAGAATAGCATTAGGTTTACACTTTTAATTACATCATCATTAGACTAAACAAATCACTTTTGCTTAAAAGAGGACACATTTCTAGACACTAAAGAAGCTTTTCAAAAAAGATAATGTGCAACTCTAGATAATTATCAAAGAAGTATCCTTATTGTGTACAAAACTGCTTTTGTAATAGTTGGGTATTGATTGATGTGTGTGTGTGTGTGTGTGCGTGTGAATGTGTGTGAATTAAATATTTTAAATAAATTAGTGTAGGTGTTTTAAAGAACTACTTATTGCATCTGTTTGAAAGCATATTATTACTTTATCATTTGAATAAACACCTAATACTTTGACTCTACAAATTTTTGATTTTAAAAACTGCCTTTTTAAATTCAGGGCAAGATTTTAGTACAGCATAAGCATTTATAGAATGTTTTTGCTTTTTTCTAATTCATGTATTTCCTTTGTTTAGCATATATTATAATTTATACATATTCATCATTGTATCACAAATAATTTGAATGAAACCATTAAGGTAGTCCATGGAATAGGGCAAACTATGGTTATATATTAGAAAAATATGAATATTATTATAGCTACATATAATTTATTATAGAGGTGTAAGTAAACAACCAGATGGCCTTATTTTTTATTTATAACACCCCCTTTCCCATTCCGAATGGTAGAATTTTCATAGCAGTTGTTGCTACATTAGTCTTGCTAAGTTGACTCTTGCTGTGCTAAGCATTTTCTTAGATGCAAGATATACACAAGACCAGACAAAAGATTCAAAATAAAAAATCACTCCACCAACTAGTTGATTTTTTTCCAGGATGTCAAATAATGAACCTCACCCTTATAATGGTCTATAAACTGACTCCTCCGAATGCTCTTCCTTTGCTACTGACACTTCTGACTAAATGTACATCTGTTCCCCAAAATACTACCGTGCCAATTGGCTTGTGTGGAATAGCCTGAAAATTACAGGTAGTTTAATTAAACCTTTATACATTTGACTGTTAACCTTCCTTGAATATACCTGACTCTTCACTTTTGTATTCTGTGACTCAGACTCTGAAATTTCAAATGATAGATTAATGTAAAAAATAACGATATAGGATACATATTGAAATAACAAGAAATGCATTTGCCTGAATTGCTCCCTGACATACGAAAAGAGAAAAATGCAGGGATGAGGCCGTGGTAGAAAGCTCCACAGGTATATTGTGTGCCATGATTTAAAGACAGTTCTTAGACTTCTACTTTTTCATTCCCTTTCCTCCTTTGTCTCCCTATTCCCTGACATATGACCTTTAAATTTACATATATGCCCTGTGCTTCATATCCCTGAATTTAGATGGGTAAACCATTTTCTTGTTTTGGGCTTTACATTCTTTTGTTAATTTATTTTGGTTTCAGTTTCTACTTTCTCTCCATGAGTCACACATTCTCCCAACTTCTAATTCCCCATCTTCAAAAAAAAAGTTTTTTTTTTTTTCATTCTTCAGGATATTTTGTCGCATGTCAAAATATAATAATCTCCTAATCTCCTGGATGTCTTATCATCTCAAAATTAGGAAAATAAACCAAAAAAGCCTGTTATTTGTTTTGAGAATTTAGTGTTATGATTTTGTGTTATTTATAATTAACCATTCTGTGAATATGCAAGGGTTTCACAGACAATATATTATAAATTAAATTTGATCTATCAATCCTTATAGCTAGTGAGCATGGCAATGTTTCTAAGTGAGGGATTCTAGTGATAGTCCCAGGTAGAAGTTATGGGTCAGGATATTTGGGTCTGGCAAAGGAACGCCTATGCTACTCAGGTGTAACTCTAACACCTTTAAATCCCAAGGCCTGGCTCACATTATTGAATCATTGCTCTAAAGGCATAAAGGCATTCAATATTTAAAGCATTAATATTTTATTTTTTTACCTCCCAGCTAAAACATCTCTCCTACTACCGTGCATCATAAAGTCATGCTGATAAAGGGTGGACAGGGGTAGGCATATTATTCGGTTCACTTACTCCTAGTTAATTACCTTTATGGTTCAAATACCAAGTGATAATAGGAAAGCATGATAAATAGCTCTCCATTAAAATGCTTGGGATACTATAAAAAATGACTTGCTTTCTGCCACCCAGTTCCCAGCATATTTTTATCCCATAGTATGTTTTCTTCAGAACAAAACATATTTTTCCTTTATCAGATAGATTTGTGATAATACCTCAAGCTAGTTAAACTATGCCAATAAAATATTTGACATAATAATCACTTGAACATGTAATTTACTCTTAATTTGTTTAAGAAAATACATTTAAGATTAAATTTCTATATGTATTTTTATTAATACTTGTAAATTCAAGTATTATAAAAGTGTAAAACATATCTATGCTGTAAAATTTAATAACACTGGTAAAAATGATTTTAAGTATTAGCATTTGAGGGTACTGTCATTTTTGTTGGGTTGATATATTTTTTAATTTTTCATAATTGTTTCCATGAGAGTAGAATGAAAGTTAATCATGGTATGTGTAAACTCCTGAAGAATTAGAATGATCTTCTTGATGAAATGATACTAATCAATTTCTGGGAATTCTAAATAATAAAAGTGAGGAGTAGGCAGAATAATAAGTCCCTCCTCACCAAGATACCCAAATTCTAATTCCCAGAACCTGCCAGTATGTTCTGTTATGTGGCAGAGGGGAACTGAGGATATAGATGGAACTAAGGCTGTTAATCAGATGACCTTAAAATAGAGAGATTAACCTGGATTATCTAGGTGGGCCCAATGTCATCACAAGGGTCCTTATAAGTGATAAAGGCAGAAGAGGAGAGTCAGAGAGGGAGATACGGCTATGTGAATTAGGGTCAGACAGATGCAACATTGATGGTTTTGAAGACAGAGGAAGCAGACCAAGGGCCAAGAAATATGGATTTCCTCTAAAAGCTGGAAAAGGGAAGAAAGCAGGTTCTTCCCTAGAGCCCCCCTAAAGGAACATAGCCCTGCTGAAACCTTGATTTTAGCCCAATGAGGTTTGTGTCAGACATAAGACCTACAGAACTGTAAAGTAATAAATTCCTGTTGAAGCCCCAAGTTTGTGATGACTTGTTATAACAGCAATAGAAAACTAATGCAGGTATGTAATTCGTCAAAAAAGATACCATTTAATTCTATTTTCTTTTAGCCACTGAGTTGAAAATATGTTCAGGGAATTTCATGTTGATGTTGTATGCTTCAGTACTTGGGCAAACTTGATGCTTATATGAGCGATAAGAACTGGAATAGGGCATAACTGTTTGAAAGAAGCAGTATGCTATATTCTACAGGTGTTATAAAAAATCAGGGACTTCCACTTATGGGTGGAAGAAATGGGTATATAGAAATTCTCAAGAAACAGTTGTTCCCATTTTAACAGAATAAAGACATGCATAATTATTAAGCCTGTTGGAGAGCTGTGGAAGCAAATAAATCCAAATTAGATAATATTGAGAAAGCTTAGAAGAAAAGGTACATGTTTGCTTTAACTGCAACATAGTAGAAGTAGGAGAAGTTATCTGCCATAGCTGGAATTAAGAAGAAGAAACCAAATTTTTAACAAATGGCTGTGATTGGGAGGACATGATGTATTAGAAACCTGAGGAGTTCCAGCCAGAGTAAGTCTTCCCTAACCTGCCAAACCTTTCCTATAATACAAACTTTCACTTGACACACAGAAGTAGTACACTGAAGTCTGTGTGCAAGGAAGGAGAGCTCAGAGATAATCCTTAAGGTACGTAGGGCCTTCTCCAAGTTCAAGGCAGTAGTCATCTGAAGGCTTAAAGCAGGAGAAATGAGAAAATTCCCTAATAAGGCACATCAATTCTTCATCAAGTGAACTGGAGCTGACCTCCGCACCTGAGTACGGTGTATGTAAACTAAGAAAAATTCCTTCAAGGCACCAAGACCTTTCAAGGTGGATTACCAGCTGCTGAAGTTTGAATTCAGAGCAAGTGAGCTAATATAATTCCCAATAAGTGTACTGAATTAACCTCTGGAAGCTGGGAAGGGGCTGAGAGATGATCTGATATGCAGGAAGTTTATGGTGAGAACTGATCAGCAAAGAGAACTTTATAAAGAACCAACAATCCATCATGGAGGCAAAAAGCAGAGTGATCTCTCCCAATTTTAAAAGATAGCAGCCAGCCTGAAAAACATTTTTAGAACTTCAGTGCTCAGATCACAAATGTTGCTGAAGTAAAATTATTGATCCCTACCTCAAAATATTGAAAGTCAATAATTAACCTAACTTAATTGAACTTGGCAGAAAATTCAAACCCTACCTGAAAACAGAGTAAATTTGTCATCCAATCTATAGACCTGAGAGCAGACACAATTTACCAATTTTGTGGTAAAACAGTATTATTCCGGTCACTATTGTTCTTTTATACACAATGTCTGGCATAAAATAAATAACTGTGAAAGATGGAAGAAAAAAATTGACCTGTGATCAAGAGAGGAAATATTCCATATAAGTAGATACAGAGATGGCCCAAATGCCTGAATTACTACTTGATGACTTTAAAATAATGAGGGTAATGAGGCTAAAAGATCTAGTACCAAAGGAGGTAACATGCGTGAACAGGTGTAGAAATTCATCAAAGCAATAAAAGATATAAAAAACTGGAAATCTATAAACCATAGAACTGTAAATTATAAAAAATAACAAGAAAATATAGTGAAAAAAGAAATACACAATACCATAAATGAAGAATTCATTCAATTGGCTTAACAACACATAGCTCTTCCTCTGAATGATTTTGAAAGAAAGCAACAGAAATTACCAAAATCAAATACAAAGTCTAAAAAATGAAGCAGAAGACCTGATATCTGTGGCAGAAGGATATCAAGAGAAGTTATCACTAAGAACTTTTCAAAGTTGATTAACTACATCAACTGACAGATTCAAGGTCAGCAAACCCCAAACAGCATAAACACAAGAAAAGTATAACTTGGCATATAATCATAAAACTGTTGAAAACAAAAGGTACAGAGAATATCTTAGAGCAACCAGAAAATACTTACACACACACACAAACACATACACACACACACACGTGTGTGCACATATGGTTTTCTTTTTAATTTCTATTTTATTTTTTCTTAAAAAAACCCAGGATACATGTGCAGAACATGCAGGCTTGTTACATAGGTATACATGTGCCACGGTGGTTTGCAAACCACCACCTCAATAAATTTAACAACTTACATGAAATGGATAAATTCCTTAGAAGAATACAACTTACAAAACTGAGTAAGATAGAACTGAAAACTCTATCTATATACATTACAAAAATGAATTACTAAAATCTTTTATATAAAGAAAAATTGATGCTCACAGAGCTTTACCAGTAAATTGCTTTACACATTAATTTAGCAGTTCTTATGCAAATACTTTCAGGAATTGAAGTGAACACTTCCCAACTCATTCTATGAGGTCAATATAATCTTGATGTCAAAACCTGACTATTCTTCTAGGTACTTATCCAAGATAAGTGAAAACATGTGTTCACAAAAAGATTTATACAAGAACACTCCTCACAACTTCATTCATAATAACAGAAACTGGAAACCACCCAAATGTCCATTAACAGGTGAAAATATGAAAAATATATGTTATATTGATTTAACAGAATACTCCTCAGCAAATGAAAGGGATAAACTTTTCATTCAAACAATAACATAGATGATTCTCAAAGATATATTGTTGAGCAAGAGAAGTCAGATATAAAAAAGGTATAACCTATGATTTTATGATATGAAGTTCTGGAACATGTAAAACTAATCTACAGAGATAGACATCAGAAAATTGTTGATTCCAGATGCGGGGAGCAGTGATGGCAGGGTCCGCTCAAAAAGGAACATGAAGGAAAATTAAGTGGTAAGGGAAATGTTTTGCATTTTGCTTTGGGTGGTGGTTACATGGGAATTTTGATGGTCAAAATTCATCAAACTGAACAGGTAAAATCTCTATATATTTACAGTGTTTTAATTATACTTCAATTTGAAAAAAAGGCTTGCAAAGAATGGAAGCAGCAGGAACCTTGGAGTAATATAAAGCTGAATGGAGGGTCCCTTAAAATTGAGCAGAGGAGCAGGAAATAGTATTGTTAATTCATTTTGGCAAACCTCTATCAATGTCTTATAATTGTATGAATTCATATTTATCAAAGATTTAATGTAGAATGTCTGCAAGTATGGAAGTCTCAAGTTTTTAGTAGGTGACTTTCCTAGATTTCTGAGTGTAATTTCCAATCAACAGAAAAATTATAAACCAAAAGCTATCATAAAACTCTTTGTATTACATTAGCCTCTGCAATAAAAATTATTAGCATTCCAAAGGTGAAATCCAAAAGCAATTTTAATTGTAATCTGTGCAAATTATGAATTTTTGTTTTAAAAATTATAAAGTAACATATATTTGGTCAAAATTTTTAAAGTCAAATTATACCAAAATGTATACATTGCAAGGTGAATCCCTTTCTCATTGATACCCTCCAAAATTTTACTTCCAAGAGTGCTTGCCTTTAAAATTTTGGATGTATTCTTTCAGGACTTGCCTATGAGCACAAATTGTTAGAGTTTTTTTTTTTTTTTTTTTTTTTTTTGGTATGTAAAGCGGAAAGCAGGCTTTTTTCTTAGTATACTATATGAGGTACAGGCTTGCTCTTGCCCTTCCAAACACACATGACAACAGCAACAAAGGCTATCCTTGTTTAGAATTTACTTTACTTTCACTGTTATGACTTGATCATCTAAAGCGAAATGCTGAGCTAAGCTAGATGTCGACGTAGATTTATAATTGAAAAAAAAGAGGCTCTGCTTTTGAGGAGCATGTAATCTAATTAGGGAGGACAAGGCAAGAAATGACTTTGATACAGACAAATAAGTTAAATACTAGAAAGGAAGAATTAAGTTATCTTGTGTCACTTTGGAAATACCAGCCAACATATAGTTAGCATTGGCAAATCTAAAAAGTTACAGTTGCCTTTGCCATTAGAAATTGCTAACACCTAATAAAGTTTCTGTAGAATGATTTGGAAATTGACAAAGATCAGTCAGCAATGCTCACTGTTCAAGCATGGGCACATGTATAAGTGATCAGCCACCTGTCACTTTGTTGCTATGAAGCTGCTTATACACCTATATGAACTTGGTTGACAAATCAGCACAGTTATTCATATAGATATATAGTGATCTCTGTAACTCATATAGTCTGGCCTGAAATATCCACTTTGCTTTTGTGTAGTTTTGTAGTTTGCCTAGGTCATATGATAAAATATTGCACATAATAAGATCCTTGTCACCAATTCCTCCAGCAAGATAAAGTATCAACTTGATCCTCTCAGCCCAGTACCATTACTACATGATAAATTACCACAAAATGTAGCAGCTTAAAATGATCATAATAAGATGCTCATGGATTCTATGTTTAGGAATTGAGATAAAGTGAGATGGCTTGTCTGTGTTCCAAAATGCATAGGGCCTAAGTGAGGGAGACTTCACACTGTAGGTACATTAATGGCTGAGGACTGGAATTATCTGGAGATGTCTTCACTCCCATTTCTGGTGCTTAATACTGGCTGTAATCTGGGACTTCAGCTGTGTTTGTTGACCAAAACACATAAACAGGGCCTCTCCATGTGTCCTGGGTTTTCTCAGAGCATGCTCATCTCAAGGTAGTCAGATTTCTTAATGACAGTTCAATGCTCCAAAAGTTAATGTTCCATTGAGTATAGCAGAAGCAGCATTGTCTTTAATTACCTAGCCTCAGAAATCATGAGGTGTTACATTCACCACATTCTATTTGTAATGAGTCAGTCACAAAGGCCAACACAAATTCAAGGGGACAGAACTTATATCTCATTCATTGATGAGAGATGTGTAAATAAATTGTGAAAGTCTTACAAAAGAAACAATTAGGGAAGGTTTTCATTTCAATGAGAAAAACAATTTAAACAAAAAGCTACCTCTTGAAAAAAATTGTGTAACAAAAAGAATTAAATGGAAAAGACATATGCTATAGTATAACAGTATTGATCCTACTACAGTGAAATCATTTTGCACACATTATACCAGCCAATGCAAGTTCCTACTGAGGGAAATATATATGTTGCAAAACCATGTTTCCTCCCCTTGTCAATCCCAGTGAGAGTTTGTAGCCATCACTGGGATATCTAACATCACCCGTTGCGACATTTTGGTGTGTAAAGTTTGGGAAATATTAAAAATCTTCTGAACTGAAAATATCTTTAAGGTGATGATATTTTATTTTGGCAGTTATAAAGAGCTATAAAAATTAGCAGTGTCTCAGAATGTAAATTTGCTAATTCCACAGTGTTAAAGTTTTCCTATTTTGCTTTGTTTATGAAATTTTAGAGTGCCAGGGAATACACTATGTCTTGCAAATTATTTTTTAAAGCATAATAAATGGTATATGCCCACAAAATCCACAGTCTATGAAGGGAAAAAATAAATATAATTTTAAAACTCTATAAGCAAGGATGAGATTGCCAAAATTTCATTGGACATAATGACATTTGCACAGTGTAACCTTCCTTCAAAGTGATAGCTTCTTAAATTTACACAACTGTAGATGAAAAACAACCAAATAATTACTAAACAGTTTCCTTTTTTGGATATCAAGGGTAATAAGCAGATACCAAATAACTGAATTCTCCAGGTAACAAAAATCTCCCTCTTTTAGCAAGCAGGTTAAGAATTTTCTAAATTATATTAGATGGCTTATATTATCTTTAAATTAACACACATGATATAATTTAACCTTTTGGTAGATAAGTTTATTATTAGTAAATCAATTATTGCATTGTGTTTTAAATTCTGGTACCATCATCACAAACAAAAGTCATGGAATTATCTATACTTACCTTAGATATACTCAGCCTACCACATTTACTTTTATATTTTATATTTTGGCCTCTGTGTCTGAAGTGAGCAGGAGTGATGGGAGTAGAGTTTATATATGTTAAAAAAAAAACACACAGTATTTTCATCACCTTGATTCACTAACACTTGTGTCACTAATTGCCAGAACTGTATATAGTCTCTCTATGCATGTGTTTTTCTGAATCATTTGAAAGTTATAATATATATGATATATATGATGTGTATATGATATATATGACATATATATACATATATATATATATATATATATCAGCATGGATCCCCTAAGAATGAAATATATCACAAACACACGAATTTATGTGTACAGCAGTATTATCATATTGTTTATCCAATATTACAAATAATGATTTTATACCTTTTTACAAATCCATGATTCTGCACTGCATTTACTTGTTATGTTTCTAAAATGTCATTTAATTCAGAAGTGTATCACCTTCACGATACTGACATATTGGAAGCATCTAGATCAATTGTTTCATAGAATGTCTTACAATTCAGATTTGTATAATTGTTTCCACATAATCAGATTCAGGTTAAACATGTTTGGTAAAATTTCTACAGGGGTGGTACATGCTTTCCTTCACATCGCATCAAGGAGACACATAATATCAGTTTACCCCGTAATTGCGGACAATTTAGTTAAATTGGGGTTCTCTACAATACCCTTTTTAAAGGTACACTTTTACTTGTGTAGCTATACATAATCAGTGGGGTGACAGTTTCTTTTTTTTTTTCTTCAACTTTTAAGTTCCAGAGTACATGTACAGGATGTGCAGGTTTGTTATATAGGTAAATAAGTGCCACGGTGGTTTGCTTCACAGATCAATCCATCCCCTAGGTATTAAGCCCAATATACGTTACCTATTCTTCCCAGTGCTCTTCCTCCCCTGTCCTCCCCAGCAGACCCCAGTGTGTGTTGTTTCCCCACCCATGTGTTCTCATCCTTCAGCTCCCAATTATAAGTGAGAACATATGATGTTTGGTTTTCTCTTCCTGCATTAGTTTGCTGAGGATAATTGCTTCCAGCTCCACCCATGTCTCTGCAAAGGACATGATCTCATTCTTTTTATGGCTGCATAGTATTCCATGGTGTATATGTACCACATTTTCTTTATCCAGTCTATCACTGATGGACATTTGGGTTGAGTCCATGTCTTTGCTATTGTGACTAGTGCTAAAATGAACATATGCATGCATGTATCTTTATAATAGAATGACTTATATTCCTTTGGTTATATACCCAGTGATGAAATTCCTGGATCAAATGGTGTTTTTGCTTCTAGAACTTTGAGGACTTGCCACATTGTCTTCCACAACACTTGAACTAATTTACACTCCCATCAACAGTGTAAAATTGTTCCTTTTTCTCCGTAACCTCACCAGCATCTGTTGTTTCCTGACTTTTTAATAATCACCATTCTGACTGGTGTGAGATGGTATCTCACTGCAGTTTTGATTTGCATTTCTCTAATCATCAGTGATGGTGAGTTGTTTTTTTTTTCATATGTTTTTGGGACACATGTATGTCTTCTTTTGAGAAGTGTCTGGTCATATCCTTTACCCATTTTTTAATGAGTATTTTTTTCTTGGAAATTTGTTTAAGTTCCTTATAGACTCTAGATATTAGACCTTTCTCGAATGGATAGATTGCAAAAATTTTCTCCCATTCTGTAGGTTTTGTAAGTTCTCCTGGACGATATCCTGAAGTCTGTTTTCCAACTTGGTTCTGTTCTCCCCATGTCTTTCAGGTACCCTAATCAGTCACAGGTTTGGTCTTTTTATATAATCCCATATTTCTCAGAGGTTTTCTCCATTCCTTTTCATTTTTTTCTCTATTCTTGTCTGCCTATCTTATTTCAGAAGGATAGTCTTCAAACTCTGAGATTCTTTCCTCCACTTGGTCTATCCTGCTATTGATACTTGTGATTGCACTGTGAAATTCTTGTGTTTTTCAGCTCATCAGGTCAGTTATGTTCCTCTCTAAACTGGCTATCAGTTCCTGTGCTGTTTTATCATGATTCTTAGCTTCTTGGCATTGGGTTACAACATACTCCATTAGCTCAGTTAAGTTTGTTATTACCCACCTTCTGAAGCCTACTTCTGTCAATTCAGCCATCTCAGCCTCAGCTCAGTTCTGTGCCCTTGCTGGAGAGGTGTTGAAGTCATTTGGAGGAGGTGAGGCACTCTGGCTTTTTGAGTTTTCAGCGTTTTTTGCATTGATTCTTTTTCATCTTTTTGGGTTTATCTACTTTCTATCTTTGAGGTTGCTGATCTTTAAATAGAGTTTTTGTGGGGGACTTTTTTGTTGATGTTGTTGTTGCTATTTGTTTTTCCTTTAACAATCAGACCCCTCTTCTGTAGGGCTGCTGCAGTTTGCTGGGGGTCCACTCCAGACCCTAATTGCTGGATCCCTCCCGCACCTGGAGGTATCACCAGGGAACGCTGCAAAACAGCAGAGATGGCAGCCTGCTCCTTCCTCTGGGAGCTCCATCCCAGAGGGGCACCGACCTGATTGCAGCCTGAACGCTACTGTAGGAGGTGTCTGGAGAACCCTGTTGGGGGGAGTCTCACCCAGTCAGGAGGAACGGGATCAGGAACCTGCTTAAAAAAGCAGTCTGGCTGCCCCTTGGTGGAGCAGGTGCACTGCACTGGTGGGAGGACCCCCCTTGTCCAGACCACTTGGACTCTCCGGAGCCAGCAGGCAGAAAAGACTAAGTCAGCTGAATCACAGAGACCACGGCTGCCCCTTTGTCCAGGGGCTCCACCCCAGGAAGATCAGAGTTCTGTAAAATCCTGGCTGGAGTTGCTGAAATTCCTGCAGAGAGGCCCCACCTGGTGAGGAGGTGTGGATCAGGCTCCCACTTAAAGGAACTGTCTGGCCACAATCTGCCACAGCAGTTGTGCTGCACTGTGGGGAATTCCTCCAGGTCCAGACCACCCAGACCTCCAGGAGCTGGCAGGGGAAAACGGCCCACTGGAGCTGCAGTGATGGTGGCTGCCCCTCCCCAAAGGGAACTCAGTCATCTCTGGGGCAGTCTTCAGCCTGCTGCCACTGGCCAGCTGGAATTCCAAGCCAGTGGGTCTTAACCTCTGAGGTGCTGGGTGAGCAGAGCCTGCTGAGCGACGCTGCTTGGCTCCCTGGCTTCTGCCCCCTTCCTAGGGGCATGGTCAGCTCTCCTGCCTCACTGGAATTCCTGGGCAGGATTACGCAAAAACTCCTGTGTCTCCGTGCCTGCCTGAGCGGCTGCCAAGAGTCCACACAGCTCTGTGCTTTGGATCCAAGGCCCTGGTGGCATGGGCTCATGAGAGGATCGCCTGACCCATGGGTTGCAAAGATCTGTGGGAAAATCATGGTTTCCTGGGCAGGGTCGCAAAATCACTCACCACCTCCCTTGGCTGGGGGTGAGGGCTCCCCACGCTCCTTGCCACTCTTGGGCAGGCCGCTGCCCCACCCTGCTTTTCCTCGCTCTCCATAGGTTGTGCCAACCACCTAGTCAGTCCCAATGCGAGAACCTGGATACCTCAATTGAAGGTGTAGAATTCACTAGCCATTTTCCTTCTTTGTGAGAGCCACGGACTGCAGCTGCTTCTAATCAGCCATCTTGGCCCAGGGTGATAGTTTAACACAGTGGAAAGTTCAGGTGCCCCAAAACCCAATGGCTTTAGCATCCATTAATGATCCCTGCCTAAATCAGTTATCACTTTGCTCATTTATAATTGTCACTTTCTAATTGCTTTATTCCATCTATTTTGGCTGTCATTCTTTCATAACAAGAACTTTCACTCCTTACTGTTTCCTCTTTTTGAATACTAACATGGATTCAATGATTTTTTCTCAATTGTCTATGTTATAGCTTCTACTGTCACTATCCTTTTTTTTCTTTTCTTTTTTTTTTTTTGAGATAGAGTCTTGCTATGTTGCCCAGGCTGGAGTGCAGTGGCAGGATCTTGGCTCACTGCAACCTACACCTACTGGGTTCAAGTGATTCTCATGCCTCAGCCTCCCAAGTAGCTGGGATTACAAGTGAGTGCCACCATGCCTGGCTATTTTTTTTTTTTTTTTTTGTATTTTTAGTAGAGACAAGGTTTTGCCATGTTGGCTTGGCTGGTCTCAAACTCCTGACCTCAAGTGATCCACCCGCCTCAGTCTCCCAAAGTGCTTGGATTACAGGTGTGAGCCACTGTGCCCAGTCTCACTATTCTTTTTGATGTTCAATTGAACCACATGTGGCCAGTGGGGGCCCTTTTAAGCTGACACGCCCTCATTGATATTTGAGCAAGTCTTCGGCAAAAAAGTTCCAGACTCTGCTCTTTCCATATTCAGACCTAGAATCAGTTGTTTATCCAAGGAGGACTGGTTCTTTTCAGTGAGTAATGGTATTTAGAAAAAAATATTTGAGTATTAAGTGTTGTGACAGTAATCAATTTATTACCTCTCAGTTCCAGCTGCACACTTCAATATATACTCTGTGGTAATACACAAAATTCCTTTGTTTCTCCTATAAAGTGGGAATGATGTTAGGCTTTCTTAGGAGGCACAGGAGGCACATATTACAGCAGGAAAGGATCCTCTTGCAGTATGGTAGAACAGTTGTGCCAGTGGAAGGACACAGTGGCACTCTGCCCCAGCGATGCACGTAGCATGCCTGATCCTTGGCAAACTGAGATCCTTGGCCTGGTTAAACTAGTACCTCAAAAGTTTCCTCCTTACACCACCTGATTAACCTCTGCAAGTCCCATGCTATTCAACTGTGGCCCAGAGGATTTTTATTTTCTCGTTGCAGATTGCCTGGTGATTGCCCACTCTTTGGTTGCACTCTGAAAGTTTGCTTCCTGCTTGTCCAGTTGACTGCAGACAAGCTCTGGTCTGGGAAAACCAGCAAACTTCTCCACTATCTAGTGGGCTGAACGACACTTTCACCCACGAGATCTGAAACCCAACCCTGGGGCAGGGCCTCCTTCCAAATTTGTCCTTCTTTCCATACTGTCCTTCAGCTGGAGTACCATATAGAGTTTCTGCACATCTTATAGTCACCTATTATCACAATCTAATAATTTTTATTAATCTTCCCCTGTTTAACCAACATTGTGATTTCTGTATCCTGATTGGGCTTAGACTGATACAGGGGTGCTCATTGCAATGAGTGCCATTGTTTGTAGGTCCTTTGAGTGGGCACAGATAGGATGCATACATAAAGAACTCACACTGATATCTCTAATTCAAATGCACCCCCACAAGCTGTTCCTCACTCTTCATAGTTGTATCTCCCTTTTCTCACAGTGAGAAACTTGCTTCAAAACAACATCAGTATATTAATCATTAGAACCGATACACACAGGATATTATATTACTCTATAATATACACAATAGAGTTTAGAATCACTAAACCAATACCACTACTAACAACAAAACTACTATGTAATATTCAATGCTTATTTGTAGATTTTTGTTCTTAAAATTTATCTAGTAAGTATTTAATCATAGTCCTGGATACAAAAATTAATTTATTATCATTTCCGTAGAAGGACAAATTTGGAAGGAGGCCCTGCCCCAAGGTTGGGTTTCAGACCTTGTGGGTGAAGGTGTCGTTCAGCCCACTAGATAGTGGAGAAGTTTGCTGGTTTTCCTAGGCCAGAGCTGGTCTGCAGTCAACTGGACAAACAGGAAGAAACCTTTCAGAGTGCAACCAAAGAGTGGGCAATCACCAGGCAATCCGGAACCAGAAAAATAAAAATCCTCTGGGCCACAGTTGAATAGCGTGGGACTTGGAGAGGTTAATCAGCTGGTGTAAGGAGGAAACTTTTGAGGTACTGGTTTAACCAGGCCAAGGATCTAAGTTATACATATAATCAGTCTGATATAGATTATAAGTTCATTTATCTATGTTTTCAATTTTTGGATTCAGTTAATTCCCTTTTTGATATTTATGTTTGTTATTTCTTAAATCTTTTTTAGAGGCAGGATCTTGCTTTGTAACCCACATTGGAGTGCAGTGGCATGATCACAGCTCACTGAAGCCTCACACTCCTTGGCTCAAATGATCCTCCTGCCTCAGCCTCCCAAGTAGCTTGGGAATACAGGTGCACAACACCACCCCTGGTTAATTATAAATAATTGTAGAGACAGAGTCTTTCTATGTTGCCTAGGCTGGTCTAGAACTCCTGTCCTCAAGTGATACTCTTGCCTTGGCCTCTCAATGTGCTGGAATTACAGGCATGAGCCAGTGAGCCTGGCCCCCTTTTTGGTCTTTTTAAAATTTAAAATATTCATCATTTCAAAGTGGATTCTACTTATTAAAGACTTTCTCACTCTGATTTCCCTCTATTAGACCATCAGCTATTTCAGAGAAGTGCTATGACTGCATCCCTAATTACTCCTTTATTCTCTCAAACATTATAACTTTTGACTTTTAATGTTCTCCCCTCTGTAAAACAAAACATCCAAATGTGTTAAAATGAAAGTTAAACTCTGAGTAAATAGACTCTACCTGAGAACCTATAGTGTTATTATCCAAATGGTATGTGTTTAAAAACCTATTAGTGAATGAATTTCTTTAAAATAGTAAGGCTTTCAAATGTCTTTGCATGTTCTGCTGTATTCAAAATTACTGACATTCCAAGATGAGTGATTGCCAACAAATAAAATATTGGCATACTCCAATGAAATGTTAAAATGACCTGTAAGAGGATTATGATTCTTCCCAGGATGATGAACAAAGTGGTGTACAAAGGCTTTCCTGAAAACCTAGAAACTCATTATTTTAAAATTCACAGCCATTAATTGCTACATATTACAATAAACCATTAATATCAACTAAGAACTACACATATACACACACACAGACTCTTTCTAGTTTATCACTTTTGTTTGTGTGTGTATACATATGATATAAAACATTTTTAAACCTATATTTTATATATTTTCAAATATGAGATGAAATGAAAAGTATGAAAAAGCAAGCCCTAAAATAATAATAAACAATAAGAATAAAAATAATTAGTTTGCTTATAATGGCTCTTAAACATTTGACGTAATCATGACATAAAATCCACGAGTCCACATTTATTTATGAAAATGATGAAAGTATACCTGTTTGGCATGAGCATGCCTACTCACAAATGAGAACATATTTATACTAATGCATCCATTCAATCTAAAGTAGGACATATGTTTGCTGATTTTTCCTGGTGCTAAATGTGTAGCATTGGTGAATAAATCCTGAGTCATGCAAGTATAATATGTAATGCCTTCCCAGAATTGTGTTATGTCCTGAAAGGAATAGGAAAAAATATTGTGATGTATGTATTATTAGGCAAAGGAGAGTACAGTCTATTGGAGAAATAATAAGTGATCAAATTGGATTGATAACACATAAAATCATCAAAATATCATGATTTAGCTTGAGTTATAAGTATTATACAAATAATTTAAATATTTTGCTGACAAAATTATCAAGTTTTTATTCATTCCTTTTTGTATTCTAGACCAGGGGTCCCCAATCCCTGGGCTGTGAACCATGGCCTGTTAGGAACCAGGCAACACAGCAGGAGGTGAGCAACAGATGGGTGAGCATTACCACTTGAGTTCTACCTCCTGTCAGATCAGTGGAGGCATTAGATTATCATAGGACAGCAAACCCTATTGTAAACTGTGCATGTAAGGGATTTAGGTTGCACCCTCCTTATGAGAATCGAACTAATGCCTGATCATCTGAGGTGAAACAGTTTCATCCCGAAACCACCCTCCTCCCCCACCAAGAATGTCTGTAGAAAAATTGTCTTCCTCAAAACTTGTCCCTGGTGACAAAAAGGTTGCAGACCACTGCTCTAGACTACTGTTTCATTAAATATGATTTCCATTTCTTGTTAAATATTATAGTTAATTTATTTTAAAGTATGTATTATTAATACATAACATGTATGTACTTTGTGTAAAAATTAAGAAATATGATAATAAAGTACCCAAGAACCCACCATCCAACTTACAAACTGGAACGTAATATACTGCTTTTATTTGTAGACTCTATTTTAGATATTTATCCTGCCTTGTTGCCAGAGGTAACCACTATTCTAAATGCTGTGTTTATTTCTCCCTTGTTTCAAAAATATGTGAATTGATACCTTTACCCCCTCCCAATTTAAAAACCCTAGAATACTTTGATATTGCTATCTTTTGACTATTTTTATTATATTTTGATTCTGTTCATTTTAAGATCAGACATTACTTTGTTTCTTTAATTTTCAGCTCTTCATAAATCTCTGCCTTTCAGAGATTTATTTATTGGTGAATCTGAACCTTTAGAATTTCTTTTAGACTGAGTCTGCTGATGGCAAATTCCAGTTTTAGCTTCATTTTGTTTCGTTTCCTTTACATTAGTTCTGGGAAAATGTTTTACCTGGATATACATATAGGATTTATTTTATTTTGAAAGGCAAATTGAACAAGTCATTCTATTTTCTCCTGAATTCCACTGTGACTTACAGTCTGTCTCCCTTTTGAGGTTTATCTATCTTATTTTTATTAGATTATTTTTAATGTTTCCTTCTGCTTTTTATTCTGTTTCACTATGTGTCCAGTGAGAGTGTGTGTGTATACATGCACATATGTACCTAACGTTGATGGAGATTTGTTGGGTTACTTGAATCTGTGGAATAGTATCTTTTATCAGTTTTACAATATTCTTCAGCCATTATCTATTCAAATATTGCCTTTTCTCCTTTAATTCTCACTTCTTCTAACTGATATTAACTATATGTTCTATCTTTGTATTGTATCCTCCATGACTTTTATCCTGTTTTGTATTTTTGTTTAACTGTGCTTTATTCTAGGTATTTTTCTGATGTATTTTCTGGTTCACCAGTACTCTTTATAAATATTCACTGACATGCTTCCAGTTCACCAATTCTCTCTTCAGCTATGTTAATCTGATGTTAACCACATATACTGAATTATTGATTTTAATTATTTTGTGTTCCAGTAATTCTATTTTTTGTTTTTATATGTACTATGTCATCTTTATGGTTATTCACTGAATATATTTTAAACCTTTATTTTAATGCATTGAAGAAAATGTACTTATTTTATACCCTGATAATCTCAACAGATTTTTGTGGTCTGTTTTACTGGTTCTCACTTTTTTTGGTCTTATTTTCCTATGTGCCTCCCAATATTCCTATAAGGCCAGTTAAAAACTACAACTTTTGTTTCACAGCTGTTTCTTTACAAGAAGCAATACCCTGAGGGAAAATAATAACTTTGGTACCAAGCTTACCTCTCTTGATTTTGCAAACCCACCCCACACACATCTTTATCTGGTAATTTCTTACTCTCTTGTTAGCTATTTTATGCACTTAGGGATTTATTTTTTAAAGTTCATCTGACTCTTTTAATTGTCCTCAGCAGGATGCTTAGGAATAATTCTCTAAGCCTCCTTCCCAGAAGTAAAAGTCACCAGATGGCCTCATTCCTTTAACTTTAAAAAACAGTTTTGTCACATTTGTTTAAAAATGTTTACTTTTCCATATTTTTGGTCCACATAAACATAATATTGCATAATATATATTATTCTATGACCTAATATTTTCACTTGTTGTAGTAATTTTATGAACTGTATTGATATGTAAATTTTCCTTCTAAAGATACTTTGAAATCTTTGAAAGATTAGAAAAAAGCAATAAAACATCATAAATATCCAATTATTTGAAGAGTCAGAAGATAACTTTCTATGCCATGTTTGGGGGAGAACAAAAAATCTTTCACAATAAAGATACAATTTCTCTCAATACAAAATCTCTCAATTTTCCCACCAGAAATATAATTGAGAATGATTCGCTATAATCTCTTCCAGTCTTTCTCCTACATGTGTGTATGTATGTATGTATGCATTCTAAAATTTTAGTCTAAAATTGTTCAATAAACCCATTGCATATGTGATCTATTATGAAGTTTTAAATACTCTTATAATGTAGTTAATTTACTGTTTAACACTGGATATTAACACACACCATGGATGGTGTATATAGCACTAGAATATCACATTATTCATGTTTCACTATTCCTAAAAAATAAGGCAAAAGTATTCTTGACTAAAATATGGTTAAGAATGATTTCAAATGTAGCAGTTTTAAGATTTATAGTTACACTGACTCAGATATCATAGAAATGTAAATTTTAAATTACATTTCTTTAGATAATTCACTTTGCTCATTGATTATTTTAACCTGTGAGGAAAAAATAGAATATTCCCACTAAGTTATATTTGTAAAAAGCTGTGCTTTCTCACTCATGAAGTTTGTATTGAACTTGTGTGCCAAATGCAGTTTTCAGAATTAATAAAGGCAGACAATTGCTACAAAATCTGAGGAGCAATAAATACCAAGGAGGAGATGGTGGCAACTATGTACCACCTAAAACTGGAGTTCACTGATTTAAAAAATTACAGGAGTGTTGAAAAACAACAAGTTGTATGAGTACTTCTCAATCGCTGAAGTTGTTCTCCCAGTAGTTTTTCACACTGATCCGTGCTCCAATAAGAACACCAAGAAAATTTCATAAAGAAATTGCATCCTTTTTGAAGGTTCTCTACTACAGCAGTTTTGAATCCAGTACTCATCTTGATCTCTAACTAGTCTGGATTTCTGCTTTGGTATTTTAGTCATCTCCAATCTTATATGAGCCCTCTTTTGGGTTAATGTGATCTCTGCTGAGTAAATACACAGATTCCAAGGTTTCTCCTTTCCATTTCCAAAGGTCATATCTGAGACAAAAACTTATTATGGCACCAGAGGTGAACAATCTGAGAGCTGTACCCTGGTGGCCTCCACTGAAAAGTCTTCTGCCATTTGGTCTCTGAATGTTGGTTTTCATAGAAGCTACAGCTGCTCTTGCACTGCAGTGCCTGCTTTGGATTTTCCTGATCCCTGCCATGATTTCTGGTTTAAAGGTCATCCTTATCTCAATCCTTGATCCTTGGCTATTGACTAGCCTTTATAGCACTTATGCATTCACTTGGGACATATGGAAACTTATTTGTAAATAAAGTGACATTCCTTGTCTGCATATCCTCTGTTACCAATTCTGATCTTCCAAAGCAAACCAATCTTGACCTTAGAAATGAAACCTTGTTCTGTCCCAGAGTTCAATTTTGAAAATTAATCATAGGCCCTCACTGATTTAGATTTCATCTTCAACCTAGCTGGGGTTTCTACTTTTCTCTCTCAAACGCCTGAGTTTTGAAATGAAGACCCGGTTTTCATAACTCTTATTTCTAAAGATTGGCTTTTGAAAGCTCTTTTAGATTTAAAAATGTGAACAATGACTCTTTCTCTTGCTTTCCAGATATAGCATAGGACTCCCTGAGGAATGAAGCAATGGAGCACTCCAGCAACATAAAGAAAAATTCAAAATAAAGCATATTAATAGTCTTTGAAATATTTTTCTACAGAAATCATGACTCAAAGATATGTTTTATTAAACTCATAACTTTCCATTATGCTCTAAAAGAAAAGATATAATGATAATTAGGTAAGGTAATAAAGAAAATAAAAGAACCAATTTTATCATTAAATTCTTAAGTTGTTTCTTTAGTTTGGTTTTAAAGAGAAAATATCACAATTACTTAATTTCAAAGTCAAAACCCCTACATTATTTTAATCTACTTTTATATTGTCAGTCAACTTCATCCACTCTCGAGTTAATCAAAGGAAATCATGTTTCATTACCATTAGTGAAATGCCAGACTTCCTCAGCAGTTGGTTTGATTTTGCTTTAGCATTTGCTCATCTTGACTATACATCACTTTTTAGCCATCCTATATGGGATACAGACCATGGCAAGTTATTTAATATTTGTGCCTCTGTTTTATCATTTGCAAACTATAAAATTAACAATGTGCTGATCCCTGCATTCTATGAAGGCTACATGAGACTATGTAAGTATCAAGTTCATAGCACAGTAGATGTTCGGTATGTTAATGATTCTTTCCTCTATTTTTATTTTTCCATTCACTTTCTTTCTAGGTTGCAAAGGGAACATTACAATTCTAATGTATTTTTTTCTCATTTGCTTTAAGGATTTCTCTCTTATAAGCAAAATAATAAAGCTCCTGTTTTGTTTTGTTTCTTGTCCTCATAAAATACACTGGTCTAGGTTTTAGATTTAATAGGTACTCACTAGTGTGTAAGTAGTTTTTTGTTTTGTTTTGTTTTTGTTTGATTTTTTTTTCTTTTTTTTGAGACAGAGTCTCACTCTGTCACCCAGGATGGAATGAAATGGCACGATCTTGGCTCACTGCAACTTCTGCCTCCTGGGTTGAGGTGATTCTCACGCTTCAGCCTCCCGAGCAGCTGAGACTATAGGTGTGCTCCACCACGCCAGGCTCATTTTTGTATTTTAAATAGGGACAGGGTTTCACTATGTTGGCCAGGCTGGTCTTGAACTCCTGACCTCAGGTGATCCACCCACTTCAGCCTTCCAAAGTGGTGGGATTACAGGCGTGAGCCACCGTGTCCAGCCATAAGTAGCTTTCTTTAAAAGCAATTTCAAACAAAAATGGCTTTACTGTTATCAACAATAAATACATTTTATATTATAGTTCTGGATGGCTTAAATACTAAAAAAAAAAAAGTAGTTGAATATTTTACTTTAAGAGATACTCTATATTTGTTGAAAAATGAATTATACAAGAAAATAACCATATCCAAAGTCACAGGACCCACGTTTCCAAATACACAAAATATTTAAACCAGTCATTTAAATATTATACTCTGAGTTGGTAAGAAACGTTCTCACCTAACATTCATGGTTTTCCTAAAAATGGTAAATGTGTAAAATCCTCAAAATATTGCATAGGCAAATATGCTATTGCCTACCACATTAGAAAATTTCCTAGGAATAATTTCTGTTAGGCAATCCAGGGTAGTAGAATGTAAGCTAATAAAGTGAAAATCACATGTACAGTTGAAGCAAGCATGGAACCTCTAGTTATTCACTTTACACCGTAAATAGAAAAAAAACCCCACCAAATTCCCACATATCTATATAATCTTCCCAATTTACCTGAAATCCTTCCAATTTAACACTCTCCTCCAGTTTAAGTATTTATCTCATGAAGAATACTCTTAAAATGACAACTTCTAATTCAGAGAAATAACACATTATGGCATTGTCTGCTATTAGCCTACTTTTTATGATTAGGTTTGGACTGGTTTCCAGGTCCATCTCTCTTAGAATTTTATACAGTAAGAGTGAAACGTGGCCAAGATATCTGTATACTTTAACAAGCACCCCTCACCCCCATTGAGTGTGTTATGGTTGGTCTAGTAAAGGACCCTTAGGAATTCTGCCTAGAAAGAAAGGGCTGCTGCATAAAGCTAATAAACAGCTAGGGGAATCTTCGAATTGGAAGGTGATTATAAGGCAGGAGAAAGGAAACTTGAGAACAAATCAATTTTGTATATTTGGCCAATGCTGGCTTCTGATGGAGTCCCTTTTAGACTGCATGGCCATACTTTAAAGTAACTGAAATCTATGAGAACACATATAAAAGGAAAAAAAAAGTACTATAAAGCATGCCATATTCACAAGGCAGATTCCAAAAAATATGCTTTCACTTAAATTTTTACATACATGTGTCTCTGAGTAAAATAAAAACTATCAATTGTGAGTCTGAAGTTATCAATCATCAAATATGATTGTTTTATATTAATTTTTATCTGGTGGGAAGGCCATAAAAAATGAAATATAATTTCCTGCTTTTTAATGGTCCTATAAACTAGAACACATTTGCCCTTAATGGGGTTAATTATATATATATATATTTATATATATATTTATAGATATATTTATATATATCTATAGATATATTTATAGATACATTTATAGATATATATATTTATAGATATATTTATATATTTATATATATGAAGTAATTTGATAAGAATGGTTTATATACTATTTTGTTTTAGGTATTTTTAAACTAAGGAAATATTATATGTAATTTTAATATTTATGATTAAAATAGAATTTAGCACCTCAGTATGTTCAATTTAAATTAGACTTTGGTTATACATTATTTAATGTACAAATAGGTTTGAGAATACAAAGCCATATTTTAGAAACTTCTTTTAGGCCTACTATTTAAAACATGTCCCAGGGAGCAGTAAGATTTATGTTACATTTTAAAGTCTCCTTATTCTTATTTTTCAAACTATTTACAAAGATTAAAACTTATATTACTGGGATAGGAAATATCCAAGACTAAAACTGTAATTTTATAGACAATTTGTCTTTGTATTCATATATGTATAATTGACTATAAAATGCATTCAAAACTGGCCTCCACAGGCAGGAAATCATTACAAAGAAATGCGGTTCAATAAGGTTTCCTAGTGTTCCTTAGTTCAATTTGAGTTTGAACCTTCTCGAAACTAAACAACCAACATTGTTAACTAGCAGTTATAGTTGGGTTTTAATAGCTTTTAGGTTTTTTTTTAAATATTTTCTGTAGGATAAAAATGAAAATTTTCCAATGATAAAAGGAAACTTAGTGTTCATACTCCAAGGCTTTAGAGCAGATGGGTGAATATTTTCTGGAATAAGCCAGATAGTAAATATTTTCAGTGGTGTGGACCACATATAGTCTGTCACAGTCATTTAACTCGGCCATTGTAGCTTGAAATCAGCCATAGACAGTACGTAAACAATGGACATGACTGTGTTTCATTAACAGTTTATTTACAAAAAAAAGCAATGTTTTGACCTGATTTAAAACACAGAGTGAAGGCATAAAAGAGTAAAACAGTTATATTATTCATACAGAAGCTTAGCCCTAAGCCAGGTGTGTGAATTCCACATGAGAGCCATTGATTGCGACATGACGATTAACCATTTCTGCACCTCTTAATTCACATGAATTTTGTGAAGACAAAGTATAAATACTACTTTCCTTTATCTCCTGTTACTTTCTCATTCTTTGAGCACAGAGCCTATGTACGACCAAGATAGTTATGTGTTTGCTATTAGATAAATACAAAATCATTAAAAACATCAATCACTTCTACAAAGAATAACGTTGGTCCAAAATAATAAAAATGCCCTACAAATCCACAATACAAACTTTATCAAAGGAAAAATAGTATTATGATTGTAAAGAAGGGCCATGGATTGACAATGGTAGAGGATTCTTTTCCTATTTTCAGCGGAGACATTTAGGACAAAAATTTATTCAGAGTTAAATATATGAAAGAATTGGCACAAAGTCAAGCTACATGTTTGAAAATATTTAAGTTATCTAAGTAAAAACCACTGTTGTTCTTATTGTGTTCCTGAAGAAGATGACAAAATCCAATTTTCGGAAATGGTCAATTGCTTAAGTACAATGTGCACATCCTCATGGTAGAAAAGATGTGACAGAGAATGTTACTTCTCCTTAATACTCTTTTTTTGAGACAGTTTCGTCGCCCCTTGGCAGTTATGTGGGGCCATATGGTTGCATTCTGGACAATGAAATATGAATGGAAGTAATATACATTACTTCAAAGATTGGTTTTTAAAACATCTGTAGAAATTTGCATGCCCCTTTTCTGAGTTTATTCACTGGTAACAAACAGGGGACACAGTAGAGGGCTCCAAAACTCAAGAATGATTGGGACAGGAAATCATGTGATTAAAGAGAGTTCTGGCTAGAATTGGGTTTAAGAGGCAAGGTTGTAACGTCTTAAGAGAAATAAATAAATAATATATGAATTTTTTAATATATACCTGTTCTGTCTCTAGTATGAAATAAAGGTTACATTTGTAACAATTAGAGTACATATGTGTGCATTATTTATATATGTGTGTATCTATACATATCACATGTACACATATACATACATGTATCTATACATATGGTATGTACATATATGTATATATACATATAAATATACACATATATAAATACATATCTACATATAATATATACATATATTTATAACATACATATTACAAATATACAAATTATATATACATGTACACATGTTATAGATACATATTACATATGCATATTTACATAATATGTACAGATTACATATGCATATTATACATAATATGTACAGATTACATATGCATATTATACATAATATGTACAGATTACATATGCATATTATATATAATATGTACAGATTACATATGCATATTATATATAATATGTACAGATTATATATGCATATTATATATGCATATTATATATAAAATGTACATATTATATATGCATATTATATATGGATAATATATATAAAATGTACATATTATATATGCATATTATAAATAAAATGTACATATTATATATCATATTATATATAATATGTACATATTATATGTACATATTATATATGCATATTATATATGCATATTATATTATAATATATATTAATTATATATATTATATAATATATATTAATTATATATATTATATAATATATATAAATTATATATATTATATTATATATAATATATTATATATTATATATATTTTATATTATATTATATATATAATATACATATATATAAGATATAATATATATTATACATTATATATTATATATTATACATTATATATTATATATTATACATTATATATTATATAATATATATTATATAATATATAATATATAATATGCAATATATAATAAATAATATATAATATAATATATAATATATAATATATAACATTATATAATATAATATATAATATATATAATATATATTATATATTATATTATATAATGTTATATATTATATACCATATTATGTATTATATACTATATTATATACTATATTATATATTATATATATTACATATTATATAATATAGTATATAATATATAATATAGTATATGATATATAATATAGTACATAATATATAATATAGTATATAATATATAATATAGTATATAATACATAATATAGTATATAATATATATTATATTATATATTATATATATTATATACTATATTATGTATTATATACTATATTATATACTATATTATATATTATTTATATTATATATTATATAATATAGTATATAATATAACATAGTATATAATATAATATTGTATAAAATATATATAATATATTATATTATATATATTATATACTATATACTATATTATATATATTATATACTATATACTATATTATATATTATATACTCTATACTATATTATATATATTATATACTCTATACTATATTATATATTATATACTATATTATATATTATATATTATATATAATATAATATATAACATATTATATATAATATATATAATATAGTATATAATATATAGAATATATAATATATTATATATGCATATTTTATATAGTATTATATATGCATACTATAATATGTATTATATATGCATACTATAATATGTACATATTATACATGCATATTATATATAATATGTACATATGTACATATTATATATGCATATGATATATAGATATATACATATTATATACATATTACATGTATATTATATATACATATATACATATTATATATGCATATTAAATATACATATATGCATTATATACATACTATATATCCATATATCATATGTACATATTATACATATCATACATACATATATCATATGTACACATCATACATACATATACATACATATGTACATATGGTATATACATGTACATACGTATGTACATATTATATATACATATACATATGTACACATAGATACATATTAAACATACATATATACATATATACATATACATATATACATATGATATGTACATATATACACATACATGATATATACATATTTTATACATATATACAAACCATACATACGTGTTATATACATATATACATATTATACATACATATACATACAAATACACATATATACATATTATATACACATATATACATATACACACACATATGTACACATACATATACATACATATATACACATACATATTACACATATACATATATAGATATACCTGCATATTATACACATATATACATAGTGTACATACATATTATATACACATGTATACATATTATATATACATGTATACATATTATATATACATGTATACATATTATATGTACATACATATACACATATGTATATATACCTATTATATATATACACGTATGTATATATACCTATTATATATAGACATACACATATATGTATATATACCTATTATATATAGACATACACATATATGTATATATACCTATTACATATACACATATATGTGTATATACCTATTACATATACATATACACATATATGTATATATACCTATCATATATAATATACACATATATGTATATATACCTATCATATATATACAGCTATACATATTATATATGCATGTATGCATATATACATCTTATATAGCATATGTACATATTATATATGCATATATGCATATGTACATATTATATATGCATACTTGCATATGTACATATTATATATGCATACATGCATATGTACATATTATATATGCATACATGCATATGTACATATTATATATGCATATTTGCATATCATATCTGCATATATACATGTTATATATACGCATATATACATATTATATATACATCTGTAATAGAGTATATATCATGTTTGTGTATATTTTTTATTAGTATATATACAAATATTATATATATATTTAAATATATACACACGTATGGGCATATCGTATATGTGTGTATAAATTTCCCAAAGGTCTGTTTAGAATAAGTTTCAAATTATAGCTCAGAAAACAGATACCAATTTTCTTCAATTATCTTTTTACAGTGTTTAAATCTAAAAAGTATTCAATCCTACTCAATGTTTCTGAAAAGTAGACTGTAGTAAAAATTTAGGTTTTGATAATCTTTCTTCTTCCTAAGTGCCAATCTATAAGAAAAAAAACAGAAATCCTTTTTTCTTTTAATCATTGGTATGACAAATGCAGGCACAAATAATTTGTTTTATTGTATTTCATAGAATAATGTATATCCCTTGCATTCTGCAAAAATTTCTGAAAAAGATGAATTTAAACAAAATGGATTTTAATCTGAAAACAGAAAAACAATGCAGTCACATTTTGAAGTCTGATTTACAATTTGTGACAATCAATTGTGCCACTCTTGTATATCTTGCTACAATAGAAAGAAAAAGAGAACTGAAAAAAGAAGTCAGCTATAAGTTAAATTGTAGATAAATTTTAATGATATAGATTCCTACTTTATATTTTTAAACTGTAATAAAAGCAAGCTTTTCTACCTAGTATGCTTAAAAAATCATTTTGCATTGATCCTATCCAAATTAAGCTTAACAACCAATTTCAAAAATTTCAGTAAAAGAGACAGATTACATTGTGAATTCAAGGAAAACAACGGCAAATTCTTATTGTAATGCATCTGGTCTTCAACGTTAATTGTCACTTTCTTAGGTTGTGCAAAAGTACTAAGGAAGTTACAGGCAAAACACCTGCTGAATAACTGAAATGATATAGTAACTGCTTTGAGAGTTGAACTAATGCAGTTCAATAAAATTGATCGTTGAAGAGAGCTCTCATGTTACTAGTAAATGAATTTAGAATTACAAGAAAGAAGTTGTAAATACGGCAAGCATTAATAATTATTAGATGCATACAGTACATTACAATATAAACAGTAAATCACCTTTCAACACAATAAAATCATAACTATGTGACACAATGGACTTTAGAGATTCAGAAAGGGGAGGGTGAGAGTAGGGCTAGTGATAAAAAACTACACATTAGATACAATGTACACTAATCAGGTCACAGGTGCACTAAGATCTCAGAATTTACCACTATACGATTCATCCATGTAACAACAACAAAAAAAAAACTTGTACTCCAAAAGCTATTGAAGTTTAAACATTAAATAGAAATTTTTAAATTACAGAAAAACATGCACAGGGAGAAGATGAAAATGAAAATGATCATACACAGTAGTATCAAGTCAGAAAAGTATGCTATGGATGACACAAAAATAACATAAAACTATGATACAAACCTAATTCATGTCTGGGTTTTGTTGACATAGTATGGAATTGAAATCTATTTATTATATTATTTTACTTGGTATATTTAAAGAATTAAGATACTATTTGTTAACTGCACATATACAATCCTAACCAAATTTATGTTTAAATAATTGTAATATTCCTTTCCTTTCTGTTATGAATTTAATGGGGTCCCCCAAAGTTCTAATGCCCCATGTGATTGTATTTGGAGATAGGGCCTTTATGGAAGTAATGAAAGTTAAGTGTGGTCATAAGGATAGGGTCCTAATCTGATAAAATTAGTGTCCACAGAAGAAGAGACACCAGAGCACTCTCTCTCTTTTCCTCCAAACACACCCCTAGGAAAGGCCATGTGAGAGCAGAGAGAGAATGTGGCCATGCAAACCAGGAAGACAGCCCTCACCCAAAAGTGACCGTTCTGGCACCTTGATCTTGGACTTCTAGCCTGCAGAACTGTGAGAACATAAATTTCTGTTGCCTAAACAACCCAGTTTATGGTATTTTATGTCAGCGTGAGTGGACTAACACACTCTATTTGAAAAGCAAAATTTCATTCCTCAGTCTGCAAGTCTGAGTTCATTTTTTTCACACTTTTTAAAAACTTTTAAGTTCAGGGGTACAAGTGCAGGTTTATTATACAGGTAAACTTGTATCATGAGGGTTTGTTGTACAGATTATTTTATTACCCAGCTATTAAGCTTAGTACCCATTAGTAATTTTTCCTGATTCTCTCCCTGGTCTCATTCTCCATCCTCTGAAAGACCCCAGTGTGTGTTGTTTCCTTCTATGTGTCCATGTGCTCTCATCAGTTAGCTCCCGGTTATAAGTGAGACCATGCGGTATTTGGTTTTCTGTTCCTGTGTTAGTTTGCTAAGGATAATGGTCTTTAGCTCCATCAATGTCTCTGCAAAAACATGATCTCAATCATTTTTATGGCTGTGTAGTATTCCATGGTATATATGTACCACATTTTCTTTACTCAGTCTATCATTGACGGGCATTTAAGTTGATTCCATGTCTTTGATATTGTGAATAGTTCTGCAATGAACACGTGTGCATGTATCTTTATAATAGAATGATATATATTCCCTTGGGTATATACCCAATAATGGGATTTCTGTGTGGAATGGTGTTTCTACCTCTAGGTCTTTGAGGAGTTTCCAGGTTGTCTTCCATAATGGCTGAAGTAATTTACGTTTCTTCCAACAGTGTAAAAGCATTCCTTTTTCTTCACAACCTCACCAGCATCTGTTATTGTTTGACTTTTTTAATACCTTAAGTTCTGGGATACATGTGCAGAACATGCAGGTTTGTTACACAGGTATACACATGTCATGTTGATTTGCTGCACCCATCATCCCGTCATCTACATTAGGTATTTCTCCTAATGCTATCTCTCTCCTAGCAAGGCTGGTTCAATATAAGCAAATCTATAAATGTGATTCACTATATAAACAGAATTAAAAACAAAAACCATGTGATTATGTCAATAGGCACAGAAAAAGCTTTAGATGCAATCCAACATCCCTTCATAATAAAACCCTCAACAGACTAGGCATCGAAGGAATATACTGCAAAATAATACAACTCATATACAACACGCCCTCAGCCAACATCGAACTGAATGGGCAAAGCTTGAACCATTTCCCTTGAGAACTGAAACAAGTCAAGTATGGTGACTCTCAGCATTCCTATTCAACATAGAACTGGAAGTTCTAGCCAGAGCAATCAGACAAGTCAAGGAAAGAAAAGGCATCCAAACAGGAAAAGAACAAGTCAAACTATCTCTCTTCATAAAGAATGAGATCATATACTTTGCAGGGACGTGGATGGAGGTGGAGGCCAATATCCTTAGCAAACTAACACAGGAACAGAAAACCAAATACTGCATGTTCTCACCTATAAGTGGGAGCTAAATGATAAGACACATGGAGACAGAGAGGGGAACAACAGACACTGGAGCCTGTAGGAGGGTGGAAGGTGGGAGAAGGGAGAGGATCAGGAAAAATAAAAGAATTGTAATAGAAGTTAGAGTACATCATATAACCTGAGTCATTCTAGGGAGGCAGAGAAGCAAACTGGACATTCCATCAAGTAAGCAGAAGACAACGTTATGGTACAACTAAAAGACATCCAGGCAAATAGGCAGTCAGACTAAGGACAATGCACTGGAAAAAATGAATATTCTACTCTCTCTATAATAACTAAATATTATACAATGATACTAACAGTATTAATAACAATAACTACTATTTCTTGACCTCTGGCTACATGTTAGGCACCTACTAGGTGCATTTCTTATATTCTCTCTTATTGAGGTCAGTCTTATTGGCCTTATGTTATGGGAAAAGAAGAACTCAGAGAAGGCAATTTTTATAGTTTTGCAGTTAGTTAGGGGGAGAAATCTGGTTTAAACCCAGGTTTGTAGAACTTCAGGTTTCTTGTTTTTTATCACTAAGGGTGCCACCTTCTAGAAAGACTTGGGTACTAGACAGGCTACCAAGAAAATCTACCCCAAACAAGCAACCAAACAAACAACGCAAATGATTTTCAGAATTTGGATGCAGGGCTTATCTTAGGATCATTTGTCAGTAGTGGGACTAAAATTCAAAGTAGGACAAGTAGTGAGAATATCTTCATGCTGAAGCCCATATTATTGGCTAATACCAAAGACATTTAAATATTTAGATTTGTTTAATTTTTTGTTCCTTTTCAATGACTTTTCATGGTTTCTTTCACCTCCCCCCTCCCCAGTTTTACTGAGGTTTAATTGACAAATATGAAGTGTATATATCCTCACATAGTTGGCTCTTGTTGTTGCTGTTTTGTGGTGGAAATGCTTCAGATCCACTCACTTGTGTTTAAAATAAGTCATATGATCAGAAGCCATCCACACTGGTTATTCTCATTTCTTCCCTTAAATCCATTCCTGTGCATTTTCTGCTCTACTCTAGATCCCAGAGGGTTGACCTCTACAGAGGACATCAGATAACGTGTCCTCAGGATTCTGCTTGGATTTGACCAATAAAATTGAACCAGCAGGAGATTGGAGAGTGGGAAGATAGAGAAGGCAGGAAAGTATTCCTGCCCACTTCCTCTGTCCCTCACTCCAGTCACAGCAGTGTCTGCTTTCCTTCACTTCTACAGTTCTGAAAGGCAGTCCTTTTCTGGCCATGACTCCAACTCTCACAAGGCTCTAGCCAGCACTGCTCTGCTTTTTGCCCCCTCAAATCTGCTACTGTTAATCCATGGAGTCTTGCCACCCCTTATCAGATGTCTTACACTACTCATGTCTCTATACTTCATTCCTTTTTCGAATTCTTTTCAGTTAAACCCTTCCCAATTTGTCATATATTTTCTGCCCAGAACATTAATACAAAAGGTGATCATATACCACAGGTTACACCTACTGCTATATGGTATTTTAATACTCACGTTTCACTCTCAAAATACCCTGGTTTGGGGTTGATATATGGTCATTCTATTGATACTCCATGTAAGTATTCATTGCAAGTTCCTTTTATTATTCGAATCCCAAAACAATGTTGGAATCCGTAATTGAACTCACAAGGGCAGGATGGTAAAATAGACAATGCTTCAGACTCAGAAAGAGGAGGATTCTACTCATTAGCTCTGTAAACTTGGACCACTTAATTTCTCTGAACCTGTGACATTAGCTGTAAAAGGAGAATAACAAAACCCACAGTGAAGGGTTGTTTTAAAGGAGCACAGTATATGTAAAGTTTCCTGAAGATAATATGTGCTTAATATTATAAATTATGAAAATTATTTTATTGGAAGACAAGTATTTATTTTTGAGCTCTTGGACAGTCCTTGATATAAAGCAAGTACTCAAAAATGTTTAATGGGATAATGTAATGGATGATTTTCAAATGAGAATCAATTATAAATCAGAACTGGATTTGTAGTTATCTTTAGTTTTGCAATAATTTTTAATTTTGTTCTTCTTTCCCAGTGCAATTTTTCTTAAATTTAAATGAGTTACTAAAACCTAGGCTTTATTGAGCTTTAACTGGTAAATAAAACGTGTATATATTTAAGGTGTGCGAACTGATATACATATACATTGTGAAATGAGTACCACAATCAAGCTAATTAACATTTCCATCACCTCACATAGTTTCCTTGTTTTGTGGTGGTGGTTGTTTTGTGGTGAGAATACTTCTGATCTACTCAGTTGTTTTTAAAATGGGTCGTGTGATCAGAAGCCCTCTCATACTGGTATAGCTGTAAAACCTATGCAATTATTATATTCAATTTCAACTACAATTATGAATATATCTGAGCCTGTTAGCTTTGCCTGTACTATTAATATGGGTGTTCAGGCCTTACCTGCTTTCTGTGTAGCCCACTAGGTGATATGTTCTAGGCAATAAGTAAAGAGGACTAGATAAGAACCTCGGGATACTTGCTTTCAGACCATTGGCTACAGGCTGACTCAGGGTGGAGGGCTTCCTACTCTCAGACCAAAATACTGAACAACTGAGGTGGGACTGCATTTGCATGTGAGAATGAATAAGTATAGCTGTGGGCTTATAAAATTTCAGACTGACCTAGGAATGACCTAGCATAACAGGACTGAGGAGTACGAGGCTGTTCCACCAGTCCTACTTTCCATCTTTTGTAGTGAATCTCTATATCCCTTTATGAATATACTATATCTTCAGCTCCTTGTTATACCTAGTGTGGTACCTTAACAACTTAAGCTTTTAATCAAAGTCATTAAGCTACATTAAGCCACCTCAAGAAACAGAAATGAAATAATATATGTGAAAAGATAATTTATACGAACTGTGCCTAGCACACAATACACAGGTAAAGCATATTTGTTGCACAGCTATTAAAAGTCACTCAATAAATAAGAGTTTGCTTTCTCTCTTTTTGCTATAAATGGGCTATTTTGCTATGTGCTGTAAGGGAGATAATATTGGTCATATAGGATGGTGTTCTATCCTAGAAGACATACAACCTAGTAGGGGAGAATCCGAATCCAACACTGTTAACTGTATCATGCATTCACATGTCAACATGTATTTACCTCTAACTCATAGACATTGGGCAACACATTGGAGACATAACAATAAATAAGCCGTGGTGTATTTTTTTCAAGAAGTTCACCTTCTCTTGTAATTTTCCTGTTTTCCCACCCATTAATCACCCTAATCAATTACTCTTTCTAAACTTCTGATATATTTTGTTCAGACATCCATTATAATTTTTATAATTATGAATACACAAATTAATCTTCCCCATTATGTACAAGGTTCATTGCCCATGTTATATTATTTACATATGGATCAAGGACCTGGCACAGGGTCCTGCTAAACATTTATTGTAAATATGCCACTATTTAGTAGCAATCTTCTGATTTAAGGTAAGTTATGAGCCTTAATTTATAGCTGTTAAAAATGATTCCTTACCAGAAAAAAGGAGGGGATCTAAACCTAAATGTACCCTCACGGCACTTTCATTTAGATTTTGGAGTGATGAGTAACTCTTTACCTCCTCCATTTCCTTTTTATCCCAGCTTTAAAAAATAGTTATATTTCCTTACCAGGCCTCATCACACATCTATTTATTTACTATTAGGTGGATAACAACAGGTACCTAGTAATCCCTTCAACCAAGACATTCAATTTCTCACCTTTCCCCTCCCACTTCTTCTCCATCTTAGCTTTTAAATTAGCAATGAAAGTATGAGGTACTCTAAATTTATTTAATATAACTTTCCCCACAAGTGAAATAATACCTGTGTACCTGCTCTCAAAGAAGAGTGAAAAAGTGAAGGCTGACAGAGGGCACACAACCATATTCAGTAATTTTCCTTGTTTTGTTGTAACAATTTACTGGGTACCAGTTTGTCAAATTAGCTTAATTCCATAGTACAAATTATTAATAGCTTTACCTTTTTGTTTGTTGTTATCAACCATGATCTCTTCTCTACCCGTACATGGCATTTTAGGAGGTTCCCTTAGCTTTCCTGTAAATATATGAAATAAGATTAATCTCATTTGATGTTTCCTAATCATTTTCTGTTCGTGAATGGTACTGTATAAATTAAAACCTTAAGCTCACATCCAATTTAATCTTCCTTTCTGTCCCATCCTTGGGTTTGACACAAGATGTATGAACTTGTACTAGGAGAGGGAGAGCAATATGGTCTCTTTTACACTCCTCCGCCTCCTCTCCAGTTTTGTTTTGGGCTGCTTGTCAGAGTTGGAGTGAGGGAGAATCAGAGGAAGAGGAGCAAATAGCTCTACATAAACTCGGGTATTTTAGTACTCTCTTGATCAAAACTGGCCAGGATGGCCTCTATTATGGAAAGCAATAGAATACTTGGTCTTTCACAGGACTTATTTTGAGAGTTTTTGAAAACACATTTCTCTTTCATGGGCTATGTGTTTTGTGGCTTATTTTGTGAACGCTCTGAGCACTTGCTCCCTGACTTTATTGCTGGATCCCCTCATTCTGGCAAATAGCCCTCTTGGAAAAAGTCTCATCAAGATGACTCTGGCATGGATGCCAACTATGCAACAGGAAATTGGCATTTCATTTTTCAAATGTTAATATAAATGGTATTGTGTTTTTAATTTCAAATTCTGATTAATATATAAGAAAGCAATTGACCTTCATGTATTAACACTGTATCCTGCAAACTTGCTATAATAACTTATTAGTCCCAGGAATTTTTCCGTGATTCTTTAGGATTTTCTGCATAATCACCTCATCTTTAAACAGAGACATTTTGATTTCTTTCTTCTCAATATTTATAGCTTTTATTTCCTTGTTGCATTAGCTAAGATTTCTAGTAGGTTTTGACTATGAGTAGTGAGAGGGAACATTCTTGCATTTGACACTTTTTTAAGAAAAAAATAATGAACACTAGTTTTCCTTACACCTTCCAAACAGGGACTTAAAATCCAAACATCGTTATTTCTACAAGAACAAAACCTTAATCACATATGATTCTATAAAAGGAAAGGAAATCATATTATCTCAGATCTTATGGCATTGTTTTTGTTAAATAATGTAGCACTTAATATAACATATTAACTGAATGAAGCCTCCTGCTATAGTGAAATGCACACTGACCCTCAATTAGTCATGTGAACACCCATGTAAAAAGTTTCTTTGAACAGCCATGTCAAAAGTTTCTTAGAATTATAGGCAACTTTTATTGGAAAAGTCTTACATCTTACTAGGGATTGTTGCACGTGTTATCTTTTCAATGCCTCACTATTAAATTATATTCCTCTCCTGGAATCACTGTCTTCTTTCCACTAGGCTCCATGTCTAGGTACAATAACCAGGCTAACATGGAGTAAGCAAATTATCAGTATGCAAGAGCATAATCGGTTTCCACAGGTGTTAAGACATCACTTCTCCCATCAATAGGCACATCCTCCCCATTTCCAAAACACATGCAAATCAAAAATTAAACCTAGAATTTTGTCATATTAAAAAACACATAATTATAACATGTAAAATGTGTGAATAAAGTAATACAGGCATTAATGTATGCACATGAAATGCTCCACTGGCAGGGTGCAGTGGCTCAAGCCTGTAATCCCCGCACTTTGGGAGGTCGAAGTGGGTGGATCACTTGAGGTCAGGAGTTCGAGAACAGCCTGGCCAACATGGTGAAACCCCGCCTTTACTAAAAATACAAAATTAGCTGGGCATGGTGGTGCATGCCTGTAATCCCAGCTACTTGGGAGGCTGAGGCAGGAGAATCGCTTGAACCCAGGAGGCAGAGGTTGCAGTGAGCCGAGATTGTGCCATTTCACTCCAGCCTGGGCGATAAGAGTGAAACTCCATTAGAAAGAAAGAAAGGAAAGAAAGAAAGAGAGAAAGGGAGAGAAACTCTCCACTGGAGATCCGGAACATATGTCAACATAGAGACTACAGGAAACAATAGCTTGGGGTTTGAAGTATGAGCTATTTTCTTTACACTTTACTAACTATAATTTGTATAAGATTTGAGAAAGCATAGTCTCAAATGCCTAATTAGCCTCTGTGGTAGTTAGACACTGGTTCATCTATGATCACGAGATATGTTCAAGGCTGGGTATATACTGCTGGAGAGTTGATGTCTGTAACGTTTGAAAGACAAGACCAAAACAGGTAACTAAGCTTATTGTAAAAGGGAGGAACAATTACGTAGCTACCATTGAGTTTCCTTTTGCAATTCTAAAAATAAGAAACACTATCCTGAAAATGTAAGTCTAGAGCATTTTATTCCAAATCTACTGGGCTCTGAACACTTAATTTTCAAAGTGAGATACATGCAATATCAAACAGTAAAAGGTTTATATTTCATACTAAGATTTTTTTAAGTGCTTAACTAAGGAGACACTATAAAGTTGGTCTAGTTTGTCTTCAGTGTGATACCCTCTCTCTGAGCTTAACCCCAACCTCAGCATGGCCCGTTCTCCCTCACAATGCTTCACTAGCCAGTGTTTTCATGCCTTGCAGAGTTTCTCCTATTAGGGAAAGAATAGCATAATAAACAGATTGACACACATGAAGATATTATACATCCTTGCTTCTCAAATTGTGCTCCACAGAACAGAAAAATTAGCACACCATACTTACCAAGAATCTGCATTTTCATAAGTTCCCCACATGCTTTGTATGCACTTTACTAGGGTAACTAGGAGATTCACATACACATTAAAGTTTCAGAAATGTTGGTGGAGATGTTGCCGTTATCCAGAGCAGTGGTTCTCAAAGTGTGATCCCTGGGCGAGCAGTGTCAGCACGAGCATCAGCACCACCTGGTAACTTATTAGAAATGTAAATTGTCAGGCCCTGCCCCAAACCTACTGATTAGAAACTCCGGGTGTGGGGCCCAGCCGTCTATGGTTTAACAAGTCCTCCAGGGGATTCTGATGCATGAAAAAATTTAAGGACCACTCACTGTTCCAGGGTGTCTGCATGGAAATAATTGCTAATTTCAGAATCAAATAGCTCAGAACACCATAAAAAGTAGAAAGGGGTGGGAGTTTTACCCCACAGAGCATCCTGGCTTTCCTCCAACTCACATAATCCTGACATTTAAGAATTTTCCAAACATGCCCCAGGTGTGCTTTTAAAATCCCTTGATACCAATTGGTCTAATTCAAGAATTCTGCTCCATTACTTTAGCTATTTTAAACTGTGAAATTTCACACAACCAGGACGTCAGGTTGTATAGCAATTTTAATTAGCTGCTTATAATATGAAGAAGATCATTGAGTTATTGGAATTACTTCACTAACTTAAGAGCTTCTACAAAATTGAACTCCAAATCTTGTTCTCTCCTAATTCATTGCCCAGATGCACCTTGTTTAAATTTAGCCACTCTGTTTTAAAATCTAAATGGTATCTGGTTTCTGTCAAAAATTGTGCTTCTCTCCGTGTGTCAATGTACTGCTATTTCAGACCCACAGCCTATCGCTAGCAAATATCACTGCAAAGAGGTGCTCTTCACTGGTTTTAATGTGCTTTCCAATTCAATAAGGAGTGGTGATTAATGCAGTTTAAACGCCAAAGCAAACAAGAATTATATGAAAGTATGATCATATTGTATTGGTAGTGATCATATTGTAGAATAAGGAAGTTTACTGCCGTGAAAGTAGTTACAACGAGTTTATTATTTTAAGATAGCCTCCAGTATTCTTCCAAGACTAAGCAACGGATTAAGGGACTATCTAGGCAAGAAGAGTCTGCATTATTCAAATCACTTGTCTGCTGTTATTTAAAGCCTTTTCCAAGTGTTAAACAAGAGAAAATTGCTCTTTGCTTAAATGTTTTTTCAACAGTATGACTCTTAGTTCATTTCACTGTTATGGCATTAAATTGGTTGCTTTTACTTTCAACAATGACAATTTTGTTTCAAACCATGAAATACTTGTTCTATATTACACATAGGTATTAAGGAATTAGCCTTGATGCCCAAGATAACTGGAGTGATCACTTCTCTGGCACATTCACAAGCACGTTAAGCATATTCATTCTTACTAACCCACAACAATCCCCTATTAGTTATGACGTATGTGCCATCTTTAACAGGGGAGCACATTAGTGTAAATGCTGCAGACTTATAGCTTTGTATGTGCCCTGAAAACATGTTGAGACTTTTCTACAAATTGTCCAAACTAAGTGAGAATCATACAGAACAAAGAAAACGATCCCTCTGGGTACTTTTCTATGTGTGTTAAAAATGATTTTTGGCGCTTTGTCAGAGTGCAGCAACAACACATTCATACTGAGGTTGGAATTATTGGAAGCAAACCCAGATAAGAGCTACTAATTAATATCCTTTCACAACTTTGAAGTGAAGAGAACCATTAAGCCAGCCACATATCTACCTTTTAAGAAACTTTTGTGGAGTAGAAATAATGAGTTGAGGAGTTTACCAGAAATTAAAGGATGGGTGCAATTCCATCCTAGCAGATCTGGGAAATGAAATCAGTTTACCTCTCAGGCATGCAGTAATGACTATCATCAACTAAGAAACATTCACTTTGTAAATAAATGGATGTGTAAACATAACTCTAAAGTGTGTTTAGCTTAGTCACAATTTAGAAAGTTGTTTTTTGTACTATATTGCAAATACACATTTTAACTCGGTGCCTACATGCGTCCACATTCATCATCTGTCGATCAAACTATGCATCTATCTTACTTCATTGATAGACTAAACTGTGTTTTAAACATTAGCAGAGAGAATGAGATTGGCACTTATGCTTTACATATATATGTTTTTACTAAAGTAGAGCACACATACAGCAAAGTTGAAAGTAAGTGTATATAACTCATTTAATTTTTACTAACTGAATACAGTCATGGAGTTAGCATTTAGATCAAGAAACAATACTAGTGCCAGTACCCTAGAAGTCGTTTTTTACCCCCTTCCAGATTCTACTAACTTCCCCACAGACTAAAAAATAACCACTATACTGTATTGACAGCAGATAGTCTCACTTTATGTTAGGGTGCACATGAAAGCATTTTTTAAAATAGAAAATCAAAGTAAACAATCAAACAAATGAATTAAGCATTCTTCGAACACCATGTTCCTTTGCGCCAGTAGCAGCATCTTTATGCTTTGTTTTATGGTATGGCGTAGCTACTAAAATGTATCAGATATAAATATCTAGATTTCTTCTACTCCAACAGATCTTGAAGTATGATCCAGAGACCCTGGAGAGATACCCAAAAAACTTTTAGGGCACCCACAAAGTCAAAAATATTTCCATAATAATACTAAAATATTATTCACCTTTTCCACTCACTCTCAGGTGTATCTATATTGGAATTTTCCAGAGGACCTAAGATGTGATATCACAGCAAAATGAATGCAAAAATAAGTATGAGAATCAAGTTATTTTCTATTAAGCCAGATATTTAAAATATTTACAAAAATGTAAAACAGTGCCACTCTTCACTACTATTTTCTTTGGAAAATATAGATTTTTTTGTAATAATATTATATTAACGTATAATTAATTTATTGTTACTTTACAGTGATTAGTAATTCAAAAATTTATGAGTCTAAAAGGGCCATGAGACTAAGATGTTTGAAAACCGCTGTACTAGGTATTCCAGAGTTTATATACCATACCATTTCTTTGAATTGGCTCCCATTGAAAATTCAAATACCTTAATTGTCAAATTCACTTATTATTTTTAATCTATCTTTACTTGAACTTTGTAAGTTTTGGGGACTACCTTCTCTCCTGTTTGTTTTTCCTTCACATCTCCTCATATCCTTTGCTTCTGCAAAATTACTCTCATATTTCATCATTTCTCAGGGTTATACACAGGCTAGGTTTAATTTCTCACCTCTGACATTCAGACTTTAAAAAAACACAATCCATTATCAGATCCGGATTTGATTTTACCTTACTTGAAAGTGAAGAAATTATTAAGTTAGCCTTTTTAGTATTTCAGGAATGCTGAGGCACATGAGTAAAAGACAAAGAACTTCATTATTCATGGAACGGTAAGACCTATGAGCATTAGTGTGTTTGTTTTAGTTCCCCTTTCCTGAAAATTTCATGGTGGTGACATGGAAGGGCTCAGTTGATATTATATATGCAGGTGGTTTGCATCGCAACTGAAGAACTCTGAGCTTAGGGAATTTTCCTTTTTCTAGCAAGCAGTAAGCCTGCTTATTCCTCAGTATTGCTCTCTAGCAAGCAGTAAGCCTGCTGATTCCTCAGTGTTGCTCTCTAGCAAGCAGTAAGCCTGCTTATTCATCAGTATTGCTCGTGTTAACCTAACTCTGACAAATGGCCTGGATAAAGATTGGTCAAGGCCTTGCAATCTTGGCATTCCAAGCAAGAATGTGTAGAGACACTTAGGGTTTATGTAGGGTTATCTTTTCCAATGTCCATTTCAGAAGGTAATTAATAATGAGGGCACACTATTTATAAAATGGGGGATACCCCCCACAAAAACATTAAAAACATTAGAGGGTTTGTATACCCTTCAGAGCAGACTCCTGCCTTAAATATTAATGTTTCTCAGGGTACTACAATAACCTTCTGATCTCAGTCAGCTACCACCAGTGTAAGAGATCCCATTTTTTTTTTATCAGCTTTAGTTACTTTTGTCCAATTTCATGCTAGATGTCTCTATCTGGCTGTCAAATAGGCGCTTTAAATTCAACACAAACAACATGAATCAAATCATCATCCATCACTCTCCGCAAGAAAGGTGCAAAACAATGCATTTTTCTGGGTTTTTTAAAATCTTGATAAGAATCGCGTTAGCCCATCACCCAAGCTGAAATTTGAGGCCTTTTTTTTTCTTTACCCTGTTCTGCATGTCTTGAGATATTTTTCTCTTATATATTTCTTGAATTCATTCTCTTCTCTTGGTATCAACCTCTACAGCTTAGATTCAGGAGCTCAGTATCCTTTGCTATCATCTACAACCGTAGCTCCTTAATATGTTTAGCCTTATTACCTTCCACTGCATCTTCCCCATCAATTTCAAACGACCAGAGGTAGGGGAAGAGAACAGGTTTTGGTATCAAACAAACTCTCACTCTGAGTCTGCAATCTTGGGCATGTATTGACCTCTCTAAAACTGATGTTATTTGTAACATCAGGACAATACTCTTTCCATTATGAAATTGTGAGAATTATCTAATATGATACATGTATATTACAAGCACAATTTATGACCCATAGTTAGTTCTTTAAAATACTACTCCCATTCTCCTCTTCCTTTTAAAACAATTAAAAGGCTTTCACTCACCATAAAAATAAACTCATTACTATCATATATAAACCACTTCTTGACCTGCAAGACACCATGTCTCATTTTCCCACTGCTTTTAACACTTTTTTGAGTGACAGAATTCCACATAGCTACATATAATGAGATAGTGACCCTTATTGCAGAAGTATAATATCAAAATTTGCTTCTACTACTACATTGTAAAATATATATAAGAAACAAATTAATAATAGATAGTAACAGAAGTAAATATGGCCTCATTGTATATTTTTAATAAAATTTCCAATAAATACTTGATAATTGAAGCTCTATCTGCTTCATACATCAAAGATTCTAAAGATAAAATGTGCCAAAAATATGTGTAGAGGTCTTTAAATTATATAACAAATATAGTGACGGGGTCGAAATTGGAAAAAAAAGAGTAAAAAAAAAATTTCTGGACCAAGGGCATGAGATAAGCCCTTGCTGGAGAAGATTTCAGTAGAAGAAAAATCTAGAATCCGTACTATTTACTGCATTAGCAAACTGTACTAGAGGAGATTGCCCCAGCTTCCATTTGGCCCTCTATCACTCTATACTGTAATGCCCAGTATTCTTTATGGTCATTTATTATCTTAACCATTATTCATTAAAAGCTTTCAGCTTTGTAAAATGTGACTATTCAATTATTTTTTCATGATAGCAAAACACTATCATACGGAATCAAATAGAACAGTATTGTTTGGTTCTAAAAGAATAACTTTGTATATAATTCATAAAGACTAATCAGCTACATATATGTAAGCATAACCTATTTAAAAATATACATCTAGTTTGTGATCACTGAAAGTTAATATCTATTTAATGTATTAGCAGTTTTTATGCACTTTGGTGTCAAGACTAGAAGCAACAATAATATATTTCCTTTGCCCACTAAGGCCCGTGGTCGACAAACATTTACTGATATGTATCTCAGATCTTTTGAAAGGATAATGGTGAGGCTAACTAATGGTCTTGTTGGATTGTTGTCTGCTTTTTTGTGGTGCTCCATCTTACAGAGCTCTGATAAAGGGTGTTTAGAATCCTCCTTCAGTATAGATAGTCAATCAGCAAAAGAGGAGCTTCTTGGCCCTTGAGATTCTCTTTAAATTTTAGAGGACCAACTCTAATTCCTAATTCTAATTAACAAAACTCCCTCTTTCTGTAGTGCCCCGTAGAGTCACTATTCATATTGACCCAGAATAATTTTCCCATATCATTATTTGTATTCCACGCATGTAATTAGCCAAATGATTCTTAGGTCACAACATTTTGGAAGCCATAAAATAAGGCATTAAAGAGCCTACCCAAAGGACTAGTGGACTTAAATGCATCTGGAAATAGATGTAAAATCACATGTGGTTAATGGATAGTATTTCTACAAGGGTGAATTTAACTTTGATTGATTTTATAAATAACTGTATTGCTATCAGTATAAGAGTGGGTATGTTATCAGTTATCAATAACAATTTATCAGATTTTGATAATTTAGCGTCAGGTTGTCTTGATGGAGGATGATAGAAGCCACTTCCTTTCACTACTAGTTTTTGTACTGTTTCTATATTTGATTTTGAGAGAAATCATGTCTTACCTTCAAAGTGGCAGAGTTAATGAAGTTCATAATGGGAGTCTGAGGTCAGGGGCATCAGAACTATTGTATATGGTTGTGCAGTTCAGCCCTGCACATGATCATCTGGCTGTGGGGAGAGTTGGGGTGTCAATTCAGCCCATGCTTGCCTAGCCAAGCCCAGGCACCTTTCAGTGGAACTGAGACTAATTTAACAAAAAAGTGTTGTCTATACTCAAGCCATAAGGAGACTGCCCAAAGAGAGACTTTAAAAAATTCTAAAATGGTGCTAGAGAAGGGTAGAGGAGGCCCTGAGAATGGCTTCTTTTCACAGTCATATTGGCAGGTGAGGTGCTACTACTTTAATATAAAGTCAAGTTTTTGTAAAATCTGCTTTAGTTTTGCATACTAAATCTTAATGTGGTATTAATAAGATGCTTTGTATCAGAAACAATTTTAATGTATGCCTTAATAAGAATTATGTTGGGTTTTCTAGTATTCCAAATTAATAGGTAACTAATTCTATTCACAGGTCACATATTATTACCATTAAAAATAACCTAACTCATTAAACATCAGAGCACTTAATTTATGTTATTCTGAGAGTGTAAATGTGTGTGTATGTGTGTGTGTCAGAGAGAGAGAGATTGCATACAATTACCTACATATCAATGGAAAATAATTATTGGACCCCATGGTCAAAATTTTGCTTGTGATTATTTTTCCTTTGGAATGTGTCCCACCCTTCTCTTCTCTTTTTCTCACTCTGTTTCTTAGTATGTTTATCATTGGATATTGATAATAATAGTACAAATTTAAAATGTAGCTATATTGATGATCAGGGTTAATGGAAGGGAATAATGTTTTAGATGATCTGATGTGACAATAAATTTGCCTGAATTTTAAAATGTATAATTATATTGAAATTCAATGTAATGCATGGCACATATGGGAGTTTACCTAAACATAATAAAGCCACCTTCCTTTATATCATATATAAAATAATTTCAGATCAATTCAGATCAATATTAAAATTATTGAATTTAATTACATAAATATTACCAAGGACACAGTTTTTAAAAAGCACTATGAAGTTAATATTCAAGTGTCAGCCTGAAAGAAAATATTTGCAAAGCATATGACATATAAACTTCCAGAATATAGAAATAACTACAAATCAATAAGAAACATATCCAGATCCCAATAGAAAAATATATGAAGGGTATGAACTGATAGTTTACACAAGAAGTAATACAGATAGCCAATAAGCTTTTAAAAGAATGCATGATCTCACTAGAAATTAGAGATATTTGAGTTTTAAAAGTAGGGGACATAATTTTTCACCCATCAAATTGGCAAAAATGAAAACAACTGATAACAATCAACTATTGGAAAGGGCATGGAAAAATGAATATTCTAATACATATTGGTATATCATTTTGGAGAGCAATTTGATTGTATACCTTAAAATTTAACATATAAATATCCTTTTATCCATTAGTTCCATTTCTAAGTATCTAATCCAGAGGAAATAATGCATATGCCTACAAATAATCAAATACAAGAATATTTATAGCCTCCCTTTTTCTAACATAGTAAATATCATATCTGTCCTAAATGCTTAGCTTATGGGTCATTTACCTACCTTTCACAATAAACCTATAAGTTGGTATAAATATTTCCCTAATTTATATTGGAAGAACATTCATAAAGAAGACTAAGGAGATATGAGGCCTAAATACAAAGTAACCTGAATTGCATCCTGGAACAGAAAATGGTCAATAGTACAAAAGTTGGTAAAATCTGAATAAAGTCTAGAGTTAATAATATTGCACCAATGTTAATTTCTTAGTTTTAATAAATGTGTCATGTTTTTATATGATGTTAATATTAGAGGACGCTGGATGAAGGGCAGACAGGAATTGTCTACTATCTTTGCAACCTTTCTGTAAATCTATATTTATTTTCTAAATAAAAGGTTTTTAAAAATACTCTTAATATCCTACAACTAGCAAGTGGCAGAGCTAGTTGAAACAGCAGAAAGGCAAAGCCAGAGAGAATAAAATGAGCATGTAGTATTTGGAGACTGAGAGCAGATAGGTTGGTCAAATGCAAACAGTGAATTGTTATTCTCACCTTCCATCTCCATATAGCTCCTTTTCCCTGCCTACATTATTATAGGAACTAGATTCTTCCATTAAATTTCTTTTCATATAGTTTGGAACAAACACACTGTACGCCTCCTATGTGCCAGAAGCTGTGAAGGCAATAAAAACAAATGAGACCATACTTCCACTCAAGTAAACTAGTAGGCTACATAGACATGTAAACAATAACTGCAACAGAAACAAACAAAAAAGAAATGTTCCTTGAAGTTCATAAACAATTCTGTGGGAAATATCACCAGGAGCTTCAGATCATGGGTTTATGATATTTTGACCTATAACCACATATCCTGATTGGATAATCAAAATGAAAACTAATAATATTAAGCCGGGCAACATGGCACACACTAGTCGTCTTAGCTACTCAGGAGGCTGAGATGGGGGGACAGCTTGAGGTCAGGAGTTCAAGTCCAGCCTGAGCAACACAGCAAGACCTTGTCTCTTAAACAACAAAAAAGTAATGTTTTAAGTTTTAAAAGTGTTCTGTTTAGATATGTATCCCTACCACCATCTATCTTTTTCTCTTTCAATGAATCACTCTTCTGATAATTTTCCCAAAAAGTGAATAATTCACTTTGTTTACTGGACGGTAGGAATAATCTTAAAGTATCTTCTACAGAACAAATGCTTCAACATACTTTGAATATGCAATGCCAAAATCTGTGGTCTTAACAACTATGTAATCTTTGTACAATAATACAAAATTAGAAACTGATATTTCCACCAATATGAAAATTATTAAGTTGGTTACATCACCTACAGACTACGAAATGTTCTGTGGCAATTACAACAGGAATATCTCTAAGATATTTCATGAGGGGAAAAGAATGGAATTTGGAAAATGGCATGTATTGTGAACTCCTATGCTCTCACAATGCTCTCCTGTCCTAATCTTTCCAGAACCCATGAATACAATGAAATATTACTCCTGCAGTTATGTTATGTTACGTTATGTTATGTTATGTTATGTTATGTTATGTTATGTTATGTTATGTTATGTTATGTTATGTTATATGGAATAGTCAGTCTTAATATAAGATTATCCAGATGGGCCTGCTAATCACTTGAGGATGTTCTCCAGCTGATGTCAGAAGAACTTAAAGAGACTTGAAACATGAGAAGGACTTGACCGTACCATTGCTGGTTTGAAGATGGTGGTACCATATGAGATGGAATGCACGTGGCCTTAAGGAGCTAAGAATTGTCCATGGCCTATAGCCAGCAAGTTAACATGGACCTCAGCCCCTACAACTGCAAGGAACTGTCAATGACAGAAATGAACTTGGAAGAAGACTCTATGATCCAAGCAAGAACAAATCTGGCCAACATTCTGGCTTTGGACTTGTGAAGCCCTAAATAGAAAATCTAACCATACTCTGCCAGATTGCTGATATGTAGAAATGTAAGTTAATAAATGGGTGTTGTTTTAAGCCACTAAGTTTGCCATGATTTATTATGGGAGCTATATAAAACTAATACAGAATCTATGTATTATATGCAAAAAGTTACTTTTTTTACACACAAAACTGATACAAGTGGTTACTTTGAATTGGAGAAGGATTGAGGAGGAAGAGAGGAGGATTATTTATTTATATATGTATTTAAATTTTTTGAAAAATGAGGATGAATTGTTAAATTAACTGATTATTCAATACAGTGATTTTTAAAGTATAAAGTCAATTATAGAGGTCTAATTTTAAAGAAGTGTGGAGTTTTTCCATTTATTCAGAATTCTCCATATATTTTATATGAATATAAAATAAGCATACATTTATGCTTATTATGAGCCAGGCAGTGTTAGGCCTGAGTGTACCGTAGTAAATAAGATTTTCTTCTTGGCCTGGCAAAGGTCAGAGTCTGATGGAAGATATAAAGTAAAGCCAACTTGATTAAGTTTTGTTTGTTAAAGGGCTAAGTGCAAGGTACTAAGCAGATAGAAAGGTCACTTCCAGAGAAAAGGCAAGAGAAGTTAACCACAGCAGGGTGCAAAAATGCAATGTAAAGAGTGTTAAAGAGTTTGAACTTTATTCTGAGCACTACGGGAAACTTTTGAAACATTAAAATGGGAAACAGCATAATCTTATTCACAATCTAGAAATACAACTCTGGCTGCCACTGGGAGAATACGCTGGAGACAGGAATGGGAGTCCTATCTTTGCATTATGATGATGTACTCTATTGTACAGGTATTTAATACGCCCTCATCTACATATTTTTATATTTCAAATGTTTAAAAATACAATGAAATGTTCTAAAATAAGTCAGAGATATTTAGGAGGTAGTATCAACAATCGACAATCTTTACTGATCTTGATGTGGGATTAAGAAAGTAGGAGCGACGCAGCAAGAATGACACTAAAGCTTCAGTTCCATTCACTAATGAGAGGATACAGAAGGAAAAGCAGTGTTGCAGGGAGAAGTTGACGATTTCCATTCTGGACTTACTGGGTTTGATGTATTTCTGAGACATGCAAATGCAGATGCTGAGTAGATAGCTCAGTTCTGGTGTTTAGGGGAACAATGTGGATTTTCTGTCTTATGAAGGCCTTTAACACCACAGCACAGAAAATTTAACTGATAGTGGCTCATAAAACACAGATTTATTTTTCTTACATAAAAACAATTCCAAAGGCAGGTGGCAGGCAACTTCAGGCATTATTTTAGTTGCTCAAACATGACATCAAGAACTTTCCTCTCTTAAGGTTTCTGTTCTCTTGTACCAAGAGGGGACTTATTTTATGACTCCTCTTAATGGAAAAGTGGCTGCCGCAGATCCAGGCATCATGTCTGAGTTCAAAGGATGAAAATGGAAGGGATGGTCTCAACAAGTTTTCCTCTACTTTTACCCAAAAGCTTCCATGCAGACTTCCCTTAAATTTTATTGCCTTTAAAGTAGAAGGTGGAAAGGAATAAAGGAAATTGAGAAGAGCAGCCGGGTTACTGAAGCAATAAAATCAGTTTCCTCCCCACCCCCAAAATGTAGATGACATTTAAATCTATGGCACTAAATCTAGGAAAGAGTATAGAGTTAGAAGGTCAAGTGGCAAGGACTCCAAGAAACACCAATATTTAAAGGTTAAACACCAATATTTAAAGATTTAGCAAAGAAAGTACAGTCTACAAACTAGACTTATAGGGAATGGTCAGATAATTAAGAAGAAAACCCCCAAAAGTGGTGCCATGAAGGTTAACAAAAGAGAGAACATTAAGAAAGAAGTAGTGCTTAATGGTATCAAATGATGGCTAGAAATAAATTTTAAAATAACTGGAAAAGTTTCCATCGGATTTCAACACTGGTAACTTTGGTGATATTAGAAAAATCAGTTTCATGTGACTTTGTAGTGGTAGAAGCCAGATTACCGTGGGCTAAAGAGTGAATGGGACTTGAGGAATTAAGAATGGAGGTGTAGCAAAAACTTTAAGTTTGCTCCATGGAGATAAGAAAATGTATAGAGTGGAAACTGGAAGGGAAGTGGGATTGAGGGATCTGTTTTCAAGATAGAAGAGAAGCGAGAACTTTTTAAGCTTGCTACGGAAATAAGTCATTTGGTGCATTATGCTAAGGATTCAGGTGAGAGTGGATTACTGATGGAGTGAGGTGTTTAAGGAGTGAGGACAACAGAGGCCAAAGACATTGAAAGAGAGACAAAAAGAAAGATATCTAATGTATGACATTGGACAAGGCAAGATGAGATATATACAAATAGATATGCATAGGAGAATTTCTTTCAGGATGGCTTGTCTTTATTACGTAGGAGGTGACTTCTAATGAGATAGTGACTGGGAAGGTTTAAGATGTGGAGGGAAAGTTTGAGATAGCTTCTGTGACAAGGAAGTGAGGGAGAGAAAAAGCTGACTAGGCAAACATAAGATTTGCAGGTGGTTTTGAGGTCTTAATTCAAGTATGCATCCATAAATTTATAGACTGATCAATCTGTGGAGGTAAATGATATTTCCCATTACTACTTAGCAGCCTGAGAGGGAACTGACTTTCTAACCTAATGCCTTCCATAAAATGCTACTCCACTATCTCACTTGATCCACAAGACAGTATCCAAATATTTTCATATGAATTAAAATGATACAGGCCCACTCTTAATATGGAATACAGAATGGAGTAAACTCAGCAAGTGAGTTTCAGTAATTTAGCATTCTCCTTGTTTCTTTCATTTGCTATTAAGTATTTTATCATTATCTTAAAGGTAGAACAGTTTGCATATCAAGATATCTCTATATAGATTTTCTTTTCTTTTTTTTACCAAGGGCATTTTATTTTATTTTATTTTATTTTTTTATGTATTATTATTATACTTTAAGTTTTAGGGTACATATGCACAAAGTGCAGGTTAGTTACATATGTACACACGTGCCATGCTGGTGTGCTGCACCCACTAACTCGTCATCTAGCATTAGGTATATCTCCCAATGCTATCCCTCCACCCTCCCCCCACCCCACAACAGTCCCCAGAGTGTGATGTTCCCCTTCCTGTGTCCATGTGTTCTCATTGTTCAATTCCCACCTATGAGTGAGAATATGCGGTGTTTGGTTTTTTGTTCTTGCGATAGTTTACTGAGAATGATGATTTCCAATTTCAACCATGTCCCTACAAAGGACATGAACTCATCATTTTTTACGGCTGCATAGTATTCCATGGTGTATATGTGCCACATTTTCTTAATCCAGTCTATCATTGTTGGACATTTGGGTTGGTTCCAAGTCTTTGCTACTGTGAATAATGCCACAATAAACATACGTGTGCGTGTGTCAGATTTTCTTTTTGTTTCTTTAGTTGTCTAACTCAGGAATTCCCAAACCTTCATTAGTATGAGAAAAAAGCGTTGCTATTCAAGACTCTATACCCAATACTGTGTAATAGATATTTAGTCAGAGGTGTACATTTAACTATGCTTACATTTCACCTTATGCTCTGACACTGTAACTGAACCACTGAATAAGAGTCGATTTCATTGCCAATTCTAAAAGTCTATTTATTCTTCTAAATCAGCATATTTATTTTGTAAGTCAAATTTATTTTGTAAGTCAAATATGCATTATCTTAGGGGCTAAGAAAAAGAAATGGAGAGCTTACAATTAAAATGAAATCATAATGATAAATTATTGGGTAAAAATGAAATCAGTAAAAGAATATTCATTTGTTCACTAATTAAGATATCAATTAGCACATTTGTTCCAGGAAGTCTGCTAATCATTGAAAAGTCAGACTGCTTTATAACTCAAGATGACAGGAACCCAAAACAAATGCCGCTGCTCCCCCTTCAATGTCCATAACAGACATCACCAACTGATTCGAGGCCTCTTTCCCACGCATAACAAACATGACCTCATAATCATTACCAACACAATCCAACAGGCTACCACTAGCCATTTATCTGAATTTGGCCTGTTAGATATAATATATTTCTCATCCCTTATCTAGTCAGCTGTATATATGCCAGAATTTAACCTGAATATAAATGTGAGGAATATTACAGATTTTTATTAAAATAATTTAGATATTTTAATCCAGAAACACACGTTTCAATTAAGGCGCAGTAATTACATGTACATTACTGTATTATAGTAGTATTTGTCTCCTACTTTCTAGGTCATATGCTAAATGTGGCCATATTTTTCTTTCTTTATATCCATCTCATATGTTTACAAAAATGCAGAATGCAAAGTCATCAGCATGATTAATGCATAGTTTAAAATTTTCCCAGAATATATTCTCTCTCACATATATTCAAGCAGACAAACAAAAATCTAAGAATATATTAGGCTTCAAAAATTACTGGAAATATTTCTCAGATGTGGCTGTCTTTCCTATTTGTAAAATATAGTGATTGCTAAAATATTTGCTTCTGCACGTAGTAACTGATGTGTGAGTTATTTTTTTCTGCGTTGGGTTAAGGAATTTTACCTTAAATTGGCTGCTACAACTAGCAAGCCCAAAATACAAGTTTTGTCAAACTGCACAGATTACCACACTGCATAGATTATTTTCCACAAGAAGAGTCTTGCAAATAAGGGGAGCTGGTGGATATTTTAAAAGATTACAATGAGATATGACTGTCTACAAATAATAGCTACCATTTTTGAGCATAGAAATCATGGTAACCAACTTATGTTTATTATTACATGTAATTTTCACAGTAAACTATCTTATTTAATTATCATAATTGCCACATAGCAATCCTGCAACGGGTCCATATAAGCATTTAAGGATGGAAAGCAACTGAAGTTTAGAGTCAAGTTCAACTTACCAAGTAAGTTGTGTAGTTAGCAATTGAATTTAAATATGGCCTCATGTGATAGTGAATAAGATGAAATATGTTATTCAATAAATATATTCCATTAATCTTAAAATGTAGGTAAAAATTCACTGTTGCATGTTATCTCATGTCTGTCTAGAATCTCCAAATTTTGATCTGGCCCCCCGCATCAGACTACATTCTCTAGAATACCTGGCAGTTAGGTAGGCTCAAGACATTGGCATGAAACTATTTACGTCATAGCCTTAGAGGCAAAGCTGCTTGCCATAGCCGTTTGCTTTCCTATGTTCTGTAAGCTAGAATTTGGATGTGGAAGCAACCAAGCCAGAATAGAACACATCAGCTCAGTAGACAGTGAAGCAAGATAGAACAAATCTGGTCTGTAAATGTGCTTGAGGAGCAATTCTGTCCTGCCAGCCTGGACAACTCAGTTGTGGCCTGTTTCTCATTTGACAGAGAAACAACCTTCTATCTTGTTTAATTCAAGCTAATCTATCATCACTCTGTTAAAAAGCTGAGCCCTAACTAGTACAGTTTAGTTATTTGACTTTCTTCACTGACACTCTAGCCATACCCACTGTTTTAATTCCAATCCTGATCTCAACCCTACCCACATTCTTTTGCTAGAATATCACAATATATTAAAAATACTGAAAATATATGGCAAATTAATATATGAAATGGGAGAAAACAGTCACATTGTACTACCATGTGACTGCAGGATACAGGTATGTATTCTACAAGTTGATATAGTATTTGAGAGTACTCCTTCCTGCTTTTTCATGCTTTAACCCAGGTTATTTCGTTATTTTTTTAAAATCAGAATTTTATTAGTACTTAAACTTTCAAGCATTGCCATATCGTGGGGAAGAGAAAGAGGAGCAGAATCTTCCCTTGTTCTCAATCCAGAGTGGAGTCACACACATGAGGAAATAAATACCACCACAGTGTATTCAATAGTAGAGAAAGGAACACAGTCTTATGGGAGAATAAAGAAAGAAAAAAACACTTACTTATGCTAGGAGGGTTTCCCAGAGGATGTAAAAAAAAGTGAGCTGAATATTAAAGTTTCACTGCCTTCTAGTCCTGGAGTCCAATTTGTTTTTAAAGCATTCAGGATGCTGGAGAAACTCATGTTTTCTCCTCTTCATCCTGCACATGCTGTGGTATTTGGTTTACCCTCTGCCTCAAAGTATATAAAAAAAAACCTACCTCTTCTATATACTACATTAGAAAGGGCTTTTTTGATTATGCAACAAGAAGAGCTAACTATCCTAAATATATATGCACCCAATACAGGGGCACCCAGATTCATAAAGCAAGTCCTTAGAGACCTACAAAGAGACTTAGACTCCCATGTAATAATAATGGGAGACTTTAACACCCCACTGTCAACATTAGACAGATCAACGAGACAGAAAGTTAACAAGGATATCCAGGAATTGAACTCAGCTCTGCACCAAGTGGATCTAATAGACATCTGCAGAACTCTCCACCCCAAATCAACAGAATAGACATTCTTTTCAGCACCACACCACACCTACTCTAAAATTGACCACATAGTTGGAAGTAAAGCACTCCTCAGCAAATGTAGAAGAACAGAAATTATAACAAACTGTCTCTCAGACCACAGTGCAATCAAACTAGAACTCAGGATTAAGAAACTCACTCAAAACCACTCAACTACATGGAAACTGAACAACCTGCTCCTGAATGACTACTGGGTACATAACGAAATGAAGGCAGAAATAAAGATGTTCTTTGAAACCAACGAGAACAAAGACACAACATACCAGAATCTCTGGGACACATTCAAAGCAGTGTGTAGAGGGAAATTTATAGCACTAAATGCCCACAAGAGAAAGCAGGAAAGATCTAAAATTGACACCCTAACATCACAATTAAAAGAACTAGCAAAGCAAGAGCAAACAAATTCAAAAGCTAGCAGAAGGCAAGAAATAACTAAGATCAGAGCAGAACTGAAGGAAATAGAGACACAAAAAACCCTTCAAAAAAATCAATGAATCCAGGAGCTGGTTTTTTGAAAAAATGAAACTTTACAAAATTGAAATAATTATAGAGTCACAGGAAGTTGTAAAAATAGTACAGAGAGATGCCATGAACTCTTTATCCAGCTTCCACCACATAACATCCTACATGATTATTGTACAATATCAAAACCAGACTGCAAAACTTATTCAGAAGTCACCAGTTTTTCATGCATTCGTGTATGTATGTGTGTGTGGTTCTATGTAATTTTACCACACATATAGATTCATGTAAACACAACCACGATCAAGATATCAAACTATTTCATAATCAAAAAAGAACCCCCTAGTGCTGCCCCTGTATAATAGCATACTTCCCTGTCCTTAACCCCTGGCAACCGCTAGTATGTACATTTTCCATCTTTATAATTTTGCCATTTCCAGAATGTTATATAAATTATAAATGGAATCATATAGTATATGATCTTTTTTTTTTTGGTAGAGATGGGGTCTGGTTATGTTGTCCAGGCTGGCCTTGAACTCCTGGGCTCAAGCAATCCTCCTGCCTTGGCCTCCCAAAGCACTGGGATTATAGGCCTAAGTAATGACGCTTGGTCTATTATAACCTTTTTGTAAACAGCAAGGATATAAGGCAATGCCTGTGATCAATGTCGAACAGATATTGTCTCTCATCTGGCTTTGTGTTTCAGCTTTAGCTTTCCCTGAATGTTTCCTTGTAATATCTGCTATTGCCACCCCTGGGCTCTATTCTACTTATCTCTGGAAAAAGAAGCCAGACCAAAAGTAGCCACATCTACTGATGAAGAGTTATTACGTAAGGCCACACTCCTAGCCAGAGATGCTCTGAAAGGGCTTGACACAGCTCAGTTTTCTAGTTTATATGTGAAGTGACACTTCTCCCATGGTGCATTCAGAAGGTTGATACAACTTGCTCACTGGAAGGTTTTGTCAGCTATTAGAGTTACTTTTCCACTGGAGAGCAACAAATATATGGTGACGTTAATAACTGATGATGCGTCTTTGAAATCAGAGTGAGAGGGAAGAAAGCCAACTGGCAAAAAATAACAAGTATCGACAGCATGGTCCTGCCTTGCCTGAATTGTCACAAAGCATCAGACTAGAAAAAGGAGCTCAGGCTGCTGGTGAGCATTGTAGTAACAGAGCACATAAATTGGCAACGTATATTTGTCTTACCTTTGGTGCAAAAAACAAGCTAGCTTCCTTGCTAACAATGGTCTGCGTACTCTTCAGGGCTAAGGGGGAAAATGTGTTCCTGCTGTCAAAAGCAAAAAGACAAAATATGAGTTTTACATGATTAACTCAAAACACTTCCCACATCTTAGAACAAGTACTAGATGGATTTTATATCTCTATTTTGATAGCTATATATATTTAATATTCATAATTACGTATATGTAGTAAAGGGTTAATATATTTGGGGTAAATACATGACATGCATTATATTTATACAAAATTAACATAATTCATATGTTAAAGTGTCTCGAGAATTCAGTTACCCCATCCTCCATTCTTGGGTGTTTACATTGATTCAGTTTTTTGTAATGTTGAGCAATGCTATAAGAATCTTTGAATCTATATCTCCATTCATATAAGTACAAATATATATATTATTAAATAAATTTAATATATTTTGATAAATCTTATCCCCAAATTTGCCAGTAGATTACACAATGCCTACCTCTCTACATTCAACATTGGCTTGTTTTCTTTGTTCTTTATCATTGGCAATTTGATCAGTTGAAAATTATAATTTATTGCTGTTTCCATTTGCATTTCTTTGGTCAAGTGTAAGGCAGTATTTAATTTTGATATTTGTTGATCACTAATATTATTTCCAGTAAACTGTAAGTTTCATTTATTCTGTTATTCCCAATACTTAGCACTATACTAGGTACAAAGTAGCACTCAATAAAAAAAATTTATGTTCCAAATGCTTGTTTAGATCTGTTTTCTTCTACTGCAGAATTTGTAGACTTTTTCCTTAATTCTTGAGACAGGCTACAGTGGCTACATCTGTCCTTGAGGTTAGGGTCATCTGACCCTGAAGGGGGCTTATCAGGCCCTAACTGGAGATAACAATACAAGAGATTTTCCCTGCTGATGAGCAGGCACACTCTCCAAAAATTTACCCTAGAGTAGCCCTTTGCTCATTATAATGGTAAAAAGCACATCCCTGGTTGGAGATTTTAAATGCTAATGAGACACGTGACATGTATACTAGCATGTACAACCACAGAGCATGTGCATCCAAAGAGATGTCCCAAAACATGCTTGCAAGTAACATCCCCTCATGCCCCTTCATGAATAATCATTTAAGATTCTCATAAAGAAAGTCCCCCAGCATTAGCTGCTGCTGGTTCATTCTTTTGAGCAGCCTACTCTGTCTTGTGTTCCAGATTGTACTCTCTCTTTAAATAAACACTGCTTCTACTATTTCTCCAGCTGGACCAGCCCAGATCTGTTTTACACTCCTCTCTAGGAATGTACTTAAACTCTGCTACTTAACCCTTGCTATGAATCCCTTGGCTGCATGTTTTCTTTCAAGTTAGTTCAAGCATTTGAACCTGGGATTCCCACATGTTCTGGTAACAGTTTCAGCCAGTTTCAGTGGGTGCCATTGATATCAATGGGCTTCAAATGGTCTCATCTGGTTTCATCTGGTTCTAGCCAATTTAATCAGGTTTTGGTCAGCGTCAACCAGTTTCATCCAGATTCCAGCCAGCTTCAGCTGGTTTCATCCAGTTTCAGTCAGCTTCAATTAGTCACTACTGGTCTCATCCAGTTTTGGTTAGAGTCTTTTAGTGACATCCAGTTCCATGCAGTATTGGCCAGTTCCATCCAGTTTGGGCCAGTTTCATCTGGATTCATCTAATTCCATTGGCTTTCAGCTGGTTTCAGACAACTTCATGCAGTTTCAGCCACTTTCATCTAGTTTCAACAAGTTTCATCCTGTTTCGAATGGTTACATCTAGTTTCAGCAGACTTCATCCAGTTCCATCCAGTTTCTTCTTGTCACAACTGGTTCCATTCAGCCTCATCCAGTTATAGCCAGTTTTATCTGGCTCCAGCTGGTTTCTTCCAGTTCCACCCACTTTCTGCTGGTTTCTTCTGGTTTGAGCCAGTTTCAGGTGGCTTCCACAGGTTTCTACTGGTTTCAGCTGTCTTCAAATGGTTTCAGCCTATTTCAGGTGGTTTTTTTAATCGTTTCAGCTGGCTGCAACTGGAATCATCTGGTTTTGTCTGTTTTCATACTGTATTACCTGGTTTCTACCTGTTTCAGCCAGCTTCAGCTTGTTTCATCCTTTTCCTCCAGTTCCAGCCAGTTCCATCTGATTTCATGAGGTTTCACCTTGTTTTAGGCAGTTTCATGGATTTCAAATGCTTTCATCTGGTTTCCTCTGGTTTCTTCTGGTTTCAGCTGATTTCATTCAGATCCATTTAGTTTCAGCCAGCTTCAGCCAGTTGCATCTGAAATTCAGCTGGTCTCAGTCAGTTTCAGCTGTTTAATACTAACCTTGTTTTAACTTGTCTCAACTGGTTTCAACTGCATTTGTTGTTTTCAAGCAGTTTCCACTTTCCTTAAGTCTATATTGTCCAATTCAGTAGCCACTAGCCATATGCAGCTCTTACATTTTTAATTAAAAATTAAATGAAGACTAATATGTATAGCATGTTATTTGTGCAAAAAACAAATACAAAAATGCCATGAAAAAAATGTTATTCTTCTTAGGTGGTGATTTTTAATTAGAAAATGTTATTTCTCTGTATTTTCTTCTTTCATTAAAATTAGAATTAACACTTAATACTTGTAAAAATGAATCAATGGGTCAGGTGTGGTGGCTCACGCCTGTAATCCCAACACTTTGGGAGGCCAAGGTGGGCGGATCACAAGGTCAGGAGGTAGAGACCATCCTGGCTAACATGGTGAAACCCCATCTCTACTAAAAATCCAAAAAAAAAAAAAAATTAGCTGGGTGTGGTGGTGGGCGCCTGTAGTCCCAGCTACTCAGGAGGCTGAGGCAGGAGAATGGCATGAACCCAGGAGGCAGAGCTTGCAGTGAGCCGAGATCGTGCCACTGCACTCTAGCCTGGGCGACATGGCAGAGTGAGACTCTGACTCAAAAAAAAAAAAAAAAAATGAAGCAATGAAGAAGGCAAATTAAAATGCAGTGTTAGAATGTAAATTTAATACATTAACATTTCCTTGAACTCTTTTTTGTTCATTTTGTGATTTCCAATACTATTAAGGATAGTTTCATCCTCAAAACAAGTGTGAGCTAAGTGTTCTCTTGGCTGAGCAAAAAGACCCTCTAAAACACACTAATAGGAGTGTAAAATACATTAGTTTATCATCATCAAACTAAAAAAGTTGCACACGTTAAGTGGTGTTGAAAGCACAGGATGAGCAAGACATTGTAGAGCTATCCTCCCACTTTGGTTTGTTTTCCTTGTGAGATGCACTGGATTCTCATGTGCTCACATCTTAAACCCTGTAGGGTAATTGTGAGCAAGTGGGAATGCCAAAATCAGAATCTGTGCCCAAAGCATACTAAACAGTTCACACAGGGAAAACTATGTCTTTCATATTAAAAGTTGGACTGGTACTAAGTTACCACATGATTTCTTTATTTTATTTTCAATTGACAAGTGATACTTGTATATATTATATATTTATGTGGTACAATGTGAAGTTTTGATAAATGTTCACCTTATGGAATGATTAAACCAAGCTAATTAATAAATCCATCACCTTACACCTGCAATTTGATATATAATGATTCCACCAAGGCTCCCTGAAGAATGAAATATCTTCCTCCAATTTTCAGAACCATTTTTACAATCTATACCAAATAGTGCCTGTTTCATAAGATCAAACACATAAGCACCCTTAAGCACATGCATGTGTGTGCATTCACTTAAAACACATACATAAGGAAGAAATATTTTTACTTTCTATCTCCTATGACAGGGATTAATATCCTTATTTTACAGATTATAAAATCAAGAGTTGGTAAAGGAAATTGTCTTGACTAACGGATTGGTTGTAAGTTACCCAGACCAGACTTAAACCCAAGTTTCTTGATTCCAAAGGCCATGCTTTCCCCTGCTAATGTCCTACTAACTCAAGGATCTACAAAGTACATCCTGGTTCTGAAATTCTAAAACTTTTTGACTACTTGTTAGATGAGAACTTCAATTTATGCCATATGTTGCTTTCTTGGGGTGAAGAGTCAAGGTAAGAGGAGAGCAATTAATCAGCCATGGTGTAACCACTAAGGATTTGGTAGGTATATCTCAAGTAGTAGGATCAAGTCCAACATCATCACACTATGGGAGCTATGACTCTCTGTTCACCGTAGTGTCTGCATTAGTGATCCCATAAGTAGGAAACATAATTTCCAGCTCGTAAGAATGTAGTTAGCATGACCATATATATTCAAATGTATTTAAATAAATGTCTGTTGCTTTTACTTTTGACAAGTTTCATATTGCTCCACCAATGGAAACTGACAAAAGAACATAAATTTAGACTTGGCGAAGAGCAAAGTAGTCTTAATAGTTAAATTAACTTTATGCTGCAAAGTTCTTTTCTCCATGGAAAATTTTCTGAGTCATCCAGGCCCTGGAACTTTGAAAATTCCTTTTCAATAAAGCACCAGAGCAATTCTGTTGCCCCCAAGTTCTTGATAACCTACTTAATAAAGCACAGTTTTTCTGAGGTAAAACTACATTTCTGAGTTCTCATTTTCCCTGTGTTTTCTACTGTGAAGTTCTAAGTGGATATATAACAGTTTACTGGTGCTGTAGTGCTCTTCTGAGGAGCCAGGGACCTTCTGAAACTGCTAGGTTTCATCACAAAGAGGATTACAATAGATTTATTGTACATAGGAAGTGAGTTATAAAGTGTTTTCTGTTAGGCATCATTTTAACTGAGACTCTTTCTTGAAAATTTGGTGTTGGCAGAAAAGAACACTCTCGCCTGAATGAACAAATTATTTTTCTGAGCCTAGGTTTTCCCATAAACTCAGTCTTCCTTGAAGAGTTATCGATTTACTTCTTGGCTTATGAATCACTAGTAAGACTAAAAGAATCAAAAGAAAAATTAAAAACATATACTTCAAAGTAAACAAAGAGCTGAATTTTTTTATTCACTTTGATACGACTGTGCTTAGAGAAAGCCCAGGACTAGCTATGTAGCCATTATTTGAATAATTTAGTTCCTGGAGTAATCAATCAGATCCCTCCCTAGAAAAAACAACCATTATTGACAAAAGGGTAAAATGTGGGCAATATTTTGTAGGAATCAATGTCCATTATATTTCTGGGAACTTAAATATGTGTATTAAAATATTATTCATAATCAAATCAGGAAATAAATGTGTTTAGTCCCAAGGCCATGCTAGTGTGCAGCCCAGAACAATTTTCGCAAATTTAAGACATGAGTTAAAAAAGCATTCATATCTCTTACCTAGAATGCTTACATAACCGATTTTATTAATTTTTAAACACAATGGAAAGCACACTGGTTGTTCTGTTTCTTAAATACTTCCAGGTTCCGGATGTGTGCAAATGCTTTTTTCTCCTGCCTGAAATGTTGTTACCCAATGCTTGTTGTCTCCATGTTGTGACTTACATTATGGATATTAAAGAAGCCTTCTCTGTTTCAGTATTGCCATCCTACCCCCACTTCCATTATTTTTGTAACATTTGTTTTCCCCTCATATTACTTACAAGTTCTGTATGTATTCTATCTATTTGTTTTCTTGTTTACTTGTTGTGGCTCCCTTTAGGGTATAGCATCCATGAAGCTATTGTATGTCAAGTGTAAGTTGATTTACCATGAAGCCAGTAAAGTTAAGCTTCAGAGGTACTTGCTTGACTTACATTTGTATGTTTATATTATTACTGTTTTAAGAGGGCTCCCCAACTTAAAAAGTATTGGGGCCCCAAAATCTGGATTTGCCTTGACCATAGACAGATACACTCTAAGTTTACCCCTAGTGGATCATGCCTTTGTATAATTCCTTCCCCTTAATGCAGTATGAGCAAATATAGGCAATGTGAAATTTTATAGTTGAGCAGACCTGAAGTTTAGCTGTGGCCCTATCTCTTCTGAGTTAAGTAATGCAGTGCAATCAAAGCCCACCTGGGCATGTGTTTCCAAACCTATGAAATTGAGATAATATTATTACTTTGGATAGTTATAAAGAATTAGAGATATGTACAAAGAGATTGGCATATAGCAGGTATCTGTATATGTTTATTGCTGTTATTATTTATTATTACATGATTGATATAGAATAGCTTTCTAGCATGATGTCATATTTACTTCTGGCTAGAATTCTTTCTATTCAGAAAGAGAATTGAAGGTCTAAAAGTTGTGTTTTTCTGAGGGATTTCAAATGACCAGGAGGCATCCTAGCCAAAGGAGCCTCTTAAATCAGAAGAAAGGGATAAACCACACACTCAGAATTTCAGGCTAACCTTGAAAGAAGTAGAGACTGCTAGTCTTCACCTCCCTCCAGCACAGGGATGGGATATGATTCTGAGGGAAAAGATGTAGGACAGTATACCATGGAACTCCTATAAAATGCTTTGGTTATATTATATTACTATATTTATATAAAGCAATAGAATATATTATAATTATATAAAATAGACTATGTTGCAATATTATGTATATGACATAATGCATAAATTATGTATATATATTCTTACCCGATTCATTACATATATCATATTTATATACATGTAAATATGCCGAAAATATTTCCTCTTGTTAACCTTCAAAAAGACGAGTTATTATTTTTATTGTATGAAGGAAAATGCATTCTAAAAGTAGCTTCAACATAGCACATACTTTGACCAGAGCCACCTTCATGGGCGTGCTACCTGTGCTATATCATGCTTAGAAGGCCCCATGCTTGCTTTAAAGCTCTGCCGTCACTAACTTGAAATCCTTAATAATTTTTGAACAAGAGGTTCCACGTTTTCATTTTTAACTGGACCTGGCAAATTACATAGCTGATCCTGACTTACACAGACATTTAACTATGAAATCACATAATTCTGATTTTTAAATTTTAATGTTTATTGAAATGTGTATATGAGTATACCTATACATGTATAAAATATTCATAGACAAAATGCCATTCAATCATTCAAAATATAAATATTGAGGGCAGATTTAAATCTTTATTAAGAATGTATTACTTTATTAATTTATTTTTATTGCTATATATAATTTTAACAGAATGAGAGAAAGAACAAGAAGTTTTGTGATTCATGAGACAGATGTACCAAAGAATGTTTGTTATTTGAAAGCTCCTTATTAACTATTCAGAGAAGGGCCACAGAATGTGTAGAAGCACGCTCCCTAAGTGTTTACCTTGAGATGTCTTTTTTTCATGATGTGACCAACTCAGTTCTGCATGTGCTCACCAAGCCAAGAGTAGTACATTTACTATCAGAAAAATCATTGTCATTATGCAAAACAAAGTGATTCAACTGTCAAAAGCCATCTTCATGATGAAAATGGCATTGTTTTCTCTTTGTACAAATAAAGTTACATATAATAATGTATGTTAAGCTTTAGGAATAATAGAATGCTCTTTATTTCTATATGTGGTTTTAGAATTCCTTCAGTTAACAGATTACAGTAATTTTTTACATAGAAACATTTTGATATAAAATATTAGGTGATGTATTAGTCCATTTTCACACTGCTATAAAGAATTCCCGAGACCAGCTAATTTTTAAAGGAAAGAGGTTTAATTGACTCACAGTTCCACATGGCTGGGGAGGTCTCAGGAAACTTATAATCACGGCAGAAAGTCAGAAAGTGAAGAGGAAGCAAGGCACGTATTATATGGTGGCAAACAAGAGAGAGAGAAGGGGGAAGTGCCAGGCACTTATCAAACAACCAGATCTTGTGAGAACTCACTATCATGAGAACAACATGGGGGAAACTCCCCTCATGATTCAATCACCTCCCATCAGGTCCCTCTTTCAACATGTGGGGATTACAATTTGGATTACAATTCCGGGTGAGATTTGGGTGGAAACACAGTCAAACTATATCAGGTGATCACCAGAAATTTTAATATTTTGAATCTTAAAAAGATAAAATATAAGCAAGTGATCAAAGTAAGCAATTAAATAGAGGCTGTGGTAATAAAGGTGATGTCATGGTCCAAATGGCTATCAAAACATAAAATATTAAATCAAATTTCATTGTGTTCTTTCAGAAAGTATCATGATAGCTCAATCTCCATCATAGAACTAGGATTACCAAATGTTTGCATCTACATAATGATGGCCTTGGTAAGAAAATTGCCAATCCTCAGCTGATTCAAAAATCCAAAGTTAAGTACAATCAACAAATCTATCATTTGAATTCTATTTTTGCACCTACCTAATAAATCTCTAATTAAATATACAATGCTTTTTAATATTAGACAGTGGATTATAGGTTTTGCTTTCTTTTTTCCAAATATTAGTGTAAAATTTCAGCATCTACAGTCTTGCCCACCATTTATAAATGTTGGTTAAAAATTCCAGAAAAAGTAAGACTATAAACAAAATGTCTGTTTATATGTGAGAGAACCTTGATACATAGGCCTGTGGTGTACATGTACACTAAAGATTTTACATTATTAATTTTAAAAGCGTCTTAAAGTTCTGCTGACATTAAAACACTTTTAACTACTTTACTATTTTTTAGTGTATCACAAATAGAAAATTGTTCACATTCTGGTAATCCATAACAAAAACTCAAAGGCAGATTGCATTTTGATTCAAGTATAGATGGTAGATTAATTTATCGTTGAGCAAATATTCACTTCTTTCCTCCCCTGCCCCCATCTATATGGGAAGAGTATACATCCACAACCCACTGATGTTAGGTTTGGCAATATGACTTACTTTTGCCAATGGGATGCTAGTGGATATGAAATGAGATTTGAAATGTGCTTGTGTGATTGTGAACTTGGACTTGTTCTCATGCATATCTTACCATTGCCATAAATAGTAGATGCCACAGTTAGCCCCTGGTAGAAACAGGATGAAAGTTACATGTAGCAGACTTGGGCTCTAACTGCAGTTTGGAGCCAAGCCCAAACAAACTCAACCAAGGTCATTAAATACCACCCAACCTGCACAACATGAGAGAGAGATGAATACTTACTGTATGCATTGAATTTGGGATTTAAAAAATATATACAGTACAATTATGGCAATAGCTAACTGAATCAATAAACTATTCAAAGAACTACACAGGCATTTAAAAACTCTTTCAGGGCAAAATCTGGTTCAATATCTACCCCTGCAAGGTAAATTAGATTAATTGCTATAATTGTTAAACTTGGATTTTATAACAACTTGGAATGATTTGAAAATAACGGATATAGTTTGGGCATTTGTCCCCTCCAAATCTCATGTAGAAATGTGACCCCGAGTGCTGGAGGTAGGTCCTAGTGGGAGGTGTTTGAGTCATGGGAACAAATCCCTCATGGATGGCTCGGTGCCCTCCTTGGTAATGAGTGAGTTCTTGCTCTATTAGTTCATGTGAGAGCTGATTGCTTTAAGAGGCTGGCACCTCCTCCCTTCCCTCTTGCACCCTCTCTCACCATGTGATAAGCCGGCTCCTCTTTGCCTTCTGCCATGACTGTAAACTTCCTGAGACTTCAACAGAAGCAGATGCTGGCACCAGCCAAAATATATACCTTTTTTAATAAATTGCCCAGCCTCAGGGATACCTTTATAGCAACACAAAACCGACTAACACAATAATATGCTCTACAAATATTATGTATGCAAAATTACTAAGCAATTATATTAAAATACACCAAAATTTATCTTATACTACAGTAGTCCCCACTTATCTGTGGTTTCACATTCTATAGCTTCAGCTACCTGCAGTCAACCACAATCCAAAAACGTTAAATGAAAAATTTTGGGAATAAACAAATCATACATTTTAAATAGTGCACTGTTTTGAGCAGTGTGATTAAATCTCATGCCATCCCATTCCATTCTGTCCAGGATGTGGATCATTCATTTGTGCAACATATCTATGCTGTCTATACTACCTGTTAATCACTTTATAGCCATCTCAGTTATCAAATTGAAAACAACATAGTATATATAGGGTTTGGTACTATTTGCGGTTTCAGGCATTCAGTGGGGGTGCTAGAACATGTCCCCCCTTGAATAAGGGGGGACTACTGTACTGTGATGGCTAATTTTGTGAGTCAACTTGACTGGGCTAAGGGATACTCAGATAGCTGGTAAATCATGTGTATTAGTCTGTTCTCACACTGCTATAAAAAACTACCTGAGACTGGGCAATTTATAAAGAAAAGAGGTTTAATTGACTCACAGTTCCACGTGGCTGGGGAAGCCTCAGGAAACTTACAATCATGGCAGAAGGTGAAGGGGTAGCAGGCATATCTTCACATGGCTGACAGGAGAGAGAGAGAGCAATGGGGGAAGTGCTACACACTTTCAAATAACCAGCATGAGAACTCACTCACTATCATGAGAACAGCAAGAGGGAAATCTGACCCATGATCCAATCACCTCCCACCAGGTTCCTCCCCAACACTGGGGATTACAATTCAACATGAGATTTAGGTGGGGACACAGAGCCACACCATAACACCATTATTTCTGGGTGTGTCTATGAGAGTGTTTCCAGAAGAGATTAGTATTTGAATCAGTAGACTAAGTAAAGACTACCCTCACCAATGTGGCTGGTTATCATCCAATCTATTGAGGGCCCAAATAGAACAAAAAGGCAAAGGAAGGATGAATTTGCTCACTCTCTCTGTTGAGGTGGGACAATCATCTTTTCTTGACCTTGGACATTGGCACTTCTGGCTCTTGGGCCTTCAGATTCAGACTGAGACTTACACCATCACCCCTCCCTGACCCTCACCTATTCTCAGGCCTTCAGTCTTGGACTGCATTATACTACTAGCTTTCCTGATTTTCTAGCCAGCAGTCATAAGATTCTGCTCCTCCATAATCACATGAGACAATTTCCATTATCTATCTATCTATTTATCTATCTATCATCTATCTATCTATCTATCTATCATCTATCTATCTCTATCTGTCTGTCTATCTATCTATCTAATCTATCATCTATCCTTTTCTTCCCGTTTCTCTGGGGGATCCTGATTAATACAACCAACAATTTGACATTCAATAAATACTTAGTAATGTCTACTATAAATAATCAGGCACATGTAAGCATCATTTAGATGTTCAAACCAAATGAGAACAGGGAGTTGTCAACAGTTCAATAGGCCGAAAGAAAAGAAGACCCATCTGGGAATTTCCTGACATATTTTCCTCATCATATTTCTTTCATATTGTCTCAATTGGTTATTATACTCTTTCCTGCTGACTTGGCTATCTCTAGAAGTTTTATTATTATTACTGTTCAATCCATTTCTCTATCTCTTCTTTACTACTTTCTGTTTTTACAGTATTTTTAATAAAGCACCAACAAAAAGAAAATTCATCTAATTTGAAGTAATTTTGCTCCTGAGGATAGGAGGAAGGAATAGTAAAATATTCAAACTTTTACCACTATACACAATGAAATGTATGTTCTAACAACTTTAAGCAGATGACTTAGCTTCTCTGTGCCTCAGTTTCCTTGATCCATGAGGTGGGGACAAAATAATATATACCCACACTCCTCAGCATTGAGATAATCACATTGTGTGTCTGAAAACACTTAAGTAATGTAAGTCATTTGTTCTCTTTTTAAATGTAGAGGCACTTTTGAATCACATAAAATTTACTCCTTACAAAAAAAAACTGGCTTTGAAAATTTCAGTAATATAGCGATTTTACGTATTCTTCCACTAAATAAAAAGACGTTCCTCTTTACAAAAGCAAGAAAAAAATGTTAAGTGGGAAAGCCTTTAAAAAAATTATATTCTAGCATTGATAGTATGGATATGTTTGGAAGTGAGTTTATCACTACACAATAGTCCAAATGATCCAAAATAGATCTTGTCATGAGCAGATTGTTATTATGATTGAATTTTTTACACCAGGGTTGTAAATGTTTCATAAAATATGTAAATGAATTGTTTTGTTATATCTGGCTTTCTTCATTATTTTTCTTTATAATTTCTTTGTTTGAAGTAGATGTGTCTGATTTAGCTATAGCTTGGTTATTGTTTCAACGCCTTTCTTTCTTGGTGTTTGTCTTTTGGCCATTAATCCAGTCATCAGTCCAAGAAGTAGAGAAAAATAATTAGAATTAGTTTCATTCAAAGAGTAAACAGCTTGGTTTAGTAGAAGCATAAAAAGCAAAGATTGGTTAGAATAATTTTTGAGATTTTAAAATAGGATTTCTGAATTACATACTTGTTTGTATATAACCTATATATCCTATACCTTACTACCATTGAGTATCTAAGATATTTCTTACTTTTTAGTTAAATTCACTTATACTTTCAAAAATGGCAAATAATAAAAATTGAGTTAAAAACTATCCAGTTACTAAGACAAAACTTACATTTAAAGACCTACATCAAATTTAAAATGTAATAGAAAATATTTCTTTTCACTTAAACATCCAAGGTCTTTTATGAATAACTAATCAAAATGACAATAAATGTATACATGCATCAATAGTTATCACAATTAACATTAAATGCACATGCAATGAAACCTGAAATTAATAATCCTGAGGAGAGTTTCTTAAATTCTGGAAATGCATGGCTGTAACTAAGCAAGAAAGAAGTTAATTACTTCAAAAATTACTTATTCGTTCTGAGAAAATAAATTTTTACATATCATGCTCATCTCAGGGCTCAGCTGGTGTCTTATATCATAAATAATATAATTGCCACAGACTCCATAGACTATGTACCACTGAAAGTTGAAAGGAACTCTCTAATGTAAATGTGAAATATTACACATTACTATCAATAAGCTTTGCCATGAATTTCACATTTATGTATAAGTACAACGCACACAACCATTTTCCTTCCTTAAAAATGGATTTTAGGTGCACTTAAAAAACACCCTATGCTTGTAGACATTGATATTTTTAAATGCTGTTCAAGTTGAAATCGAATTAGAACAAACTAGTCAATATTTGTTTGAATAGGAAGACAAATGACAGTCTAGTAAAAGCTAACAATGAGTTATTCTACTTTGCCATCATAATGTGCATTTAATTTGTGGTCTTTCACATAGCAACATGATACCACTATCGACAGAACATATGCTTTCTGCTGTTTCACAAATGGTGATAATTAGTTTTTTTCCTGAAGCAAAGACAGTATGGAATTCCACATATTTATCTGTATTTAACCAAATTCTCCACATGCCCTAAAACTAGAATTATTAGTTATATAGGCTTACCTCTTTATAGAATGTACTTATTATCGCCTCATTATGCTTCTAATTTAACAATATTCTAAGTGGATTAATTCACTCATTAACATTGAATGGGCCGGGCATGGTGGCTCACGCCTGTAATCCCAGCACTTTGGGAGGCAGAGGTAGGCGGATCACGAGGTCAGGAGATGGAGAACATCCTGGCTAACATGGTGAAACCACGTCTCTACTAAGAATACAAAAAATTAGCCGGGTGTTGGGGCAGGCGCCGGTAGTCCCAGCTACCCAGGAGGCTGAGGCCTGGAGGCGGAGCTTGCAGCGAGCAGAGATCGCGCCATTGCACTCCAGCCTTGGCGACAGAGCAAGACTCCGTCTCAAAAAAAAAAAAACAAAAAACAAAAACAAAACAAAACAAAAAAAACATTGAATGAGCACTTACTATATCTGATCATTAAAAGTAAAAATGTTTAAGAACTGCAAGCCCTGGAACATAATGTTAATTTCTATGTACGTGCAGTAGTATTGCAGGTTATACAATTCTTTTCTATGTGTTCTAAGTCAACTACGGTGAGCACACCTCTCTATTTACTCTTTAAATGTTGGATTTCCTACAAATTTCTGATCTCATTCTGTACTTTCTTCCTTGCCAATCTCATTTATATCCATTCCATCCATTTTCAAATACCTACTTACAACTTCAGCTGTGTACCTGAAGCCCAGACTTTGCTGAAGCCCAGTAAATTGCACACTTGCAGAATTCCCAGTTTTAATAGGTGGTACAATGGTGAATGCTGGGATATAAACAGGTGTCTTCACACTGTCCTCTCTCACACCATCCATATCCAAATTAGCCTATAAGTCCCGCAAATTCTACTCACACATGACTTCTTAATGTATCCAAATTTCTCCATCTCCAATGTCACCATCCTAGAATACTCAGTATCCATATTCTTTTTTTATATATTTGTGCATGTGTGTGTGTGTCCATGCACGTGTGTATGCATGTTTGCTTGCTTCCCTTAAATATGTTTAAATATGTTTCCTACATTGCAGTCACAGTGGCATTTACAAAATTTATATCTAATCAGGTCATTCCTCTGCTTTAAAACATTTAGCAGTTTTAATTTGCATCTGAGAAACCCAACCCCTTACTACACTCTCCTCATTGACTTTTACATTCATGTCAAAGTGGTCCTCTTTCAGTCAGTTGAGTGTACCAGGCTTATTCTTCACTCAACCCTTTGAACAGGCAGTTCCTTAAAGAAATAGTCCTTAAACCTCACCCCACCCTTGTGAATCTAACTCACATTCATCCTTTTGTCTAGGTTCAAGTACTAATATTTCAGGACAGTCTTCTCAAACTTGTTGAATTAGATAATATCCCATGATTCTATTTTTCTGTCCTTTTCTTTAATAATCTTTAACAATTTGTAGTATGTATGTGTGTGTGTCTATTGGATTTATATCTTTCTCACTAGATCATAAGTTGACAAGCTCCACGAAGGCAGAGTATACCCACATTTTACTCATCATTTTATCCTCCACTCCTTGCCCAGTACCTGACCAAATTATATTACCAATAAATAGCTGTCAAATTAAGGATTGCTTATTTATTTTGTACCCAGAAAAATATTAAAATGGGAAAGAAATTTATTGAGGTGGTAATCAAAGTACATAGAATTACATCATGTTCGCTTACTACAAGAATGCATAAATCTGACTGAGATTCCCATTTGACTTTACTAAAAAAGACAACTGACTGTCCATCAATTAAAGACAACATAGTTTCTTTTCAGTAAAAGAGCTAAGCTAAAGTCGTATTTCCTAAGTTTTTACAGCTGAATATTTAAGATTATACTACCATGAATAACATTCTTACAATAAATATCATACTAATTTTTCTTTATAATGATTTTAATACCAAGTTTATAGCTGGACTAATCCAAAACAATCATTTTGGTTATTAAAATAATGAGTAATATTACAAAAAATAACCAGAAAAGGCTAAAACAAAGTGATGCATGAGGTTGAGTGTGATACGTGAAACTAAATAAAGTTGCATATACATTGCCAAGGAATGTTTTCCACATTTGACCAGAAAAAGACTTCTGACAATCCTCTTCTCTACCTCTTGTTCAGTCTAAGCCTTTGCTATTTTCATGACTTTGTTCAACTTCCTGGATATAGTAAATATAAATTATATGGATGAATAAAACCTTCCTAATCTTTATGAGCCTCAGTTTCTTTGAATGTACAGTCCAGTTAATAAAACCCAAACCACAGGCTAAGTAGGGCAATGCACACAATCCACTTCCTTGAACATTACGGTCCTTAATAAATAGTTATTATTATCTGTATTTTAAAATATTTGTCCTACTGCCTTAACACTATTCCCTCATATTATTGTCGTCCAATAACAGAAAGATGTTTTAGAGAATTGGGTGAGGATATCTGTGGGTCTCATTCCATAATTCAGTCACACTTTAGATCTATAAAGAAGTCTGAAAAGCCAGGCTAATTAACTTTTTTTTCTTTCTTAGGATACACCTCACTTGCTTTGTAGCAGTTGCTAACTTGCCCTCCCATTCCTTCTTACCTGCCCTATGAGTGCACACATGTACACTGAGAGGATTAGTTCCCCTAAGTGAAAACAAAAGAAAACCAATGAACAAACCATTCAAAACCTCTTAGATCATCAGATTTAAAATGCTCAAAATGCTGCAGTATCAATTCAGTTTTCACATAATGCTTTCTGAATTAACCAAACTTTTACCTTTGCTTGGTAGTAGCCCTTTAATTTTTTTTCTTAATTTCTTTTAGCATTTTCTAACAATATGTCTTTTACATCTATAAAATCCCCTAGTGTTTAAATTAATTAAACTTGTTTCTTTATTTGATTGTTATCCTTTTTTATTTCTTCCTTAAATTCCTACGATTTCCCCTTTTCTTAGCACAGGAAAATTCTAGCCACTAGCTAGTCACAACTTACCATATTATTATTATTTACATGTTATTATTATATGTATTTGGCAGATTATTCCTTTCCAAATGAATTAATGCCACTTCTCTTGAAATTTCTTTTATATTATGTATATATATCCTACAGCATCTAAATTTATTGTTTGCTTTTTGTAAACACTAGTGACAAAAAATAAATACTCATAACAGGCTAGTCCAATGGAAACTGAGGCCTAGGCAGGTAAAGGTATGGTCAAGTTCAGAGGCATGCTGAAGCTGAGCTAACACTGAAACCCAGTTGTCCTGGTTCCAATTTAGTATTCCATGTATCACTCCTATTGTGTTACATTACCATTGCTATGCCTTTGAAAATACTGGAATGTAAGAGTAATGTATTGCTTTTTATATTTAAAGTTACTGTAATAGAAAGAATGAATGAGCTGTAAACTCTGTTGATTTTGACTTAGTACACTGAAGACATATAGGCGGGCCCATTCATACTGCATACCCACTCTTGGCATAGTGCTTGGTATATGCGTTTGTTAAATAAACGATAAGCAGAAAGTAATCCCTGAATTGAAGAAACAACATGAAGACATTAATGATGAAACAACAGACACTGTAAAGTTGAATATTTGAATGCAGCCTTCCAGTTAGGGAATTAGGGGCCTGAATTTTGCCTACTGAGGCAAATATTCCATTGAAATCGTTGCTTTATGGATGCCAGCAGCCACTAAGCACAATTGCTTCAAAGAGAATAATTTTTAAAAAATCTACAGCAGTAGAGATTTTAAATTCTTTTATACCCCATGATTTTATCTTCCTGTCCTTTTATTTCATAATATATGTGTGCAACTTGGGAGTTCTAGCTACTGTTATGGTCAGAAATTCTGCAATAATTTATTTTTTCTAGGCATGATAGGCAGAATTTTAAGATTTTCCCCAATGACCCGCAACCCTGTATAATCCCCTCCCATTAAGTGCAGGAAGTACCTATGAATATGATAGGATATCACTTGCATGATTAGGTTATGTTACATGACATAGTTGACTTTAAGAAGTGAAATTATCCTTGATGGACCTGACCTAATGAAGTGAGCCCTTAAAAGTGGCAAGACTCTTCCTGATGAAAGGGATTAAAATTATTGTGGATTCTACATGAAGGAGATTCTCCATTGCTGACTTTGAAAATGGAGAGGTCCATATGGCAAGGAATGTAGGCAACTTCCAGGAACTAAGAATGGCCCCGCCTGGCATCCAGCAAAAAAAAAAAAAAAAAATGGGGACCTCAGTCCTATAACCACAAGGAACTTGATTCTGCCATCAGCCTGAATCTTTCAAGTAAATCTGTGCCTGCTGCCTCCTGATAAGCATGCTGCCCAGTCAACAAGACACTCTGAGACTGAGGACCTGAGCAGAGAATACAGATGAACTGTATCAGAATTACTGACCTACAGAACTGTGAGATAACAAATGGGTGTTATTTTAAGCCAGGAAGTTTGTGATAACTTGTTATGCATTCACAGAACACTTAATATATTGAGAATCTCAAAGATTGGGTAAATACTTTTTTAGTACTTTCTCAAAGTTTCATTCCAATAAATATTTATAAGTAACTAGACGTCTGTAAAGTTTACAAAGTGTTTTTTCATATATATTTTAATTTAATCCTCCCATCAACTCAGTAAGAATAATATCCTTACTTTCCACTCTAAAATTTTTATAAGACATATATAGAGTAATGTTATTGCTCAATATCACAAAGGCAGATAATAAAATTATGGCTAAAATCTAAAACAAATGGAAATAAAAGTAAACAACAAATGAATAAAACAAATTAAAAATAATATAATTAATGATGCTTTTTAAAATGTGTGGCCAGAATTAGCATTAAAGATTTAACACTCACCAGGGCTGGGGCTAGGATGAGGCAAATGAGGCATTTGCTTTGAGTTCAAAATTTAAAGTAAGGGAAGACCAAAAATTCTCAGTAATCAAAAGAGTAAGGTTTAGGGAAGAGGAAGTCATTAGAACTTCAGTCATTTATTGGCAGCATGTCCACTGAAATGGTTAAAATGTTATTGAAAACAGAAGGTTTAAGGATGAGCAATTAGTCCAAGTCAGACTGGAGCAGAATCAAGGTAACGGTGAATGAAGTCTTCAACCACTGAACGGCTAAAGTTTTTGCCAGATCACTCTGGAGACCTTCTTTTGTTTGAGAAGTTGTAGTTATATCATTCAGGGAGTTACAGGATGGGTAAGGTAACAGGGAGAGAGGGAAGTTATGGTAGATAAAAAGCTCTAAAATCAATTCTAACAGCTGAATGGTGATAAACCTAGGTTTGTATTTGTCTTAGCCTATTTTATGTTCCTATAATAGTAAAATACAGACTGGGTAGTTTATAAGAAATGTATTTCTTACAATTTTGGAGGCCAGGAAGACCAAGTTCAAGGGGCTTGCATCTGGTGAGGGCCTTCTTGCTATATCATCCCACAGTGGAAGGCAGAAGGGCAAGAAAGCACAAACAAAAGAGAGAGGAAAGGGTAGTGAACTCATCCTTTTATTAGGAACTCACTTTCATAATAACTAACCTGCGATAATAGCAGTAATCCATTCATAGGAGCAGAGCCCTCATGACCTAGTCGCCTCTCAAAGGTCCCACATCTCAACACTATTGCTTAGGGGACTAAGTTTCTAACACGTGAACTTTGGGGAACACACTCAAGCCATAACAATAACCTGAGACTCCTTACTCATAGTTTAATATCTTTGCTCCATAACATTCTACATTTCTAGGCTTATTAACCCAGAAACATGTCATAAAAGTTACAAGCTCAAGAAGTAAATATTCATTGAACAATCTAAATATTTCATTTAGTAACAGGTGAATTGAGAAGTTGGAAAATTTCTTTTAATAAATTGTGACAACATATTAGTATATTTATTCAAATACATGAATATTTCTGCATTTACCACATTAATGAAAAGAGTCTTGATATAAAGTTCATTTGAATAGCCATATATTGAATCAGTTTGTGAACCCAGAGGGAAGAGTGCCACAATTGTTTTTTAGGTCTACACACATGCAAGCTAAGATAATAACAAAACTTGTATCACTTACCATATCCACATTACGATTTGTAAAGATAAAAATAAAACCCAGTTGGCCTACTGACTGGCTAGCTATATAGGAACAACACAGAAACCTTCAAAGAAAGGTAGCTTTGAAGAAATCATAGCAACATTTTCTGTTTTCCAAAATTATAACTATTTGTAGGCACAAGTAATGTCATGTGACAAACACTAGGGCCTGAACATTATTTATTCCAACACTTCTAACTAATAATCCTTAATAAGAGATTAATTATTCAATGGGTTATGAACCAGATTCATTCTCCAGAAAAATATTTTTGTAACTCAAAATTATAAATATGTATTAAAAATTTTTGGACTAAAGAGTTTTCTCATATCAATTAGACAAAGATTTTGTTTTATTTATTCCTCTGGGCAATAAAAAGGCACACCTTAAGAATAGCAAATGAAGGTTAATAAAATATTCTACCTCTAGATCTATTTCAGCTAATAATCTCAAAAGGAATAATAGAATTAGAGTATTATAATTCTGCAACCAGTAACAAATTGATGAATGAGAGCGATGATCCTTAGTGACTGTACCATCACCACAAAAAATGAACACATGCTATATATCTCCTTTTTTTTTTTTTTTTTTTGAGACAGAGTCTTGCTCTGTTACCCAGGCTGGAGTGCAGTGGCACGATCTCAGCTCACTGCAACCTCCACCTCCTGGGTTCAAGGGATTCTCCTGCCTCAGCCTCCCAAGTAGCTGGGATTACAGGTGCGTGCCACCACATGGGGCTAATTTTTTATATTTTTGGTAGAGATGGGGTTTCACCATGTTGGCCAGGCTGGTCTCGAACTCCTGATCACAAGTGATCCGCCTGGCTTGGCCTCTCAAAGTGCTGGGATTACAGGCGTGAGCCACCATGCCCAGCCGCTATGTATCTCCTAATGGAAGTGTACAGCATCATCTCTGGAGTGGTCTTACCCACAGATTAATAAATAAATAAACCTTAATCTGAACAAGCTTCTCCCTATAACTATTGAAGATTATGATGCTGAATGTCAGGTATATTGGGTTATTATTCTATTTTCTGTAATGCTGTATACAATTGAGAATTTATATAATTCATGATTTATTATAAATATCATGACTTTAAATTGGAAAACTCAAGTAAAATGAAACAATTTTTAATGAAATATAAGTTGATAACTAGGTTCATAAAGAAATAGAAAACTTTAATCAGATAGTACAAGCAAAACGTAGTCTAGCCCTGGGCACCCGCAAAATCTTCCAGGATCAGCCATGTTTGGAAGCCCATTACATCAAATCATGAAGGAAAAGTTTATCACCACATTAAATAAACTCTTACAAACCATACAAGAAGATGGGAAGCTATTCAACCACTTTAGCAGGCTAGCTATACTTGATACAAAAACTAGATGATCATATCCCAAGGAAAGAACACTTCAGCCAAATTTACTCACATAGAGACACATTCTAAATAAATGTATAGAATATCTAATACAGCAGTGAATAATACAGCAGTGAAGAAATAGGGAAATAGGCTGTGTCTAAGAAATGCAAAGATGATATCATATTAGGAAAAATGTGAATTGGAATTCACTATGTTAACAGAGAAGGAGAACGCATTTGATCACATGCAGCAGTAAAGGAAAAGCCACTGGTAATAACTGAACACCAATTCATGGTAATAACCTTTAGTATATTTACATTAGAATGGAATTTCCATATCATAAAATAAACAGCAATCATACTATTTGAAATGTTGGCAGCATTCTCAATAGTTCAGAACCAGATACAGAGGTGTGGTGCCAATTCTGCTGGTCAAACTCGGACTGGATTGCGGAGCCAGTATACAGGCACACAGAAGAATACTAAGATAAAATTTATGAAAAATGAAAAGAAAGAGAATATGATTCTCTAATTAAAAATTCTAAAGAAATCAGCTCACAAAATATTCAAATGTATAAGGAAATTCAGTAAACTTGTGTAGAAAATCACTATAGTGAAATCAGGAATCTAGCCACATGAAACAAACAACTAATTAGAAAATGTAACAATGGGGTGGGGGTTGGGGGAGGCAGGGCATCAAGAAGATGAATGCTGGCTAATGGATGCTGGGCTTAATACCTATGTGATGGGATGATCTGGGAAGCAAACCACCATGGCATATGTTTACCTATGTGACACGTGTTTACCTATGTGACACAAACCACCATGGCACATGTTTACATATGTGACAAACCTGCACACGTACCCCAGAACTTAAAAGTTGAAGAAAAAAAGAGAAAATGTAATAACAATCCCATTATGTGGGCAAAGGACATGAACAAACACTTTTCAAAAGAAGATATACATATGGCCACAAGCATATGAAAAAAAGCTCAACATCATTGATCATTGATGAGAAACGCAAATCAAAACCACAGTGAAATACCATCTCACAACAAATAACTAATTAGAAAATGTAACAATGTAAAAAATAGAATGACTATTACCAAAAAGTCAAGAAAATAACAGATGCTGGAGAGGTTGTGGAGAAAAAGGAATGCTTACACACTGTTGGTGGGAGTATGAATTAGTTTAACCAGTGTGGAAAGCAGTGTGGTGATTCCTCAAAGAGCTGAAAACAAAACTACCATTCCACCCAGCAATCCTATGACTGGGTAGATACCCAAAGGAATATAAATTATTCTATCATAAAGGTACATTCACACATGTGTTCATTGTATTACTATTCAAGAGAGCAAAGGCATAGACTCAACCAAAATGTCCATCAATGGTAGACTGGCTAACAAAAACGTGACACATATACATCATGGAATACTATGCAGCCATAAAAGAAGATCATGCCCTTTTCAAGAACATGGATGGAACTGGAGGCCATTATTCTTAGCAAACTAAAATAAAAACAGAAAACCAAATACCACATGTTCTCACTTATAAGTGGGAGCTAAATGATGGGAACACATGGACACATATAGCGGAACAATGGATACTGGGGCCTTTTAGAAGGTGGAGGGTGGGAGGAAGGAGAGGGTCAGGAAAAATAACTAATAGGTGCTAGACTTAATACAAGGCTGATAAAATAATCTGTACAACAAACCCCCATGACACGAGTTTACCTATATAACAAACCTACACATATACTCCTGTACTTAAAATAAAGGTTAAAGAAAAAGAAGCCTCAAGGAATCTTGTAAAAACATTTGTGCTACCTCAAGACTTTAAGTCATGAAATTCACTGTGAACTGGATTAGGATCTTACGCGAGGGGCATAAGTAAAGCTTTTCAGAAATTCAAAGCTGACTCAGCCAGTGTAGTAGAAACAAAACAAACATAATATACAAAGCATTAAATTGAAAGTAATGGTTCCAAATAAGGAAAGATCCTAGCTACTTAAGATTTTCTCTGAGAAGTTCTTTTCTGGATTACTTTTAGTGCCTGAATGAAAGATCCTTTGATGTTTCTGTCATCCTCATTTTTCTCCTAATGTACCATCCTGAAAATCTATTTCAATAAATTTGAGAGGGCTTTAAAAATAAAAAAAAATGGAATGAAAAATATACCATTCAAAAGAGCAGCAACATTCAAAATATACCTAAAAAGAACATTCACAAAAACATACACACTCTATCAAAGCAAATATAAAAATGTGTTGATAGACTTAGGTGGATGCCTAAGTACAGCAATACAATATGTTTATATATGGTGAACATAATATTGTACAGATGTCAATTATCTTTATTTACAGATTTAGTGCCTTATTTGATGGCCTCAAGTCAGCAGAGAAGTGGCCCAGCACCTACAAAAAGTCAAGATAAGACACTGAGTGAGGACTGAGGGCATTACCTACCCAAGAAGAGGGACCCCCACAGAGCCCCGCCCCTACTGTCAATCTTGGGAGTCCCCAGGCGTGGCTGCTGGGCTCAGGTTCCACCTTACTTCCTACTCTGGACTCAGGGAAATGATCCTTTTTCTGAGGCTGACTGATTCAGCTTAGCAAAGAGAGAAGTCCCAGTGCCTGCAAAGTCAATGAAAGAAATATATGTATTTCTTTAAGAACTGCCCCTCCCCCGAACGCAGAACCATTTGCCGTTAAGCTGGGAGAGCAAAGTGGGCGTGGCCGGACATGTTTCTCTTGACCTATCTTCCACATCATCAAGCTGTTACGGGCGAAACCTTGGTCTGAAACATGCGGCCAGAGAAATAAATCTCAGGATCCGGCAGGTGTCAAAGTGAGTATCATTTGTTATGACCTTCAAGACACACTCTTCCCAGAACAGAGGCTGCCTCACAGAGACCCATCCTTCTCTGCTCTGTCCTGCTCCCACTTTCAACTCTCTGTGTCCCAAAGCGCAGCTGTTAGGCCTAACACCCTTACTTCCTGTTGGGAATCTGTGGGATGGGAAGCCATGGTCTAAAGCGAGGCAGCCTCAAGTCAACAGACGGAGGACTCAAAAGACTAAAGTAAAATTAATATCCTAAGTTAGAACTGATGTAGTCAGGAGTAAAATTAATATCCTGAGTTAGAACTGATGTGACAACCCCCCACAGAACAGTCCCACCCCGCTCCTGCCTTATGGGTTCCTAAAGCAATACCCTCAAGAGAACCAGGAGAGGTGGCCATTCTTAGACCAAGGTAGAATCTCCCTACCAAGGCTGTGAACACTATCTCATCCTCCGTCTTCTAGGGTGCCCTCTTCATCAATTCAACTGCCTGCACTATTGTCTGTAGTCCCTGACAAGAGTAATTATGCCTCGAGGTCAGAAGAGTAAGCTCCGTGCCCGTGAGAAACGCCACCAGGCTCGTTGTGAGAATCAGGATCTGGGAGCTACGCAGGCCACTGTGGCAGAAGGAGAGTCACCCTCCCCTGCCTATCTTCTCTTTGGTGACAGACCCCAGAATTTGCCTGCTGCTGAGACACCTAGCATCCCTGAAGCGCTTCAGGGAGCCCCATCCACCACCAATGCTATTGCACCTGTTTCATGCAGTTCAAATGAAGGTGCCAGCAGCCAAGATGAGAAAAGTCTAGGTTCCTCAAGGGAAGCTGAGGGCTGGAAAGAAGATCCTTTAAACAAGAAAGTAGTGTCGCTGGTGCATTTCTTGCTTCAGAAGTATGAAACGAAAGAGCCAATTACAAAGGGAGATATGATAAAGTTTGTTATCAGGAAGGATAAGTGTCACTTCAATGAGATCCTCAAGAGAGCCTCTGAGCACATGGAGCTGGCACTTGGTGTTGATTTGAAGGAAGTGGATCCCATCAGGCACTACTATGCCTTTTTCAGCAAATTAGACCTCACCTATGATGAAACAACCAGTGATGAAGAAAAAATTCCCAAGACTGGCCTCCTGATGATTGCACTGGGTGTGATCTTTCTGAATGGCAACCGTGCCCCAGAAGAGGCAGTCTGGGAAATTATGAATATGATGGGTGTATATGCCGATAGGAAGCACTTCCTCTATGGGGATCCCAGGAAGGTCATGACCAAAGATTTGGTGCAGCTAAAGTACCTGGAGTACCAGCAAGTGCCCAACAGTGATCCTCCACGCTATGAATTCCTGTGGGGTCCAAGAGCTCACGCTGAAACTAGCAAGATGAAAGTCCTGGAGTTTGTAGCCAAGATACATGATACCGTCCCTAGTGCCTTCCCATCCTGCTATGAAGAGGCTTTGAGGGATGAGGAACAGAGAACCCAAGCCAGAGCTGCAGCCAGGGCTCATACTGCTGCCATGGCAAATGCACGTTCCAGAACCACGTCTAGCAGCTTCTCCCATGCTAAGTGAAATCTGAGGCTTGTTCTTCACTTTTTGGTCGAAAAGGTCTGTCAACATTCTAATAGTGGAGGGCCATGGTGGGGCTGGAAGAAATAAGTGTATATCATCTTTGCATTCCTATTGTATATTGATAACTCGAGTTTTACTTTTCCATCTTTTTGTTTCCCCTAGGTTACATTTCAAATGTTCAAGTCTGAAGATTGTTTTCTTTGTGGAAGAGAAGAGCAGTCAACATTCTAAGTAGTGAATGGCCAGAGTGCGTCTGGAGGGAACACAGCATATATCATTTTGTGTTAATAGTCTATAGTAACTCGGAGTTGTATCTTTTTCTTTCTTTTTTTTTTGGTGTTATATTTCAAATGTTGTTGCTTATAATAGAAGTTTTAGATAACTTCAGAATCTATATTTATTAATGACTTTGGTTACACACGTATTGCTATTTAAGAGTAGGAGTTTTATTGTTCTGTAAAACAAATTGGGAAACCTTCTTTCATATTTAATGAGCCAGAACAAGGAAACACAGTATTGGAATAGGTATTTCCTTAAAAAATGTGAGATGATTTAGCAGTAAAATTTTGGAGATCAAAACATAGGTGAGAAAAAGTAAACTTTTCAGTTCTTGGTTTTCTTTTTCCATTTTAGTCTGTTATATAAAAATAAAAGTCATACCTGGATTGGCTTAGCTTACTGAAGAAGGTAGGAAGAAATAAAATGTTTATGAACCAGCATCTATGCTTACCGGCTCATTCATTCCTCCAATATTAATCCAACATCTGATTTTTGAAAGTAATTTTGTTAGAAATGGGAAAACCAGGATACAAAACACCCACCTCTGCTTAGACTTTTACAATTAATGAACAGTAATAATGTATGGAAGATGGTGAAATACTTCTAAGACCTAAAGGACAAGTAACAAGAGGGAGTAAGGAGGTAAGGAGTTAGAGAGGGGTTTGGGAAAAGTGCTGAAGTGTATCTGGCTGAAAATGGTAAGGTGCAAATTCTCTGAAGAAAGGCCCTTTTAGACTTTTGGAAACTTTGAGTCTCTCAGTGGGATATACTTTTAATTTAAGCTGGGTGGTGGGCTAGATGAAGCTTTGGGACTGGAGAGCAGAGGCCAGGCACTCAGATGGTGTGTCTCATTGTTGAAGGACAAAACCCTGGAGTGGAAAGCTCCACTTAAGAGTTACCTTGGTGACATCAATAAACCAGAAGAAAACCTCGGCCGGGCGCAGTGGCTCACGCCTGTAATCCCAGCACTTTGGGAGGCCGAGGCGGGCAGATCACGAGGTCAGGAGATTGAGACCATCCTGGCTAACATGGTGAAACCCCATCTCTACTAAAAATACAAAAAAATTAGCTGGGCATGGTGGAGGGCGCCTGTAGTCCCAGCTACTTTGGAGGCTGAGGCAGAGAATTGCTTGAACCTAGGAGGCGAAGCTTGCAGTGAGCCGAGATCTTGCCACTGTGCTCCAGCCTGGGTGACAGAGCGAGACTCTGTCTTAAAAAAAAAAAAAAAAAAAAAAAAAAAATCTCTTGGGGCAGAAGTGAGAAGTGGATAGTGTCCTGTGCTCTTGTTCACATTCAGTTGAACACATAGCACAATCTACTTATTTTATGCACAGCCTCTCCAGGAAATTTTTGAGAAATAATGGTGAAACTGCCTTGATGTGGGATGCTGAAAAGCTACTGTGTTGGCTCCTTTGCTCTGAACTGAGAGAGCCAAATCCTAGTATTTAAAAGGACATATTTTTGAGACAGGGTCTGGTTCTTTTCCCCAGGCTGGAACACAGTGGTGCAATCATGGCTCACTATAGCCTTGACTTCCCAGGCTCAAGCAATCCTCCCACATTAGCCTCTCAAGTAGCTGGGACTAGAATCACACATCACCCTACCCAGCAAATTTTTTGTATTTTTGTACAGACAGGGTTTCACTGTGTCACCAAGGCTGGTCTTGAACTCCTGACATCAAGTGATCCACCCACTTCAGCCTCCCAAAGTACTGGGAATACAGGTGTGAACCACCACACTCATCTTAAAAGGATATTTTAATTAAGTTATCTTCAGTATAATTTGGCAAACTCTAAGGGAGAACATATTTGATGATGATGAAATGAATGAAAATAGGGGTGGTTTGGATGGAATGGCACCTGGGAGGGAAGTTGTTGGTCCTTGACACAAATTCTAGGACTTTGTGTTTCATTCAACTGGGGAAGACTCCCTACATGCAAATTAAACAACTTATCTTCAAATGGGGAAATTTTATTTGCTTTTATATGCTAAATACATAATGGGCTAATTTGATATTAATTGTCCTAGAAAGCTGCATATTTTCCTCAATTAATAAAAATAAATCTCCCAAGAGGGGAGGGTGATATCATCTGTGGTAAAAATAATTATAATTATATAACTACCATTCTTTAAAGACCCAATATTTTCCATAATTCTGCTAAGTGCTTCATATCCATTACATAGATTCCAACAGTGCTACAAGTTAGGGCTTATCAGACATTATTTGCCAAACTTGTAATTTGAAGTTTACATGGCTAATAGGTGACAGAGCTGAGACTAGACCCCTGGTCTAATGTGGCCAGAATTATTCTATGCTCACATTTTTCTACTCCTCCCAATCTGAGGCAGATCTTTTGTCTAATTCACTAGTCTTTTCACTACTGCAAAATCTATTACAATTAAAAATAAAGGACTCTGGCCAAAGTACTAAAAGCAGGCCTGTATTAGGTTGTTCTCACATTGCTATAAAGAAATATCTGAGACTGGGTAATTTATAAAGAAAATAGATTTAATTGGCTCATGGTTCTGTAGGCTATACAGGAAGCATAGCGGTATGTGCTTCTGGGGAGGCCTCGGAAAACTTACAATCATGGTGGAAGGTGAAGGGAAAGCGGGCATGACTCACATGGCTGGAACAGGAGGAAGAGAAAGAAGGGGTAGGTGCCACACACTTTTAAACAACCAGATCTCATGAGAACTCAGGACAGTATGAAGGGGGAAATCTACCCCCGTAATACAATCACCTCCCACCAGACATCATCTCTAGCCTTGGGGATTACATTTCACCATGAGATTTGGGTGGGGACACATAGCCAAACTGTATCATTTCATCCCTGGCCCCTCTCGAATCTCATGTCCTTCTCACATTGCAAAATCCAATCATCCCTTCCCAACAGTGCCCCAAAGTCTTAACTCATTCCAGCATTAACTCAAAAGTCCAAAGTCTCATCTGAGACAAGGCTAGTCCCTTTCACTTATGGGAAAGAAAAAAAGTTACTTCCAAGATACAAAGATACAATGGCAGTAAAAGCATTGGTTAAATACTCCCATTCCAAAAGGGAGAAATCAGCCCAAAGAAGGGGAATACAGGCCCCATGCAAGTCAGAAACCTAGCAGGGCAGTCAGTAAATATTAAAGCTCCAAAATAATCTTTTTTTTTTTTTGAGACGGAGTTTCACTCTTGCTGCCCAGGCTGGAGTGCATGCCTTCTGCCTTCAAGTGATTCTCCTGCCTCAGCCTCCAAAATAGCTGGGATTACAGGTGTGTGCCACCACGCCTGGCTAATTTTGTATTTTTTTTTTAGTAGAGAGGGGGTTTCACCATGTTGGTCAGGCTGGTCTCGAACTCCTGACCTCAAGTGATCCACCTGCCTCGGCCTCCCAAAGTGCTGGGATTACAGGTGTGAGCCCCCGCGCCTGGCCCAAAGTAATCTTTTTTGACTCCGTATTCCATATCCAAAGCACTCTGATACTCCCAAGCTCCACCCTTGTGGCTTTGCAGGCTTTAACCCCTGTGGTTGCTCTCATGGGCTGGCACTGAGTGCCTGCAGCTTTTCCAGGTGCATAGTGCAAGCTTCCAGTAGATCTAACATCACAGAGTCTGGAGGACGATGGCCCTTTTATCATAACTACACTAGACAGTGTCCCAGTGGGGATTACGTCTGGGGGCTCCAACCCCACATTTCCCCTCAACACTGCCTTAGTAGAGGCTCTCCATGAGGGCTTGGGCCCTGCAGCAGGCTTCTGTCTGGACATCCAGGTGTTTCCATACATCCTCTGAAATCTAGGTGGAGGCTCCCAAGCCTCAAGTCTTGCACACTGTGTAACGATAGACTTAACATAATGTGGAAGCTGCCAAGGCTTACAACTTGCACCCTCTGAAGCAGCAGCCTGAGCTGTACCTGGGCCCCTTTGAGCCACAGCTGGTGCTGGAGTGGTCAGGATGCAGGGAGCAGTATCCTGAGGCTACACAGAAAGCAAGAGCGGGTGGGGAGGGCTGGGCATGGCCCACAAAACCAACCATTCATTTCTCCTAGACCACTGGGCCTGTGACGGTAGAGACTGCTGTGAAGTCTCTGCAATGCCTTCAAGGCCTTTTTCCCAGGGTCTTGGCTATTAGCACTTGGCTCCTTTTCACTTATGCAAATTTCTGCAGCCTGCTTGAATTCCTCCCCTGAAAATAGGCATTTGTTTTCTACCACATGGCCAGGCTGCAAATTTTCCAAACTTTTATGCTCTGCTTCCCTTTTGAATATAAAGCTCCAGTTTTACATCATTTGTTTGATCACATATATGAGCATATATTGTTAGAGGCAGCCAGCTCACATCTTGAATGCTTTGCTGCTTAGAAATTTCTTCTACCAGGTAACCTAAATCATCACTCTCAAGTTCAAAGTTCCACAGATCCCTAGGGCAGGGGCACAATGCCACCAGGTTCTTGGCTAACACATAACAAAAGTGACCTTTGCTCCAGTTCCCAGTACGTTTCTTATTTCCATCTGAGACCTCCTCACCTCCTCAACCTGAACTTCATTGTCCAAATCACTATCAGCATTTTGGTCACAACCATTCCACAAGTCACTAGGAAGTCCCAAATTTTCCCTCACCTTCCTGTCTTCTGAGCCCTCCAAAACCTTCCAATCTCTTCCCATTACCCAGTTCCAAAGCTGCTTCCGCATTTTCAGGTATCTTTGTAGCAGTGCCCCACTCCTGGATACCTTGGGCAGCCCTTCTTTTCTTTATAAATTATCCAGTCTCAGATATTTCTTTATAGCAAAGCCATTCTCACATTGTTCTAAAGAAATACCTGAGACTGGGTAATTTATAAAGAAAAGAGGTTTAATTGGCTCACAGTTCTGTAGGCTGTACAGGATGTTTCTGCTTCTGGGGAGGCCTCAGAAAACTTGCGATCATGGCAGAAGGTGAGGGGGAAGCAGGCACATCTTACATGGCTGAAGCAGGAGGAAGAGAGAGAATGGAGAAGTACTACACACTTTTAAAAAACAAGATCTCATGAAAACTCAGGACAGTACCAAGGGGGAAATCTGCCCCCATAATTCAATCACCTTCCACAGTGCCCCACCTCCAGCCCTTGGGATTGTATTTCAACATGAGATTTGTGGGAGGACATAGATCCAAACCATAACAAGGCCTAAATAAGGAAGGTAAAGATGAGAATAAAGCATACATTTGGGATTATTTGTGGGATTCATTTTCTGAGGATCCTCCTGTCCCTAGCCCAAGGTTTCCTTGAGAGTAGAATTCTGCCCAAGTGCTGGGACATGAGTCCTGATTCAGCACTTTCTTACATTACAGCACCTTTCCCCTAAGTATTCCCCAGTGTGCCTTCATATATAAACTGGCACCTTGTCTTCTACCGAGCTCTTCACTGCCTTCTCTGAAGATTGCACCCCTGTTTTCCGTGATACGGACAGACCAGAATCACTTGTCTGACTCTAGACTTAGAGCATCCTGCTCTCTGCAGATGCCCCTTGGAGGTCCCATCCCTTTCAGTGGAACCTCTGACAGTGATGTTTAGACATCTGATTACCACAACCGCCCCTTCCACCCCACATCTTTAAGTAGTCTTAAAGTGTATTTCAAATGAACCAATTATTAGAGTCTGGTTATGATTTTTCACAGATGATGTACTGGTTCTTGGGATGTAACTGAAGTGTGAAAGAAGGTTTTTTTTAATAACCCAGATTTTCAGTAGGATTTTTAAAGGGTGTGCTATTTGAGACCAGTCCCTGAACAAATGCACTGATGGGTGAGACTACCTAGATGGTCCAAAACAAAGCCACCTTCGTAAGTTGGAGGTGAGGAAAGGCCATGGAAATCACTGTGAAGCAAACATCTACTGAGGCCAAATTCCTCAGCCCTCCTCCCATCAGAGTCTGTCTAAGAAGAAAAAAATGGCTTTTTGGCAGACATGCTGTGTTTGAACAGCAAAGATAAAAATAATTCACCATTGTTGTGCTGCCTCTTATCTCACTACTGGTCCCAGAGGAAAATCCTGATTTTTTCCTTGTGCCAAATGGCACTTGTAAGTGTCCTGCACGTTCAGTCATGTTGAGGTTTGCAGAATTCATAAGTCAAGATTCTTACCATGCAGAAATAGAAAGGTGCACATTCTTATCCTATTGACACTCAGTGCAGTGAGATCAGTGCAGAAAGGTGCTACTGAATGAAAAAGGAGAATTCCCCATGCTGAGATTTTACAGGGTCCTTTTGAAAATGAAATGTGATCCTGTATTTGAAAGCAACTGTCATGTAGGAGGCTGACAGAAATTGTTGAAGAATTGCAAGGCAAATTTGCCTCCTTAGAAACTCCACCAAGAAATGAAGAGGGTTGTTTTCATAACAAATTCTAATAATTATTCCTTTACCATGCACTTATTATGTAACAGTTAATGAGAGAGACTGCAAGTGCTCATCCACATGGTGTCTTACTCTCCTTTCTGGACTCATGGGAAGACTGTATTACCCAGTTCACCTGTAGTTAGGAAGAATTATGTGACTTCCCTTGCCCCTGAAACATAAGCTATCAAGAGCTCATGCTGAGATGTAAAGCAACATGTTGGAGGCAGCCTGTATCTCTGGATCACCTGTTAGTGGAGACCCCTGCCCACTTACATCAGATTTTATGTGTATGAGATATGAACTTTTGTTGTTTTAAGCCGTTCAGTTGCTGATTTTGTATGTTGTATCAGCTAGCAGTTACTTTATATGATTAATGCACAGCTACTACTTTTGTGGTTGTATTAAAATATTTTAATTACAAAGGTAATAGTACATATATTCTTGTTACCAAAAATTCTAACAGTATGGAATAAATCACAATCTCCCCCTTTCCTCAAAATTCAGCCCCCTCTCTGGAGGTAAACACAATTAATCTTGTATGTATCATTTTAAAGTTGATACTAGGCTTTTTTTTCATATATAGGTGTGCTATAAAAATATATTGAATTCTTAATATGCATAGGTAACAATGTCCATATTGTTCTGCCTCTTGACCTGATGATTTAATAAAATGAGTGCAGGATATTTCCATGACAGCACATGTAGACCCACCTCACTTTTTAACTACTCTCTAGAATTATTATGCTTGTACAATAATTAATTGATTTGTCTCCTGATGGACACATAAATTGTTTACCATTTGTTGCTATGATTAATGAAACTAAAATGAACATTTTTGAACATGAAATCTTGAGGAAAATGTGCACACCTTCTCATAAGAAAGACATAGAGAAGTGCAAATTGGATTAAAGTGGGAAAGGTGTGAAGATTGAAATGTTTTACAAATGCTGTACTGCTGAAGTTCTGTTTCCAAAATGCTATACTACAGTTCCTAGTCTCTTAATGTATATGAGTGCCTTATATTCTCAGAGACATTTACTTTTATCATCATTCTTTTACATTTTATTCAATCTTTGTGGTGAAAAATATTGTCTCATTGTTATTCGAAGCCCATGGAACAGGTCTTTGGCCTTGAATTGAAAGAAGTCAACCTTATAGTCATTCTTCTTATGCCTTTATTAGGAAGCTGGATTCCCCCCAATGAGAGAAGTCTGAGTGGTGATAAGTGATTATCTAAGACCGTTGGTTTCCTAATGACTCTCCTGGGTGTGATCTTCTTGAAGGGCAACTGTCACACTGAAGAGAAAATCTGGAAATTCCTGAATACAATGAAGGTGCAGGATAGAAGCTAACACTTCATCTATGGACAGCCAGAAAGCTCATTACCAGAAATTTGGTACAGGAAAAGTACCTGGAATACTGGCACGTGTCCAATAATTATCCTTCACTCTATGAGTTCCAGCAGGGTCAAAGAGCCCATGCTGAAACCAAAAAGATTAAAATCCTGGAAGTTTTGGCTAAGATCAATGATACCATCTGTAGTATCTTCCTGAATCTGTATGAAGAGTTTTCGAGAGATGAGAAAGAGCAGGAGTGAGACTAGCACTCCTATCTATGAACGGTGCATGTTCTGGGGCTACTGTCCCACTGCTTCTCCCATCTGTAATGAATAAATCTGAGTTAGTTTCTCCACTTTGTGGTTGAAGAAAGCAGTCAACAGTCTAAGTAGTGAGGGACTGGTATCGGACTGGAGGAAACACAATGTGTAACATTTTGTCTTCCTGTTTTATGTGTCAACACAGAGTTACTTTTCTTTCTTTCTTCTTCTTCTTCCTTTCCTTTCTTTTCCTTTACTTCTTTTTCTTACTTTCATTCATTCTTTTATAGTTTCTTTCTTTCTAGTTCCTTTCTAAATGTTGCTTATTTTAATAGAAAATGTGAATAGCCTTACAATACAAATATATGAATCACCACTTCAATTATTCAATACATTTGTTGCTGTGTATCAGGTTTAAGAGTAGAAGCTTTCTATTTTATAAAACAAATGTGGGAATTTTCCATCTCATTTTATTATTTGGAACAGGATAACAGAGCATCAAGTGGGTGTTTCTTTGGAAATATGAAATAACTCAGTTGTAAAGTTTTGAGGCTCAAAAAACGGAGATCAAGTGAAATGTGTATGGATGTTATCCTATGCCTATCCCACCACTGTGCACTGGATGTGTTAGGACTGATGACTAGTCTCTTTCATTTCACAGGTCCACAAATAGAGATATATTGTCCCCAGCTGGTATGCTTAATGAACTACTCTCCACACAGCCTCATCATGTGCAGTTAGACCTGATTTAGATGATGAGACTTGAACTTTGAGCTGATGTTGTAATTGTGTCAGATTTTTGGGGACCTTGGAGGAAGGTAAATGTATTTCGAATAAGGTAGGGACATTAAACATTGGGACCTAGAGAATGGACTGTGGCTGACAGAATCTCATGGGTATCCCATGAGCTCCACCTCCTGACAGTCATGCCTTTGTGTGTGACTATCCTTGAGCATTAGTAGGCCTGTGACTTGCTTCTATGTAATCAGTTATTGTAAAGATGATGAAATGACATCCTCATGATTATATGTGTTGAGGAAACAGAAACAAAATATCCTGCTAACGCAAAAATACCTCTCCACAAAATATATGGCAAATAAAAAACAATTCAGACTTAGTAAGAACGGATTTTTCTCAAAAATAATTATTGCAAGAGAGACTTTTGAAGTAGGTGGAGACTACTGCAATAGGAAGAACACTGTGACTATAAGATCTGCAAGTATCTCAAGAGTTAGGCAGTTTTTCTTTTATAGAGAGAAATAAACAAAGCTAGAAAGAACCAGGTGTGTGAGGAAGTGGGATGAAAGGCTGTTGTGACTTGATAGTTGATTAGAGAATTTTTACCGAGGCCAATCCATGCTCAAGAGGGGTTGCATACTGGCTTAGCCGAGAGTGGGCCAAAGTTCAGGAGCGTTGAGGAAAAAGAAAATCCTAACCAAAGTTTGGCCAACAAGTATTTTGTTTCGATTGATTAGTAGAAACAAGGAGTTTATTTATCATGTACAAGGAAAAGAAAGGGAATATTGAGGATCTTTGGCCTTGTCATCGGTAAACCAGAGAGGCTTCCATGAGTCTTGTCTAAGTCACGTGGTGAAGAGTGGTTCTTTCCAATAAACCTTTTTCTGCTAGAATACAAAGTTGGGGGCTCAAGGGGGAAAAGAAAGCTTCTTAACCTTCACTGTTTCCCAAGATCACAGGGCTTAGGTAAACATCAACATTATCATATAAGAAAGAAAAACAAGTTTTCTTGAGTAATCATTAAACTGGAATGTGATGCACATCATAGGCAATCCACTAAAGAGATACCAAAGACAGAAAGCAATATCCACCTTTTATATAGCCAAGCCGATACAATCTGTTAAATACATATTCTTCATATAAAGATAATTAGTCCTCAAGGAAGAGAACTTGATGGCACCATTTGTCACACAGAGTCCTTTCTAAATTCACTTAAAAATTAAGGTGGCCTTCTGTGTTGGCTAATTGTTTTCATCAAAAGGGAAAACAATCCTGAGCTATAAAACTGGCAAGTGGCTTATTTAGCTTATAAAAGAAAATATTTTATATTTATAGTTTCTCTGAAGTAAATGCTCTAAGAAAAAAGGGTAGGGAAAATCCTCACTCCTTTTTCTACACCAGGAGAGAGGAATTAAAACAAAGTCAAAGTATCAGTTTTGTATTGCTCTTTAGTTTCTGAGGCTACCAGCAAATCATCGAAGTATTAAACAATTAGAGAGTCCCCTAATGGGACAAATTACTCTAAGTTTTCCTGTAAATGGCTAGAGAAAATTGTAGGAGAGTCCTAAAGTTCTTGAGGAATCCTTTGCCATAAATACTGGACTTCTGTATAAGCAAACACAAGACTATAGACTCGTGTGCTAGAAGAACAGAAAAAGAGGGAGAATAAAATCAGATCATAGATCAACTATAGAGAAAAATAAACATTGCAAATAATTGTACCAAAGTAACAAGTCAGAATAGTTGCATGATTGTGGGTTAATAGAATGATACATTTATTTCTCTAAGATCTTATACAAATATATATTGCAGTCAATACTCTTTATAACATTTTACTTTCCTTCTTTACTGGAAATATGGTGGTATTATGTGGAGAGTGACTTTTTTCTTTTTGATTCTCCCCCTTCTGTGTCATTCTTTTAAAATTAGTTTTATTACTTCTAAATGAGCTCTTAACAAAAGATCTGGTTTTACATATGGCCATGGCTTATTCTTTTGGTAAGCTATTTTTCACTGGTTCTATATGTTTAGTTAAACAAATTTCATTATTCTCCATAGCCCAAAGTGATGCATAGATTTATTTCAGCTTAGAGTGCTTTTCCAGCATGGAGTGATACTGCCGTATTCTGCCATACCCTTTGTCTTTCAGAAGGCACATCTTAAAATCAGGTGTCTTTTCTTTTTCCAAGGAGCTCCACAGACACTTCATCCAGTGTATAAAACACAGTAACTTTACATTTGCACAGCAGGTTTCTTAGCTCTATTGCCAACACAGTGACACAGTGAGTGAGTTTAGATTTTTCTCCATTTAGCATTCAGATGAGAACACAGCTCAGCTGATACCTTGAATGCAGACAGGTAAAACTCTAAAGCAGAAACCTCAGTTGAGTTTTGCCTGGACGCTTTATACACAGAAACTGTGAGATAATAAATTTGTTTTTCTTACCTTGCTAAATTGGCGATACTTTGTTATGCAGCAATAGAAAATGAATATAAGAAAAATAGTCTATTATATTTACCCAGATAGTAACTCTTCCTTCTGGTTTTTCTTCATTCTTTATGTTCCAAGTTTCTAAGCCAAAAGTGTTACCTGTAACAGGTACAAATAAGTTCATGAAATATTTGAGTAAGGAGGAGTTGTTCTTATTGTCAAAGTTGAGGATAGCCGGAAGGAAGTATGTAGAATAGAGGTGGAAACCAACCTTGCTCTGGGCTAGGAAGTACCCATGATTGAGGAGGCAAGCAAGACAGCACCCATCCTCCTCCAGTTCCCCTCAGATTATGATCCTTTGGATCAATTTCTGGGTGACTTCTCCACATTTAAGCATAGGCTATCAGCCTAAATTACTTCCCTCTGGAGCCCCAAATACCATTTACATGGTAGAGAGTCCTCATTTAGGCACACTTCCAAGGACAACCTGCCCTGTGTGGTTGTATTGTTTTGCCATTACTTTTAATGGCAAAAGCCACGATTACTTTTGCACCAAACTAATAGTTCACTAGCTAGAGGAAGAGGCCCTCACAATGGGATCATTCTAAGCTGCCTGCCCACTGTGGAATTAACTCAATGTTACTCCCTGCTTTCTGGCCTCTTTTCATTCAGAGTAGTCCTGAAAGCAACAAAGAGAGAGACTCCTCCCTTGCTCCATTAAGTACTCTAAACCTCAATTATGAGCTTCTACAAGAGGGTTTCCCAGCTAAACACAAGAATGTGTAGGATGCCTCCACTTGGACAAAAGAGGGAGAGGGCCATGCTCCAAATTTTTTTTTTAACCTTACATCAGAAATATTCATCCTGTTGAGGAATGAGGTAGGATACTGCTCCTGTCACATGTGGATAAGTTGGCACTGCCTCTAGGTCAGTAACATTTTGGTTCTCTTCAGTGTGTTTGTAATCATTCCTATATCCCTTAGTCACTACTTTTTATAACACTACTGTCAAATTTATACTTATTGGGAAAGCAGAGATCCACAGGTCAGTGGGGAGAATGGTGCTGGTGTGCAGGTAGATGGAATGAACAGATCTTTTGGCCCAGGTAAGCTTTCTCCCAAGCCAGCAACAAGTCTCAACCACTACTCTTTGAAAGTAAAGGTCCATAATGGTATCAGGGACAACAAATGGTATTGAGGGGGGAAAAGGGGAATAATGGAGTTACCATTTATTAGAAAGACTTACCATTTCATCTCTTCCTCTCCAGCTCACATGTTACCCAGCCAGCCCTACTGTTATTCACTTGACTAGTGTCACCAGTCTTTCAGTACATAACTTCCATACGTCCTGCTTGCCCAGTGCTGTTGTCTCCCTAGTTGAGAAAAACATATATGTAAAATTATTTTTATTCTTCTCTACTATTTTGTAAGTTTAAACATTTTCATCATAAAATATTTAAAGTAAGGACTTAATCCCTCCTAGAATGGATTTTTGTATAGTGTGAAGAAGTGTTCCAGACACTTTTTTTCATATTTGTATATCCAGTTGTTCCACTGTCTTATTTTGGTAAAAATACTCTTCTTTATCCACTTCCCTGAAATGACATTTTTAATAATCGAGAATCCAGTCTATTTTAGGACATTCTATTCAGTTCTCCTAGTCTATTTGCTTATCTCTGTAAGTATACCATAAATTTTAAATTACTATAGTATTTTGAAATTTATTTTACTTGGTAAAAGTAATTGTGCATATTTATGAGATACAATGTAATGTTTTGTCTGTGTATACATTGTAGAAAGATTTAATCAAACTAACATAGCCATCATCTCATCAACTTATGTTTTTTGTGGTAAAGACTTTAAAAATCCATTATTTTAGCAATTTTGAAATGTGCGATAATTATGATTAATTGTGGTCACCATGTAGTGCAATTGATTACAAAAACTTACCCCTCCAGTCTAACTGAAACTTTATATTCTTTGATCAACATCTCTCTATTCCCTATCCCCTACACCCCAGTTTCTGGTAACCTTTTACTCTCTGTTTCCATGAGATCTACTTTTTTAGATTGCACATATAAGTAAGATCATATAGTATTTTTCTTTCTGTTCCTAGCTTATTTCAGTTAGCATAATGTCCTCCAAGTCTATCCATGTTGTCATGAATGACGGGATCCCCTTCTTATTTAAGGCTGTATAGTATTCCACTGTGCATATATATATATATACACATACACATATATATGTGTGTGTATATATATATACGTATATATACATATAAATATATAAACATTTTCTTTATCCATTCATCCTTTGAAGGGCACTTACATCACATCCATATCTTGGTTATTGGGAGTAATGCTGAAATGACTGATTTCAATTTCTTTGAATATATACCCAGAAGTAGGATTGCTAGATCATATGGTAATTCTAATTTTAGTTTCGGAGGAACTTCTATACCATTTTCCAAAATGACTGCACTAATTTACATTCCCACCAGCAGTGTAAAAGGATTCCCTTTTCTCCACATCATTGTCAACACTTGCTATCACTTGTCTTTTTTATAAAACCAGTTCTAACAGGTGTGGGGTGATATCTCATACTGGTTTTAATTGGCATTCCCCTATATATTGGCCTATATATTTGGCATTTTTTTCCTATATCATTTGATCACGTGCAGGAGCAGAGTTGAAGCCTTTGATAAAAATTCAACACAATCGAAACAATTGAACTCATGGACATGGGGAGTAGAAGGATGATTACCAGAGTCTGGGTAGGGTAGTGGGAGTTGAAGGGGATGTGGGGATGTGGGGATGTGGGGATGTGGGGATGTGGGGATGTGGGGATGTTTAATGGGCACAAAAACATAGTTAGAAAAAATGAATAATACATATTATTTTATCACACATCAAGGTGACTATAGTCAATAATAACTTATTTGTGTATTTTAAAATAACTAAAAGACTGTAATTGGATTGTTTGTAACACAAAGGATATATGCTTGAGGGGACTGATACCCCATTCTCCATGACATGCTTATTTCACATTGCATGCCTCCATCAAAACATCTCATGTACTCCATAAATATATACACCCACTATGTCCACACAAACATTAAACAATGACTAATACAAATTCAAGACAAGTACATGGCAATAACTTTTAGCACACTTACATATGAATGAAATTTCCATATGGTAAATTGTTGCCAAACCTTTGTAACTTTGAAATTAGAAGCATTCCCAATAAAGTCTGGAAAAACACACAGAGGTATGATACCACAAATCTGGATTGGCATGTGTAGCCAATAAAAAGCCATACATAAAAATACCAAAATAAATAAGAGGTATGAAATGGAAAAAAAATACCATTCACAACACCAACAATACCTAAAACATACTTAAGTTGAAACCTTACTGAAATGTACAAGATCTTTATGGAGGCAATTATAAAAATTTACTGATACAGTTGGGAAAAAGTACCAAATACAGCAGTATTCTATGTTTATTCAGGAAAACAGAATATAGGCACACCTCAGAAATATTGTGGGTTCAGATCCAGACACCACAATGAAGTGAATGTTGCAATAAATGAGTCACAATTTTTTGGTTTCCTGGTCCATAAAAAAGTTATGTCCACACTATACTGTAGCCTATTAAGTTTGCAATTACATGATTTTTTAAAAGTGTACATACCTTAATTTTAAAAATACTTTATTGCTAAAAAATGCTAATGATCATCTGAGCCTTCAGTGAATTGTAACCTTTTTTGCTGGTGGAGGATCATGCCTTAATGTTGATGGCTGCCTATTAATAAGAGTAATGATTGCCAAGGGTTGAGGTGGCTGTGGTAATTTCTCAAAATAAGGCAACAATGTTTTCTTAGTCCATTCTCACACTGCTATACAGATACTAACCGAGACTGGATAATTTGTAAAGGAAAGAGGTTTAATTGACTCACAGTTCCACATGGCTGGGGAGGCCTCGGGAAACTTACAATCATGGTGGAAGGTGAAGGGGAAGCAAGGACCTTCATCACATGGTGGCAGGAAACAGAAGAGCAAGCAGGGGAAATGCCAGATGCTGATAAAACCGTCAGATCTCATGAGAACTCACTCATTATCAAGAGAACAGCATGGGGGAAACCACCCCCATGATCCAATCACCTCCTGCCCTCCACACATGGGGATTACAGGTCCTTCCCTCAACACACAGGAATTACAATTCAAGATGAGATTTGGGTAGGGACACAGAGCCAAACCATATCATTCCACCCCAGCCCCTCCCAAATCTCATGTCTTTTCACATTTCAAAAGCAATCATGCCTTCCCAACAGTCCCCCAAAGCCTTAACTAATTCCAGCATTAACCTGAAAGTCCAAGTCCAAAGTCTCATCTGATACAAGGCAGGTCCCTTCCACGTATGAGCCTGTAAAATCAAAAGCAAGTTAGTTACTTCCAAGATACAACAGGGGTACAGGCATTGGATAAATGCTTCCATTCCAAATGGCCAAAACAAAGGGGCTACAGGCTCCATGCAAGTGTGAAATCCAGTGAGGCAGCCATTAAATCTTAAAGTTTCAAAATGATCTCCTTTGACTCCACGTCTCACATCTGGGGCACACTGATGGAAGGTTGGGCTCCCATGGCCTTGGCCTGCTGCTTTTCCAGGCACATGCTGCAAGCTGTTGGTGGATCGACCATTTTGGAGTCTGGTGGATGGTGCCCTCTTCTCACTGCTCCATTAGGCAGTGCCCAGTAGGGACTCTGTGTGGGGGACCCAACCCCACATTTCCCTTCCGCATTGCCCTAGCAATGGTTCTACATGAGGGTTCCACTCCTGTAGCAAACTTCTGCCTGGACACCCAGGCATTTCCATGCATCTTCTGAAATCTAGGTGGAGGTTCCCAAACCTCATTTCTTGCCTTCAGTGCACCCACAGGGCCAACACCACATGGAAGCTGCCAAGGCCTGGGGCTTGCACCCTCTGAAGCAATGGCCCGAGCTGTACCTTGGCCCCTTTTAGCCATGACTGGAGCAGGGGCAGCTGGGAGACAGGAAAATGAGTCCGGAGGCTGCATAGAGGGGTCCTGGGGCCCGCCCATGAAACCAATTTTTACCTTTTAGCCCTCTGGGCCTGTGATAGGAGGGGCTGCCACAAAGGTCTCCTAAATGCCCTGGAAAAATTTTCCCCATTGTCTTGGCAATTAACATTTGGCTTCTTATTACTTGTGCAAATTTCTGCAGCCGGCTTGAATTTCTTCCCAGAAAGTGGGTTTTTCTTTTCTATTGCATCATCAGGCTACAAATTTTTCAAGCTTTTATGCTCTATCCCATCTTGAACACTTTGCTGCTTAGAAATTTCTTCAGCCAGATGCCCTAATCGTCTCTCTCAGGTTCAAAGTTTCACAGATCTCTAGCACAGAGGCAAAATGCTGCCAGTTGCTTTGCTAAAGCATAGCAAGAGTGATCTTTGTTCCAGTTCCCAATAAGTTCCTCATCTCCTTCTGAGACCACCTCAGCCTGGACTTCATTGTTCACATGACTATCAGCATTTTGGTTAAAACCATTCGACAAGTCTCTAGGAAGTTCCAAACGTTCCCACATCTTCCTGTCTTCTTCTGAGCTCTCCAAACTGTTCCAACCTCTGCCTGTTACCCAGTTCCAATGTTGCTTCCACATTTTCAAGTATCTTTATAGCAGTGCCCCAAACTCCTGGTACTAATTTATTGTATTAGTCTTTTCTCACATGGCTGTAAAATACTACCTGGGACTGGGTAATTTATAAAGAAAAGAGGTTTAATTGACTCACAGTTCCACATGGCTGGGGAGGCCTCAAGAAACTTATGATCATGGTGGAAGGTGAAGGGGAAGCAAGGACCTTCTTCAGATGGTGGCAGGAGAGAGAAGAGCACTTAGGGTAAATGTCAGACACTTATAGAACCATCAGGTGTCATGAGAACTCACTCACTATCATAAGAACACCATGGGGGCAACTGCCCCCATGATCCAATCACTTTCCTCCCTCAACACTTGGATATTACAATTCAAGATGAGATTTGGGTGGGGACACAGAGCCAAACCATATTAAATGAAGTCTGCCACATCGATTGACTCTTCCTTTCACAAAATATTCCCTGTAGCATGCCATGCTGTTTGATAACATTTTACCCGCAGTAGAACATCTTTCAAAACTACAGTCAATCCTCTTGAAACCTGCACCTGCTTTATCAACTAAGTTTTTGTAATATTTAAAATATTTTGTTTTCATTTCAACAATGCTCACAGCATTGTCACAAAGAGTAGATTCAATCTCAAGAAACTACTTTATTAGTTCATACATAAGAAACAACTCCTCATCCATTCAAGTTTTATCATGAGATTACAGCAATTCAGTCACATCTACAAGCACCATTTCTAATTCTAATTCTCTTGCTATTCTACCACATCTGCAGTTACTTCCTCCACTGAAGTCCTGAACCCCTCAAAATCATCCATACGGGTTAGAGTCCATTTCTTCCAAGCTCCTATTATGTTGATATTTTGATATGCACATACTGTTGGAAAGATGGCACTGAATGACTTGCTTGAATCAAGGTTGACGCAAAGCTTCAATCTGTAAGGAAACACAATAACTGCAAAGTGTAATATATCAGATTGTAATAAAATAAGGTATGCCTATATTGCAAAGATATCCATTCTCCTTAGGTTATTTACAGATATAGTTTTTATCTACAGCTTCCAAGATGACAAACAAGCTAGTGCTTCTTTCCCATGCCTAAAATTAACCATGGGAAATCTAAAGAAAAAATAAAGAACAATGTCATAAACATCAGTAAAATAACAGAATGAGAACCCCCTGAGAGACATTAAGTCTCTGTTGAACCAGTGCTTATATGGCGGCATGCCCTGAAGTGAAAACAAGTCCATAGCCTGCAGTAAGAAACAGATGACAGCATTAGTTGCAGGAATTATTTTAAAGTTCTGCCTTTGCTTCTTTATGCGTGCCTGGGACAATTATTTTCTACAGCTTCATTTAAAGAATCTGAGGCAACATCTCAGGCGCCACATGCTGGAATCATGGGGTAATAACCATTAGAACAACACAAACAATTGAGTTTGTTAAAGCAATATGAGTTCAGACATTGTAGTAATAACCACCTAAAACCTCTATAGCGAATGAGGGCTGACTTTTTAAATGATCACTGTAATAGAATATGAAACATATACTAAAATAGAAGGGTCACAGTGAAGCACATGTAATAAGAACATTAATATACTCCTGAAATATTTGATGATGCTGATGTCAGCCAAAAGAAAGCACAGACCAACTGCCATGATAAGGAGTCCCCTTATTTTCTCCTTGTTGATTTTTGAAGGCTATGGTTGGGAGAAGGGGATGAATTCATATCAGAAAAGGGAAAAATCACAAGGCCTGACAGCAGTCAGTGGGTGGACCTTAATTGACTGCTGAAAGGCTGCACATTTCAGAAGAGAGGAGGGCTCAGCATGTCTCCTCCTTTCCCTAACTCCACAGCATAACTAACTGGCTGCAGCTAGGTCTAGGAGGCCCCAGACAGTAGTGGCCAGGTGAATTGCACATGAGGAGTCTCAGGAAGTTGAAGTCTAGTCTGAGAGGGTGTCCTCAAGTCAGTAGAGGGAAGGAACATGGCGCAAGAATGAAGCCACGACACTGAATGAGAGCTGAGGGCAAAGTCCATTCTGGGAGAGGGGGTTCCACAGAGCCCCACCCCTACTGTCAGTCTTGGAAGGTCCTGGCATGGCTTCCCAGCTCCTACTACTTCCCAGCTCAGTACTTCCTACTCAGGACTCTCAGGGAATAAGATCCTCCGTCTCCTGTTGACTGACTCAGCTCAGCAGACAGAGAAGTCCAAGGGTCCACAAAGAGCCCCTGAAAGAATTTTATGTGAGCTTTTCGGCGGCCACCCAGTCCACAGAACACATGGAGAGTGACAGAGCCCCACCCCTGCTGTTATGTTGGGAAGGCCAGGTGGGCATGGCCGGAAGTAGTTCCTCCTGACTTCCGCGTAGAAAAGCGTCCACACCGGAGGCCTTGGTCTGAAAAGTGCTGCGTCAGGTGAGCGGAAGAGGGCATCCCAGATCTTCTCAGGTATCTTATGGGTATCTTGACCTAGAACTCGGGGGACATTCCCCAACAACTGCAACCCCCTACCTCCTAAAATAGGCAGCTCCAGAGAGCCCTGCCCCATCCTGCCCCTAAGATGGTAACTGAGGAGTCCCCAAGCATGGCCGTTAGGCCCAAAGTCCGTTCACTTTTTCTGTGGGGTTGAAGAGCATGAAGTCCTCGGTCCAAGGCTGGTGGACTCAGGTCAGTAGACAGAGAAATCTCAGGCACTACATAGCTAAAAAGAAGACTCTGCTTAAGACTGAGGGGACTCCATGCCCATGCCGCAGCACGGGTTGCACCAAACTACGCCCCTGATGTCAGCCTGGGGGTCCGGGCAGGTCTCTAGAGAGAGGTGTGTTCTCACTTTGTCCCCGTGAGAGTCAGAGAGGTAGGTCCCTGGTTGTAAGAAGATGGCAGCAGGTCAGCGAGGGTGATTTCCAAGTGGTGGGAAGAGTCAGGGTGAGGAGTCTGATTACCGTGGGGGTCATTCTCAATATAACAGCAAGTGCATTCAAATGCCTCCGCTGCTGTCAGCCCTAGGCGGTCTGGGTGTCCCCGGAAAGAAGTGCTGGGCAGGAGCGCTTCTTTATTTCCTCCTCATTGGTACTGTAAAAATTCCTAGTGTCAATTTCAGAGCGGCAGAGGGGAATGGGCCTCTGGGACTTGACAACAATTTTTATGATGATCCAGAATAAAAACGGAGAGGACCCCACCTCTGAACAAAGGGGCCCCCACTGCCAGTCCCTGCTATCACCTCAGTAAGCCCCAAAATGGGCTGTCATGCTATAGTCTAACACTGACTCTTAACTTCCTCCTAAGTTCGAAGGAGACAAACAGACCAAGCGAACAGGAGTCCTGCGAGTTCCTGGAGCAATTGCTTCATGAAACCTCCAGAAGGGCCCCTGGTTAAAGCCAAGATGGTTGCTCTCTGCTGAAGGTGTTGACATGATGTCACTCTCTCCCGTCCAGGTGCCAGCCTTGCCAACCTTTATGCCCACACTCCTACCTGCTGTCATAGGCCACAGCCACCATGCCTCGGGGTCAGAAGAGTAAGCTCCGTGCCCGTGGGAAACGCCGAGAGACCCATGATCAGCCGCAAGGTCTCACAGGTCCCCAGGCCACTGCAGAGAAACAAGAAGAGTCTCGCTCTTCGTCATCCTCTTCTGCTGTTTGTCAGGGTGCTCGTCGTAGGTCTTCTGGTTCCTCCGTTCCTCAGGAGTCTCAGGGAGCTTCACCCACTGGCTATCCTGATGCAGGTGCTTCATGCTCAAAATATGATGTGGCTGCCATGGGTCAAGATGAGAAAAGTCCTAGTACCTCCCGTGATGCCTCCGTTTCTCAAGAGTCTCAGGGAGCTTCACCCATTGGCCCTCCTGATGCAGGTATTTCATGCTCAAAATCTGATGAGGCTGCCAAGGGTCAAAATGAGAAAAGTCCAAGCACCTCCCGTGATGCCTCTGTTCCTCAGGAGTCTCAGGGAGCTTCACCCACTGGCTCGCCTGATGCAGATGTTTCAGGCTCAAAATCTGATGTGGCTGCCAAGGGTCAAGATGAGGAAAGTTTAAGCTCCTCCAAGAGAGCTGCGTTCTTTACAACCACAGACGGAGATCCTATAAAAAGGAAGGCAAACAAGATGGTGCAATTCCTGCAGAAGAAGTTTGAGAAGAAAGAGCCCATTTTGAAGGCAGACATGCTGAAGCGTCTCCGCAGACAGTACAAGCCATGCTTCCCTGAGATCCTCAAGAGAACCTCCGAACATTTGACGGTGTTCTTTGGCGTTGAATTGAAAGAAACGGATTCCAGCGGCGAGTCCTACACCCTTGTCAGCAAGCTGGGTCTCTCCAATGAAGGAAGTCTGAGTGGTGATAATGCGCTGCCGAAGTCGGGTCTCCTGATGTCGATCCTGGGTTTGATCTTCATGAGAGGCAACCGTGCCACTGAAGAGGAGGTCTGGAAGTTCCTGGGTCTGTTGGGGATATATGATGGGATCCTGCATTCAATCTATGGGGATGCTCGGAAGATCATTACTGAAGATTTGGTGCAAGATAAGTACGTGGTTTACCGGCAGGTGTGCAACAGTGATCCTCCATGCTATGAGTTCCTGTGGGGTCCACGAGCCTATGCTGAAACCACCAAGATGAGAGTCCTGCGTGTTTTGGCCGAGATCAATAACACCAGTCCCGGTTTATACCCACATCTGTATGAAGACGCTTTGACAGATGAGGTAGAGAGAGCATTGAGACTGAGAGCTTAAGGCAGGGCTGGCACTGTTCCCTTGGCCAGGGCACCTTATGGGGCCATATCCTACAGATCCTCCCATTTCTAGGGAGGTCTGAAGTAGAATTTTCGCTTTATGTTAGAAGAGAGTAGTGAGCCTTCTAAGTAGTGCAGTATAGTAGAGGCTGGAGGGAACAAGATATGTATTTCTTTTGTCTTGTTATACATGAGTAACTTGTAGATTTATGTTTTACCTCCTTGTCAATTTTCAACATTGTTCCTGTTAAGTGAAGGTTTATTTTGCTTCAGATTATACATTTATCAATAACATAGCTCTCACATTCATGGCCGTTTAATCAATTTGAAAGTTACGGTTTGGGTATTAGTAAAACAAAATCATACACCATTCATATTTTCTTTATAATTCAGAACTAGATAACATGATAATAGAGAAGGGACTTTGATATGAATCTTAAAGAACTCCACAGTAAAATAGTTGACATCATAATATGAAGAGAAAGAAAAGGAAAAACAGAAATGTAAAAATTGTTTAATTCTTGGTTTGCCTAATTCGTTTTCCTATTTCTTTTCATATAAATAAAGGATACCTGGATTTATTTAGGTTATTAAGACTGCCGTTAGTTTGTTTTGTTCTAGTGCACTTCATATTCCATGTTATCTACTGCATCAAAAAACCCCTCTGATTGGAGGGTGGTATTTTCTGGGTTTAAAATAATCACATGAAATGCAGTGATCAATATAAGCCAGAATGAGTTCACTAAAAACCTTTTTGAAACAAGGCTGCTAAATTCAAAGAACTTCCATAGGCTTAAACTGTCTCAAATATTTTCAAGATGTGGTAATTTTGTTTCTTAATATATAGTTAGGAAAATTAAAAATTAATAATTTGTGTAAAAACATATATTATGGTAACTGTCATTTATGAAAGACTCAGTATTTCCTACTTAGTATGCCATATGTTTTATGGACAGTACTTATACCCCAAAATTCCTACAAGATAGGGTTTAGCAGACTCACTTCAAAATGAAGAAATTGCAAATTTCTAAAAGCTCACAAGCTTGTAATTGACAGAGCTGGGATTAGATCTCTGGTCTGGATTCATCTAGAGCCCATATTTTTCCAATCCTCTCAGCCTGAGCCAGACTTTGTGTCTTTTAATCCACTTTTCCTCTCACTGCCCAAAATGCTTACCAGAGCATTAAAAGGACACTGTACCCAAAGCACTTCTTTGGATTCTACAACTAGAGTAATCATAATGCTGAAAAAATGAGTAGTATGAATTACGAAAAGAAAAAAATAATACACAGTGACAATATGATCATCTACATATGCAACATTAGATAACCCAATAAGATCAGGAGCTCCCAAAATCATCCTGCTCTGCCCTTTCCCCATAGAAATTAAATCTCCTCAAAGCAAAGTACATAATAGGCTAAGTCTGGCTGGTGAAGCAAAGGAATAGATCAGGGTGCTTTTTTCACTGACAGCCCACCACCTGTCCTGGGCCTCCTGCCTTGTGGTACAGCTTCCCTATCTCATACAGAACCTGGGACAGTGAGCCATTGTCTGCAAGGTTTGCAGTAGGGAACCTGCTCAAGTGTTTGCAGGTGTATGGCATTTCCCAGCAGTGTTAAAGAGTAAGGAGGCATGATGAGAACCCCCATAAATGAAGATTCTGGAGATCACTGCCTCAGAATATCGGGGTCACAGAAAGACCAGGCCCTGCCTACTCTCAGATCTAGAAGGCCCAAGCTATAGCAGTAAGCTAAAATTTCTCTATTTACTCAAGGTTCTCAGGTACATAAGAGTCCTGGTCTAAGGGTGGTGTGCTCTGGTTATTGGGAGGAGGATCTCAGCCTCTGAAAATGATCAAGATGAGGACTCTGAATGAGAAATGAGGAATTATCCACCCAGAACAGCAGGGGCTCTTAAAGCTATATCTTGCTTTCTGCCTTGGGTGGCCATAGGCAGGGCTATCTGGTTGAGGTTTCCCCTCATTTTCTTTAGGGCTTCTACTGGTGCCCCAGGGAGATAAAGGCTTTGATCTCATGGCAGTAGCTCCGATTCTGCCCACGAAGGAGGTCCTCTCAAGCCTGGATTGGATTTAAGGTGAGGACACTGGGGTAGCCAAGGAGAAGCACCCTGACTTCCCCCTCTGGTTTCTCAGTAAAGGAAAAGCTTTGGCTTCAGGCTGGCAGACTCAGATTAGCAGAGGAAGGAGTTCCACATCCCCAAATCAATGTTAGAAACCTGAGTGAGAACTGAGGGAGCCACTGACTCCAAAACAGTGGAATCTTGTAGGATTCTGACCCTGCTATTATTCTTCAGAGGATCCTCAATAACTGTGGCCAGATGTGCCTGTTCCTCACTTCCAACTGGGAGATTCCAGGAAGATATGGCCTTGGTCTGAGGAGTGAGGCCTTGAGTCAGTGGAGGGTAGAGTTTCAGATTTCATTAGGTAGGAGTCAAGGTAAAGATGCTGAGGGAGGATAGAGGAGACCACTCACCACAGAACAGTGGGAATGCACAGTGTCCTGACCCTAATGTCAGCCCTAGGAGGCCCAGGGCAGAACTCTCAGGCTGAAGTGCCCCCTCAGTTCCTCTGGGAGTGGTCTCAAGGAAGTGAGAGTCTTAGTCTAATGGGAGCAACCCTAGTCAGCAGAGGATGTTTAATAGGAGTCACACTGCTGACCCTAAACAGGGATGACGGTACTCCTCCCAGAACAGGTGGAGCCACACGAAGCCCTGCCATTGATGTCTCTCCCTGGCAAACCCAGGAATTCTGAGATGATGAGTCCCACTCATTTCCTTTCAAGGCATCTCAAGGAGGTAAGGCATCTGGTGTAAGGGGTCAGCCTGAGATTACCACAGGGATAAATTCCAGGTCATGCAAACAGTCAAGCTGAGGACCATGAAGATGGAAGGAACCACTCAAATCATAACAGTACAGACAACGCAGAATCCCTTAGGTACTGTCAGCTGTAGGTGATCATAAGGCTTTCGTGCTCAGATGAGGAAACTCTTACATCCTTCTTGGTAGTATTAGGGAATTAAAGGCTGTACATAAGCAGACAGGCCTCTAGGTCTTGGGAATGTTCATTGTGAGGACCCTGAGCAAGGACTGAGGGGAGCAACCAACCTAGAAGAGACAGGAACCCACATAGCCCCACCCATTTCAGCCCTCGAAATCCCCAGCACGAATAACCCGAATATGTCAGCCACTCACTCCTCTCCCTGGAGGACTCATGTCACTAGAGGGAGGAGTCAGAGATCCTGGCTGAGAAGTCAAGGAGTCACAAACCCCTGAACAGTTGGGTCCCATAGAGTCTTTCTCCTGCTATTAGTTCTCAGAATCCCCTAATAGCTCCAGCGAGGTCACTTTGACTTCCACGTCTGGGGACTCCAGGTGGTGAGGAACTTGGTCTGAGGCTGGCCATCTCATCATAGAGAACATTACCAGGTCGAGCCAGGAGTCAGGGCAAGGACAATGAGGAAGGAGCAGAACATGAAACCTCCTATAACAATGGAGGCAGCACATAATCTCTCCCCTACTGTTAGGCCTGGCAGATTCAGGGATAAATGTCAGGCAGAGCAGAGGCACCCCTCAATTCCCCCTCAGGGTGACAGAGAAATGAGGGCCTTATTCTGAGGGGGATGGTATCAGGCCACGAAAGGGAGAAATTGTGGGCACTGTCACGAGTCAAAATGAAGAATCTGAGCGAGGACTGGTGAGGCCAACCCTCATGAGGCCCAAAAGCGCCTGCCACAGCTTTCTGCCTTGGGAGACTCCAGGCAGGTATGGCCAAATAAGGCTGCCCTCCCTTCCCTCTACTAGGTCTCAGAGAGTTCTGGGCCTTGCTATGAGGAGATGCCTTCAAGTCAAAGAACAGAGGAGCTGCAGGTCCTTCTAGGAGTCAAATTGAGGACCCTTGGTGAAGACTAAGATGATCATACTCCTTCCCCCAATAGAAGGGGCAACATAATGTCCAACCCCCACCCTGGCTTTCAGCATTTGAAAACCCATAGCAGGACTGTCAGGGAGAGGCTTCGCCAATGTTTTACATTGGGTCTAAGGGAGATGAGCTCCTTAGTAAGAAAGTGAAGCCACGATAGAACAGAAGAGGGGGTCCCAGGCCCTACACGGAGTCAATATGAGAACTCTGAATAAGGACTGAGGGTCAGTGATCCCAAGACAGAAAGGATCCCCCAAAGTTGTCACCCCTGTTCAAGTGGGAAGTCAGGAAACAACTGATGACCCAGCTTGAATGAAGTAATGAGGGAGAAATTTTCTCATATTCAAGGAAAAGTTATTGTTTTTGTCATTCAGGCCTTCAACTGATTGAATGAGGCCCATACATATTGGGGAAGGAAATATGCTTTACCCAGTCTACTGATTCAAATGTTAATTTCATCCAAAAATAGCCCTACAGAAACACCCAGAATAATGTGTTTGAGTAAATATTTGGGCACTCCATGGCTCAGGCAAGTTGACATGTAAAATTAACCATCACAATACTAATAATGAACACACATCCTCTAGGTTTTTATTGTTGCTGTTGTTGTTTTTTTAATATTATTCAACCTCTTGCCTGACTCTATTTAGCCTCTGATTTACTTGCTGTTTTTATAACTAGGTGAAAACATTAAAAGTTAAGTATAGGCTATGTCTATTCAACCAACTTGAAATACTCCCTCCAGAAAAAGTTTCAAAGTATATTTTAAGAGCAGAAATTATATTTACAGATCGTCTCCAACTTATGAGGTTCAAGTTATGACTTTTTTGGTTTTACAATGGGTTTATCAGGATGTAACCCCATTGTAAGTGGTATTAAATTCATTTTCAATTGATATTTTTCACTTAGGATTTTTTTGGAATGTAGTCCCATCATAAGTCAAAGAACAACATCTCTGTGTCTAAAACACATGTTCCTTGACATGACTGGATTCAATATTTATATGAAGGACTGCATGCAACTAAACTTTTTATTGTGTCTTTAATCTCGTCACTTGTTATTTATCTGTTCAGGTTTTGAATTTCTTCCTGAATCAAACTTGGTAGGTTGTATGTATCTAGAAATTTGTCCATTTCTCCTAGATTTTGTAATATATCGGCATATAGTTGCTTACAGCTGCCACTAACGATCCTTTCCATTTCTGCAGCATCAGTTGTAATGTCTCCTTACAAGCTGTTTCTTATAAGCTGTTTCTGCTTTATGGAGCATCCCAAGCCCAGTAACCTTGTGATTGTTGCAGACTCATAGAGGTACCGCCTTGATGGTCTTGGACCCAATCCAAGAGAATTCTCTGGATTACCAGGCAGAGACTCTTGTTCTCTTCCCTTAATTTGTCACAGACATACAGAGTCTCTCTCTCTCTCTGTTCTGAGCCACCTAATGCTGCATGTTGAGTGACACAAGCGCCCCTGTGGCCACCACCACTATGATTTCACTGGGTCAGACCTGAAGCCAGCACAGTGCTGGGTCTCACCCAAGGCCTGTGTAACCATTCCCTGGCTACTGCCCATGTTTGCTCAAAGCCTTGGGGTTCTACATTCAGCCTGTGACAAAGCCAACCAGGCCTGTGTCCTTCCTTTCAGGGCAGCAAGGTGCCTCAGGCTCCATGTGGGTACAGCAGTGCTTTCTGGGAGTCAGGGATTAGAGCCAAAAACTTAGAAGTCTACTTCATATTCCATTGTATTGTGGCTGAGCTGGCATTCAAACCACAAGACACAGTTCTTCCCACTCAGCAGTCCCCTTCACAAAGGCAGATTAACCTTACCCCATAGCCACCACCACCCCTGGCCATGAGCTGTACTACCAGACTAACACTGATGTTCTCTTAAGGCCTAAAGACTCTTAAGTCAGTTTGTGGTGAACGTTGCCTGAGCTGGGACTCTTCAGAGCAGTGGTCTCCCGTCTGGCCAAGGGCAGGTCTAGAAATGCTGTACAAGAACCAAGTCCTGGAACTGGGGACCCCAAGAACCTGCTTGGGGCTCCACGCTCTTGTGATGGTGCTGGTACCTAAGGTGCAAGACAAAGTTCCCTTTACTTCTCCCTCTGCTTTTCTCAAGCAGAAGGAGCTTTTCCCCAGCACAGCTGGTAAGGTTCCAAGTCTAACATGAAGCCCACAAGTGTCAGAAGCTCACCATGACCCTCCATGTAGTACCTGGGTATTACTACTGGTTATTCAGGGCTTCAGGGCTCTTCAGTTATCAGGCGACGATTGCTGCCAGGACTGAGTCCTTTCCTTCAAGGCAGCGGGTTCCCTTCTGGCCCAGGGTGTGTCTAGAAATGTCACCTGGGAGCTAAAGCTTGAAACGGGGGCCTCACAACTCTCACCAGTGCCCTGTTCGGCTTTGGCTGAGCTGGTATCCAAGATGCAAGACAAAGCCTTCCCCACTCTTCCTTCTCCTCTCCTCAAGTGGAGGGAAGGGGTTTCTTTTGGAGCTGTGAGCTATGCATCCTGGGTTTAAGTGAGGGGCAATGGCAGCACTCCCTTGGCTGCCCCAGCTGATGTCTGAGTATGTTTTGTGCCCCCCATCCGCTGTCTATGGGCCTAGTTCAGCCCTAGTACTCACCTAAGATTTGCAGTCATTATGGCCTAGACTGCCTTTCAAATTTACCTGGAGACCCAGAGTGCTATAGTCCTCTGTGGCGAGGTTTCCACGCAAGTTTGGACCACTGGGAATGGTGATTCCCTTCTGGCTAGGGCTGGTTTAAATGCTCCCTCTGTGGGAGGGCGTCAGTTGAGTTTGGCCTGGTTTTCCTTTCTGCTCTAACAGAACAGCTGAGTTCAATGCCTCGCAATTGCTGTGTTCCCCCTCCCCCAGCACCGAGAGATGCTCTCTGCACCATGCCACTGCTGCCCAGGGGTAGGCGAGAGCTGGTGTGTCAATGATTCAGGACTATTTTTGCTATCTCTTCAGTGCCTCTTTCAGCGATGTGAAGTTAAAATCAGGTACTATGAGTGCTCACCTGATTTTTGGTCCTTAACAACGTGTTTTTTCTGTGTAGACTGTTGTTAACTTTGTGTCCTTGTGGGAAGGGGGTACAATTGGTGAAGCTTTCTATTCCACCACCTTGCTCTACCTCTCCCTCAATTTTTAGTTTTGATAAGGGACAACTTATGTATGCTTTTTTAAGGATCCAATTTTAGGTCAAAAAATGCTTTGTGGTGGAGGGAAGGAGCGTATCCTGAAGTCGAGGTTGTTCTACAGTCTGCAATAGAAGATGTATGACAAGATCAGTTGGACAAAAGGTTTTCAAAAATTCTGCCCTTGTTTCTCCCCAGTGTGTCTTGGAACATTCATTTCTACTGCTTTCCTATAGGAATCTGAGACAACACTTTAGACTACAGGTTACAGTACCATGCGTTTATATAATGGAGCACAGAAGTTTGCATTGTTGAGGCACTGTGACTCCAGAGGATATACTAATTAACACATGAAACTCCTTTAGAGGTAAGTCTTGGAATTCTTTATTATCTTATAAAGTATAGCTAATGGACTAAAAATAGAATAGTAAATATCAGAATGAATCACACATAGATAAGCTAGGTAATTTTGTGTGGAACTTTTGAGATTATATGTATGTACATATAAACTCCAAATCACTAACACATTTGGTAGATATTTCTTACTATTATACTATATTTGAGGTTAAAAATAAAGGTCCCTGCACTGGAGTATGCAATGTTACATACAACTTGGAAAGATCAGGGGCTTACAAAATCTTCCAGTTCTGCCTCTTCCCTGTAGAAATATATATTTTTTGAACACAGGATTCATAGAGAAGTCTGACTGGTCAAGAGAAAGAATAGGTCAGTGTGTTTTTTTTCTCTGACAGTCCTCCTATCCTGTGCTTTATGCCTTTGGTGCAGCTTCCCTATTTCACATCTACAGTGAGACCCTGACTTATTCTTTATAAGGTATGCAGTTGGGCAAAAGCTCAGAGCTTGCAGGAAGGTGTTATTACCAGAGAGCCTTTGATCAAAAAACAAGGATCCCACATGAAGACCTGCGTGAGAGAAGACTGAGGTGACCACAAATTTCAGAACATAAAGATTAACACATTCTTACCTCTGCTTTCAGCCCTGAGAGACACCAGGCAGCTGTGTCTCACATATTTGCCTGAGGTGGTACCCAGAATCTAGGGAAGGTGGGGAAAACCATAGGCCACTGCAGTAGAAGGATTATTTTTCTGAGTATTCTTCAGACTTTGCTGGCTGTTAGGACACACAGCTCTCCCTAGGCCCCTCGGATCACCCCATTCACCATGAATAGTGCTGTAAATGTTTTGTGTACAAAGACTGATGAAGGGGTGAACAGCCACGAGGATGAAAATCCAAGCATTTCACAAGCACCACCTGCCCCTGAAAACTCATGCAAATACCTTCTAACCAAAGAGGTGGCTTTGTTTATGCACAACTGCATATGTTTACTTTGTTCAAATATAAAATTAGACTTTTATCATGAAAGCACACATTCTAAAAAATGTCAGCAAAAATTATAAGGACCACATCTCCATAATCCAATGGAGAGCCTCTGACATGTGGAGTTGCTCATTGGCTTTGACTCAACGGATTTTAACTCTATGAAGCATCTCTATACCCTTGTCAGCAAATTGGAACTCATCAATGATGGGAGTTGGAGTGCTGGTAGGGGTTGCCAAAGAGCAGATTGTTGATGATTCTTCTTAGTGTGACCTTCATGAAGAGCACCTGCACCACTAAAGAGAAGGTCTGAGAGTTTCTAAATATGATAAATATATATGCTGGGACAAAGCATTTCATCGGTAGGTACTTCAGAAAGCTCATCACCAGAAATTTTACATAGGAAAGGTACCTGGAGTACCAGCAAGTTCCCAGTAGTGATCCTACATGCTATAAATTCCTGTGGTATCCAGGAGCTCACGGTTAAATCAGCAAGAATAAAGGTCCTAAAATTTTTGTCTAAGGCCAATGATATGTCACTGTTTCTTTCTATTCCTGTGTGAAAAGTCATTCTGAGATGAGTAAAAGAGAGCCCAAGCCAGTGTTGCAGCCAGGATTGGCACTATCATTATGGCCAGGGCATGTTCCAGGGCCATGTACAACAGCCTTTTACACCCCTAGTAAAGTCTGAGGTAGGTTCTTCTATTTCCAATTGAATAGAGCAAACAACTTTCAAGTAGTAGAGGCCATTTTGGGGCAGGAGGAAACACACTGTACATGCATCATTTTTGTATTTTGTTTTACCAAATAACAAAGATTTTCCTTCCTTCCTTCCTTCCATTATCTTGTTCTTTCTTAACTCTTTCCTTTTTTCTTAATTCTCTTTCTTTTCAGTTAATTTCTAAATGTTATTTTTTAAATCAAAGGTTTAAATTGCTTCAGAATATAAGTTTATGAATTGTCACTTGGATTATACATTTATTGCTGTGTATTAGGTCTAAGGGTAGGAACTAAGCTATTTTGAGAAAAAAGGAAAATCTTCTATTTTACTTCATGATCTGAAACAAGATAATGTGGCAATCAATTAAGTGTTTCATTGGAAATATGAAATAACAGTAAAATTGTTTGAATCAAGAAATGGAGACAAATGAAGTGGAAGATGTTCAACTTTTAGATTCTCTAAATTTTCAGTGTATTGTTCTTTAAAATTTACATATACATACATACATACATAAATTTACTTAGCTTATTCAAGAATGCAGGAGAAATTAAATATTAATAAATATAGACAGATCAAGGCCCCTGGTTTGCAGATGGCTGTCTTCTCGTGGTATCCTCACATGGCAGAGAGAGAGAAAGCAAGCTTCCTCATGTATTTTTATAAGTGCACTAATTCCATTCACAAGGGCTCCACCCTCATGGCCTAATTACTATTCAAAGACCTTGACTCTTAATACCATCATATTGGAAGTTAGGATTTCAACACACAGATTTTAGACTGACGCAAACATTCAGTATATAACAATGCTAATTGGCTCATTTATTCTCTAAATATTAATTGAATATCCACTTTTTGGAAAACACCATGTTATTGTTGGAGATCCTAGGATTTCTGTTATAGGAGCAGTAGAAGTTGGTGGCATCTAATGGTAGTCAGGTGGGATGATTTAAAAGAAGGAATGAGAAGGTGGGAATCAAGGCAAGAACAATTAAGTGTAAGCGTCTTGAGATAAGTCTGTTTGGGTACTTGAGAAACAGTATTTCTTCAGTGGTACTGATGTTTAGGTTTCTCCCTGTGGTTAGTGAGGTAAGGCTCTGGGAGTGACGAACTGGCACCAGGGCCTCAAATGGTGTGTCTCAGGGTCAAGAGATTAAAACTTAGAATGCAAAATGGCTCTAGCAATTATTCTTGAATCCTGGATAAACTAAAGCAAAATTTTCCAGACAGAAGTAAGATAGGCGTTCCCTGTACTTGACTCAGTGTATTTGATCGCAGTTTGGTAAATAATTGTTCTGCATACTAAACTGCAAACATATGCTACCTTCCATTAAAAAAGAAAGGTGAAACAGAAGGTACAACCAAGAACCCACAGGATGGAGCCACTATCCAAGAAAATTATTCTTAGGCTTTGAAATCTAATCAAGGAACAGACAACCTTTGTTCATTGGGATTTCAGAACTGCTATTTTCTAGATACTTTTTGTACCTCCAATTCTGCCTGTTTTTACATAAGCATGTTGATAGCTGTTATCCTATGCATATCTCATCATTGTACATTGGGTGTGTTGACAGACAACTTGTTTCTTTTGTTACAGAAATCTACATATAAAGGTGTATCTTGCCCAACTGCTGTACTTAACAACTACCCCAGAGCCTCTTCATCTACAGATGGACCTGATTTAGATAGTGCAATTTGAATTTGGAGCTGATGCTGTAATGAGAACAGAGTTTTGGGGATCTTTGGAAGGGATGTATGTATTTTGCATAAGGTAGAGACAGGAAACAATGGGTTCTACAGGGCAGACTGCAACAGAAAAAAAACCTTATGGGTCCCCAGAAAGTCCCACCTTCTGGTGGTCATGACTTGTGTACTCCTAACTTTAATGTAGGTGGGGCATATGATTTTATGCTAAAAAATAGATTATGACAAAGGTGATGGGATATCACTCAAGCAATTACATTAGAAGTCAGAGTAGAGATGACACTCATCTAATAACAGATACGATGTAAGACACTATTTTGCTGTCAGATAGGCTCTTGCTATCCTGCTTGTCTTGAAGAAGAAACCTGCCATGTTTTGAATGGCCTGTAAAGAGGGAAATGTGGCATGACATTGCAGGCTTTGGTTAGGACTGAGGTTGGTCTCTAAGCAAGAGCTTAAAAAACACTCTTAGTCCTATAGACAAGAGGAAATGAATTATGCAAAAAAAAAAAAAAAAAGCGAGTTTGACAGTGGATATTTTCTTGTCCACTTTCAGTTTCCAGTCCAACATGTAAGGAGCTTAGACATGTGTCACTTCCAACCTACCAATCAGAAAAAAGTTGAACAAACTGAAAATCAACCACCTTTCTTAGACCAATCAGTTAACTGAGGTCACAGAGCAAATGGCTGTCCCCACAAAAGGAAGACAGACTAGAAGATACAGAGAATCCACAGCTCACTGGAACAGAACCCCAGGAGCAGAAACCACTGCTAGAGCTGGTACCAGGATAGGAAAATGTAAGTTATGTTTGACAAGTTACTGAATCTTCAGTGTAGACTAGCTTCACAGTTAAAAACTCTACTGGGGCCCAGTATATTAGGGGGCCTTCTTACTCTTTTGAGTTTTTCCTCCAGTGGTCCTAATAGGTTCTCACAGTGAAGAGTGGAGATCAGATAAAAATGCCCTTGTCCTTTCAGCAGGGGGAGGAAAAAAGCCATTTTGAAATGTGCCCAGAGCAACCTGTTCCTTATAACAAGGCCTGCTTAAAGATAAACCTATTTACCAGAGTCTAACTGACAAGGGTTTCACTAGGGCCTAAACAACTTCAAAAGAGGAAAAGTCTCCATTCCAGCCCCCTCTATATCCTTGTAAGTGGAGGACGAGAAATACTCATTTACAGGTCCTCTTGACTTCCTGTTTCCCCTAAGGGGTAAAAAACCTGAAGTACTTGTGAAGTCATAGCTTAGTGAACTGGCAGTCTCATCAAAAGATTGAGACTTAACTACAGGGTCATAGAATGCTTCCCCTCACTGCATACATTACCACTACATCACCAAGGCTCCTATATAAGAACCAAGGATTATAACTGAAAGAACTGCACATCGCTAAGACTTATTTAAGAAGAACAGGGGAGACAAAAACAAGGGCATCCAAGGAAATGATGGAATCTAACACCTACAGCTATAGCAAGCAGTAAACACAGACTCATTCCTGGCCAGAAAAATATGAAAACTCACACTAAAGGCCTACTGACCTTTGCTCCTTTCACCCAGTATATTATGTTTGGTTTTTGACAAAAAAATTACAAGTAAAAGACAAAATACACAGTTTGAAGAGATAGATCAATCATCAGAACCAGACTTAGATATGGCAGACATTTTGGAATTATCAGACCAGGAATTTAAAATAATTATGATTAATATGCTAAGGACTATAATGGAAAAAGTGCACAACATGCAAGAATGGTGGGTAAACAGAAAAATGAGACAGAAGAGAGTTGAGTTAAAGACATAAACTTTTAAAATAAAAAAGCCTAGAATTTTATATTCAGTAAAAATAATCTTCAAAATGAAGGGGGAGAAAAAACTCTCTCAAATAAAAATCAAAACCTGAGGGACATTATCACCAGTAGACATGCCTTGCAAGAAAGGTTAAAAGAAGTTTGTCAGAGAGAAGGAAAATTATATATATCAGAAACTCAGATCTACATGCAGGCAGGAAGAGTGTTACAAAATAAATGATGGTAAAAGAAAGCATTTTCTTATTCTTGGTTGATCAAAGTGACAACAGTTTGTTCAAAATAATAATAGCAATAATGTATTCAATGATTATACCTTATGAACAAGTAAAATAAATGACAGCAGTGTTATAAGAGATAGGAAGTAGGTATTGGGAATATTCTTCTATAAGGTACTTGTGCTACTTGTGAAGTGGTGGGGTATGTTTTGAATGTGGACTTGGATTAGTTGTGATCATATTTCAAACTCTACGGCAACTACTGAAAGAACTAAAAACACAGAAGTATAATTGATGTGCTAAAGAGTAGAGAAAATGGAATTGCACAAAATACTCAAAACCAGAGAATGCAGCAAAAGAGTGGAAGATGAAAAATAACATAAAATAAAATAAAAATAAAAATAAAAATAAAAGAGCAGTGGTTCTCCCAGCACGGTGTTTGAGCTCTGAGAACGGACAGACTGCCTCCTCAAGTGGGTCTCTGACCCCCACGTAGCCTAACTGGGAGACACCTCCCAGTAGGGGCCGACTGACACTTCATACAGCCGGGTGCCCCTCTGACACAAAGCTTCCAGAGGAAGGATCAGGAAACAATATTTGCTGTTCTGCAATGTTTGCTGTTCCGAAGCCTCCGCTGGTGATACCCAGGCAAACAGGGTCTGGAGTGGACCTCCAGCAAACTCCAACAGACCTGCAGCTGAGGGACCTGACTGTTAGAAGGAAAACTAACAAACAGAAAGGAATAGCATCAACATCAACAAAAAGGACATCCATACCAAAACCCCACCTGTAGGTCACCATCATCAAAGACCAAAGGTAGATAAAACCACAAAGGGAGAAACCAGAGCAGAAAAGCTGAAAATTCTAAAAACCAGAGCATCTCTTCTCCTCCAAAGGATCACAGCTCCTCGCCAGCAACAGAACAAAGCTGGACAGAGAATTACTTTGATGAGTTGACAGAAGTAGGCTTCAGAAGGTCGGTAATAAGTAACTTCTCCAAGCTAAAGGAGGATGTTCTAACCCAGCATAAGAAAGCTAAAAACCTTGAAAAAAGATTAGACAAATGCCTAACTAGAATAAACAGTGTAGACAAGACCTTAAATGACCCGATGGAGCTGAAAACCATGGCACAAGAACTACATGACATGCATAAGCTTCAGTAGCCTATTCGATCAAGTGAAAGAAAGGGTATCAGTGATTGAAGATCAAATTAATGAAATGAAGCGAGAAGAGAAGTTTAGAGAAAAAAGGAGTAAAAAGAAAGGAAGAAAGTCTCCAAGAAATATGGGACTATGTGAAAAGACCAAATCTACCTTTGATTGTTGTACCTGAAACTGACAGGGAGAAGGGAACCAAGCTGGAAAGCACTCTGCAGGATATTCTCCAGGAGAACTTCCCCAACCTAGCAAGGCAGGCCAACATTCAAATTCAGGAAATACAAAGAACGTCACAAAGATACTCCTCAAGAAGAGCAACCACAAGACACATAATTGTCAGATTCACCAAGGTTGAAATGAAGGAAAAATGTTATGGGTAGCCAGAGAGAAAGGTCCAGTTACCCACAAAGGGAAGCCCACCAGACTAACAGCGGATCTCTCGGCAGAAACCCTACAAGCCAGGAGAGAGTGGGGGCCAATATTCAACATTCTTAAAGAAAAGAAGTTTCAACCCAGAATTTTATATCCGGCCAACCTAAGCTTCAAAAGTGAAGGAGAAATAAAATCCTTTACAGACAAGCAAATGCTGAGAGATTTTGTCACCACCAAGCCTGCCTTATGAGAGCTCCTGAAGGAAGCACTAAACATGGAAAGGAATAACCGGTACCACCCACTGCAAAAACATGCCAAATTGTTTTTTGTTTTTTTTTTTATTTTATTATTATACTTTTAAGTTTTAGGGTACATGTGCACAATGTGCAGGTTTGTTACATATGTATACCTGTGCCATGCTGGTGTGCTGCACCCATTAACTCGTCATTTAGCATTAGGTATATCTCCTAATGCTATCCCTCCACCCTCCCCCCACCCCACAACAGTCCCCAGAGTGTGATGTTCCCCTTCCTGTGTCCATGTGTTCTCATTGTTCAATTCCCACCTATGAGTGAGAACATGCGGTGTTTGGTTTTTTTTCCTTGCGATAGTTTACTGAGAATGATGATTTCCAATTTCATCCATGTCCCTACAAAGGACATGAACTCATCATTTTTTGTGGCTGCATAGTATTCCATGGTGTATATGTGCCACATTTTCTTAATCCAGTCTATCATTGTTGGACATTTGGGTTGGTTCCAAGTCTTTGCTATTGTGAATAGTGCCGCAATAAACATACGTGTGCATGTGTCTTTATAGTAGCATGATTTATAGTCCTTTGGGTATATACCCAGTAATGGGATGGCTGGGTCAAATGGTATTTCTAGTTCTAGATCCCTGAGGAATTGCCACACTGACTTCCACAATGGTTGAACTAGTTTACACCCCCACCAACAGTGTAAAAGTGTTCCTATTTCTCCACATCCTCTCCAGCACCTGTTGTTTCCTGACTTTTTAATGATCGCCATTCTAACTGGTGTGAGATGGTATCTCATTGTGGTTTTGATTTGCATTTCTCTGATGGCCAGTGATGGTGAGCATTTTTTCCTGTGTTTTTTGGCTGCATAAATGTCTTCTTTTGAGAAGTGTCTGTTCATATCCTTTGCCCACTTTTTGGTGGGGTTGTTTGTTTTTTTCTTGTAAATTTGTTTGAGTTCATTGTAGATTCTGGATATTAGCCCTTTGTCAGATGAGTAGGTTGCAAAAATTTTCTCCCATTCTGTAGGTTGCCTGTTCCCTCTGATGGTAGTTTCTTTTGCTGTGCAGAAGCTCTTTAGTTTAATTAGATCCCATTTGTCAATTTTGGCTGTTGTTGCCATTGCTTTTGGTGTTTTAGTCATGAAGTCCTTGCCCATGCCTATGTCCTGAATGGTAATGCCTAGGTTTTCTTCTAGGGTTTTTATGGTTTTAGGTCTAACGTTTAAGTCTTTAATCCATCTTGAATTAATTTTTGTATAAGGTGTAAGGAAGGGAGCCAGTTTCAGCTTTCTACATATCGCTAGCCAGTTTTCCCAACACCATTTATTAAATAGGGAATCCTTTCTCCATTGCTTTTCTCAGGTTTGTCAAAGATCAGATAGTTGTAGATATGCGGCGTTATTTCTGAGGGCTCTGTTCTGTTCCATTGATCTATATCTCTGTTTTGGTACCAGTACCATGCTGTTTTGGTTACTGTAGCCTTGTAGTATAGTTTGAAGTCAGGTAGCATGAATCCTCCGGCTTTGTTCTTTTGGCTTAGAATTGACTTGGCGATGCGGGCTCTTTTTTGGTTCCATATGAACTTTAAAGTAGCTTTTTCCAATTCTGTGAAGAAAGTCATTGGTAGCTTGATGGGGATGGCATTGAATCTATAAATTACCTTGGGCAGTATGGCCATTTTCACGATATTGATTCTTCCTACCCATGAGCATGGAATGTTCTTCCATTTGTTTGTATCTTCTTTTACTTCGTTGAGCAGTGGTTTGTAGTTCTCCTTGAAGAGGTCCTTCACGTCCCTTGTAAGTTGGATTCCTAGGTATTTCATTCTCTTTGAAGCAATTGTGAATGGGAGTTCACTCATGATTTGGCTCTCTGTCTGTTATTGGTGTATAGGAATTGTTGTGATTTTTGCACATTGATTTTGTATCCTGAGACTTTGCTGAAGTTGCTTATCAGCTTAAGGATATTTTGGGCTGAGACAATGTGGTTTTCTAAACATGCAATCATGTCATCTGCAAACAGGGACAATTTGGCTTCCTATTTCCCCAGCTGAATACCCTTTATTTCTTTCTCTTGCCTGATTGCCCTGGCCAGAACTTCCAACACTATGTTGAATAGGAGTGGTGAGAGAGGGCATCCCTGTCTTGTGCCAGCTTTCAAAGGGAATGTTTCCAGTTTTTGCCCATTCAGTATGATATTGGCTGTGGGTTTGTCATAGATAGCTCTTATTATTTTGAGATATTTCCCATCAATACCTAATTTATTGAGAGTTTTCAGCATGAAGCGTTGTTGAATTTTGTCAAAGGCCTTTTCTGCATCTATAGAGATAATCATGTGGTTTTTGTCTTTGGTTCTGTTTATATGCTGGATTACACTTATTGATTTGCATATATTGAACCAGCCTTGCATCCCAGGGATGAAGCCCACTTGATCATGGTGGATAAGCTTTTTTATGTGCTGCTGGATTCAGTTTGCCAGTATTTTATTGAGGATTTTTGCATCAATGTTCATCAAGGCTATTGGTCTAAAATTCTCTTTTTTTGTTGTGTCTCTGCCAGGCTTTGGTATCAGGATGATGCTGGCCTCATAAAATGAGTTAGGGAGGATTCCCTCTTTTTCTGTTGATTGGAATAATTTCAGAAGGAATGGTACCAGTTCTTCCTTGTACCTCTGGTAGAATTCGGCTGTGAATCCATCTGGTCCTGGACTCTTTTTGGTTGGTAAGCTATTGATTATTGCCACAATTTCAGAGCCTGTTATTGGTCTATTCAGAGATTCAACTTCTTCCTGGTTTAGTCTTGGGAGGGTGTATGTGTCGAGGAATTTATCCATTTCTTCTAGATTTTCTAATTTATTTGCATAGAGGTGTTTGTAGTATTCTCTGATGGTAGTTTGTGTTTCTGTGGGATTGGTGGTGATATCCCCTTTATCATTTTTTATTGCGTCTATTTGATTCTTCTCTCTTTTCTTCTTTATTAGTCTTGCTAGTGGTCTATCAATTTTGTTGATCCTTTCAAAAAACCAGCTCCTGGATTCATTAATTTTTTGAAGGGTTTTTTGTGTCTCTATTTCCTTCAGTTCTGCTCTGATTTTAGTTATTTCTTGCCTTCTGCTAGCTTTTGAATGTGTTTGCTCTTGCTTTTCTAGTTCTTTTAATTGTGATGTTAGGGTGTCAATTTTGGATCCTTCCTGCTTTCTCTTGTGGGCATTTAGTGCTATAAATTTCCCTCTACACACTGCTTTAAATTTGTCCCAGAGATTCTGGTATGTTGTGTCTTTGTTCTCGTTGGTTTCAAAGAACATCTTTATTTCTGGCTTCATCTCATTATGTACCCAGTAGTCATTCAGGAGCAGGTTGTTCAGTTTCCATGTAGTTGAGCGGTTTTGAGTGAGTTTCTTAATCCTGAGTTCTAGTTTGATTGCACTGTGGTCTGAGAGACAGTTTGTTATAATTTCTTTTCTTTTACATTTGCTGAGGAGAGCTTTACTTCCAACTATGTGGTCAATTTTGGAATAGGTGTGGTGTGGTGCTGAAAAAAATGTATATTCTGTTGATTTGGGGTGGAGAGTTCTGTAGATGTCTATTAGGTCCGCTTGGTGCAGAGCTGAGTTCAATTCCTGGGTATCCTTGTTGACTTTCTGTCTCGTTGATCTGTCTAATGTTGACAGTGGGGTGTTAAAGTCTCCCATTATTATTGTGTGGGAGTCTAAGTCTCTTTGTAGGTCACTCAGGACTTACTTTATGAATCTGGGTGCTCCTGTATTGGGTGCATATATATTTAGGATAGTTAGCTCTTCTTGTTGAATTGATCCCTTTACCATTATGTAATGGCTTTCTTTGTCTCTTTTGATCATTGTTGGTTTAAAGTCTGTTTTATCAGAGACTAGGATTGCAACCCCTGCCTTTTTTTGTTTTCCGTTTGCTTGGTAGATCTTCCTCCATCCTTTTATTTTGAGCCTATGTGTGTCTGTGCACGTGAGATGGGTTTCCTGAATACAGCACACTGATGGGTCTTGACTCTTTATCCAATTTGCCAGTCTGTGTCTTTTAATTGGGGCATTTAGTCCATTTACATTTAAAGTTAATATTGTTATGTGTGAATTTGATCCTGTCATTATGATGTTAGCTGGTGATTTTGCTCGTTAGTTGATGCAGTTTCTTCCTAGCCTTGATGGTCTTTACAATTTGGCATGATTTTGCAGTGGCTGGTACTGGTTGTTCCTTTCCATGTTTAGTGCTTCCTTCAGGAGCTCTTTTAGGGCAGGCCTGGTGGTGACAAAATCTCTCAGCATTTGCTTGTCTGTAAAGGATTTTATTTCTCCTTCACTTATGAAGCTTAGTTTGGCTGGATATGAAATTCTGGGTTGAAAATTCTTTTCTTTAAGAATGTTGAATATTGGCCCCCGCTCTCTTCTGGCTTGTAGAGTTTCTGCCGAGAGATCAGCTGTTAGTCTGATGGGCTTCCCTTTGTGGGTAACCCGACCTTTCTCTCTGGCTGCCCTTAACATTTTTTCCTTCATTTCAACTTTGGTGAATCTGACAATTATGTGTTTTGGAGTTGCTCTTCTCGAGGAGTACCTTTGTGGCGTTCTCTGTATTTCCTGAATCTGAATGTTGGCCTGCCTTGCTAGATTGGGGAAGTTCTCCTGGATAATATCCTACAGAGTGTTTTCCAACTTGGTTCCATTCTCCCCGTCACTTTCAGGTACACCAATCAGACGTAGATTTGGTCTTTTCACATAGTCCCATATTTCTTGGAGGCTTTGTTCGTTTCTTTTTATTCTTTTTTCTCTAAACTTCCCTTCTTGCTTCATTTCATTAATTTGATCTTCCATCACTGATACCCTTTCTTCCAGTTGATCACATCGGCTCCTGAGGCTTCTGCATTCTTCATGTAGTTCTCGAGCCTTGGCTTTCAGTTCCATCAGCTCCTTTAAGCACTTCTCTGTATTGGTTATTCTAGTTATACATTCGCCTAAATTTTTTTCCAAGTTTTTAACTTCTTTGCCTTTGGTTTGAATTTCCTCCTGTAGCTCAGAGTAGTTTGATCATCTGAAGCCTTCTTCTCTCAACTCGTCAAAGTCATTCTCCGTCCAGCTTTGTTCTGTTGCTGGTGAGGAACTGCATTCCTTTGGAGGAGGAGAGGTGCTCTGCTTTTTAGAGTTTCCAGTTTTTCTGCTCTGTTTTTTCCCTATCTTTGTGGTTTTATCTACTTTTGGTCTTTGATGATGGTGATGTACAGATGGGTTTTTGGTGTGGATGTCCTTTCTGTTTGTTAGTTTTCCTTCTAACAGACAGGACCCTCAGCTGCGGGTCTGTTGGAGTTTGCTAGAGGTCCACTCCGGACCCTGTTTGCCTGGGTATCAGCAGTGGTGGCTGCAGAACAGCAGATTTTCTTGAACCGCGAATGCTGCTGTCTGATTGTTCCTCTGGAATTTTTGTCTCAGAGGAGTACCCGGCCGTGTGAGGTGTCAGTCTGCCCGTACTGGGGGGTGCCTCCCAGTTACGCTGCTCGGTGGTCAGGGGTCAGGGACCCACTTGAGGAGGCAGTCTGCCCGTTCTCAGATTTCCAGCTGCGTGCTGGGAGAACCACTGCTCTCTTCAAAGCTGTCAGACAGGGACATTTAAGTCTGCAGAGGTTACTGTGGTCTTTTTGTTTGTCTGTGCCCTGCCCCCAGAGGTGGAGCCTATAGAGGCAGGCAGGCCTCCTTGAGCTGTGGTGGGCTCCACCCAGTTCGAGCTTCCCAGCTTCTTTGTTTACAAAACATGCCAAATTGTAAAGACCACGGATGCTAGGAAGAAACTGCATCAACTAACAGCCAAAATAACCAGCTAATATCATTATGACAGGATGAAATTCACACATAACAATATTAACCTTAAATGTAAATGGACTAAATGCCCCAATTAAAAGAACCAGACTGGCAAATTGGACAGAGTCAAGACCTACCAGTGTGCTGTATTCAGGAGACCCATCTCATTTGCAGCGACACACATAGGCTCAAAATAAAGGGTTGAAGGAAGATCTACCAAGCAAATGGAAAGCAAAAAAAAAAAAAAAAAAAAAGCAGGGGTTGCAATCCTGGTCTCTGATAAAACAGACTTTAAACCAACAAAGACCAAAAGAGACAAAGAAGATCATTACATAATGGTAAAGGAATCAATTCAACAAGAAGAGCTAACTATCCTAAATATATATGCACCCAATACAGGAGCACCCAGATTCATAAATCAAGTCCTTAGAGACATACAAAGAGATTTAGACTCCCACACAATAATAATGGGAGACTTTAACACCCCACTGTCAATATTAGACAGATCAATGTGACAGAAGGTTAACAAGGATATCCAGGACTTGAACTCAGCTCTGCACCAAGCAGACCTAATAGACATCTACAGAACTCTCCACCCCAAATCAACAGAATACACATTCTTCTCAGCACCACATCACACTTCTTCCAAAATTAACCACATAGTTGGAAGTAAAGCACTCCTCAGCAAATGTAAAAGAACAGAAATCACAACAAACTGTCTCTCAGACCACAATGCAATCAAATTAGAACTCAGGACTAAGAAACTCACTGAAAACCACACAACTACATGGAAACTGAACAGCTTACTCCTGAATGACTACTGGGTAAATAACGAAATGAAGGCAGAAATAAAGATGTTCTCTGAAACCAATGAGAACAAAGACACAACATACCAGAATCTCTAGGACAAATTTAAAGCAGTGTGTAGAGGGAAATTTATAGCACTAAATGCCCACAAGAGAAAGCAGGAAAGATCTAAAATCGACACCCTAACATCACAATTAAAAGAACTAGAGAAGCAAGAGCAAACAAATTCAAAAGCTAGCAGAAGGTAAGGAATAACTAAGATCAGAGCAGAACTGAAGGAGATAGAGACACAAAAATCCCTTCAAGAAATCAATGAATCCAGGATCTGGTTTTGTGAAAAGGTCAACAAAATTGATAGACTGCTAGCAAGACTAATAAAGAAGAAAAGAGAGAAGAATCAAATTGATGCAATAACAAATGATAAAGGGGATATCACCACCGATCCCACAGAAACACAAACTACCATCAGAGAATACTACAAACACCTCTATGCAAATAAACTAGAAAATCTAGAAGAAATGGATACATTCCTGGACACATACACCTTCCCAAAACTAAACCAGGAAGAACTTGAATCCCTGAATAGACCAATAACAAGCTTTGAAATTGAGACAGTAATTCATAGCCTACCAACCAAAACAAGTCCAGGACCAGACAGATTCTCAGCTGAATTCTACCAGAGGTACAAGGAGGAGATGGTACCATTTGTTCTGCAACTATTCCAATCAATAGAAAAAGAGGGAATCCTCCCTAGCTCATTTTATGAGGCCAGCATCATCCTGATACCAAAGCCTGGCAGAGACACAACAAAAAAAGAGAATTTTAGCCCAATATTCCTGATGAAAATCGATGCAAAAATCCTCAATAAAATACTGGCAAACCGAATCCAGCAGCACATCAAAAAGCTCATCCACTAAGAACAAGTTGGCTTCATCCCTGGGATGCAAGGCTGGTTCAACATATGCAAATCAATAAATGTAATCCATCACATAAACAGAACCAAAGACAAAAACCACATGATTATCTCAATAGATGCAGAAAAGGCCTTTGACAAAATTCAACAGCCCTTCATGCTAAAAACTCTCAGTAAACTAGGTATTGATGGAACATATCTCAAAATAATAAGAGCTATTTATGACAAACCCACAGCCAATATCATACTGAATGGGCAAAAACTGGAAACATTCCCTTTGAGAGCTGGCACAAGACAGGGATGCCCTCTCTCACCACTCCTATTCAACATAGTGTTGGAAGTTCTGGCCAGGGCAAACAGGCAAGAGAAAGAAATAAAGGGTATTCAGTTGGGAAAATAGGAAGCCAAATTGTCCCTGTTTGCAGATGACATGATTGCATGTTTAGAAAACCACATTGTCTCAGCCCAAAATATCCTTAAGCTGATAAGCAACTTCAGCAAAGTCTCAGGATACAAAATCAATGTGCAAAAATCACAACAATTCCTGTACACCAATAACAGACAGAGAGCCAAATCATGAGTGAACTCCCATTCACAATTGCTTCAAAGAGAATGAAATACCTAGGAATCCAACTTACAAGGGATGTGAAGGACCTCTTCCAGGACAACTACAAACCACTGCTCAACGAAATAAAAGAGGACACAAACAAATGGAAGAACATTCCATGCTCATGGGTAGGAAGAATCAATACCGTGAAAATGGCCATAGTGCCCAAGGTAATTTATAGATTCAATGCCATCCCCATCAAGCTACCAATGACTTTCTTCACAGAATTGGAAAAAGCTACTTTAAAGTTCATATGGAACCAAAAAAGAGCCCGCATCGCCAAGTCAATTCTAAGCCAAAAGAACAAAGCCGGAGGCATCATGCTACCTGACTTCAAACTATACTACAAGGCTACAGTAACCAAAACAGCATGGTACTGGTACCAAAACAGAGATATAGATCAATGGAACAGAACAGAGCCCTCAGAAATAACGCCGCATATCTACAACTATCTGATCTTTGACAAACCTGAGAAAAGCAATGGAGAAAGGATTCCCTATTTAATAAATGGTGTTGGGAAAACTGGCTAGCGATATGTAGAAAGCTGAAACTGGCTCCCTTCCTTACACCTTACACAAAAATTAATTCAAGATGGATTAAAGACTTAAACGTTAGACCTAAAACCATAAAAACCCTAGAAGAAAACCTAGGCAATACCATTCAGGACATAGGCATGGGCAAGGACTGCATGACTAAAACACCAAAAGCAATGGCAACAAAAACCAAAATAGACAAATGTTATCTAATTAAACTAAAGAGCCTCTGCAGAGCAAAAGAAATTACCATCAGAGGGAACAGGCACCATACAGAATGCGAGAAAAGTTTTGCAATCTACCCATCTGACAAAGGGCTAATATCCAGAATCTACAAAGAACTTAAACAAATTTATAAGAAAAAATCAAACAACTCCATCAAAAAGTGGGCGAAGGATATGAACAGACAATTCTCAAAAGAAGACATTTATGCCGCCAACAGACATATGAAAAAATGCTCATCATCACTGGTCATCAGATAAATGCAAATCAAAACCACAATGAGATACCATCTCACACCAGTTAGAATGGCGATCATTAAAAAGTCAGGAAACAACAGGTGCTGGAGAGGATGTGGAGAAATAGGAACACTTTTACATTGTTAGTGGGAGTGTAAACTAGTTTAACCATTGTGGAAGTCAGTGTGGCGATTCCTCAGGGATCTAGAACTAGAAACACCATTTGACCCAGCCATCCCATTACTGGATATATACCCAAAGGATTATAAATCATGCTGCTATAAAGACACATGCACACGTATGTTTATTGCGGCACTATTCACAATAGCAAAGACTTGGAACCAACTCAAATGTCCTTCAATGATATACTGGATTAAGAAAATGTGGCACATATACACCATGGAATACTATGCAGCCATAAAAAAGGATGAGTTCATGTCCTTTGTAGGGACATGGACGAAGCTGGAAACCATCATTCTGAGCAAACTATCACGAGGACAGAAAACCAAGCACCGCATGTTCTCACTCATAGTTGGGAATTGAACTATGAGAACACTTGGTCACAGGGTGGGCAATATCACACACTGGGGCCTGTTGTGGGGTAAGGGGAGGGGGGAGGGATAGCATTAGGAGAGATATCTAATGTAAATGATGAGTTAATTGATGCAGCAAAGCAACATGGCGCATGTATACATATGTAACAAACCTGCATGTTGTGCACATGTACCCTAGAACTTAAAGTATAACAAAAAATAAATAAAAAATAAAAATAAAAATAAAAAACACACAATGACCACAAAGTTAAAACCGAACAAATTGGTAGATATTAACCCAACTATACCAATAATAACTTTTAAATACAATGATTTAAATACACCAATAAAAAGACAAAACCAGAAATTATCAGAGGAGATTAAAAAAAAAACTTTTATGTTGCCTACAAGAAATCCACCTTAAACATAAAGATTCAGACAGGTTAAAAGTAAAGGAACTGGAAAAAGATATGTGATTACATCACAAATGTAAAGAAAGCTGGAGTAGCCATGTTTATTTCAATCCAAGCAGAATTCAGGTTAAGGAAAATTATGAGGTATAAAGAGGGGCATTTCATAATGATAAAGGGGTCAATTCTCCAAGAATATATACCAGTCCTTATTGTGTATGCACCAAAACTAGGGTGTTAAAATGAGTCACATAAGGCAAATACTGATGAGACACATCCACTCTTAAAGTTGAAGACTTCAACACACCTCTATCAGTAATTGATAGATACAGCAGGAGAAAATCAGTAAGGGTATAGTTAAACTGAACAGCACCATCAATCAACCACATCTAAACGACTTTTATATAATACTTAACCAAATGATAAAATGCACTTTTTCAGGCTCACATACACCAAGATAGAACACATTCTGTCCCATAAAAACACACCATCAAATTTAAAGGGATAGAAAGCATACAAAGTATGCTCTAAATTTACAGTTGAATTTAACTAGAAATTGAAAACAGAATGATAGCTGGAAAATCCCCAAACATACGTAGATTGAACAACATGCTTCTAAATATCACATGGGTCAAAGAAGGCATCTCAAGAGAAATTTTAAAACTACAACTTATCAAAATGTGTGAGGTGCAGCAAAAGTAGAACTCGGAGGGAAATTTATGTCATTGACTGCATATACTAGCAAAAGGGACAACTAATATATTAATCTAACCTTCCACCTTAGAAAAGTACAAAAAGAAGAGTGAATTAAATCCTAATAAAATTAAAAATAAATATTAGAGAAGAAATCAATAAAACTGAACACATCAATAGAGAAAATCAGCAAAACTAAAAGGCAGTCCTTTGATAAGATTAATAAAATTAATAAACCTCCAGTCACATTAACTAAGAAAAGAAGAGAGAAGACACAAATTGCTAATGTCAAAAATGAAAGAAAGGCCATCACTGATTATTCTATTGACATTAAACAGATAGTAAAGGAATGTTATGAAAAATTCTATGCCCACCAACTTGGTAACCTAGATGAGACAGACCAATTCCTTGAAAGACACAATCTACCAAAACTCACACAAGGAGACTGAGATCATCTTAATAGGCCTATATCTATTAAAGAAATTGAATCAATGACTGATAAGCTTCCAAAAGAGTAAACAACAGTCCCAAATGAGCTCACTGGTGAATGCTGTCAAATCTTTAGGAAGGAATGATATCAATTCTCTACAAACAAGCACAAAGATGAAAAGATGCTTTATATCATGGATCATTAGGGAACTGCAAATTAAAACAACAATCAGATATCACTACACATGTATTAGAGTGGATAAAATCCAAAACACTGACAAGACACATACTGGAGAGGATGTAGGGCATAGAATCTCTCATTCAGTAATGATGGCAGTGCAAAGATGGTACAGCCTCGTTGGAAGACAGTTTGTCAATATCTTACAAAATTAAAATACTCTCGTCATATGATTCAGCAGTTACTCTCCTTGGTATTTAGTCAAATGGGTTGAAAACTGATGTCCACACCAAAACTTGAATACAAATGTTCAAAGCAGCTTTATTCCTAATTGTCAAAACTTAGCAGAAACCAACAAGAATTAAGTGTCCCACAAGCATACAATGAAATATTGTTTAGTGATTAAACAATGTGTTATTAAGCTATGAAAAGACATGCAGGAGCCTAAATGCATATTGCTAAGTGAAAGTAGCCTATTTGAAAAGGTTACATGCTGTAGGATTCTAACTATATGACATTCTGGAAAAGGCAAAATTATGGAGACAGTTAAAAAAAGGGGGGTTCTGGGGGGATGGGGGAATAAGGGGAACACAGTGGATTTTTTTTAGTATAGTGAAACTGTTCTGTATGATACTGTTATAGTGTGTACGTGTCATTCATTTTAAAAAACCCATAAGATATATAATAGAAAGATTAAACTCTAATATAAATGGTTAACTTTAATTAATAAAAATGTATCAATATTAGCTCATCAATTTTAACAAGTATACCACATTAATGTGTGATAATAATAGGAGAAACTGTGTGTGAACCGATGAGAGGGTATAAGAGAATTCTTTGTATTTACCACCGAATTTTTCTGTAAACTTGGAAACTGCTCTACAAAATAAAGTATGCCCATTAAAACTCCATCCCTGTGTTATATATTTAGAGTAGTTTGTTTTCCTGGAATAACCCATGAATATTTGCAGTTAGCTAATTATTTGTATTGATTTTCTCATCTGAAGCTCTTTCAGCCATTAACAATTTTAAGCAGCCATTTTAAGAATGGCTGCTTAAAAAAACATCCATTCTGTCATTAGTAATTAAATTTGCTCAAGTGTCTTCTATCATTAAGTAAAATATAACACAACACAACATACCATGGCTCTTTAAACCTCCTTTAAATAATTCTCTGTTTCTGTCCTAAATAAATTTTACACTCCCTAGTTTTTGTATGCATAAACACACACACAAAATATATACATATATTTATATTTAGATATTGAAAATATTATAGAGCATTAAGAGATATATGTTCAGCTTGTAAAAAAATTGAGCTCTACACATAAAGTTCTATTAGCATAATTGTTGAAAAGTAGCCCAAGCAGTACTTATGGGGATATTTATTGCATTAAATAGATTTACTATAAAAAAGTTTGAAACATTGTAACAATTCAAGAAGCTAGAGAATGAATAGCATATTAAACACAAAGAAGAAGGTAGGAATAATGAAGATAAATTCAAAAGTGATAAATGAGAAAATAGTCAAACCAACTAGTAAAAGCCAGTTCTTTGAAAGGATTTATATAACAATGTGTATGAGTACCATCAATTACAAATGAAAAAAGCAGAAATAAATGATATTAGATAAGTAAAATTATACAAAACTTAGGTGTAGAAAAGATGTAATACTAATAGAGAACACCGTAAGTGTTATCAAGTATTATCTGTATCTCAAGATAACAAATGATGGACAAGGAGAAGGTTCTATCTGAAAAATTTCGGGTAATAAACTCAAAAGAATTTTAGAATCAGAGAATTACCATCTTGCAACCCATGATAGATTAATGGATAAAAGTGATGGCTGCCAACATCATCACAAAAGAAACAACAGAAATTATATATCTCTTAATGAAACTGCACCATATCACCTCTGGAGTGCACTTGCCAATAAACTTTAATATGAACAATATTCTACTCATAAAAATTGAAGATTATTAGTGACAAATCTTAGCTAATTGAGTTTATTATTCTATTCTCTGTACTACTGCATATATTTGAGAATTTCCATAACAGGATTTTATTATGAATATCATGCTTTTAAATATGAAAACCTAAGTAAAATGGAACAATTTTTAGCAAAATGAAAATGACTCATAAAAATACAGAACTCTTTGAATGCACAGTAGAAAATGAAACTATAGTCCAAACCCAAAGTACCTTCAAACTGTTTTAGGACCAGCCAGGTTTAGAGACCCATTACATCAAATGGTGAAGAAGAAACTAATCACCACTTCATGTAAACTCTTCCAAACAACACGAAAAGATTGGGAGAATTACTCCATCATTTTAACAAGCTTGCTTTCTTTGACACAAAGACCAGATGAAGATAGTCCAATAAAACAACATTTGAGATCAGTTCATTCACATAGAGACAAAATATTCTCAATAAATTCATAGTATATCCAATATAGGCATATCCAATATAGCAGTGAATTAATGAATAAATAGCCTGCATCCAAGAAATGCAAAGATGATACCATATTAGAAAATACCATCAATTGGAAATCACTATGTTACCAAAAATGGTGAAAAAGCATGTGATCATGTGCAGGGGTAAAGGAGAAGCCTTAAAAAACCCTCAATACCAGTGTATGATAGTAACTTTTAGCAAACTTACATTAGGAGAGAATTTCCATCTTGTAAAATCTATAATTGACATACTAAATGTGAAACATTACAAACATCCCGAATAGAGTCCAGAAGAATATACACCTGTATAGTATAAACCCTACTGCTGACAACTGGATGAAAATACATCTATAGTTCACAACTATAATAATAATACCGAGTAAATTAGAGGTAACAATAACAAAAGGAGATAATTGTGATAATATAATCTCCTAATTTAAAAATAAAACAACGTAATTGGTGCAAAAATATTTAAATGTATAAGGAAATAAAGAAAACGTGTGTACAAAAGATCACCATAGGTAAGTCAGGAGTATAGTCACACAAAATCAATAACTAATTATAATATGTAATGTGAAATATGCCTTTCACAACAGCAACAATATCCAAAATATATCTAACAGAAAACCAAATAGAAATGTACATGTTCATTAAGGAGACAGCTATAAAAATTTACTGAAAGACTTAGGAAAAATAAATCTCCAATAAAGCAGTGTACTATGTTTATTTACTGTGGAGGAGATATTGTAAAGTTATTGATTCTCCTTAAATTTTTTACAGATTCATTGCCTTAGCCATAGCTGTGAAGATGACAACCAAACCCGGGTGGTTCTTTCCCATGACCAAACTCAACCATAGAAAAGTTAAAGGAAGAATTTTTTTTTAAAAAAAAAGCAGTATTAACAACAGCAAAACAACAAAAATGCGAACCTTGAGAGATGGTCAGTTTGTATTGAACAAGAATGGGTGTGTGGGCAGGTAGGGGCATGAGCTGAAGTAGAGACAGGTCTGTGGCCTACAACAGACGCAGATAACGGAATTGGCTAGAGGAAAAGCTTTAAAACTTTGGTCTTTGCTTCTTTCACTGTGCCATTGGACAATGCATTTTTTTTTCTGCTTCACTAAAGGAAATTCAGTCAGAAACTTGGACCCTATGTGCCAGTTCCATGGGGTAATATTGCCACAGCAAAAACATCTGGGTAGGCTGAAGAAGTATGAATCCAGACACTGTGCTAATAACTACCTGAAACTTCTTTAGTGGAAGTGGACTGGCCTTTAAATTCGTATTATTTTAATATAATATAAAGAATGGACTAAATTAGGATAGCAAATATTGCAGTGAGTCACACAAGATAATGGTAGAAATTCATTCATGAAGGTGTTGAATACAGACACTGATGTCAGCCAAGAGAGAAGTCCCAGACATAGCTATCAGGCTAAGAAGTCTTCTCACTTTCTCCTTATGAATTTTACAGGATCTAGTCAGAGGAAGGGGATGAATTTACATCAGAAAATGGAGAAAACTGAGACCCTGCCAGCAGTCAATGTGAGGACCCTGAGTGAGGACTGAGGGGCTCCACATATCAGAAGAGACAAGAGTGCCCCCCAAATCTCCCTTCATTCCCCGATCTTGCATCACAACTTAATAGCAGCAGCCAGGTTTAGGAGGCCCCAGGCAGTAGTGGCCAGGTGAGGTGTAACTGAATTGCACATGAGGAGTCTCAGGAAGTTGAAGTCTAGTCTGAGAGGGTGTCCTCAAGTCAGTAGAGGGGACATGGCAAGAATGAAGCGACGACACTGAGTGAGGGCTGAGGGCAAAGTCCATTCCAAAAAGGGGGTCTCACAGAGCTCCACCCCTACTGTCAGTCTTGGAAGGTCCCGGCATGGCTCCCGAGCTCAGGCTGCACCTTACTTCCAACTCTGGACTCTCAGGGAATGAGAGCCTCTATCTCCGGTTGACTGATTCAGCTCAACAGATAGAGAAGTCCAAGGGTCCGCGAAGAGCCCCTGAAAGAACTTTACGTGAGTTCCCTGGAATCTGCTGCACCCACAGAACACAAGGGGGAGTAACAGAGCCCTGCAGCTACTGTTACGCAGGGAGCGCCAGGTGGGCGTGGCCGGAAGTGGTTCCTCTTGACTTCCACCTAATAAAGGGGTCTGAGCCGGTCGCCTGAGCCTGAAAAGTGCTGTCACGTCAGCGGAAGGAGGCGTCCCAGATCTTCTCAGCTGTCTTGGTGGGTATCCTGACCTAGAACGGGGGGCATTCCCCGACAACTTCAACCCCCTTCCCCCGAAGAAAGGCGGCTCCACAGAGCCCTGCCCCAACCTGCCCCGACCTGGTCCCTGAGGAGTCCCCAAACATGGCTGTTAGGCCCAAAGTCCATTCATTTTTTTCCGTCGTGTTGAAGAACATGAAGGCCTCGGTCCAAGGCTTGTGGACCCAGGTCAGTAGAGGGAGAAATCTCAGGCCCTACATAGTTAAGAGGACCCTCCTTAGAATTGAGGGAGGGGATTCCATGTCCCGTAACGGGTTGCACCGAACTCTGCCCTTGACGTTAGCCTGGGGGTCCGGGCAGGTCTCTAGAGACTGAGGTGCATTCTCACTTTGTCCCTGTGAGAGTCAGAGAGGTAGGCCCCTGGTTGTAAGGAGATGGCAGCAGGTCAGTGAGGGTGATTTCCAGGTTGTGGGAAGAGTCAGGGTGAGGAGTCTAATTACTGTGAGGAGCATTCTCACTATAACTGGAAGAGCACTCAAATGCCTCCGCTGTTGTCAGCCCTAGGTGGTCTGGGTGTCCCCGGAATGAAGTGTTGGGCAGAAGTGCTTCCTTATTTCCTCCGGGTTAAAATTCCTACTGTCAATTTCAGAGTGGCACAAGGAAATGGGCCTCTGGGTCTTGTCAACAATTTTTTTTTTATTATACTTTAAGTTTTAGGGTACATGTGCACAATGTGCAGGTTTGTTACATATGTATACATGTGCCATGCTGGTGTGCTGCACCCATTAACTCGTCATTTAGCACTAGGTATATCTCCTAATGCTATCCCTCCCCCCTCCCCCCACCCCACAACAGTCCTCGGAGTGTGATGTTCCCCTTCCTGTGTCCATGTGTTCTCACTGTTAACTTCCCACCTATGAGTGAGAACATGCGGTGTTTGGTTTTTTGTCCTTGCGATAGTTTGCTGAGAATGATGGTTTCCAGTTTTAATGATGATCCTGAATGTAAACAGAGAGGATCCAACCCCTGAACAGAGGGGCCCCCACTGCCAGCCCCTGCTGTCACCTCAGTAAGCCCCAAAATGGGCTGTCATGCTATAGTCTAATACTCTAACTTCCTCCTGAGTTTGAAGGAGACAAACTGACCAGGAGAAAAGGAGTCCTGTGGGTTCCTAGAGCAGCTGTTCTGCGGAAACCTGCAGAAGGGGCCCTAGTTAAAGCCAAGATGGTCGCTCTCTGCTGAAGATATTGACGTGACGTCACTCTCTCCCATCCAGGTGCCAGCCTTCCTAGTCTTCCTACCCACACTCCTACCTGCTGTCACAGGCCACAGCCATCATGCCTCGGGGTCACAAGAGTAAGCTCCGTACCTGTGAGAAACGCCAAGAGACCAATGGTCAGCCACAGGGTCTCACGGGTCCCCAGGCCACTGCAGAGAAGCAGGAAGAGTCCCACTCTTCCTCATCCTCTTCTCGCGCTTGTCTGGGTGATTGTCGTAGGTCTTCTGATGCCTCCATTCCTCAGGAGTCTCAGGGAGTGTCACCCACTGGGTCTCCTGATGCAGTTGTTTCATATTCAAAATCCGATGTGGCTGCCAACGGCCAAGATGAGAAAAGTCCAAGCACCTCCCGTGATGCCTCCGTTCCTCAGGAGTCTCAGGGAGCTTCACCCACTGGCTCTCCTGATGCAGGTGTTTCAGGCTCAAAATATGATGTGGCTGCCAACGGCCAAGATGAGAAAAGTCCAAGCACTTCCCATGATGTCTCCGTTCCTCAGGAGTCTCAGGGAGCTTCACCCACTGGCTCGCCTGATGCAGGTGTTTCAGGCTCAAAATATGATGTGGCTGCCGAGGGTGAAGATGAGGAAAGTGTAAGCGCCTCACAGAAAGCCATCATTTTTAAGCGCTTAAGCAAAGATGCTGTAAAGAAGAAGGCGTGCACGTTGGCGCAATTCCTGCAGAAGAAGTTTGAGAAGAAAGAGTCCATTTTGAAGGCAGACATGCTGAAGTGTGTCCGCAGAGAGTACAAGCCCTACTTCCCTCAGATCCTCAACAGAACCTCCCAACATTTGGTGGTGGCCTTTGGCGTTGAATTGAAAGAAATGGATTCCAGCGGCGAGTCCTACACCCTTGTCAGCAAGCTAGGCCTCCCCAGTGAAGGAATTCTGAGTGGTGATAATGCGCTGCCGAAGTCGGGTCTCCTGATGTCGCTCCTGGTTGTGATCTTCATGAACGGCAACTGTGCCACTGAAGAGGAGGTCTGGGAGTTCCTGGGTCTGTTGGGGATATATGATGGGATCCTGCATTCAATCTATGGGGATGCTCGGAAGATCATTACTGAAGATTTGGTGCAAGATAAGTACGTGGTTTACCGGCAGGTGTGCAACAGTGATCCTCCATGCTATGAGTTCCTGTGGGGTCCACGAGCCTATGCTGAAACCACCAAGATGAGAGTCCTGCGTGTTTTGGCCGACAGCAGTAACACCAGTCCCGGTTTATACCCACATCTGTATGAAGACGCTTTGATAGATGAGGTAGAGAGAGCATTGAGACTGAGAGCTTAAGGCAGGGCTGGCACTATTTCCTTGGCCAGGGTACCTTATGGGGCCATATCCTACAGATCCTCCCATTTCTAGGGAGGTCTGAAGTAGAATTTTCACTTTATGTTAGAAGAGAGTAGTGAGCTTTCTAAGTAGTGCAGTATAGTAGAGGCTGGAGGGAACAAGATATGTATCTTTCTTTTGTTACACATGAGTAACTTGCAGATTTATGTTTTATCTCTGTCAGTTATCAACATTGTTCCTGTTAAGTGAAGGTTTATTTTGCTTCAGATTATACAATTATCAATAACATAGCTCTCACATTCATGGCTGTTTAACCAATCTGAAAGTTACGGTTTGGGAATTAATAAAACAAAGTCATACAACACATTTTCTTTGTAATTGAGAACTAGATAACATGGTAACAGAGAATTGATTTTCATATGAATCTTAACTCCACAGTAAAATAGTTGACATCATAATATGAAGAGAAAGAAAAGGAAAAACAGAAATGTAAAAGTTGTTTAATTCTTGGTTTGCCTAATTCGTTTTCCTATTTCTTTTCATACAAATAAAGGATACCTGGATTTATTTAGGTTATTAAGACTGCCGTTAGTTTGTTTTGTTCTAGTGCACTTCATATTCCATGTTATCTACTGCATCAAAAAACCCCTCTGATTGGAGGGTGGTATTTTCTGGGTTTAAAATAATCACATGAAATGCAGTGATCAATATAAGCCAGAATGAGTTCACTAAAAACCTTTTTGAAACAAGGCTGCTAAATTCAAAGAACTTCCATAGGCTTAAACTGTCTCAAATATTTTCAAGATGTGGTAATTTTGTTTCTTAATATATAGTTAGGAAAATTAAAAATAATTTGTGTAAAAACACATATTATGATATCTGTCATTTATGAAAGACTCAGTATTTCCTACTTAGTATGCCATATGTTTTATGGACAGTACTTATACCCCAAAATTCCTACAAGATAGGATTTAGCAGACTCACTTCAAAATGAAGAAATTGCAAATTTCTAAAAGCTCACAAGCTTGTAATTGACAGAGCTGGGATTAGATCTCTGGTCTGGATTCATCCAGAGCCCACATTTTTCCAATCCTCTCAGCCTGAGCCAGACTTTGTGTCTTTTAATCCATTTTTCCTCTCACTGCCCAAAATGCTTACCAGAGCATTAAAAGGACACTGTACCCAAAGCACTTCTTTGGATTCTACAACTAGAGTAATCATAATGCTGAAAAAATGAGTAGTATGAATTACGAAAAGAAAAAAATAATACACAGTGACAATATGATCATCTACATATGCAACATTAGATAACCCAATAAGATCAGGAGCTCCCAAAATCATCCTGCTCTGCCCTTTCCCCATAGAAATTAAATCTCCTCAAAGCAAAGTACATAATAGGCTAAGTCTGGCTGGTGAAGCAAAGGAATAGATCAGGGTGCTTTTTTCACTGACAGCCCACCACCTGTCCTGGGCCTCCTGCCTTGTGGTACAGCTTCCCTATCTCATACAGAACCTGGGACAGTGAGCCATTGTCTGCAAGGTTTGCAGTAGGGAATCTGCTCAATTGTTTGCAGGTGTGTGACATTTCCCAGCAGTCTTAAAGAGAAAGGAGGCATGATGAGAACCCCCATAAATGAGGATTCTGGAGATCACTGCCTCAGAATATCGGGGTCACAGAAAGACCAGGCCCTGCCTACTCTCAGATCTAGAAGGCCCAAGCTATAGCAGTAAGCTAAAATTTCTCTATTTACTCAAAGTTCTCAGGTACATAAGAGTCCCGGTCTAAGGGTAATATGCTCTGGTTACTGGGAGGAGGATCTCAGCCTCTGAAAATGATCAAGATGAGGACTCTGAATGAGAAATGAGGAATTATCCACCCAGAACAGTAGGGGCTCTTAAAGTTATATCTTGCTTTCTGCCTTGGGTGGCCATAGGCAGGGCTATCTGGTTGAGGTTCCCCCTCATTAAGGCTTCTACTGGTGCCCCAGGGAGATAAAGCTTTGATCTCATGGCAGTAGCTCCAATTCTGCCCACGAAGGAGGTCCTCTCAAGCCTGGATTGGATTTAAGGTGAGGACACTGGGGTAGCCAAGGAGAAGCACCCTGACTTCCCCCTCTGGTTTCTCAGTAAAGGAAAAGCTTTGGCTTCAGGCTGGCAGACTCAGATTAGCAGAGGAAGGAGTTCCACATCCCCAAATCAATGTTAGAAACCTGAGTGAGAACTGAGGGAGCCACTGACTCCAAAACAGTGGAATCTTGTAGGATTCTGACCCTGCTATTATTCTTCAGAGGATCCTCAATAACTGTGGCCAGATGTGCCTGTTCCTAACTTCCAACTGGGAGATTCCAGGAAGATATGGCCTTGGTCTGAGGAGTGAGGCCTTGAGTCAGTGGAGGGTAGAGTTTCAGATTTCGTTAGGTAGGAGTCAAGGTAAAGATGCTGAGGAAGGATAGAGGAGACCACTCACCACAGAACAGTGGGAATGCACAGTGTCCTGACCCTAATGTCAGCCCTAGGAGGCCCAGGGCAGAACTCTCAGGCTGAAGTGCCCCCTCAGTTCCTCTGGGAGTGGTCTCAAGGAAGTGAGAGTCTTAGTCTAATGGGAGCAACCCTAGTCAGCAGAGGATGTTTAATAGGAGTCACACTGCTGACCCTAAACAGGGATGACGGTACTCCTCCCAGAACAGGTGGAGCCACACAAAGCCCTGCCATTGATGTCTCTCCCTGGCAAACCCGGGAATTCTGAGATGATGAGTCCCACTCATTTCCTTTCAAGGCATCTCAAGGAGGTAAGGCATCTGGTCTAAGGGGCCAGCCTCAGGTTACCACAGGGATAAATTCCAGGTCATGCAAACAGTCAAGCTGAGGACCGTGAGGATGGAAGGAACCACCCAAATCATAACAGTACAGACAACGCAGAATCCCTCAGGTACTGTCAGCTGTAGGTGACCATAAGGCTTTCATGCTCAGATAAGGAAACTCTTACATCCTTCTTGGTAGTCAAGGAAACTCGTATTTCCTTCTTGGTAGTCATAGGGAATTAAAGGCTGTACATAAGCAGACAGGCCTCTAGGTCTTAGGAATGTTCATTGTGAGGACCCTGAGCAAGGACTGAGGGGAGCAACCAACCTAGAAGAGACAGGAACCCACATAGTCCTGCCCCTTTCAGCCCTGGAAATCCCCAGGCACGAATAACCCGAGTATGTCAGCCACTCATTCCTCTCCCTGGAGGACTCATGTCACTAGAGGGAGGAGTCAGAGATCCTGGCTGAGTGAGAACTCAAGGAGTCACAAACCCTTGAACAGTGGAGTCCCACAGAGTCTTTCTCCTGCTATTAGTTCTCAGAATCCCCTAATAGCTCCAGCAAGATCACTTTGACTTCCACGTCTGGGGACTCCAGGTGGTGAGGAACTTGGTCTGAGGCTGGCCATCTCATCATAGAGAACATTACCAGGTCGAGCCAGGAGTCAGGGCGAGGACCATGAGGAAGGAGCAGAACATGAAACCTCCTATAACAATGGAGGCAGCACATAATATCTCCCCTACTGTTAGTCCTGGCAGATTCAGGGATAAATGTCAGGCAGAGCAGAGGCACCCCTCAATTCCCCCTCAGGGTGACAGAGAAATGAGGGCCTTATTCTGAGGGGGATGGTATCAGGCCACGAAAGGGAGAAATTGTGGGCACTGTCACGAGTCAAAATGAAGAATCTGAGCGAGGACTGGTGAGGCCAACCCTCATGAGGCCCAAAAGCGCCTGCCACAGCTTTCTGCCTGGGGAGACTCCAGGCAGGTATGGCCAAATAAGGCTGCCCTCCCTTCCCTCTACTAGGTCTCAGAGAGTTCTGGGCCTTGCTATGAGGAGATGCCTTCAAGTCAAAGAACAGAGGAGCTGCAAGTCCTTCTAGGAGTCAAATTGAGGACCCTTGGTGAAGACTAAGATGATCATACTCCTTCCCCCAGTAGAAGGGGCAACATAATGTCCAACCCCCACCCTGGCTTTCAGCATTTGAAAACCCATAGCAGGACTGTCAGGGAGAGGCTTCGCCCATGTTTTATACTGGGTCTAAGGGAGGTGAGCTCCTTAGTAAGAAAGTGAAGCCACGATAGAACAGAAGAGGGGGTCCCAAGCCCTACACAGAGCCAATATGAGAACTCTGAATAAGGACTGAGGGTCCAGTGATCCCAAGACAGAAAGGATCCCCCAAGGTTGTCACCCCTGACAAGGGTGGTAGGCTGAGCCACTGTCTCACTTTTTGTGGGTTCCAGGGGGCTTCAAAGTGTCAACTTCAGAGCAGAACAGGAAAGAGGTACCAGGCTCTGTCAACAGTTAGCATAATGATCTGAAATATCATCTGAGTGTTCTCCCCAACCCCAGAACACAGGGATCTCCACAGTTAATCTCTGCTGTCACTCCAGTAGGCCCCAAGCTGGGTTGCAAGCTGCAGCCTAAGACTCACTCTAAGTTGCTTTACCAGGTTCTCAGGGGACAGACTCACTGGGAGAACAATTGCCCAATAGGTTCCTAGAGCAGTGATTTCACAGAAACCTGCATTGGCAGCCTTGGTTAAAGCCAAGGTGGTCTCTCCTTGCTGACGGTGCTCACAGCATTTCATTCTCCTTCCACCAAGTGACCATGTCACCTGCGACCCTATTCACGCTTCTGTCTGCTGTCTCTGCCCACAGTCATGCCTTGGGGTCAGAAGAGGAAGTTCCACACTCATGAGAAATGCCACTAGGGTGCTCACATCACTGCAGGAGAGGAAGAGTCCCTCTCCTCCTTTTCTCCTGTTTTGGAGAGTGCTCTTCAGAGCTCTCTTGCTACTGACATTCCCCAGGAGTCTCAGAGAGCCCCCTTCATCATCACTTATTCTGTAGATGTTTCATGCACAAGATCTGATGAACATGCCAAGAACCAAAATGAGGAAAAGCCAAGAACCTCTCCAGCAAGAGCCACCACTGGAGCTCACACAGAGACCTTCTATTCAGGAAGGGAAGTTTGGTAATACAATTTCTGCTGGAGAAGTGTAAAATTAAAGATCCCATGACAAAAGCAGCATTGCTGAACGTTATTAACAAAAAGTGCAAGGACCATTTCCCTGAGATCCTCAGGAGAATCTCTGAGTGCATGGAGCTGGTCTTTGGCCTTGAATTGAAGAAGTTGACCCCAGCAGTCATGTCAATGCTCTTTTCAGTGAACTGGATGTCCCCAGCAACAGGAGTCTGAGTGGTGATAAAGCATTGCCTAAAAGTGGTATCTTGATGATGCTCCTGGGTATAAGCTTCATGAAAGGTAACTGCACTGCAGAAGAGGAGATCCGAACATTTCTGAGTAAGATTTGGATCTACACTGGGAGAGTGATTTCATATATGAAGAGTCCAGAAAAAAGTTTGGTACAGGAAAGTAGCTAGAGTACCAGCAGGTGTCCAACAGAGATCCTCTACACCATGAATTCCTGTGGAATCCAAGAGTCCATGCTGAAATCAGCAAGATGAAAAACTGGTGACTTTTGGTCAAAGTCAATGATACCATCCCAAGGTGTCTTCCTATCCCTTTATACAAGGCACTGAGACATGAGGAAGAGAGAGCCTGAGGTATAGCTGCAGCCAGGACTGAGGCTAATCCCATGGCCAGTGCACATTCTGGGGCTACAAACAGCAGTTTCTCCCATGTCAAGTGAAGGTTGAGGGAGATTCTTTACCCTTTTGAAAAATAATGCAGTTAATGTTCAACTTAGTAGAGGACCTAAGCAGGACTAGAAGAAATATAGTTTATATCTTCTTCGTGTTTCTGTTCTATGTGAATAACTTGATTTTTTTTTTTTTTTTGGTTTTCAAATATTGTTTTATTTATTTTTTTCCTTCCAACTTTTATTTTAGGTTCAGGGGGTGCATGTCCAGAATTTTTACATGGGTAAACTGCAACTTGCTGGGGTTTGGTATACAAATTATTTCATCACCCAAGTAGTAAGTATCGTACCCAACAGGTAGTTTTTGATCCTCACCCTAGTCCCACCTTCCACCCTCAAGTAGAATCTAGTGTTTATTTTTCCATTCGTTATGTCTGTGTATACTCAATATTTAGCTTCCACATGTGAGTGAGAACGTGTGGTATGTAGTTTCCTGTTCCTGTGTTAATTTGCTTAGGATAATGTCCTTCAGCTGCATCCCTGTTGCTGCAAAAGGCATGCTTTTGTTCTTTTTTATGGCTGTGTAGTATTCTGTGATGTATATGTGCCATATTTTTTTTTTATCCCACTCACTGTTGATGGGCATCTAGGTGAATTTGTCTTGGCTATTGTGAATAGTGCTGTGATGAACATATGTGTGCATGTCTCTTTATGGTAGAAAGTTTTATATTTCTTTGTGTGTATACCCAGTAATGGGATTGCTGGATGAAATGGTAAATTCTGTCTTAAGTTCTTTGAGAAACGTCCATACTCCTCTTCACAGTGGCTGAACTAATTTACATGCCCACTAGCAGTGTATAAGTGTTGCCTTTTCACCACAACCTCACCAACATTTATTTTTTTCACTTTCAAATCATAGTCATTCTAAATGGCATCAGATGGTATCTCATTGTGGTCATGATAACATTTCTCGAATGATTGGTGATGTTGAACATACACAAATCAATAAATGTGATTCATCATATAACCAGAAGTAAAAGCAAAAACTACATGATCATTTTAATAGATACAGAAAAAGATGTTGATAATATTCCACATCCCTTCATGTTAAAAGCTCTCATCAGACTAGGCATTAAAGGAAGATACCTCAAAATAATAAGAGCCATCTATGACAAACCCACAGTCAACATCATACTGAATGGGCAAAAGCTAAAAGCATTCCCTCGAGAACTGGAACAAGACAAGGATGCCCACTCTCGCCAGTCCTATTCAATATTGTTCTGGAAGTCCTAGCCAGAGCAATCAGGAAAAAAGAAAGAAAGAAAAAGGCAACCAAATAGGAAGAGAGGAAGTCAAACTATCACTCTTTGCAGATGACATGATACTATACCTAGAAAAACCCATAGTCTCTTCCAAAGGCTCTTACATCAGATAAACAACTTTAGTCAAGTTTAGGATACAAAGTTAATGTAGAAAAATCAGTAGCATTTCTATATATCAATAATGTCCAAGCTGAGGTCAAATCAAAAATGCAATCCCATTCACATAGCCACAAAAAGAATAAAACACCTAGCTATACATCTAGCCAGGGAGGGGAATGATCACTGCAAAGAGAATTATAAAACACTGCTCAAAGAAATCAGAGACAACACAAACAAATGGAAAAACATTCCATATTCATAGACAGGAGGAATTAATATTGTTAAGATGGCCATACTGCCCAAACCAATTCACCAATTCAATGATATACCAACAACGGTTTTCACAGAAGTAGAAAAAACTATCCAACATTCATATGAAACCAGAAAAGGGCCCGAATAGCCAAAGCAATTCTAAGCAAAAGGAGCAAAGCCAGAGCTCTCCCACTACATGACGTCAAATTATACTACAAGTCTACAGTAACTAAAACAGCAAGTTGCTGGCAGCAAAATAGACACATAGACCAATGGAACAGGTTAAGGAGCCCAGAAATCAAGTCGCACACCTACAACCATCTGATCTTCTGCAAATTCTACAATAACAAGCAATGGGGAAAGGACTCTTTATTCAATAAATGGTACTGGGATTACTGGCTGGCCACATGCAGAAGAGTGAAACTGAACTCCTTCCTTACACCATATACAAAACTCAATTCAAGATGGATTAAAGGCTTAAATGTAAAACCTAAAACTATAAAACCCTTGAAGAAAATCTAGGAAATACCATTCTGGACAGAGTTCCCGGCAAACATTTCATGATGAAGACACCGTAAGCAATTGTAACAAAAATAACAACAACAAAAAATAGACCAAAAAAAAAACAAAAACAGAAAAATAGACAAAAACAAAAAATAGGCAAAAATTAGGCAAAAATAAATAAAAAATAGACAAAATACCAAAAATAGACCAAAAAAAAAAAAACAAAAACAAAAATAAACAAGTGGGGCCTAATTAAACTAAAGACCTTCTGCACAGCCAAGGAAGCTATCAACAGAACAAACACACAACCTAAAGAATGAGGGAAAATGTTTTCAAACTATGCATCTGACAAATGTCTAATATCCAGAATCTAAAAGGAATGTAAAGAAATCAATAAGCACAAAACAAACAACCCTAATAAAAAATGGGTGAAGGACCTAAACAGACACTTCTTAAAAGAAGACATACAAGTGGCCAATAAATATATGGGAAAAATGCTCTTTTATGCATGTATTTATCAGTTAAAAAAATTTTTTAACTTATATCAAAGCTTTATTTGCTATTTTCACAGTCTGCATGCAGTATCCTTGTACATGCAAAAGTCATCTTGTTTTATTGCAGTTAACTTGATTTCCAATTGCTCTTTTGATTTTCCAACTGTGCGTTTTAACTCTTTACAGTTACAAATTATAAAAAACACTTATAGACATACAATAATGTGTGGGTCCATAAAGCCTCATTTTTTAAACATTAAAAATATAGGTTTTTGTAGATGAGTGGGACTGGATAAAGTGCCTCTTGCTTATTCTCAAAACTCCTAGAGCTTGTGAATACACAAGGCAATTTCCAGAACACCAGCAGGCAGGAAGCTTAAATTTCCTACACACAGAAATTCAGTTCCTTTTCTATCATGACTCAAACAGGAAGCTCAGGAAGGAATTCACAAGAAAGGTTAGAAAAATGTATACTCTGTGTGTGTGTGTATACATAAATATTATATATATTACACATATATATAAAATTTCTACTCCCCTCACCCCATCTTACAAAGCATTTTGAAGATCATAATAATCTGGGAAGTGCATGCCTGTGTGTGTGTGTGTGTGTATATATATATATACACACACATAAATATTATATATATATATAAAATATCACCATGCCTTGATAAATTTTAAAAATATTTACATATATATTATATATATATATTATACATATATATTTCCACTCCCCTCACCCCATCTTACAAAGCATTTTGAAGATCATAATAAACTGGGAAGTGCATGACTTCTAAGATACTAGTATGATTTAGGAAACAACACTGTATGAAATATCTGCCATGACACAATATATTATCTTCGTGATCCCCCTATTTACAGGATCTATAAGGTTATGTAGAATGAGATAATTTAAAAGCTCAAATTCCTTCGAAACCAGCATAACTTTTAGTAGGCGGGATGCCACCAGGGTTGTCCAGAAAGTGCCAGTAGGAGTCATGGAAGATGTTACAGCATCAAGTGCAACAGTAACTGCGTAAGGAGACTCTGGAAGGGCAAAGGGGAGAGACTGAGAAGTGTTAATTTTAAGGATTATCTTGCCAGAAATCTCTGGCTGACTTCCCAGAGCAAAGAGACTGATTTTCTGTCCTCCTCCCTGCAGGAACTCACCTAGACAAAAGAGAAAATTCTAAAGACTGGTGGGGACAATAGGAAACATAGACTGGCTAAGACCCAGAACAAGCATACTGAGAGGTGACAGCGTGCTGGCAGTACTCACAGCCCTCGCTCACTCTCGGTGCCTCCTCTGCCTGGGCTCCCACTTTGGCAGCACTTGAGGAGCCCTTCTGCCCGCCGCTGCACTGTGGGAGCCCCTTTCTGGGCTGGCCAAGGCCAGAGCTGGCTCCCTCAGCTTGCAGGGAGGTGTGGAGGGAGAGGCGCCGGCGGGAACCAGGGCTGTCCGCGGTGCTTGCGGGCTAGCGCGAGTTCCGGGTGGGCGTGGGCTGGGCGGACCCTGCACTCGGAGCAGCCAGCTGGCCCCACTGGCCCCGGGCAGTGAGGGGTTTAGCACCTGGGCCAGCAGCTGCTGTGCTCAATTTCTCGCGGGGCCTTAGCTCCCTTCCCCAGGGGCAGGGCTCGGGACCTGCAGCCCGCCATGCCTGAGCCTCCCCCGCCTCCGTGTGCTCCTGTGCAGCCCGAGTCTCCCCGACGAGCGCCGCCCCCTGCTCCACGGCAGGCAGTCCCATCGACCACCCAAGGGCTGAGGAGTGTGGGTGCACGGCACAGGACTGGCAGGCAGCTCCACCTGCAGCCCCAGTGGGAGATCCACTGGGTAAAGCCACCTGAGCTCCTGAGTCTGGTGGGGATGTGGAGAACCTTTATGTCTAGCTCAGGGATTGTGAATGCACCAATCGGCATTCTATGTCTAGCTCAAGGTTTGTGAACATACCAATCAGCACCCTGTGTCTAGCTCAGGGTTTGTGAATGCACCAATCAACACTCTGTATCTAGCTACTCTGGTGGAGCCTTGGAGAACCTTTATGTCTAACTCAGGGATTGTAAATACACCAATCGGCACTCTGTATCTAGCTCAAGGTTTGTAAAGACACCAATCAGCACCCTGTGTCTAGCTCAGGGTTTGTGAATGCACCAATCAACACTCTGTATCTAGCTACTCTGGTGGGGACTTGGAGAAGCTTTGTGTCCACAATCTGTATCTAGCTAATCCGGTGGGGACATGGAGAACCTTTGTGTCTAGCTCAGGGATTGTAAATGCACCAATCAGTGCCCTGTCAAAACAGACCACTCGGCTCTACCAATCAGCAGGATGTGGGTGGGGCCAGACAAGAGAATAAAAGCAGGCTGCCCGAGCCAGCAGTGGGAACCCACTTGGGTCCCCTTCCACAGTGTGGAAGCTTTGTTCTTTCGCTCTTTGCAATAAATCCTGCTGTTGCTCACTCTTTGGGTCCACACTGCCTTTATGAGCTGTAACACTCACCGCGAAGGTCTGCAGCTTCACTCCTGAGCCAGCGAGATCACGAACCCACCAGAAGGAAGAAACTCCAAACACATCCGAACATCAGAAGGAACAAACTCCGGACACGCCGCCTTTAAGAACTGTAACACTCACTGTGAGGGTCCGTGGCTTCATTCTTGAAGTCAGTGAGACCAAGAACCCACCAATTCCGGACACAATACCTACTGCCTTTCTATCTGGCTTTAAGCTACCAGAGGCTTGGCTGGCCCAGAATTGCAACAGGATTCTTAGCAGTTTCTGAGAACGCAGCAGAGGTCCCCTACTCCCTAAGGGCATCTGGCCCAAGGCAGAGCCCCTTCCTGATGTAGAGTGGGTTCTGCTTGTTTCAGGTGGCTTCCTCCACCTCAGTACTATTCCTTTTACCCATGGAATCATGGTGCCATAGGACTTCTAATTTAATGTTTTAGATTGGGCAGAGGGGAAAGGCACGTTCAGAGGCTATAGGATGTCTCTCTATCACTGTCAAGATTTGTCATGATTTCAACATAGAAATTGTGGCAGAAGGTAATTTCCCAGTGGATAGAGCCTTTCTTTTACTTTCCAACTCTCCTGAAAGTTCACCCTGAAATGCCAGTTCACACAAAGACAACAACTAATCTGGCTTCCTGTTTTAAAGAACAAGGCTGGGTGGCTGGGACTGCAGAAATCCAGTGGGACATGCAGAAATCCAGTGGGACATGAAGAAACCAGTAAGGAATAGATTTATGTGATAGCCCTCTTCCAGGGTGGGACAGTCTTCCACACAGGCCTGAGTCACCTTTAAGAAGTATTTGGTTTGGGAGGTGAACCAACCGTATATCTGTGGATTTTTACTTTGTTGTTGTTGTTGTTGAAGACAGGTTCTCTCTTCTGTCACCTAGGCTGGAGTGCAGTGGCTTGATCATGGCTCACTGCAGCTTCAATTTCCTGGGCTCAAGTGATCCTCCCACCTCAGACTCCCAAGCAGCTGGGACTACAGATGCACACCACCATGCCTAGATAATTTTAAAAAATATATATATATATATTTTTGCCCAGAAACCCGCATTTTATTGACAGTCATTTTCCCACAGAGAATCTTAGAAAGATGTCGCGTTTTCTTTTAATAAATGAGAGAAGCCCACTTGTATCCCTGAATCATTGAGAAAAGCAACAGATACAACTGACAGTCACACTTTTTAAAATCAAACAGTCACTACCTTCAGCCCACACCTCCACACCCGCATCTGCCTCCCCAATGGCTGTCAGTTCGGTAAAGTCACCCTCTCCTTCTACTCTGGTATTACCACGAGAATTGAAATTTTTAAGCAGAAAAAAAAAGAAGTCAAGTTACAAATAAATGAGTGGCGAACCAAGGGAAGCCCTTTGACTATGATTTCCAATTTTCTGTTCAATCCACACTGCAGAGTTCTTGAATAAAACTTGGGAACCAAAATGGTGGTTTATCCTTGTATCTCTAAAAAATATTTTTAATAGAGACGGGGTTTTGCCATATTCCCCAGGCTAGTCTTGAACTCCTGGGCTCAAGGGATCCTCCCAACTCCGCCTTCCAATGTGCTGGAATTACAGGTATAAGCCACACTGCCCAGCCATATTTCTACTTTTGAAATTATTCTAAGCTTCCAGAGCAATCTCGGGACATCATGATGAAAATTTTATTTATTTATGTGTTTTAGAAACGGTCTCTGTGGCCCAGGCTGGAGCACTGTGACAGGATTATGGCTCACTGCAGCATCGGACTCCTGGGCTCATGTAACCCTCCTGCCTTGGCCTTTCGAGTAGCTAGGACTACAGGTGGATGCCACCATGACCACCTAATTTTTATTTTTTATTTTCTATAGAGATGGGGTCTTTGTAGCCCCGTCTGGTCTTGAACTTCTGGTCTCAAACAATCCTCCCACCTCAGCCTACCAAAGTACTGAGATTACAGGTATAAGCCTCTGAGCCTGGCCTGAAAATTTTAAAAGGATATATCAACAAGGCAGTTTTCAGCACCAGGTAGGAGTAGCCAAAGACTACTTTAAAGAAATCAGACTAAGGATTTTTCCCAAATCTCTTGCTCAGCCTCTTAGGTTTAGAACCTCAGACTTATGCCTACTTCTATTCTCACTCCTTACCAATACCCTAAGTCAGCCTCACTTCCCCAGATGCACAAAGGAACACTCATTTTTCCGAAGGTATATGTCTTGGTTTGTCCTCCAGAAAAATATTCTCAGTTCATTGTTCTTTTCCTGAGTCCTGGGAAACCTGAAGCTGTCAGGTCAGCTTCACTCAAAATTCCCAGCATTCCAAATACCACGAGGTTTCTCTTTTACCAGAATTTCTGTTGGCACTAATTCTCCACAATATTGATTTTTGAGGGCTCACCTTAGAATTTCACAGGCCAACGGCCTCTAGTTCCTTAAACAAAGAACCATGAAGAAGGGTATCTGCTGGGGAGGAAAACAAGACAGACATACCAAGAGACCAGCTGTGAAAATGCTAATGTGCACAAAGGGGAAAGAGAGATATTGTACATGCATAAGATTTTGCATTCTGTGTAAGATTTTCATTTAAGATGATCCAAAGGCCTATGGGAGAAGGATTGGATAGAGAGAAAGTGACTTTTTGCACAAAAGGTTAACAAAGCATATTAAGTTAAAGTTTTCCAAAGAGCCCTTCAAGCAAATGTGAGAAACTAGAGTATAACCCGTTGCTTAGCCTCAAGCACCTCACCCAGTTTAAAAAGAGGGGAAATAAATAACCTATTTGCCTAGCTGCCTTCAAAGAATCTCAAGCATCAGTCACTTCTATACTTCATTGTATTAATCATAATAAGCAGTATTCAGAGGATCCTGCATTATGAGGGTCATTCCTGACTAATATGGTTTTAATGTGTTCCTCAAAAAGCATGTGTTGGAAACTTAATCCCCAATGCAACAGTGTTGGGAGATGGAGCTTAGGGGGAAGTAACTAGGCCATGAGGCTTTTGCTCTCATGAGTGGATAAATGCTGTTATTGCAGGAGTAGGTTCCAGTGGGCTCTTTATCATGGAAATGGTGTCCTTCTGTCACCTAGGCTGGATTGCAATGGCTTGATCATGGCTGACTGCAGCTTCGACTTCCCAAGTAGCTGGGACTAGAGGTGTGTGCTGCCACACTCGGCTAATTTTTTGTATTTTTAGTAGAGACAGGATTTCACCATGTTAGCCAGACTGGTCCTGAACTCCTGACCTCAGGTGATTCTCCCACCTCGGCCTCCCAAAGTGCCAGGATTACAGGTATCAGTCACCGCACCAAGCCTGTTTTCATTTTTAGATCCCACAAATAAGTGAGAACATGCCATGTTTCTCTTTCTATGCCTGCTTTATTTCACTTAACATAATGATCTTCAGTTCCATCCATGTGGTTGCAAATGACAGAATCTCATTCTTTACGTCTAATTGTTATAAACAACCCAATTATACTCTTTTAGTTTTTCTTAAATGTACAATTAAGGTACTATTGACCATATTCACCTTGTTGCACTAGCAAATATGGCTTATTCATTATTTTTAACTAATTTTGTTCCCATTAAGCATCCCAACCTTCCTCCCACTCCCCTTTCCTGTCCGTGGTAACCATGCTTCTACTCTCTATCTCCATAAGTTCAATTGTTTTCATTTTTATTTATTTTTGTTTTTAGTTTTTTGAGACAGAGTCTCACTCTCACCCAGGCTGGAGTACAGTGGCACAATCTTGGCTCACTGCAACCTCCGCCTCCCATGTTCAAGCGATTTTCCTGCCTCAGCCTCCCGAGTAGCTGGAATTACAGGCGTGCACCACCACGCCCAGCTAATTTTTTGTATTTTTAGTAGAGACACAGTTTCACCATGTTCACCAGGCTGGTCTTGAACTCCTGACCTCAGGTGATCCACCCATTTTGGCATCTCCAAGTCCCAGGATTACAGCCATGAGCCACTCACCTGGCCTGTTTTAATTTTTAGATCCCACAAATAAGTGAGAACACGCCATGTTTCTCTTTCTGTGCCTGCTTTATTTCACTTAACATAATGATCTCCAGTTCCATCCATGTGGTTGTAAATGACAGGATCTCATTCTTTCTTAATGTCTGAATAGTGCACCACTGTGTATATGTAACACATTTTCTTTGTTCATTCATCTGTTGATGGAAACTTAGGTTGCTTCCTAATCTTAGATATCGTAAACAGTGCTGCAACAAAGGTAGGAGTTCAGCTACATCTTCAATAAATTGATTTCCTTTCTTTTAGGTGTACACCCAGCAGTGGGATTGTTGGCTCATATGGTAGCTGAATTTTTAGTATTTGTGAGGAAACTCCAAACTGTTCTCCATGGTGGTTGTACTAATTTACATTGCTACCAAGAGTGTGCGAGCCTTCCCTTTTCCCCACATCCTCCCCAGCATTTAATACCTGTCTTTTATATATAAGCCATTTTAACTGGGGTGAGATGATATCTCATTCTAGTTTTGATTTGCATTTCTCTGTTTATCAGTGATGCTGAGCACCTTCTCATATGCCTGCTTGCAATTAGCCTGTCTTCCTTTGAGAAATGTCTGTTCAAATCTTTTACCCATTTTTTTAAATGGGATTATTAGATTTTTTCCTACAGAGATGTTTGAGCTCCTTATATATTCTGTTTATTATTTGCTTGTCAGATGGGTAGTTTGAGTATACTTTCTCCAATTCTGTGGATTGTCTCTTCACTTTTAAATATTTCATTTTCTGTGCAGAAGCTTTTCAACTTGATGTAATCCTATTTTTCCATTTTTTTTTTTTTTTTGCTTTGCTTACCTGTGCTAATGGGGAATTATGCAAGAAATTTGTGCCCAGACCAATGTCCCGGAGAGTTTTCCCCATGTTTACTTGTAGTAGATTCATAGTTGGAGGTCTTTCATTTAAGTCTTTCATCCATTTAAATTTGACTTTTGTATATGATGAGAGGTAGTGTTCTAGTTTCGTTCTTTTGCATAGATATCTAGTTTACCCACAACCATCTATTGAAGAGACATGAACTTTTAATGTCATTGTCTGCTTATGTTATCTATGTCATTTCTCAATGAATTTTAATCCATTGATTTTTAAAATCTATTTTTTATTGACAGATAATAATTGTGCATATTTATGGGATACAATATGATGTTTTGATCTATATATTCTCCCTAGTGGACATATTCTCCATTTTCTTTGCGTGTCGGGCAATTAGATTGTATGCCAAGTATTGTGAATTTGGCCTCGCTCACATTTGTACAGCATAAGTGTGCTGGATATTTATTTTTTAAATAGATTCATATTCTTATACTTTGTTCTGTGACTCAGTTAAGTTTGTTCAAAATGCTATGATCCTGATAATTCTTGCTTTTAAAGTTTCTTAGGTGTGACCAGAGCTTCATAAATCTAGGACTAATCTCGCATCACTACAGAGATTAACCCCTTCTGAGTACTCTCCCTCTCTCTCTCTAGTCTGTCTCTCTCATGTTCTGGGCATGACATGATTTTACATTGGCTGCGAGAACAGGAACCCCCTAGGTAGGCTGGAATTCTCTCTCTGTGAAACTTTTTCCTCACAGATACTTTGTGCTAGGAACTCTAGACATCGGATCCTCCTCTCACCGTCAGCTTCATCTCCTCAACAACAGAAGATGGCCAGGTTTCAAATGAGCTACCCCTCCCTGCACTGCAGGCTCAAGGCAGCAAGCTGGGGAAGTTACAGGCTCACCTTCTTTTCAGTCTCACAGGAATCACTGTCTTTTGTTGCCGGATGTCCACTATATTAAAAATTGACATAGATATGTTGTCATTTTTATCTATTTTTTAAAGTTGTTTTAGGTATGTTGTTAAATCTATCCCTTTTAATTATTCTTTTCCAGAAGTATAAGTAGTATAACCCAAATTTAAAACCTAAATTATTATGGCACGTGAATGTCCCCAAACTGCAAGCTAATCAACAGTTGAAGAACATTAGAGCAAAAACTTGAGTACAGAGATTGTGGGCCACACACACTCATACCTACATACACGTAATAAGTATGTATGTTTGTGTGTGTACCTATATGTTTATATAGATGGATTAACATATAAGTAGGAGAGTATAAACCAGCAGTTTATACTTCACTGTGACAGGGCAGCACCAAATTTAATGTAAAATCCTCCAGTCACTGCGTTCTCTCCCCACAGTGCACAGATTCTCTCTCTGCACTGCATGGCTACTGTGGGGAAGGGTGGGGGGTGGAAGAGGCTGGGTGAGGGGTAACAGTGTTTCAAGACTCTCTCTTCTGCTTTCCTCAATGCCCCTTTCAGTGATAGGAATTTAAAACCAGGTATTGTGATTGCTCACCTGATTTTTGGTTCCAGAGTATAAACTGCTATAAACTAGTTTATACTCTGGAATAACTGTTATAAAGGAATATCAACAATGTTCCTTTTCTGATCATGTAAATTTGTGATTAATTATTTAAGCTTTCAAGATTTTCCAAAAGAGATGAAACATAGACTTTATTATAAAATGCTATAAATATTCAAAATATGATATAGATACCTGTACTAGTAAGAGTTATCCAGAGAAACAGAACCAATAGGAGGTAGATAGATAGATAGATAGATAGATAGATAGATAGATAGATAGATAAATGGATAGACAGATATTCTATTTGCTGGTTGGGTATTTGAGGTGATTAGGTCATGAGGGCAGAACCTTCGTGATTGGAATTGGTGCTCTTATAAAAGCAATCCCAGAGCGCTTCTTTATCCCTTCTTTCATGTGAGGAGACAGTGAGAAGATGGCCATCTATGAACAAGGAAGCACGCCTTCACCAGAAACCAAATCTGCCAGTGCCTCCATTTTGTACTTCCCAGCCTCCAGAACTGTGGTAAATAATTATCTATTGTTTAAAACCACCCTATGGTATACCTATGGTATTCTGTTATAGCCGCCAAAATTTATTAAAATAAATATAAATATATATATATGGAAAACATATATAGAGATGACACAGATATAGGTAATATAGATGTAGATATATCAATAGACAGGGAAAGATCTTCAACATTTTATTTTTAGTACAGAATAAGGTAACCTGGCATTGGAATAGGGATTTTCATGGAAATGTGAAAGAACCCCACAGCAAAATAGTTGAGATCACAAAATAGTGAAACAAAAGTAGAGTAGTTAATTTGTTTTTTTTCCTAATCTTTTTGCTTATTGCTTGTAATATTAAATTATATAAACCTGTATTTGCTTTGCTTATTCAAACTGCATGAGAAAATAAATAACAAATTAGATTTCCTGCTTATTGTTTTCATTATTTTTTAATTATTATTTCCCAACCCGTAATCGAGTACCTGCTGTTTGGAAGGCTCCCTGATAGTACTGGTGATGGTAAGCAAAAGGAGATCCAACTTCTGCCTGTCGAATTTGAGAGTCAAGCAGCAACTAACATATAAGGAAGATGATGAGGTACCATCTCTAAGACACAAATGACAAGTAAAAAGAGGGGATAAGGAAGAGAAGATTTCACATTAATGTAGTCAAATGTAAATTATCTGATGAAGGCAGTTCAGAGTCTTAGAAAACTGCAAGTCTCTCCATGGGAGTTAATTTAAATGAAGCTGCAGGTTGGGCTTGATGAGGCTGTGGGAGTGGTGAGCATGGGCCAGGCCTTCAGATGGTGCCTCTCAGAGTTGAGACGCTGTCCCTGAAATGGGAAGCAAGTCTTTTTTTTTTTTTTTTTTTTTTTTTGAGACGGAGTCTGGCTCTGTTGCCCAGGCTGGAGTGCAGTGGTGCAATCTCGGCTCACTGCAAGCTCCACCTCCCCAGTTCACGCCATTCTCCTGCCTCAGCCTCCCGAGTAGCTGGGACTACAGGCGCCCGCCACCACACCTGGCTAATTTTTTGTATTTTTAGTAGAGACGGGGTTTCACCGTGTTAGCCAGGATGGTCTCAATCTCCTGACCTCATGATCCGCCCACCTTGGCCTCCCAAAGTGCTGGGATTACAGGCGTGAGCCACCGCGCCCGGCCCGGAAGCAAGTCTTAAAAGTTATTTTGACATAGTATATATACAAGAAAGAAATCCCCAACTGGGATAGGAAGGCAAAGAGACCTGTGCAGTTGCCCCACTTCACAAACTGTGTCTTCTGGGCACATGATATCCAGGGAGTATCTGAGCAATATGAGTGATACTTTCTTTACACAAAATGCCAAGAAGCCACTGAACCATCACCCCTATCATAGGCTGGGAGAGCGAGAGTCTGCTCCATTAAAAAGACATTTGAATTAGGTTACTTTGAGTATAATTTGTCAAACTCTAAGGGAGGGTTTGGTTTTTGGTGGTGATGAAGTGAATGAAAATAGGGGCGGTTTGGATGGAAAAGTGACCGGGGAAGTTTTCGGTCCCTAACACGAAACAAGAACTTTGAGTTGCCTCCAGCTAAAGGAGACAACTCCACAGCCAAATAACAGATGCTTTAATGAGGAAACACTACTCAATTTTACTGGCTGGGCAGCATTTCAGCAGATGTGGATTTCTATGTTATTTGGAGTATTCTCTAACATATTCTGCAAATAAAATTCTGTAAGGGAAGATTGTCATCATCTTGGGTCAAACTAAGTTTAGTAATAATTACCATTCATTAAAGACCCAAAGTTTACCTAACACTGTGTCAGGTGATTTACATAGAATATATATATATATATTTGATAAGATGGGGTTTATCAAATTGACTTTGCAGGTTAAAAACTTGCAATTTTCTCAAGTTCACAAGACTGGCAAGTGACAGAATTAGACTAGACCCTGGCTCTGAATTTATCTAGAGTCCACAGCTGTCCCACTTCTTCCAGCCTCAGGCAGACCTTGTGTTACTTATTTTCTACTCACTACTTCAAAATATATCTCAGGTGATACAAAGCAAGACTTCAAACCCCAAATACTGTTTTGGAATACACAGCCCAAGGAATAAGCAACGAAAATACCAAAATAAATGCAAGTTGTGAATAAAGAAAGAGATATGTGTTGGCAATATCATTATCTGCAAAGTCAATGTCAGAAACCTCAAAAGACTAGGGACTCACAAAATCATTTGGCTCAGCCTCTTCGCTGTAGCAAGTAGATATATTTGAACAGAAGTTACATAAGAAGCTAAGTCTGCCTAGTGACAAGAAGGTATGTATCAGCAATGGTTTTCTTTTTTTTTTTTTTTCTCTCTGAAAGCACACCTGTCCAGAGCTTTCTGCTTTGTGCTTCAGATTTCCCATCTCACATCATTCTTAGGACACATCCTATTCTCTGCAACGTTTGCAGAGGGAAAACTAATGAAGAGTTTGGAATGATGTGGCATTTCTCCAGAAGCCTCTCATAGAAAGTGTAGAAACCAAAATGAAGACTCTGACGAATGAGAAGTAAAGAAACAAGCACCCCATAGTAAATGGAGTAACAGAGATCAGACTGTGTCTGCTTTTAGACCTGGAAGACTGAAGCAGGACTGTTAGGCTATTTCTCACTTATTGTTCAGTGTTCTCAGGAACATAAGAGCCTTAGTCTACATGAGTGACCTAAAGTTGAAAGAAGAAACTCAAGTCCTGTAAAGAGTCAAGGTGAGGACCCTGAGTAAGGACTGAGGGCAGACCTCTACCCTCCACAGAGATAGCCCCAAGGAGCCTGAATCTTGATGTCATCCCTGGGAGGGCACAGACAGGTGGCATTTCCTGTTTTCATTCTGGGACCTCAAGGAGTGGGAACCTCGTTCTAAGGTTTTGAGACTTAGACAGTAGAGGGAAATGTTCCATGCCCTGCCAGGAATCAAATGCATGAGTGATGACTGAGGGGACCACAGACCCTATAGTAGGGAGGTGGCACAGGACCTCCCCCTGCCATCAACCCTGAGAGGCCTTGGGCAGGGCTGTCAGGCTGACTTCTGCAAGAAGGGTTTCAGAGATATGAGGGCTTAGTCTGAGGGGAGGGTCCTCAAGTCAACAAAAAGTCCAAGGCCCTGCCATGAGTTAAGGTGATGGTCCCTAGTTAGGACTTAGGAAACCCTCTACCCTCAGAACTAAGAGAACCACACGGAGCCCCACCCTTACTGGCAGCCCTGGAATACATGGGCATTGTTGACATGATGTGACATACTTCCTCGTATGATGTCACAAGGAAGTAAGGAAGTTGGTCTGATTGTGAGTTAAGGTCAGCAGCTAGAGGATTTCCAGGTTTCTCCAGAGGCCACAGTAAGTACGTTAATAACTGAGGGGACCACATACACTATGAGTGGGAACACCACAGAATTCAACTGTTACTCTCAGCCTTGGGACAACGAGGACAGGTAAGAACAAATGAGAACAGGTGAGAAGACCCTCACGTTCCCCATAGGGCATGTTTCAGGGTTGTTTTGTCTTTAGTATGAGGGGATAAGCATTAGGAAGGGAAGGAGAAGTTCCACACCCTACCAGAGGTCAAAGCAAGTGCTAAAGGAACAATCTACCACTAAATAGAAGAGTTAAAAAAGAATCTGGCCCTACCCTGGTTTCAGTACTTGAAGGGCCAGGGCAGGGTTGTGAAGTTGAAGCTCTCCACCACCTCTTTATGTCAGGTCTATGGGAGGTGAGATCCTTAGTCTGAAGGTGCAGTAGTCACCATTCAAATGAAGGGAGTTGGGCTCCTAGGCCCTATATGCCAATGTAAGGACCCCAAGTGAGGACTGAGGATCCCAGAAAGGCCAGGACAGAAAATAATCTACTCAGCAGTCAGCACCGTGGGCACTCAGACAGCAGTGATAAGCTGAGGACCCCCTTCACATCCTTCTTATGGGTCCCAGGGAGGTTTGTAATATAACTTCAGAGGAAATGGTTCTCATGACCTGCCACCAGTTGGCATGATTGTCTTGAATGTGAAGTAAAAGGACCCCTCAACTCAGAAGACTGGCAGCCACTATGTCACCTTAATATGCCTGAGGCAGGGCTGCCAGGCTAAAGCCTATGGTTCCGTCTAACTTCCTCCAAAGGTTTCCCAAGGGGCACATTGATCAGGAGAACAGAATCCCAGTGGGTTCCTAGAGCAGTTCCGTCATGGAAAACTGCAAATGTTGTTTTTATTATAACCATGGTAGAATTTCCACGTTGAAGGTGCACAGACCCTCTCAATCTTCCTCCTCCAGTGGGCTCTCTTGACCCGTTCTCCTACTCATTCTCCTGCCTGCTGTCCTTTATCAGAGTCAACATGTCTCAGGATCAGAACAGTAAGCTCCACACTTGTGAGAAACACTACCAGATCCAAGATGACTCTCTGCTTCAGAGTGGAGCTCAGGCCAGTGAATAAGTGGAAGATGATCCCCTCCCCACTTCCTCTCCTATTCTTGGGGATATTCCCCAGAGCTCATCTGCTGCTGAGTCAAGTGGCACTTCCCAGGAGCCTTGCGAATCCAGCACCATGACTTCTGCAGGTGTTTTTAATGCAGGATCTGACGAAAGGGCTAACAGTAGAGATGAGGAGTACCCATGTTCCTCAGAGGTCTCACCCTCCACTGAGAGTTCATGCAGCAATTTCATAAATATTAAGGTGGGTTTGTTGGAGCAGTTCCTGCTCTACAAGTTCAAAATGAAACAGCGTATTTTGAAGGAAGATATGCTGAAGATTGTCAACCCAAGATACCAAAACCAGTTTGCTGAGATTCACAGAAGAGCTTCTGAGCACATTGAGGTTGTCTTTGCAGTTGACTTGAAGGAAGTCAACCCAACTTGTCACTTATATGACCTTGTCAGCAAGCTGAAACTCCCCAACAATGGGAGGATTCATGTTGGCAAAGTGTTACCCAAGACTGGTCTCCTCATGACTTTCCTGGTTGTGATCTTCCTGAAAGGCAACTGTGCCAACAAGGAAGATACCTGGAAATTTCTGGATATGATGCAAATATATGATGGGAAGAAGTACTACATCTATGGAGAGCCCAGGAAGCTCATCACTCAGGATTTCGTGAGGCTAACGTACCTGGAGTACCACCAGGTGCCCTGCAGTTATCCTGCACACTATCAATTCCTTTGGGGTCCAAGAGCCTATACTGAAACCAGCAAGATGAAAGTCCTGGAATATTTGGCCAAGGTCAATGATATTGCTCCAGGTGCCTTCTCATCACAATATGAAGAGGCTTTGCAAGATGAGGAAGAGAGCCCAAGCCAGAGATGCAGCCGAAACTGGCACTACTGCAGTGGCCAAGACTGTCTCAGGGCGAAGTTCAGCAGCTTCTCTCAACCCTATTGAAGTCTGAAGCTTTTTTCATCCAGTCAAGCAAATATAACATCACCAAAAGGGATTTTTTTTGGAAATACAAAAGAACCCCCAGTAAAATAATTGAGATAATGAAATAGAAAAAAATAATAAAACATGATCTTGGTTTTCTTCATTCCTTTCAGTCTTTTGTTTTATAAAATTAAATTAAAATTTATACCTTGATATGTTTAGCTTAACAATGTAGGATAAATTAAATTTAATAAGTTAGATCTCTTGCTCACTCTCTCTCATATTCCCCAAACATCATTTGAGTACCTGCTTTTTGGAAGGCTCTGTAACAGTACCGGAGCTGCTCAGATAAAGGCCCAGCTTCTGCCCATAGAATCTTTGAGGCTAAAAGCTGCAGTCATATAAAGTAAATGTTGAGCCACCCTCTATGACTTACAGGAAAGTAGAAAGGATCGATGAGAAGGGGGCATTCCAGTTGAGAGCAGTAAAGCATAAATTTCATGAGGCAAGACAGTTTGAGTTTTAGGAAACTGAAAGTCAATGTGTTGTAATTTTTAAATTAATTGCATGGGGGTGCTAGATGAGGCTATGAAATTGGTAAACAGAGGTCAGAACCCTCAGATGATGCATTTCAAAGTTGAGAGAGAAAACCCTTTAATGGAAAACTGAACTATAGTGTAAAGCCCAAAATTAAGGCCTAATACTATATACTGCCAGGCAGGCTAAGAGCTCCCCTTCTAATGCTGCTTGCCTAAGACAGGGTCCCATAGCTGTAGTGTATCCCTTATCTTTTTTCCTATCTATTGGAAGAGGGGGCTCAGGCAAAACCTCTGTCTCCTCTTTGTTATTTTGGCCCGATGATAGTGGGGCTGAGGGATAAGGAGGCAGTAAGGTAGGTGATGGTTCCTCTTCCCTCCCCTTTTTAGGCTCTTCTGTGTATAACGGGACCAAAGCCACCCTAACTAAAGCCCATAATGTTAAAGATGTTACTGGGACCCGTTGCCCTTGCACATGATGCTGTTTAAGATTTCTCCCACTTGTTCCCAGAGCTCTACATCTAGCATACCTTCTTCTGGGAACCATGGGTTATGAGATACAACAGTTTGCATTAGGTCCCTTAATTGAGCCTGTGAAACCAAGCCTCCACTAGCTTTAAGCAGCTGTTTCAATACTTTTATATACTGTTTCTTTTGAGCTGATAACTGTTGTCCCATGATGAAACCCTAGCCTGAACAATTCCCTCGAACTTGGAAATCCTGAGCAGGCACCGATGACTTACTGATTTACTGACTTACTGACTGCACAGTCTCCTTACCTTTGTTTTGGAGGGTTCCTTCATGATTTGTTGCAGCATTCCTCTCACAGGGCACCACCTGCCGGGGTCTGACCCGCAGACCATGGCCAAATGATGGATGAAAGAATGCACTCAGACACAGACATCCAGTGAAAGAGTGGGCTAGGGGACCGGCCACGCACAGACCCCACGGAGGGTGCTGTAAAGAGTCAGCAGCTGCAGCTGCTGGTGCTGCAGGCATTTATTCAGCACAGATTTAATGAGAAAGGCTTTGAGACAACACACTTGTGGATAATTAACATGGTGGCCCCTCTGGAGAGAGCAGTCCTGCACATGGATGATTAAAGGCCAGGTTCCGAGGCCTAAGTAAATTAACTTATCTAGATCAGTTTCTTTACATCCCCTTGTTATCTAACCTAAGCTCTTAAGAGAACTCAGCTGCCTTCAGCCAAATTTTCTTTGGAAGCTTTGCAAACCCCTGGCTTTCCAAGAAGGTTTGCATCTTTCTACAATTTTTCCCACCACCCTGACTGATCTCCTACAATATATTGCCTTCGATTTTTCAAATGACCTAACTAGAAATTCCTCTCTACACTATGCACTTGCAGATTAAGTCCCTTAGCCAAACAACTGTCTTTACTAAGAGAACCAGGCACAGATCTTGTTTTCTTTCCCTGACAGCCTTCAGAATTATTCACACAAGCCAATCACGTCTTCCCATGAGAACTAGAGGTCACCTCTCCCTCTTGATCTACAAATCATGCCTCCCAGAGACCTTATTCATTCACTCTGTTCCTGAGTACAACCCTTGTGTGACCCTGTGTGGTATGTGGTATACTGCTACCCTGGGCTGTGAGTATATGTGATTAATAAACTGCTGTTGACCTCATCTGTACAGTGCCCAGTATCATGTGTTTGAATACCACATAACCATAATATGGAAATTCCTTCCTCACCAATAAACAGGACACCACTAAAGCATGCTTTTATGAATTACTTTGAGATCATAGATAATCCAGAAAGAAATCTTTACATTTAGACTAGTGGCTTACACAACAGAAGTTTATTTTCTCACAGTTCTGGAGGCTGTAAGTCCAAGATCAAGGTGCCAGCAGGGTTGGTTTCCTCTGAGGCCTCTCTCAGCTTGCAGAAGGCTGCCCTCTTGCAGCCTCTTCACATTGTTGTCCTTTTGTGTGTGTGCATCCCCGGTGTTTCCTAGTGTGTCCTAACCTCTTCTTTTCAGGACTCCAGTCAGATTTTATAAAAGTACTCTAATGGCCTCATTTTAACTAATCACCTGTTTAAAGACCTTATCTCCAAATAGAGTCACATTCTGAGGTACTGGGGGTTAGGACTTGAGCCTGTGAATTTGAGGTTGGGGGCAAAATTAATTTCATAATAGACAGGAATTAGAGATACATTTGCTCTTATCTCAGTACAGTAGAACACAATGCACAAGCTACGTTTTCTATGCAAATTGTCTCCAGGGAGTTTCCCTAAATTAAGAGTGAGATGCACGAAAGCCACTGTGTTGGCTTTTTTTTTTCTTTTTACCTAGAATTGGAAGAAAGAACTAGATCCTACTAGGAAAAGACATTCTAATGAGATTATCCTGAGTGTAATTTGGCAGATTCTAAGGGAGGGCTAGATTTTGGTGGGGAAGAAATGAATGAAAATATACGGGGTTTGGATGGAAGTGTAGCTGGGATGCACTGAAGGAGTTAGTCCTTAACAAAATTCTAGAAGATTTGAATTGTATCCAGATGGGGAAGAACCCCCAACATCCAAATTAAATAATGGATTCCCTAGTGGGGAAAATCTAATTTTACTTGCTACAGCAAATTTTTGGATGATTTGGTGTTGTTTGAGAGCATTGCATTTTCTCTGACATATCCTGGATTTTTAAAAAATCTCAGATAAGAAGATAATCATAAATAATCATAAATAAATGTCATTTATTAAACACCTAACATTTGCCAGTGACTGTGAAAGATTAAGTCTTAGTGATGAAGAGAATTAGATTAGTGTGTGTTTTCTGACAGCCACCTCCTATCCCAGGACCTCTGCCTCGTTCTTCAGCTTCCCCATTTCACATCACTCCACTTGGACACAGACCTATTCTGCTCAAGATTTTTCAGGAGTGTGGCATTTCCCAGGAAGCTTTTCATTAAAGAGACAGGAGCCAAGGATGTCAGGGCCTTGCTGCAAAGGGCTCTCATTGAAGTAAGGCTCTAAGAGAAGTCAAATTGGGAATCCTCTGTGAGACTGAGGGAACTACCCACTCCAGAACAGAGAAGGCACCACAGATGTCACCCCTGCAGTCAGCCTTGAGAACACTTTCACTGGGAATATGGGTAGGACTCACTTCCACCCGAGGGTCACAGAAAGGTGAGGGACGTGGCCTAAGGCAGGCCACCTTAGCACACGTGCAAGCTAGCGAGGGGTCTTAGGCTCAGGCAGAAGTCAAGGTGAGAATACCTAATGAGAGTAAGAGAACCACCCACCTCAGAAGCATGCCCCGGGCCTTCTCCCCCAAAAAGCCTGACCCCTGTTCTCAGTCTTGGGAGGCACTGAACAGAGTAGACAGGATGAGATGTGTGCTCACTTCTGCCTCTAGGGCCTCGGGGAGGTGAGGGTCTTAGTAAAAGTACGTGAACCCAGAGCAGCTGAGGGAGAAGGAGCAAACCCTAGCAGCAGTCAAGGTGAGGAAGGTTAGGTGGAGAATCCCATCAAGCTCTTGTTTGCAGCTCCCTGAGTGCCCGAACATGGATGTCAAGTATATGTGAGCTCTCCTTTCCTACTTGATGATACCGGGAGCTGAGGTCCTTGGCCTGGAGTGGGCAGGGGACAGAGGGCTAAGGTCAGCAAAGGAAGGAGTACCATGCCTTTCAGGGAATCAACAGCAGAAGCCTGCGTGATTTCTGAGGGACCACTGATCTCAGAAGAGTACCGTAGCACAAAGCCTGCTCCTGCCATCAAACTTAGGAAGCCCTGGGCCAGGCTGACTTCTTCAAGGGGGTCTCAGAGATGTGAGGGCCTTGGTCTAAGGGAAGAGTACTCAAGTCAGCAAAGAAAAGCAGCCAAGGTGCAGCCAGGAATCAAAGTAAGTGCCCTACATGAGGACTGAAGGAACCCCTGCTCTACTGGCACCCTGGGATGCCTGTGCACTGATTACATGACTTGCACTCATTTCCTGCTGTGGTATGGGGGCGTTTATTGGTAATGATGGTGAGGGATTTTGTCTAAAGTAGATGGCCTGAGGTCTGCAGTAGGAGGATTTCCAGGTATTACTAGGAATTAAGGTGAAGACATGGTGTCGGAGGGGAACACCAAATTCATCCCCTATTCTCAGCCTTGGAAGACCACAGGCAGGTGAGGTGGTACCCATATCTTACTAGAGAGTCTCAGGAGAATCTGGTGGGAATAGAGAAGCCCTGGGCCATGCCAAGAGACAAAGGAAGGGTTGGGAGGACCACCCACCATTGAATAGATAACAAAGCATCTGTGCCCCACCCTTGCACTCAGTACTTAAAGGACCAGGGCAGGACTATCAGGCTGAGGCTCCTCCCCACTTCTTTATATATATAAAATCTAAGGCAGATGAAATCTTTGGTGTATGATTGTAGCCACCAGTCAGCAAAAGGGAAGTCTTCCAGGAACTACCTAGAGATCAGGTGGATTCCTAGAATGAGAACTGAAGACCCAAGCATCTCATGACAGAGAGACCTCCATATAGCTCCCAGTTGGGTGCCCTCTGACAGAGATGGTGGACTGAGATCCTCCTTCACTTTATCGTCTGGGGTCTCAGGGAGGTGCTGGCTTTGGTTTGAGGTGTCAACTTCAGAGCAGCAGAAGGGAGGGGAACCAGGGCCTGCCAACAATTGATATGATGATTACGATTATGAACTTAGACCCCCACACTCCATAACAGAGAACCCCCATTACCAGCCCCTGCCACCATCTCAGTACACCTAAGGCAGGGTTGGCAGGCTGCAGCCTAAAACTCACTCTAACTTTATCCACAGGGTTCTCAGTGGAGAGGCTGACCAGGAGAACAGGAGCTCCATGGGTTCCTAAAGCAGTGCTCTTGGAAACCTGTGGCTGTGGCCTTTGTTAAAGCCATGGTAGTCTCTCCCTGCTGCTGGTGCTCACACCATCTCATTCTCCCTCCTTCAGGTGCCCACATTGCCAGCCATCCTGTCCACACTTTTTCCTACTCTGCCTAACCAGAGTCATCATGTCTTGGTATCAGAAAAGTAAGTTCCATGTCCATAAGAAATGTCACCAGACTCAAAGTAAGACTCGGGGTAATGGGGGTACTCAGGCAATAGTAGTGGCAGCAGAAGAGTCTCCTCCCTCCTCACCTCTTCTTTGTGGAGGTGTTACTGAGAGCCTACCTACTGCTGGGTCATGTAGCACTTTGAAGGAGCCTCAGAAAGCCTCATCCACCACTACTTAAATAGGCATTTTTTGCACTAGATCTGATAAATTTCCCAATGGCCAAGATAAGGAAAAGAAAAGCACGGCTGAGGCCCCACCTTCCAGTAAGAACTCATGCAGAGACCCTCAAACCAGGAAAGCTGGGTTGTTGGAGCAGTTCCTGCTCTACAAGTATAAAATGAAACAGCCCATTACAAAGGAAGATATGCTGAAGGTTGTCAACTAAAAATACCGAAATCAGTATGCTGAGATCCTCAGAAGAACTTCTGAGTGCATTAAGGTTGCCTTTACGTTAATATGAAGGAAGTCAATTCAACCCATCACTCATATGACCTTGTTATGACCTTGTAAAGCTAAAAGTTCCCAACAATGGGAGGGTGTTTGGTGGCAGGGGGTTACCCAAGACTGGTCTCCTGATAAATCTTCTGAGTGTGATCTTCATAAAGAGCAACTGTGCCATTGGGGAAGACATCTGGAAATTCCTAGATATGATGTGAACATATGCTGGGAGGAAGCACTACACTATGGAGAGCTCAAGAAGCTCATCACTCAGGATTTGATGAGGCTAAAAAGTACCTGGAGTACTGCTCAACAGTGATCCTGCACGCTATGAATTCCTTTGGGATTTAAGAGCACATCTTGAAACCAGTAAGATGAAAGTCCTGAAGTTTTGGCAAAGGTCAGTGATACTGTCCCTAGTGTCTCCACATCCCATTATGAAGAGGCTTTGTGAGATGAGGAAGAGAGAGCCCAAGCCATAGATGCAGCCATGCCTGGCGCTACTGCCAAAGCTAGTGCAGTTTCCAGAGCCATATGTCCAGCATATCTTCCTACCTCTACTGAGGACTGAGGACTTTTGATCATTCAGATAAGAAGATACGACACCACAGGAAAGATTTTCTTGAAAATTTGAAATAATCACACAGTAAAATAAGTAGGGTAATACAATGGAGAAAAAAATAAAACACGATTAATCCTTGTTTTCTCTGATTTTTCTTAATCTTTAGTTCTGTAAAATTAACTCATTTGTACTTTGCTTCTCTTAGCTTATTCAATAAAGTGGAACAAAAAATCTTAATAAATTAGGAATTAGACCTTGTGTTCACTGGCTCTTCTAGTGACCAAACATTAATTGAGCATCTGCTCTCCAGAAGGCTCTGTGCTAATACTGGAGATGCTCAGATAAATACCCACTCCCTGCTTATAGAAGTTTTGAGCCTATGAGCTACGATCATTTAACTGCCCTTTATGACCTATAGTTAAATTAAAAATAATGAGTGAGGATGAGGGTGTTCCTTATGAGAGCAACCAAGAGGGAATTTCCTAAGCCAGGCAGTTTGGGGCTTTGGAAAACTGCAAGTCCTCGGTGGAATGTAACTTTCATTTAAGTTGGTGGGCTAGCTGAGGTTCTGGAATTGATGAGTAGCAGCCATACCCTCGATGGGTGTGCTTCAGTTGAGAGATAAAATCCCAAGAGTTACTGTACTTGGGCTTCTATAAACAAAATACCATAATCTGGGTGGCCTAAACAACATAAACTGATTCCTCACAGTTCTGGAAGCTGGGAAGTCCAAGATCAAGGAGCCAACATATTCAGTTCCTAATGAGGGTACTCTTCCTGGATTGCATAAAGTCACATTTTCTGTGTCTCCTTACAAGGAGGGGAGAGAGTGAGTTCTAGTCTCTCTTCCTCTTATAGAGACACAAATCCTAATGTGGGGTCCCTACCCTTATAACATCACCTAAAAGTAATTATCTCTCAAAGGCCCACTCCAAATATCATAATGTTGGGAGCTAGGCCTTCATTACATGAATTTTTGGGGAAATACAACGTTCACTCTATAATGGAAAATTGCTTCTATTGGGATTGTGGGTAAACCAGAGACAAATCTCCACGTGGGCAGGGTGGGAAGGTGTATTGTGCTCTAGTTCCAGTGCAGGTAAACATAGTTTGCAAATTAGGTGTTCTAAACACATGTTCTACAAGGAGTTTCTGAAGAATAAGAATGATAATCCTTTGAGAGGAAATGCACAGAAGCCACTATGTTGGCAGTTTTTGCCTTGAAATGGGAGAATTAGATCCCGGTGCATTAAAAGGACATTTTGATTTAGTTATATTGAGGATAATTTGGCAAACTCTTAAAAGAGGGCTAGATTTTGTTAAGGGTATAAGGAATGTAAACAAAGATGGTTTGGGATGGAAAGGCACCTGAGAAGGATACGAGAACTTGTGCCTTGACACCAATTTTAGGAGCTTGAGTTACATCTAGCTGGGGAAGACAACCCCACAACTGAATTAAACAACAGGTGCCCTCATGGACAATATTTACATAACTTTACTTGCTAGGGATAATTTTTGGATGATTCAATATTTTTGTACAAGAGTATTCCATATTCTCTAACATCTGGACCAAAACAAACAAACAAACAAACAAACAAAAACTTCCAAGTGTGGTGGATTCTATCCTCTTGAATCAAAATAATAATATTAAAAACTGCCATTCTTTAAATATTGGGTAATATATTCCAGTCATCTTGCCATGTGGTTTATATGTAGTACATACATTCTAATGGTCTTACAAGATAAGGCTTACCAAATTCATTTGGCAGATAATAGACTTCCAATTTTCTCAAGTTCACAAGACTGGTAAATGGCAGAGCTAGGACAAGAGTCCTGGTCTGAATTTGTCTAGAGTCTAAACCATTCCACTCTTCCCACCTGAGGTAGACATGTTGTCTCTTAATGAACCTTTTAATCTCACTATTCCAAAATGTATTTCAGGCAAAAAAAAAGGAGACACTTGTAGTCAAAGTACTAAAAGCAGGCCTATAAAAGGAAGTTAAGTGTGAGAATAAATCAAAATTTGGAGATTGTCTTTAAACTTCATTAACCTAGGATCCTGCTGCTTTGAGGCCCATGGTATCCCTGAGAACTAACTCTGTCCAGGAGCTATTTCATCCAGCTCTTGCTGTTTCCATCATTACAACACCTTTCTCCTGGAATTTCTCCAGTGTGCACCCCTAACTCTGGAACCTGACCTGCTGGCCAGCTCTTCACTCTGCATCCTCCTCTGAAGACTATTACTTGCTCTCCTCATGATTTAGAGCATTCAAACTCTGTAGTGGTCACTTCCTTCACTTTGGATGCATATCAACTTTGTATTCCTATTTATATGATAACTTGAAGATCTTCCTCCTTCCTTCCTTTCCTTCTCTTTCTTATTTTTCAAATGTTTCTTTAAAAATTAGTTTAAATCGTTTCTGAGTATGAGTTTATAGATCACGTGGTTTACACATTTATTGCTGTGTATCGAGTTTAAAAGTAGGAGTTTTTATATTTTGTGAAACAAGTTGGAGAAACTTTCCATCTCATTTTGTGATCCAGAACAGGATAATATGGCATTGAAATAGGTGTTTCTCTGGAAATGTGAGATTACTCAGCAATAAAACCGTTGGGTTCAAGAAATAGAGCAAAATATGTGCCACAAAATCAGATTTTTAGGCCTTTATAAGGACTTTGATGTAAATAAACTCATGTCCAAACAACAACAACAAAGAAATAGAGCAAAATAAAGTAAAAGATTGTCAATTCTTGTCTTCCCTATTATTTTTAGTCTGTTGGTCTGTAAAATTAAATGACTTAGATCTGGATTTGCTTACCTTATTTAAGAATTTAGGAGAAATTAAATCTTATTAACTTAGATACTGTGCTCATTGGCTCATTTATTCCCTTAACATTAATTGGACATCTGCTCTTTGGAATACACTGTGCTGTTGCTGAAGATGTCAGGATTTTCATGTCTAGGAGCAATAGTATCACAAGGAAGATTGTGAGATACGCTATACCAGAAGGACAAATAAAAAGAAAGAATGAAGAGGGTTGTGGTCCACATGAGTGTAGTAAATTGGCAGTTAAGTGTAAATGCCTCAAGGCAAGTCTGTTGAGGGAAACTGCAAATTCATGAGAGTGACTGAAGTTTAAATTTTGCTATGTCATGAGGAGTTAGAACTTTGGGAATGGGGAACAAGAGTCAGCCCTTTAGATAGTGTGTGTCAGAGACTAAATCTTGGAATGCAAAGTGGCCCTCGAATCCTGGATAAACAGTAAAGAAACTTCCCATTGGTAGAGTCCAAGGTAGATGTTCTGGGCCCTTTCCCATTGCATTTGAACACAGTTTGCAAAGTAGTTGTTTTACCTATATCTTCTCAAAAGATTTACTGAAAAATAAGTGTTATATTCTTTTGAGCTGATCTTTGGAAACCAGTTGGCTGGCACGCTTTCCTTTGGCTTGAGGGAGTCCAATTCAAGTACATTGCAATAAAATTGTAATATCTTGAATATAATTTGGCAAGGGCTGAGTGTTTCATGGCTGTGAAATGAGTGGCAATTGGGATGTTGATTGAAGATACAGCTGGGAGCAAAACAAAGGAGAATAACGTAATAGTATATGGCCCCTTACACAACTACTAGGTCATTTGAATGGCATTCAGATTGAAACAATTGGCCCATATTCATACTAAATAACTTTCTCTCCATTGTTTAGTTCTATTTATTAAGTAGTAATTTTGACTCTTGGTATTCTGGGTCCTAAGTACCTCAGATTCCCTGAGAACTGCTCAATAGTTTCTTTAAAATTCTAGAAGGTAAGGTAGCAATCAGCACCAGTAATGGTAACAACTTTCATTTACTAAAGGTTTAATACATGTGGAGAGGTTGGCTAGGTTCTTTGCATTTATTATCTCTGACCTTTCCAACAGCCTTGCAAAATGAAGCTAATTTTTCAGATGCAGAACTCAAGAATCAAAGTTTTGGAAATTTCCCCAATATTGCATAGCTAGTAAGTGACAAAGGTTGGACTGTTGTAATCTGTGTAGATCTCAAACTGTCTCCACTCTTCCCGGCCTGAAGTAGTCTCTGTGTCTCCTCTTTAAGTGCTCTTCCCACTATTCATAATATCTCATGTAAGATAAAAATAACTCTGTAGCCAACGTTCTAAAACCAGGCCTAACGAGGGTAAAATAAATGTAAATAGAAATAAAACACAATTTTGGGATTGCCAATTGGATTCATTTACTCAGGCTCTTTCTGTCTTCACACGAGGGTTCCTTGAAAGCTGATGCTGTTCCGGCAGCTGTATTTTATCCAAATGTAGCACAATACCACATTACAGGACCCTCCACCTCAGCCTTCCCAGTGTGTTTTTCTGTCAAATTATGTGTCTTGACGTGCTAACCAGCTCTTCTTCGCAGCCTCTTCCACTGCTCCCAATGGAAAAAATAAATCAGAATCACCGGTCTTCTCTCTAACTCAGAGGTTTCCTAGTCTCTGAAGATGACCCTTATTTGTCCCATCCCAACCGTGCCCCATCTCCACCCCATAACAACCCCATTCAATGTAAAAGTTTACTTTGGAGAGTGAGGTTTATATACCTGATCATATCTTCTCCCCAGGTCCATTTGTGTAAATTTCCTTATCGTTTAATCTCCCTGGTCTTGTTTTTTTAACCTTGCTCATAAGCCATGCCTAGTGATGGAGCTGAGGTGTGACAGCAGGATACTCAGGAAGCCTTCCCTTGCTATCCTCACCACCACCTCTTGCCAGCCTGTGTTAGATGTGCGTACTCTGTATTTCCTCAGTGCAACCCTTGTTAGTTGGATGTATTAATAAAATTAGAGAAGAGGTTTTTTGAAACCTCACTGATATTTGCATTTTATTCTCTTTTAGAAAAAACAATTCATACCTACAGGGTAGTTACCATGTGGCAGACATAGTTTATCTGATTCATGTCATGTATTTCTTACAATAGACCTATGAGGTCTATACTATTATTATGCCCTGTTTAGAAATTAGAAACTAAAGCTCTATCATTTATCTTCACAATAAACCTTTATTGTTTTCTTCCTTCTGTCAGCTTTGGGTGTAGTTAGCTCTTCTTTTCCTATTTGTGGGCTATTATCCTTTGTTGATCTATATGTTTATTCTTTTTGCCAATTTCACACTGTCTTGATTACTATAGCTTTATAGTAAGTCTCAAAGTCAGGTACTGTCTATCCTCTGAAGCTGTTCTTCTCCTTCAATATTGTGTTGGCTACTCAAGGTCATTTCTCTCTACATATGAAATGTAGAACTAGTTTGTTGATATCCACAAAATAACTTTCTGAGAATATGACTGGGATTACACTGAATTTATAAAAATGGGAAACTCTGACATCTTGACAATAATTTCTATCCATGAAAATAGAATATTTCTCAAATTTTGTGTTCTTTATGATTTCTTTCATCAGAATTTCATAGTTTTTCTCATATAGATCTTATACATATTTTGTTAGATTTATACCTACAGATTTCATTGTTGAGGTATTATGTCAATGGTAATGTGTTTTAAATTTCAAATTCTACTTGTTCATTTCTTTTATTTAGAAAAGTGATCAATGTTTGACCTTATATCCTGAAACCTTGAAACAGGAAATCAGTAGAGATATAGTTTTACAACCAATCCAAGTATACTTTCAAGTAATTCTATATCACCTCAAAGATATTGCAAGTACCTTAAAATAACAAAATATTTCTAATTTCTCCCTCCTGTCTGTTGTTATCATTTCTGCCATTCATTTCACTTATATATAAGCTATTATCATTGAATACTGAGTTGTTATTTTGAATGAATTGATATCTATTAGACAAATCAAAAATAAGAAAAATAAAAAGTTCTTATTTTACCTTCACTTATGACTTCTCTTCCATTATGTGGATCCAAGTTTCTGACCTATCATTTTCCTTCTTTTCAAACCTTCTTTTAAGATTTCTTGCAAGGTAGATCTACTGGCAAGAAATTCCCTCAATTTTTGTTTGTCAGGGAAAGTATTTATTTCTCCTTCTCTTCTGAAGGATAATTTCACAGGGTAAGTGTATTAGTCTGTTTTCATACTGCTATAAAGAACTGCCCAAGACTGGGTAATTTATAAAGGAAAAAGGTTTAATTTACACACAGCTCAGCATAGCTGGCATATTAGTCCATTTTCATGCTGCTGATAAAGACATACCTGAGACTGGGCAATTTACAAAAGAAAGAGGTTTACATTTCCACGTGGCTGAGGAAGCCTCATAATCATGACAAAAGGCAAGGAGAAGCAACTCACGTCTTACATGGACAGCAGCAGGCAAAGAGAGAGTGAGAGCCAAGCAAAAGGAGTTTCTCCTTATAAAACCATCCGATCTCATGAGACTTATTCACTACCACGAGAATAGTATGGGAGCAACAGCCCCCATGATTCAATTATCTCCCACCAGGTCCCTCCCACAACAATGGGAATTATGAGATATACAATTTAAGATGAGATTTGGGTGGGGACAGAGCCAAACTATACCATTCTGCCCCTGGCCCTTCTCAAATCTCATGTCCTCACATTTCAAAACCAATCATGCCTTCCCAACAGTCCCCCAAAGTCTTAACTCATTCTGGCATTAACTCAAAAGTCTAAGTCCAAAGTCTCATCTGAGACAAGGCAAGTCCCTTCTGCCTATGAGCCTGTGAAATCAAAAGCAAATTCGTTACTTCCTAGATAAAATGGGGGTACAGGCATTTGGTAAATACACCCATTCCAAATGGGAGAAATTGGCCAAAACAAAGGGACTACAGGCCCCATGCAAATCCAAAGTCCAATAGAGCAGTCATTAAACCTTAAAGTTCCAAAATAATCTTCTTTGACTCCATGTCTGACATCCAGGTCATGCTGATGCAAGAGGTGGTCACACACAGCCTAGGGCATCTCTGTCCCTGTGGCTTTGCAGGGTATAGCTCCCCTCTTGGCTGTTTTCACAGGCTGGTGTTTAGTGTCTGTGGCTTTTCCTGGCACACAGTGCAAGCTGTCAGTGAATCTACCATTCTGAGGTCTGGAGAACAGTGGCCCTCTTCTCACAGCTCCACTAGGTAGTGCCCCAGTGGTGACTCTGTGTGGAGACTCTGACCTCACATCTCCCTTCTGCACTGCCCTAGAAGTGGCTCTCCATGAGGGCTCCACCCCTGCAGCAAATTCTTGTCTGGACATCCAGGCGTTTCCATACATCCTCTGAAATCTAGGCAGAGTTTCTCAAACCTCAGTTCTTGACTTCTATGTGCCTGCAGGCCAAAGGGCACATGTAAGCCATCAAGGCTTGGGGCTTGCACCCTCTGAAGGAACAGCCTGAGCTGTAAATTAGCCCCTTTTAGCCATGGCTGGGACGCAGGGTGCCAAGTCGCAAGACTGCACAAAGCAGTAAGGCACTGGGCCTGGCCCACAAAACAATTTTCTCCTCCTAGGCCTCCAGATCTGTGATGGGAGGGGCTTCCATGAAGACCTCTGACATGCCTAGAGACATATTCCCCATTGTCTTTGTGGTTAACATTTGGTTCCTTGTTACTTACACAAATTTCTATAGCTGGCTTGAATTTATCTGCCAAAAATGGGTTTTTCTTTTCTGTTGCATCATCAGGTTGCAAATTTTCCAAACTTTTATGCTCTGTTTCCCTTTTAAATGTAAGTTCCAGTTTTGGATCATCTCCCACACGTTCAAAATTCCAGAGAGCTCTAGGGCAGGAGCAAAATGCCTCCAGTCTCCTTGTTAAAGCACAGCAAGAGTGACCTTTGCTCCAGTTCCCAATAAGTTCCTCATCTCCGTCCGAGACCACCTCAGTGTGGACTTCATTGTCTATATCACCATCAGCATTTCGGTCAAAACCATTGAACAAGTCTCTAGGAAGTTTCAAACTTTCCCACATCTTCCTGTCTTCTTCTGAGCCCTCCAAATTTTTCAAACTTCTGCCTGTTACCCAGTTCCAAAGTCACTTCCACATTTTTTGGTATCTTTATAACAGCACCCCACTCTCTGTGGTACCAGTTTATTGTATTCATCTGTTCTCATGCAGGTATGAAGAAATACTGAAGACTGAGTAATTTACAAAGGAAAAAAGTGTAATTGACTCAAAGTTCAGCATAGCTGGAGAGGCCTCAGGAAACTTACAGTTATGGTGGAAGGCTAATGGGGAAGCAAGGCACGTCTTCACAAGGCAACAGGAAGGAGAAGAGAGCGTGCAGGGAAAATATCAGATGCTTAGACCTTCAGATCTCAGGAGACTCACTCATTATCATGAAAACAACATGGGGAAAACTACCCCCATGATCCAATTACCTCCACCTGGTCCCACCCTTGACATGTGGGGATTGCAGGGATTACAATTCAAGGTGAGATTTGGGTGGTAACACAGAGCCAAACCATATCAGTAAGATTCTAGGTTGATGGATTTTTTTTCTCTCAACACTAAATATTTCACACCACTCATATATTTTGTATGGTTTCTGAGGAAATGTCAAATGTAACTCACATCTTTGCTCCTCTATAGGTATGGTGATTTTTTTTCTCTTTTAAGATTTTTTCTTCATCTTTGATTTTCTGCAATTTGAATATGATATGCCCAGTTGTTCTTCTTTCTTTCTTTTTTTTAATTTATTTTGTTTGGTGTTCTCTAAGCTTTCAGGATCTATGGTTTGGTGCCTGCCATGGACTGAATGTTTGTGTCCTCCCCAAATTCTTATGTTGATAACTAATCCCAAAGTGATGATCTCTCTCTCTCTCTCTCTGTGCGTGTGTGTGTGTGTGTGTGTGTGTATTTGTGTGTGTGTGAGTTGGAGCATGCCTTCTACACTCAGTCTGGCAATTTACAACTTTGCCTATACTTTCCGTCCTGCTTGTACAGAGCATAGAGGTGAACCTGAGGTGAGAGATTAGGGGCTCTTGGGTAATTTTTTGAGCAGTTCTCGGCCCTAGGCATGCATATGGCCTTTTAGATTCCCAGAAGTATGTGGTAGTTTTTCAAAGCCTTTATTCCAAAAAGCAAATCACTCTTTTCTTCCCATGCTTTTTGTTTGCCTATTCTTTGCCCCAACTGTTATCCCTTGCCTAGGGTGGCAGTGACTAATATATTTGCCTTTAAGTGATTTTTGACACCTGCTCCAGAACTGTTCCCACCCTAGAAGAGCTGTGATTTAGGAAAAATAAAGAGTCCTTTGAGCCCATCCTTCAGGGAGTCAGCAGACAGGCAAAAACAACTACAATTTCCTGAGAACAACATCTGTTTTGCTCTCTCTGGCATAAGGAATCCAGATGTGGAATGCAGACTCCCACCCTCAAGGCCACCACCGACTATAAAAGCCAGCGATAGTTAAAATTCCACAAACGTCTTCTACCAAGATTGTGCCACCTTTTCTTGATTAACCATTCTCCCTCATTGTTGTAAACCTGTGATTAATTTCCAGAGTTCTAATAAAACTGATTCTGATGATTTCTGCCAATGTATTAGAAGTGTTGTTTAGGAATAGACTTTTGGAGTTCTCTACTCCACCATTTTCACTGACTTCACTTCAATCCCCTATTTTTGACGAGAAACAGCCTTAACTTTTATGATTGTGAAGTGTTTCACAATGTATATTTTATTTTTCACCACATGTTTGAAATGGCAATGGCAAAAGGCTTGTGTATTGCTGGCTCAAGAAACAAAAAGTGGCTGAATATCACTATGTACATAATAGGATTGTAAACAAAAGTGAAGGCTTTTATGATTGATTTTTAGTTTTTTCAGGATTCTTTCTGGTCTCATTGAATTCACACTTTAAAAGATAAAAGTTGTTTAAGAAATGTGCATTCCCTTCTACAATAATATTTAAATAATAGAGCATTTAAATACATTTTTTCATACAATCATACATTATTTTCTTCGAGTTATTTTTCCATCAGTGTTACTAGTCTTGGATTAATAAGTCATTTTAAAATTCGACCCAATAAATATAGTGCTATGTGGTTTGCAAAATGTCACACAAAATTAGTAATGGCATTCATATTTTAATTTGCATCCATAATCACATAGCTTATGGAATGGTGAACTTCTTAGTTTTCCTTGGAAATCTATGATATACCTACCAGGAGACCAGAGCCAATTTACATAAATCAAGTAATTTGTCTAGAATACCACTTCTATGTAATTATTTAAAAAAATAAAATCTTTTAAAATATTGATTTCAGAAATAGTAATATATAATTTATGATGGCATTTAGCCTTCTGTGTGTACACTAGATAGCAAAATAATAATGCCCATTCTTACAAAGAGTGCATATTGTGAGTAGTAATGGGAGTCCCATTAGAATTAACATGTAAAATTACTTTCATTGCATGAAAAGCTGCTTGTGAAAACTGAAATTTAGGCCACAAAGCTGAAATACTGCATGGATCTAAGCCACCTGCTATCCATGTATATGATACTATTCTTAAAGCAATGTTTGGAAATTTAAGAGTTTGGCATATGAGAATTGTAGGGGTAGTTCCCATTATAGTAAGATTATTTTTGAATCAAATGTGACTAGTTCATGATGTGGTCCAGTGGTGTATAAAATTTATTTTAGAGAAACAATTTCTTTGGACCAATGCATAAAACAGAAGCTAAAATTTCTTCTTTTGACTTCCATTCATGTGACCATACTGATTAAAATTCTTCCAACCCTCAAATTACTAATTTGTTTTTAGCCTTTGCAGATGGGGAGTTATTCATTTTGCAAATAAGAGTTACTTGTCTTTTGAATTTCATTTTACATAGCATAATTCTATATAGCTGGGAGAACTTTCTGTAATTAATTGCAGAAAACTAAGGGTAAGTAAATTTCTTAACAAAAATCTTTAAAATGATATAGCACACTGTTCTTTATAAAATGAAAGTATTGTGCTGAATATAATGTATATATATATAATTTAAGTCAGATCATCCCACACGTATAATCCAAAATGTATTTATGTAGAAGAAAATAATTGTACTTACCTGTCATTGAGTTAAATTTTTTATCTGATTATTTAGCTGGAAGTAAAAATCATTAAATGGCTGAGGTAATAAAGAAAATAATGAATCAATGTCTTCTATTTTGTAGTCTTTGCTAGGATATTGTGAAAATAACAAAAATACCACAAATTAGAATTCCATTAAATTATCTTGCACAGTAATTAACAATGCTCCTAATATACTTTAATATAGTGATACTTAATTTGAACAATCAAATAAGATTAAATAACATACATTATCTTTTGAAAATATCTCTATTCCCAGTGTGCAGGACAGCATAAGGCATATTATCAATACTCAGTGAATGTATAAGATAGGCAAATCAACAGATTAACAGCATTATATGTTGAATTATAGTTGCTATTTTGTGTTGAATCACATGCTCTTGGAAACTGGTTATTTTTGCATGAACTTTCTATCAATTCTTCAAACAGAATATTAACTTAATCAGCTCACTGCATTATCCTTCCAAGCCAGATAATAGAAAAAAATACTACTATGTAGAACAAATGAATACCTTTAACCTTTAAGAACAATAAAGGTCCATAGAATGTGAGAAGTGAAGAGGGACCATAAAGGTACTAACAAGAAGACACACTTTAAATCCCCTCCTTGCCTTGTTGTATTATCTAAAATAAGGAGTTTCAGGTAATGGCAACAATCCAGTCAAAAAACTCAGGACAAGCATTTAGAAATTATACTTCTGGACTGTGAGGTCAGTGGTTGGGTTAAAAAATTGATGTTGAATAATCTTTCAATGTGGAGCAAATGTGATGGCTATGTACATAAATTCCACTTTTTGTTTTGGTTTATGTAGTCCTGAAATTCCCAGAGATTTTTGCTGATGAATATTATTTTATGTTACTATTTTAAAGTATATTTGTTAAGTCATAAATTTCATCAGATACCTCATTTTGTTTTACTGCTTTGCAAGAGTTATTATTGTCATAAGAAATAGTGTTTAATTACTAATTATTCTCTAAATTGTTCAGGCAGTTAAATGGACCTCTGTGACATCTAAAACACTAAATAATAAGTTAAGACATTAAAGTTCAAAAGGTGCAAGAAATAGGCATGTATATTGCTTTGTGATGAAAGCTGTCAAAATTCCAAGATTTTTTTGACTACCAAAGTGGAAAGAACAGATAAGAATAACTAAAAACTATGACTCTTCATATTATTGCTGATATCTAGGGTAACAATGCTAATCAGAGATTTCCATTTGTCATAATTCTAAAAATTGATGCTGGAGTTTTAATTTCAGGTTATATTCATTTTAGGATTTTTTTTCAGAATAACTGTTTTGAGTTAACAGTTAATATACTCAATGGAGGGTCTATGATTTCAAATCACTCACATCAAGTCAGTGTTTCAAAACTCTCTGTCTAAATCACAGGTCTGTGTATTTGTGTGTGTATGTGTTAGTGTGTTTATTAAATAACGAACTCTATATTGCCATCTACTTGCTGTTTAACTTCAAGTAAATTAAGCTACGTCTCTGAGTCTCGGTTTCCTCATCCATGGATCATAATTACTATCATACTGCTTTTATGATGACTGAATGCAATAATGTAGCAAAGATACTACTATCATGATGGCTATGGCTGAGATCATGCCATATGTTCATCCAATCCGTGTTCATTTTCTTTTCCTGAGTACACAGGAGAACTACATCTCTCAGCATTCCACAATACTGTGTTATGGACAGAGGAATGCAGGCAGAAGTGTAAAAGTCATATTTGCCACTTCCAAGCCTGTTCAAACACCACATGCAAATACCCAGTTCATTTTCCCCTCCCATGGTAACAATGAATGGCCAGCATTACCTTTAGTGCAGCTGCAAGTTAGCAGACCCTTCATCAGCCTGGTTCTTTCAGACACTTTTTGGAGCAGTTTTGGTCATAAAATGTGTGCAAAAGTAAACATTTTTAATTCTGATACGATAAGGTCTTGAGTTTTTTAAAATATTGTAGGATGGCTTATCATATCCTGACTAATACAGTGGACAATATTCAAATATTATTTCCCTTCATTTCCTCTTTTCTTGGATGAGGACATTTAAACCTAATATTTTAATTAGGTTATAAGTATTCCTTTAACATAGGCACTGTATTAGTTCATTCTTGCATTACTATAAAGAACTACCTGAGACTGAGTAATTTATGAAGAAAAGAGGTTTAATCGACTCACAGTTCCACCGGCTGTACAGGAAACATGGTTGGGAAAGCCTCAGGAAACTTACAATCATGGCAGAAGGGCAAAGAGGAAGCAATCACCTTCAAATGGTGGAGCAGGAGGAAGAGAGTGAAGGGGGAAGTGCTACATACTTTTAAACAACCAGATCTCATGAAAACTCACTATCATGGGAACAACAAGGGGGAAATCCACCCCTATGATCCAATTACCTCCCACCAGGTCCCTCCCACAATATTGGGGATTACAATTCAAAATGAGATTTGAGTGGAGACACATAGTCTAACCGTATCATTCCACCCCGGCCCCTCTTAAATCTCATGTCCTTCTCACAATTCAAAAACCAACCATGCCTTTCCAACAGTCCCCCAAAGTCTTAACTCATTCCAGCATTAACACAAAAGTCCAAGTCCAAAGTGTCATCTCAGAGAAGGCAAGTACCTTCTGCCTATGAGCCTATAAAATAAAAAACAAGTTTTTTGTTGGTAAAAGCTCCCATTCCAAAAGGGAGAAATTGGCCAAAACCAAGGAGCTACAGGCCCCACGCAAGGCCAAAACCCAGCAGGGCAGTCATTAAATCATAAAGCTCCTAAGTGATCTCTTTTGACTCCATGTCTCATATCCAGGGCACGCTGATGCAAGGGGTGGGCTCCCAAGGCCTTGGGCAGCTCCACTTCTGTGGCTTTGCAGGGTATAGCCCCCACAGCTGCTTTCAAGGGCCGGGATAGAGAGCCTGCAGCTTTTCCAGGTGCGCAGTGCAAGCTGTCAGTGGATCTACCATTCTGGGTTTTGGAGGATGGTAGCCCTCTTCTCACAGCTCCACTAGGCAGTACCCCAATGGGGACTCTGTATGGGGGCTCCAACCACACATTTTCCCTCCACATTGCCCTAGGGGAGGTTCTCCATGAGAGCTCTGCTTCTGCAGCAGACTTCTGAGTGGATATCCAGGAATTTCCATACATCCTCCGAAATCTAGCCAGAGGCTCCCAAGCCTCAAGTCTTGTCTTCTGTGAATCTGCAGGCCCAACACCATATAGGAGTTGCTAAGGCTTGGGGCTTGCACCTCTGAAGCAACAGCCCAAGCTGTACCTTGGCCCCCTTTAGCTACAGCTGGGGCTTGAGTGGCTGGGATGCAGGTGCCATGTCCTGAGACTGCACAGAGCAGCAGGACCCTGGTGCTGGTCCACAAAAACATTTTTCTCCCTTAGGCCTCCAGGCCTGTGACAGGAGGGGCTGCTGCAAATGTCTCTGAAAAGCCCCAGAGGCATTTTCCCCATTGTCTTGGCTATTAACATTTGGCTTCTCTTTACTTATGCAAATTTCTGCAGCCTTGAATTCTTCCTCAGAAAATAGATTTTTCTTTTCTACTGCATGGTCTGGCAGCAAATTTTCCAAACTTTTATGCTCTGCTTCCCTTTTAAATATAAGTTCTAGTTTCAGGTCATTTTTTGTTTATGCAAATTAGTATAGGCTTTTTAGAAGCAGCCAGGTTACCTCTTCAGGGCTTTACTCTTTGAAATTTCTTCTGCCAGCTACCCTAACTCATTTCTTTCAAGTTCAAAGTTTCACAGATCTCTAGAGCAGGGGCACAATGCCACCAGTCTCTTTGATAAAGCATAGTAAGAGTGACCTTTTGCTCCAGTTCCCAATAAATTCCTCATTTCCATCTGAGAGCACCTAAGCCTAGACTTCATTGTCCATATCACTATCTGTCTTTTGGTCACAACCATTCAATAGGTCTCTAGAAAGATCCAAAGTTGCCCACATCTTCTTGTCTTCTTCTGAGCCCTCCAGACTATTCCAACCTCTGCCTGGTACCCAGTTCCAAAGCTACTTCCACATTTTCAGGTATCTTTTATAGCAATGCCCCATTTCTCTTGTACCAATTTTCTGTATTAGTTCATTCTCATACTGTTATAACAAACTATGTGAGACTGGGTAATTTGTGGAAAAACGAGGTTTAATCAACTCACAGTTCCACCGGTTGTACAGAAAGCATAGTTGAGGAGGTCTCAGGAAACTTACAATCATGGCAAAAGGGCAAAGGGGAAGCAAGCACCTTCTTCACATGGTGGAGCGGGAGGAAGAGAGTGAAGGGAGAAGCGATACATGCTTTTAAACAACCAGATCTCATGAGAACTCACTCACTATCATGAAAACAGCAAAAAGGAAGCCTACACCCATGAGCAAATCAACCCCCACCAGGTCCCTCTTCCAACATTGAGGATTACAATTCAACATGAGATTTGAATGGGAACTCGGAGCTAAACCATATCAGGCTCCCTTTTAAAAATGCTATTATTACATAACTAAAATATGCAAGAATATATAAAGAATAATATAGTGAATAACACATACGTTAAAAATAAACATTGATTTTTGGTATGAATATGTTTGATTAAGACAGCACTCCCATTCTCCTTTGGGAAACCATCCAGCAGGAGAAAAGCAAAACAGAAAACATAAATTCTATTTTCTACAAAACTCGGAAGCAAACTTCAAGATATTTTTGTGAGATGCTAAAACTGGAAATCAGGGGAGAAGAAAAGGAGAGAAGTCAAGGATAGATCTAAGTATTAAAACCCCAGCTGCAACACATCTCAGAAGGTGCCAACAAACTCATACATCCTTAAGTATACTCCCTGAAGGCATGGAACATTCCCTGGGGGGCAAAATCAATATTATCTATTTGAAAAACAGTGTGTGGAAATACGTGTTTGAGGGCAAGGGGAAGGCAGTATGTACATGTGTTGTCTGTGTATGAGCTGGGTGGCAGCATAATAATGCACATGTGTGTGCATGCTCACCCTCAACAACACACACACACCTATTACCGCACCTCCCTTCCAACACACACATAGTCAATCCAGTCTGCTTTAGAGCAACAGATGCAATGGAGTCTATGAGGAGTGTTCAGAGAAGTCTTGATAGAAACTAGAAAGAAGAAGGCCTTTCTGTTGTAAAACAGTTACTAAGGAACCTCTCTACCTTGGCATTCCAAAATACAGAAACCTCTTGCAAATACCCAGTTCATGAAAATCGCATTTTTCAAAAAGTTACCATTAAAAGAAAACAAATACAACAGATGTATAAAGACACAATTAAACTATAAAATCAAGGCTGGGCACAGTGGCTCACGCCTGTAATCCCAGCACTTTGCGAGGCCGAGGCAGGGGGATTGCCTGAGCTCAGGAGTTCGAGACCAGCCTGGGCAACATGGGGAAACCTCGTCTCTACTAAAAATATAAAAAATTAGCTGGGGGTGGTTGTGGATGCCTGTAATCCCACCTACTCAGGAGGCTGAGGCATGAGAATCGCTTGAAGCTGGGAGGCAGAGATTGCAGTGAGCTGAGATAGCGCCACTGCACTCCAGCCTGGGTGACAGAGCAAGACTGTGTCTCAAAATAAATAAATAAACAAACAAACAATAGAATCAGGAGTATCAACATTCATTAACTTATAAAAGAACTCACTAGACATGTGTTGCCATAGAGCAGAAATTAAGTGTGATCGAATATTTTGTAGTGAATGTTTAAGAAAATTCTGCTTTCTGACAGAAGACCCAAGGCAGAAATACAAGAACTCAGGGAAGAGGTGACCTGATGACAGTATGAAATAGTGAAGATAGCAGAACTGAGAAAAGTATCAGTAGAGTAAATGAAACCATCACAGAAAAGAAGATGCAATTTATTATGTACCCAATAGAAAGCTCAAGAAGCACAAAAAAGGAACACTGAGGATATGAATGATAAAAGAGAACATTATAAAATGCCAACCTAAGCCAGGTACAAAAGTGTCTCACATAGCTGAACAACTAGTTCATTTTCTCAATGAGTGGTTTTAAGCAACCAAAAAGGGAATACAACATTAAAATACACAAGTTGATACTTTGAAGGTTATTATGTATCTAATAACAAACTAGAATAAGTTGAAAACTTATTAGCTTGTTGTTACTGATATTCAAATACCCCTGGACTTTTGTATTTTTATTTTATTATATATATATTATGTGGAGGTAGATACAAAATTTTAAATAAATATTTTTTAAAATTATAGATGCTTTATTTTTAGTGCAGCTTTTTTTTTACATTTCCTCTTTTGTTTGGCCCTCCTTTTCCTTTTTACTTCTCTCTCCCCTTAAATCAGTATATAACCCCTTCTTTGCCTTCAATATGATTAATATATAGAGGAATATAAGTATGTCTTGTATAAACAGATATACATAGCTATGTATATAAGAATGATTCATTTTTGGTACTGCTGATTTTATAACAATGATATCACACTGTACACATGTGTCAATAACTTGCTTTTCTCACTCAATAATAACTCACGGAAAGCATCCAACCCCATTAAGTTCTAATTCATTATTTTAAGTAGCAATATAATGACTGATGATATGGATGTGCCATGATTAATCTTAATATTTTCCTAATGACAACAGATTTACTTTTTTCTAGTTTTTTTTTTTTGCCAAAAGAATTGCAGCAGTAAATAATTCCATGCATTTGTCCTTATGTGCTTTTATTTCTATGGGATGGATTTCTAGGAGGGGGCACACATATTTTCAGTTTTAATATACGTTGGCTTTCAAAAAGGCTTTAATGCATCACAGTTTTACTAATTATGAAAGTACCTCTTTCCTCAGTCACCATCAACAGTAGAAATTTTAGCCCTTTTTAATTTTAGCCATTCTAATAGGTAGAATGGTATTTTATTGTTACTCTAATTGGCATTTTCCTAACTACCGGGAAATTTGAGGATTGTTTCATATGTCTGTTGACTTTTTGGAATTGCATCTCTGTGAAATGTCTATCTACATTATTTTCTAGTGGATCACGTTTTTCTTTTCTTGTCCGTTTGTTAGAGCATTTAATATTTTATAGAAATTAACTAGTTGTTAATTGTGTTACATTGTGTTTTTGTTCTAATACTTGTGAATTAGCTTGGTTGATGATATCTTTTGTCATACTTGATTTTTTAAAAATACTTTTATCTTTTCTTTTATAGAGTTTTGTCTTTCAGTCATGATTAAAGTTAATTAAAGTCTTCTCTGCCATTGCTTTCGTAAGAGGATTTCAAGATGGTTTGAAGATTTTTCTTGTTTTATTTTTACATTTAAATTTATCACCCATCTGGAATCAATGTTAATTTATGATTTGCAAAGGAAGCCTGCTTTTATTTTCTTTCAGATATATTTTAGATTATGTCCCCACTATTCTTATCAATTTTACCACTGAATTGAACTACTAGTTTTGTTATATATCGTGTTCTTAAATAACACTACATTTCTATATTCTCTATTTCCTTTTCCTGCTGTCTTTTTCTACATTGTGAAAAACATAATCTTATAAGTGCTTAATACCTACCCCATTCCTGTTAAGAGATACTCAACTGTTACAATCAGAGAAGGACCTGAAGCTCAAGAAGAAAAGTTTGCTCCAAATACAGTAGAAGGTTATGCAAATTGACAATAGTGATATTTGTTGGGCAGTGGTGTAGTGGTGGCTATGTAACCTGGGTCTGGTCAAATAGCCTAAATAGAGGTCTTCTATATGGCACTTATGGAAAAATCCTATTTTTTCTGAGATTAAAAAAGAGAGACTCAGCTGGCTGGGTATTTTTGGATATTTGACTCTATAAAGCGATGCCAAACTGGCTTGAAATAATTGACTTTATATAATGCCCTTGCTGAGATCAGCTTGGTTGGGGAGACCCTAACCCAGCAGTGCTAGAGGAATTAAACACACACACACAGAAATATAGAGGTGTGGAGTGGGAAATCAGGGGTCTTACAGCCTTCAGAGCTGAGAGCCCTGAACAGAGATTTACCCACATATTTATTAACAGCAAGCCAGTCATTAGCACTGTTTCTATAGATATTAGATTAACTAAAGATATCCCTTATGGGAAACGAAGGGATGGGCCAAAATAAAGGGATGGGTTTGGCTAGTTATCTGCAGCAGGAACATGTCCTTAAGGCCCAGATTGCTAATGCTATTGTTTGTGGTTTAAGGACGCCTTTAAGCGGTTTTCCACCCTGGGTGGGCCAGGTGTTCCTTGCCCTCATTCCAGCAAACCCACAACCTTCCAGTGTGGGCGTTATGGCCATCATGAACATGTTACAGTGCTGCAGAGATTTTGTTTATGGCCAGTTTTGGGGCCAGTTTATGGCCAGATTTTGGGGGGCCTGTTCCCAACAAGTCCTAATATCTGTAATGACAAGTTTTTCCTCATGATTGTTCTTTACCCTTGTTTTCATGTTTATTCTGCAACATTTATTCTTCTATATAAATGTATGATCATGTACCCTTGTCCCTGGTTCTCCAGATGTACATCCAAACCAAAGGATCTGGAATGAAGGTAAAAAACTAGATCAGCTTTCTTGTCTTCTTGGTTTGAGCCCCAGTAGAGCCTAGGTTTTATTTATTCTTAGTAGCCTGTAAATTCTATCACCCAGTGACAGGCAATAGAGGTGAAGGAGATAAAATCTGATGTTTCAGGTTCTAGGAAGCTCTTTTAGATGCCTCCTTCGTAAATCTCTTATTATATGTCTATAGCACTTATCTGATTTTCAGTTCATCAATTACTTAATATATCTCATTCTCCTAAGAAAAATGCCTAGTTTCATGTGTGATATTAGTAGCATAAGTTATATTTCATTATTCCAAAATACCTGTTGAATACCCTACCCCCTGCAAAAAAAAAAAAATCCATAAACCAGTTAAGGAGAATTTAGTTTGAGACCTACTGGTATTAAGATTATTTAACATCCTAATAGCAATAGGAGCTATTAAGAGAAGTTGGGGAGGTTCCTCCAAATCCAAACAGCAAGGTCAACCAGTCCCTTCATTTTTCTATATATGTTCTTTCTACTTTTAGTTCCTTGTATTTACACATGCCCACTTTTCTTAAACCAGTCATCCCCCAGTGCATTGTTTAAAATATGCTGAGTGTATTTTATTGGTAAATATTTTCTTCTTCCAGGTCATGGTAAAAACTGTCACAGCAAAATCACTTTACATTTGTTATAACTAATTGTTCATTCGATATGTTATGGCCTCCTACAAAGAAGCATTTTATAGTAAGTGTTTTTCATATATAAAATCAATTCCAATCCCTAAGAAAACTAAGTCTATACTCAAATTCAAGTTTACTTATCTTAAACAGGAAATAATGCAGCAATTTATATTTGTATTTTATTAGCTACTGAATATTTCTCCAGCATGTACCTGGAACTCTTAATGTCTTCTATATTCATAGTCAGTAATAGTTCAATAATATTTTATTCAAATGTTATGTAATTACAATTCATTTTAATTTTTCTTTTAAAATAGCCTGGTCCATAAAGAAAAATATTGAACATTTAAAAAGCAAAAGAAAATATAACAATGTAATTACTTATACCATCACTCAGCTCTAGAAATGTTAAATTATAGTTAATCTTGAGTAAAGAATTCACAAATTAAGACAGATTTATTATTTTAAAGACATTGTTCTATTGTCTTCAAGTTTGTATTAATGATGTTGAGAAGACTAATGCCATTCCACCTCTTCATCTTTTTTTACATAAACTCTTCATTTTTAAACAACTTCTGAGATTTCATATACTTTACATAAAATCTTATATTGATGTTGCTTGGATGGGGCTTTAAAATTTATTTTCAGATGGCCATTGGGCCTTTTCAATCAAGAGATCATATTCTTCCAGTCTGGGAGCGACCTACCTTCCTTCCTTGCTTCCTTCCTTCCTTCCTTCTTTCCTTACTTCCTTTTTTCCTCCCCATTTCATTCATTCATTTGTTCATTCACTTTTTTAAATAACTTTTTTAACCAAGTTATATATTCTTTTTCTAAAAATCCTGTTAGTTGGATGCAATTTGTTCACTGCTCTTATTTTCTTGCCCATTATCCAACATTCCGTCATTATGATTATCTCTTGAGTGAATTTTTTTATGAAAGCATCTAAAAAAGACAGAAATGATCACGAATGTTATATTAAAATAAACACCCATATGCCAGCCAGCCAAAATGGTGATTTCTTATTCTGCCCATTTTAAAAAATAGGTTTTTCTCATTTTTATTTTGATTGTCAGTTATTGATATATAGTATAACTTAATCTTTTTCAACTATTAATATTGTTAAAACAGTTCCTTAGACTGTGATTTTGTTTGTTCTTTAGTTGATGGTATCTTTGACACAGACAATTTTCTTTTTTATATGGTAGCCAAATTCATGTGTATTTTTATTTAAAGTTTGCATTTTTTGTATTTTGTTTAATACATCCTTTCATAATTTGAAGTCATAAAGATATTCTGTATTTTCTTCTCATTAACAATGTGAAAAATTTGCTTTTTGCATTTGGATCTTTAAGTCACAGGATTTAGTTTTCTTTATTATATAAGAAAGAAATTATTTTGTTCTCATTTAGAAAATCAGTGGTCCTGGCACCATTAGTAAACCATCCTTTTTCCAATGATTTATATGGTTACCTCTATGAAAAACTTAGTACTTGGATAACAATGTGAATGTAGTTAATGCCACTGAATTGTCCATATAAACATAGTCAAACTAGAAAATTTTATTTTATATATATTTTAGAAGAGGTAAAAATGTACATGCACATCTGATCGTGCGCCTATGTGATGGCTCTCTGAATCATTCTGAATCATATATATTGTTTTCTGTATATCTATAAATATCAATATGCATATATGTTTTCTGCATCAATGTCAAAGTTAATTTATTAAAGTATTTTAAAAATTTATTAGATTCAATTTCTGTATGTATAGTCAACAATTCTATAAGCAAAAGAAGGAAAAGATGTAATATATTAAAAAATGTTTGTATAACATGAGACAAGTTGCCTTTTAAAGTAGGTTTCTCATGGTACATATCTACTAGTGATTGTTAATGTTTTGAGCCATATTTGGTTTGAATATGAATGTGTGTACACACACACACATATATACACACACACACATATATAATCACAATTGAATGGAACAGATCTTAAAGAAACAAACTATGCAAAGAAATATGTTTTGGGTTTTTTCTGCTTTCCATCAAATAGACAGAACAGACAAAGAACTTAGTTTTTTTGGTTAAACCTAATAAGCATTAGTTATTCTTTTGAGAGTTGAATCTCCTAGATCTGGTACATACTTTAATATATCACTTAATTAATGTTTGCTACTGTTGTTTCATTTTGAGTTGTGTCTTTTAACAATGTTTCATAGGTTGGTTTTCCAATAAAGGAGCATTACTTAGTTCATTTTCCTTCAGTCTTGATGATAAACTTTTCATGGCATCCTTGGATTTTCGTACAATTTTTTCGAAAGCTTGTAATCATTGTACTCATCCCACTCAGTTCTCAGGCTATCCTGCTCATTTGATTTAATTGAAACTAGAATTGTGTGATAATACTCATGCTTGTGTCTGTCAGATTCTCTGGGCAAGTCATTGAGCTCCTTGTTTCTCTTGATTTCTTTGTAATTGTGCTCCTTTATCCTGTTGCATGAAGCTAAAGCACTAGGTTTATAATTTTTGTTGAGCTTCAGGGATCTATTTTTTCTGGGATAATATAGTTTCCACACCGGAGCCCATGAGGTGAGGGGCAAAGGTTCAGGCTCAAATGTGTTAAAATTACTATGAATGTTGATAGAAAAAGTACCCTCTACTTGTTTTTGCTGTGATGTTTAGATGTATTTATCTACTTCCATGTAAAAGGTGATGGGAGTTTTTGTTCATTGTAATTCCATTGAATTAATAGATGATTTGGGGAGAATCATCATCTTCACAATATTAAGTTTTTCATTAATAATCGTGGCATCACACTACATTCACTTAGATAATTTTATGTCCTTTCATATCATTTATCATTTTGTAATTTTTCCATAAAGGTCTCATATATCATTTGTCAAATAAGTTATTACTGAATGCCATATGGTTTCATAATTCATGCCAGACAATTAGTTGATTTAAAAGTTGATATACAAAACTGAAACAATGGTTTAAAGAAAGAAAAATGTAGTTATTTATTTCGTTCATATCAGTATGTTTCAAAATGTTAGCTTTATATGTACTGTTTTTGTCATACCTGCATTTGTCTTACCTACATACCATCCATACCATCATTTCCTTATTTTTAAATTTGTTTGCATTTTTTTAAAAAATACTCAAAATGGAAAGTTGTTTCTATCACTAAAAACAATGTTCAATGTGTGAAACCCATTAAAATAGATAAATAACTAATAAAATTAAGGAGAAAAACCCAACTGTTTTCCTCTTAAGATAAAAGTTTGTACCATTGGTGTAGTTTTGAATATACTGGTTTATATGAATACAAAACATTCATGGGACTTTAATGAAGTAGTAGCTGGCTGTTTGATTTTGTTACAAATGCATCTATTGGTTACTGACTTTTAAAAATATATATTCAATATGCATACTGATATGAGTACTTACTCTCTGCCAGTCACTTCTAGACATTTTGCTAATTTAATCATCATAGCAACTCTGTGGGGCCAGACGTTATGTATTGTATGATATAAAAAATTTTGTCACAGATTTTTGTGAGAATAGCTAGGTGCCTTTGAGTCCATTGCATAAAGACAAAAATAATTGGCAAAATTAATTCCCATGGAAATTCTTCCTTTCTCTGATGACTATACTGAATAATTGGAATTGACAGGTATTCCTTTGCTACTAAGCATCATTATTACACTCTCTCACTACTTTCTCTTCAGTCTGTTATGTCAAGACAATGAATAATAGTTTCTTGTACATCTACAATGGGAACACTGGAGCTGCCACTTTGGTTGATGATTGGATAATTCTTTCTTGTCTCTTATTCCCTTCTCTCTCTAATACTGTAGAAAACACTGATGACAATTATAAATACTTCCCCATGGAACTTTCTTCTTCAGGTTAGAATTCTGATTGGAAGCAAAAGTAATTAAAGGTTAAAGAACGTGTGATTCTACTCTTTCTTTCACCTTTGCCTAAAGCCTTCAGAAAATGCCAAGGATTTTTTCTTTTCTTATTTACATTTGGCTTATAGGCAAACTATTCCAAATTCCATATGGCTTTTACATAGGCATGGATTTAGGTATATATCTATATATAAGTATGTAAATACATATTTACATATATTTAGATTTATATCTATATATAAATATATAAAATTTGCTTCTAAATTTCCAAGATCTTCTCTCTTCCAGGTAGGGAAATGAACTGTCCACATTTTAAAAAATGATCATTCCTGTCTTTTTGTTATTTTCCTTAACATCTTCAAAGATAAGACAGATTAATTTAAAGTATTGTTATGCTAAAAGCCAGAAGACGTTCTTGTGTTTCTGTTTCACTTGGATAGGTATTAAAGAAAAACATCACCAGATTTTTGTCATTGTTGTTGCTCAGTCTTGTGTGTCTTTTTAAGTGATTATTTAATAGTTTTTATTATTGCTTTTCTTTGTCCCTATTGTTAAAAGTAAAATCATTTTTATTATAATGTTTTACTTTTTTGTCATACACCACTGAAGCCTGTATCCAAACATGTAACTACTAGTCTAACAGATCATATTTAAGGATGATGTAAAAAGATATTTTTCCATCTTGAACACTTTCATGTATTCAATAATGAATACATGACACACATGGACACATGGACACAGGGAGGGGAACATCACACACCGGGGCCTGTCGGGAGGTGGGGGGTGGGTAGGAAAGGGATAGCATTAGGAGAAATACCTAATGTAGATGACAGGTTGATGGGTGCAGCAAACCACCATGGCATGTGTATACCTATGTAACAAACCTGCACGTGATGCACATGTATCCCAGAATTTAAAGTATAATTTAAAAAAAGGAAAGAATAATCTTGATCTCTTTCCTTAAACATTTTATGAAAGTTATTCCTGTGTTCTGATTCATATAATTTCATTAATCTTTATATAGAAGGGAACCAAGAACAAATTATAATTAGTGTTTACATTTTCATTGTCTGTCTCTTTGGGGTTTTGCAACCTGAAGTCTATTAATCAAATATATTTGTTCACAGTATGCACCATGTATTTTGGCTTTATACCTAATCATCTTCCTCCCAGTCCAAGTGTCTGCTTCCTTGTCACTGTCAGCCAGTTGTGGTTTCTGTGGAATACATTTTGTTTGACATAGTTCTACTTTTAGTTTAGGTTACTTTCTAAATCTGGAGTGTGAACAGCACCTTCTGTTCTTCTACATTCTCCCTAAAACAAATGTCTAAATTATTGTATTTAAAATAAAAGGGCAAAATCTGCACTTTGCTAATAAGTACGTAAAGTTGCCAGATGGTTTTATCAGTGTCTTGAATATTCTGGGTTTGATGGGTTGGTTATGTCTGAAGCATAAACATCAATTCTGTCTCCTATCATGAAACTATTAAGGATGACCAAATTTCATCAGCATTGATCGGTGCATGTTAGATTCTCAGAGGCATCTGATTTTGTAATTGGCACTTGCTTTTGATTCTACAACTCCCAACAGCATAATAGTTTCCAAATGAAAACAGGAATATTATATATTATAACAAAAAGTGTAAAATGTATTTTTTGAAATTGTAACGTTCTTATTGTATTTCAGATGTCCCAATAATAAATAAACTTGAAAGGCAGTCAAGGTCACAAGGTCTGCAACTCTTAGGCAAGTTCTAGTGCTGAGCTACATTCAGAGCCACTGGACTTGGGGGATATAAAACCTACTGAGACACTAGCTGGTACAGCTAAAGGACTGCTTATGCCACCCCTTCCCCAACCCCAGAATGCACAGGTCATGGCTCCAAGAGACTTTTTCTTCTGCTTATGAAGAGGAGAGGGAAGAGTAAAGAGGATTTTGTCTTGCATCTTGGAGACCATCTCAGCTACAACAGGATAAGGCACCATGCAGAGATGCAAGGCCCCCTTTCTAAGCCCTAGCTTCTGGATGACACTTCTAGAAACACCCTGGGCCAGAAGTGAACCTGCTGCCTTGAAGGGAATAACTCAGTTCCAGGATACAACACTGGGGCCCTGAATAACCAGCAGCAATACCTAGGAAGTATGGCATGGGACTTGGGTGAGACTAAGACTTGCTGGCTTTAGGTCAGACTCAGCACATACTCAGCTGTGATGGCTACAGAAAGAGACTCCATCTGCTTGAGAAAACTGGAGGGGAAAGTAAAGGGAACTTTGTATGGCACCTTAGGTACCACCTCGGCCACAGGGGTGTAGAGCACCAAGCAGGCTCTTGGGGTCTCTGATTCTAGGCCTTAGATGTTGAACAGCATTTCTGGACTTGCCCTGGGCCAGAAGGGATTCACTGCCCTGAACGATGAGTCCCAGGCTGGGCAACACTCACTGCAAGCTGACTGAAGATACCTTGGACCTTAAAGGAATATCAGTGGTAGCCTGGCAGCACTCCTCATCGGCTTATGGTGGTAGTGCCCACGATGTGAGGTCAGTTTCGTTTGGCTAAAAGGAGAATTGCTGTGAAGTTTCAGAAGTCTTAAATTTTTGTCTTGTTTTGACACTTACTTAAATCAGACAAGCTACTAAAACAAACTTCATATTTGAGGAATATTACTGAGAACCTATTAACCGCTCCTGTGTCAACCAACAATGAATGTACTAGGCAATGGTATTTTAGCTACAGAATGAACTATGTATTTCACATTGCTGGTACATGAAACACCTTCTAGCTGATAATATCCTATGAATAATAAAACTGAGAAGTGGGTCATCTGAAACTGTGAATTGGTGTAACATTACTTTCTAACCTCCACTATGATAAAATATTGTCTTCCATTGCAAGGAAAAAAGTAGAAACAAACATTTTTACAATTTTAATATTGAGCAGAGACTGATGTATGAAGAAGAAATTATTTCATACTTGTCTGATTGAAGGATAAGTTTCTTTCTTTTTTTTTTTGAGATGGATTCTTGCTCCGTTGCCAGGCTGGAGTGCAGTGTCTTGGCTCACTGCAACCTCCGCCTTCTGGGTTCAAGCAATTCTCCTGTCTCAGCCTCCCGAGGAGCTGGGACTACAGGCCACACCTGGATCTCCTGACCTCGTGATCCACCCGCCTCGGCCTCCCAAAATGCTGGGATTACAGGCGTGAGCCACCGTGCCTGGTCCAAAAGTTTAATGACTTGGTTTATTTATTTTTGCACTGATATTTCTAGTAATGACAATAGGATAAAAGCTAAATGTCCATCAATAGGGTATATCACAGTGTACCATTAATACTCTGCAGTAATTAATAAGTTTGTGGTTGATATATGTGTATCGATTTGTAAATATAATCAAGATAACTTGTTGAGGAATAAAAAATAAGTGCAGAATGATGCATTCATTTATGTTTTAACACTTCATCCAATTTATGCTAAACACAAATAAAGCTATAAATCCATGATACATGTCTGGCATATCAACCTGAGAAAGGGAAAGAGCATGGTAAGTAATGTTCAAGGAAGACTTTAGGCTTGTCTTTAAATTGATTGTTTTAAATGAGAATATACTAATATATGCACACATTTTATGTGTGATTTGAATTTAATAGTATTAATTAAAGTAATGACTTTTTTCCATTTATACAGCCACTGACTTATACATAATACAACTCTCAACATGCTTTAAATATATTAAAAGGATCTGCATTAAGAAAAATACAAAACTGTATAATGAGGGTCATGGTACAATACATGAACTCTGTTTTTGAAATATAGATATTTTTATATAATTTCCATTATCCTGAAATTAATTAAAGTTAATTCATTTTGTGATTTGGAGGTATGGAAATGAATGTCTCAATGAGAGACTAAATTTCTATTGAAAGAAGAAGAAGAAGAAATACTAAAGCATATGTGTCAAAAGAGAATCAGTGGTGACTTGCCCTCTCCTAGATCAAAACATCAAACAATAAGGAACTGAACACAACAGTTCAGTTCCTGAATACAACAAAGCAGAAAGTCTAGATATATGTATGAATAAATACAAATATAGACTATTACAAAGATGGACTTTCAAGAGTGTTGGAAAGGATAAAGTATTTCAAAATGATTTGCAGAGAAGTAAACATATATTTGAGAAAAAAATAAATTTATAATAGCACCCCCCTTACAACAAAGTACATTACAGTTTATTTAAAAATTTAAAGATGAAAAGTAACCTGAAAACGATAAAATTTAATGTAAGTGACTATTAACTCTTATTTGGATTGAGAGTACATTTTAAAATAATAGAACAGATATAGAAACATAAAGGGAAAATTAATAAATTTGTTTAGATAAGAAAAAATTGGTTTATATATGAAAAAATATATAAAAGACAAACAGTGAGCTGTGAAAATGTATGCAACATATATCGTAGGCAAATAATTACAATCCTTAATACATGTAAAGCTTGTACAAACAGGAAATGCCAAAAAACAAGAAAATGCCTTATTTTTAAAAAATGGATAAATTATCGTACAGAGGCAACACTATTGGACCCTAAAAATCTGGCAAGAGAGTTATTTATATATCCATATATATCCATAATATATCCATAATTTACTATATATATTTAAGGTGTACAACATGATGTTTTTATATACATAGTGAAATAATAAGTAATAGTCAAGCAAATGAACATATCTATCTTCTTGCCTAGTTATCCTTTTGTTTGTGTGCTGAGAGCACCAAAAATCTACTCTCTTAGCAAATTTCCAGTGTATAATAGTGTAAACGTAGTCCTTACACTGTACCTTAGAGCTCTAGACTTGTTTATTCTATACAACTACAACTTTGTACCCTTTGTCTTACATCTCCTCATTTCCTATGACTCGCCTACCCCTCGTAACCATGATTATATTCTCTTTGTATTTCATTTTATTTTTAGATTCCACATGTAAGTGAGATCATGCACTATTTTTCTTTCTCTGTCTGGCTTATTTCACTTAGCATAATGTCCTCCTGGTTCATCCATGTTGTTATAAATGGTAGGATCTCTTTCTTCTTTAAGGCTGAATAATATTCCATTGTGTGTATACTATAATTTATCCATTCATCAATTGACAGAAGCTTGTTTCCATATTCTGGCTATTGTGAATAGTGCTACAATTAACATGGGAGTGCAGATATCTCTTTGATGTTCTGATTTCATTTCCTTTGTGTATATACCCAGAGGCATTGCTGGGTCATTTAGCAGTGATAGCGACAGGAAGAAGCGAAATTCTGGGCAGAAGAGTGTAGGTCCCTGGCTAGGGCCCCATCCTCAAGCCTGGAACTATGGCCCAAAGTGAGAACTTACATCCTTGTTTTCCCATTCGAATGTTGCCTTTTCTAAAACAACCCATGGCCTGCCCCACTCCCAATCCTGTGCCTATAAAAATCCAAGGCTCATATGGCAGAGAGAGGAGAAGCAGCTGAATGTCAGAGACTACAGTTGGACATTAGGGAGAAGTGGCTTGACTTCAGAGGAACAGCTTGACAGCATAGCTTCAGAGACAAGTCTGGTAAGGGAAGGCTGGACTTCAGGGGAAGATTACCTTCCTGCTCCGTCCTCTTTTCAGCTCCTCTTCCCACTGAGAGCCACTTTCATCGGCAATAAAATCCCCCACCTTTACCATCTTCAATTCATTCATGCAAACTCATTTTTCCTGGACACTGGACAAGAGCTTGGAGTCATGAGTATAGGTGTAAAAGGCTGTCACACTCCACTGATCTGTTAACATTTAAGCCATCCACAGGCAACAAAGCTAAAAAAGCACTGACTGTAACACTCTCTCTGGGGCTTCCGGAGTCACAGGAACACCGCCCCCACCAGACAGTGCTGCTGGGCCAGTATGAAGTTCATTCCTGCCGGTGCCCAAAAGGGCATGTCCCGGCTCCGGTACCTGCGCACCTGCATGCTCCCCCTCCTGTGAGGGGTTGATAGCTGCGGGCTGAGTAACCCGTCATGAGGCCCGCATAGGGGTCAGGGAAATATCCTGCTTCAGTAGTTCTATTTTTAATTTTTGAGGAACCTCCATGTTGTTTTCCATAATGGCTGCCAACAGTGTACCAATTTACATTTCACACCCTTGTCAACACTTGTTTTATCTTTTTTTTTTTATAATAGCCATCCTAAGAGGAGTGAGGTGATATCTCATTGTGGTTTGAACTTGCATTTCCTTGATGATTATTGATATAGACCCCCTTTCCATACACTTGTTAGTAATTTTTATGTCTTCTTTGAAGAAATAATTATTCAAATTCTTTGTCCATGTTTTAATTGGATTATTTGATTATTTGGTGTTTTTTTTTTGTTATTGAGTTATGTGAGTTTCTTATACAATTTAGATTGTAAGCCCTTATCAGATGTATGATTTGCAAATTTGCAAACTACAAATTCACATTTTAAAAAATGGATAAATGACATTGAAGTGGAAATACTCTTGCACCTTGAAAATCTGGCAGCAGAATTATTACGCAGAGACATGTGGGCAAAGACCAGTCTTGCTTCTTTCCCCTGCTGAGGGAGTGTCCTTGTTGGCACTGAGTTTTATTCAAGAAACAAAAAAGATCTATATGCATTCATTTAAACAGATATACATGGGTTACTAAGGTATATTCTTCTGATACAGTGATATAAACCTCTAGTATGAAAGAGCAGTGGTATAGAAATTATCTAATCATTATATTTAATAGGAAAAAAACACAGTATGGAAAGTGTCATTGGCAGATGCATACATAATTAGCAAAGAAGGGGCCAGGGAAATTCAACCCAAGATACTCTTTATCTAATCCTGCTCTATCTAGTCACCTCACTTCTATTGAATTTATCTTTCCTGGCTGAATAGATACTCAACTTACAATGGGTCTACTCTCTCTTTCTGCCACTCAACAAACCATCTGAAATTCTGCAGTTAAAGAGATGTACTTGTTGTCAATATTCTTCAGTGATATGTTTAGACTTTAGAAGGGTTGACTAGAGCTGAAAAAGGAAGCAGAGAATTTTATGTGACTGAGGGAGAAAGTATAGCTCTGGATTCAAGATCTTTAAGTTATAAAAGGAGGTTTATTTGGTAAGGAAGTTGTCTCAGTAAGATTTGCCCACTCTTCTCTTACATGTGACTGTCAGGCCTTGTGGACAAATATAGACAAATGAGTCAAAGTTGACAGAGTCTAAGCATCAGTTCCTGGATTCCTTTATTGTCATTCCTAAAGCTATTGTGTATGGGACAATGGTTCCAGAATTTTAGCATGCATAGACTCACCTGGATGGTTGATTAGAATGCAGAGGACCAAGAGTTTGCGTTTCTAATCCATTCCCAAGTGTTGCTGATGCTAAACAACATCGAGCTGATGTTAGCAACTGTTGCTTGTACTGAAACAACACTTTGAAACCATTTAATGTAGGATCCTCCAGAGGGATTTGGAACCCTCATGATTCAAACTGCAGCTCAGCTATAATGTAATGGCTGCATCTTATCATTACACTAGGTTAGATAATGCTAGCCTGATACTCGATCACTTTCTAAATAGGTAAGTGTTGAAGTTTCAGGCATGGAGAAGAAAAACTTATAGTTGGGAATGCTTTCATTCTCGCTGACTCTGGTTTCTCTGGGGAAAAAAAAATAACAACAGCAACAAAACTAGTGAGGCAGAAAACTTCCTGAAAGCAAAAAAATAAAAATAAAAAAGTTTAATTATTACCTTAAGTGTGAGCAATTTTATTTTGATATGTAGATTTCCTTTTCTTTTTCCACCTTCCAATCTCCAATAGAGCTTTGATTGTGGAGCTCTGAATTGGTGCCAATTCATTAGCTTTAAGAACAAATAAATGGCATTTAGAGGACATAAATTTCTTCTGGGATCAGGTGTCTCAAAAGTAGAAAGTTGAAATATTATTTTCTACATGATGTAACATTGGGAAAGTAGATTTAAAACTTTTTCTTTGAATTCTCTTTTAAAACGATGAAGTAAATATGCACAAACCATGTTCTAAGACCCCGGGGTGGAGCTACTTTTATTCATTTGCAAGATAATACATAATTACCAAAATAATTAGTTTAAAATAGTCTCAAAATAAATCACTGGAAGTGTCAAATAGCTGATTTCTCTATTTCAGACATAGCTTTTGTGTAAAGAAGATGGCCTGTTGAGTCAGAGCCAATAGATATAGGAGGAGGGTTATAGTTGGCAACGTGCTTGACTTCATCAAGGCTAGGATCATGAAATTGTTTTCTTCTTTCCCTTGAGGTATTTTAAAGTCTTAGCTTGAGGAAATGGCTTTTGAACAAAGGAGGCACAAAATCTTAGAACTTCTCTCCCTTCCCCCTTTCTTTAGTAAGGTTAGGGAAATGTACACGATTAAACAGACCTGGGTCTGGCGTGGGGATAATAAATGGGCAGCTTGGACAAAAGGGTAAATCTATTGTACGGGAAAACATAGGGAGAAACCGCAAGGGAAGGAAAAAGACTGCCCTTGTGCTGGAAGTCAGTGTAGTAGAGCATGAAAAAGAAGCCTGACATGCTGCCAGGTCATGCTTCTCCATCCATGTGCATGGCCAGATCTAACCGGGGAGATTGGGGTTGCTTTTTGTCTTCAGACACATCATGTTTGACTAATGATGATGAAGAGATTGACTGGACATGTGCACTTTGAAGCCAATTCCAGGACGCTGTGGGCAAGAATTAACATCAGCAACAACAGCAGAAAATGGAAACTACTAAAATTCCAAGTAAAGGAATAAATTAGATACATGGTTTGCTATGACAATAGGACACATCAGAGTTAGTACGTGAAAGTCAGGAGTTGGAGTAACCAGTTCTCCTACTAGAAGGTAAAGAAACAAACCTTGGAAATGACAGAAGAGAAGTAGACTACTCAGGTGAACTGAGGACCTTTTGAGAAAGATGTAATTTTTTTGCTCTGGCAAAGTGATCAAAACTGATCCAAAAGGCACAGGAAATAATGAGCCAAGGAATAACCACAAAAGATTAAAAATTAACCAAATAATGACCTCCTTTGTCAAAGAAAAATTGTCCTGACAAGTTAAGCAGGTAAGAGTGACTTTATTCAATATTACTGAAATTGGGTCAAGACTATCACAATAGGGAAGAGAAATTAAATTCAACTCCCCTGAAACAAAAAGCAGAAGAATTTTAAGCTTTGGGGTGAGCTTGTGGTAAAGTAGTAGAGGAAGTTAGAGGGAGTTTGGTCATTATGATTAGTCCATTTGTATTAGCTAATTGACTCTCATCCAATTAAACTCCTACCCTCCCACAGAGTTTGAGAGGTAAGGGTGCTGTCTTTCTTGATTAGTACATTTCAAATGGATAACTCCAGGGTCCTTACGAAAGACAGTACTCACTGGAAAAACAGGCAAGAGGCTGGAAGAGGATACATATCTGAAGTGGGGGGAGAAATAATTTACAATTGCAAATTTCCTAAAGTAAATGCTCTAAGAACAGGTTGATCAAGGGCCTATAGCCAGGAAGAAATCTGGCTAAATCAAGATGAGGGGATCATTAAGGCAGTCTCAGTCACTCTAAAAAAAAACAATTAGGCACATATGCTTTACAGAGTTTGTGATCCTTTAAAGATAAGGTTCATTTCAGTGCTCTGTGATATACAACAAATAAACATAAGTTTTCCAGTATGTTATAAGAAGTTAACATAATTCAAATATTGACTCTTAATTTTAATAAAAAAGAATATTAAAATAGTAAATGAAAGCATACCAATTAAACTTACTATCCAAACAATCCATCACAATCACAGATAATTAATTCTAGAATTACAAAGTAAGTTTTAAAAGGAGAAAATCATGAAGTGATATACAATTTTTTAAAGCAGCACTATTTTTTATAACCCCAAACTGTAAACAAAACAAATTTCCATGAGGAATAGAATGGATAAATTTCTGTACAGTTATACAACGGGATACTTTACAGCAATGAACATGATTTAATTAGTAATGCTCTAACTGGAATGAATGTCAGAAACATAATATTCAATAGGAAAAGCCAATCATGTGAGTATACAGTAACCTATATTACTGTCAGTGATTTAAGGTTACATTTGAAGATGGGTGGTGTTGACTGGGAGAAGCATGGTGAAGGCATCAAGGGTGCTGGTAATGTTCTGCTTTTTTTGATCTGGGTGGTGTTTTTTTGTGCAAATTCACTGAGTTGTCCACTTAAGGTTTGTATCCTTCTATATCTTGCACTATATATTTCAAACAAAAGTTTAAGCATATTTAGTATTAGTCTATTTATTATGACAGTTTTGGCATCCCATATACTTTTTCTAGAAATAATCTAGCCTAACAGATATATAAGTGTGTAGTTGATAATGTTATCTTTTCATTTTTATTGTTATGTCATATTTCCATAGTTATTTTCCCTCTTTTTTCCATAATTTATTTATTTGTTTCTTTTTTGTGTTATCAGTCTTCCTAGAGGGCTACCTTAACATGCGTTTCAAAATACTGACTCTCAGTTTTGTCTTCCCTACCATTTTCTTTTTCATCGGTCTATCAGTTTCTGAAATTGATATGTTAGACATCAAAATGCAATTGTTGATTGAACTCTTTATCCAGGCACTTTTATCAAAAGTTGCTAACATACTATTTGAGGCCATACTGTGTGTTACTTATTTGTTTATGATGGTTTTATCCTATCGTTTTATTGTTCCTTTTATGATATACTCTGCTTATTCCTGAAGAAAAGTGTTTTTATAAATACCATTTTGCCATATGCTGCTATTAAAGTTTCTTCTTATTCACAATAACATAACATATACATTTAAATTATTTTTTCCAACCATTCTATACTTTCTGTTTTATCTCACATGTGTATCTTATAAGACATATATTATTTCAATTTTCCAATCACAGATATTCAGTTTTAAAATGGGAAGTTAAAGTTGTTTATATTAATTTTAATTCATGTTGTTTTAGAGTCTATTTATGCCATCACAATTGATGTTTTACATTTATTTATTTTCTTTTCCCCTATTTTGCTTTCCATTAAATAGACTAAGTTTTCTTCTGATTTCAAGGTTTAATTCTACTTTTGTTCTTATGGTGGTTATTCTTAACCTAAGCTGCATAATCATGTACGCTTACCACTACTGAGTTCTTAAACTTAGTAGTATCATTTTCCCCTTAAAAAGGCAAATAATTTAGCATTTGACCTCTCCATATGTCTAATCCCTATCCCCTCACATTGACATAGCCTTGAGTTTACGTCTGGATCATAATAAATATATTCTCTTTTTCTTTTTCTTTGCCCTAGCTATTTTTATTAAGGAACAATAAATTTTACTGAAGGATTTTATCACATTTAGTTCTTCTCTAGATTTGCTTTCCTTCTTACTTAATTCTTAAGCCAGTGTTGTTTTCAATGTTAGTCTCTATTAATATAGATAATCTTACAAAGATAATCAGTTTAACAGGGGACAAAAGGTAGAAAAAGGAACACTGAGATGATGAAGAAATAGCAACTTAGGCTGGGGATGAAGAAGGCAAAAGCTGGAATTATCAAACTTTGAAAGCTTGTTTTGGAAACAAGCCATTATACATAAAAACAATTGTGTAACTATAGATCAATAACAAACATAACAATACAGTTTAAAATAGTAATAATAACATCAAAATAAAACATCTTGGAATTAATCTAATGAAATATACACAGAAATGTAAAAAAACAAATAAATGGTGAAGAAAGGAGGAATATCAAATTCATAGATTGCTATTTCCAATATTGTAACAATGTGAATTCTCTTCAAATTGATCTATAAATTCAATGCAGTCTCAATCAAAATCCTAGGGAGATATTGTTATAATTGGTGAGCTGATTCTAAAATTTGGAAAGAAATTCAAATACAGGTAAGGTGCGATGCTGCTACTATATGAAGATCTACTAAAAAATTGTGACAAAAAAGCCCAACAGCTCAATAGAAATATGGGAATATATAAAAAGACATATTCTCCCCGATGAAAAATGTCTTTAAGCATATTAAAAGGTTCTCTGATTGTACCATGCAGCTGTGAAAAGGAATAAGAATGATCTCTCTACATTGAAACACAGTGGTAATAAAATATATATTTAAGTGATGAAAGCAAGATTCAGAATAGTGCAGAAAAACACAAATAGAAGATGTGGAAAATTCTCTCTCCTCCCCCCATCTATTTCTCTCTCTCTCTCTCTCTCTCCCTCTTTCTGCAACAAGGAGAGAGGATAAAAATGAAAGTGAAATAGTGAAATTTCTGTGAAAATAACTTGAATACGATTTTGGCTATGGAATCATATGCAAAAAATATTTTCCTTAGTTACAAATGTTGAATCAGAACAGAAAAGAATCTTAAAATATAAAAGGAAACTGAAAGAGATGTACTAATTGTATATGGTTGGTTGGATAGACACAAAAAGGAAGAAATTAATTAAGTGATTTTAAAACACAATATTTTGACAGACATTCTTAGTGGGATACATTCTCATGACAAAAAAATTAATCCAGCTAATGAAAGCGCAAGAGAATATGGGATTGGAATATCACTATTTTGCAATCTTTGGTGAGATAATAGAGCCAAATAACTATCGTTGATGGGTGGTAAGATGTTTAGGTAAAAGCTTGATGGGAAAATTTATAATGGCGGTGTCAGGCTGATATCATATGAACTCACTGGTCAACAATAGATACACTAAAACTTTACAAGGAGATTTTATGTGTCACATGATATGATGCAATAGGAAGTAAATAGCACTTGAATGATGATTTACTTTTGCCTAAAAGTGAAAACTGAATAAAATCAAGCCTCTATATCTAACTACAAGTTTACTGAAAATATAGCAGAAAAAGAAATGTTACCAAACCAAACTTGGGTCCACCTGTGTGGTGCAGCAAAGCCAAACACTGACATAGGGATTGCAGTGAGAGAAAGCGAGGGATTTATTGCAGGGTGCTAAGCAAGGAGGATCAGGCAGCTAGTGATTAAGACTCGAACTCCCTGATGGCTTAAAGGTAAAACTTTTTTAAGGTGGGGAGGAAGAGGTTACACGCAAAGTCATAAATCAATACATGGAGGTTATTCATTGGTTTGACCTAAAGAGGCAGGATATCTCAAAGCAAGGTCTTACAACCCATAGATAGATTCAAAGATTTTCTGATTTGCAATGGGTTAAGGAGGAGAAGTTTTAATAAAAAATTTGTAGGCCACAGAAATGAATGTTGGCTCTGTTTCATGTGTATGACTTCCTCTAGGTTCCTCAAGGAAGAACTTTAGAACAAAGAACACTGATCAGAATTCAGTCCCAGGTTCCTCCTTATCTGACGTCTATTGTGTGGGAAGATCACTTTGGTGAATGTCTGAATTCCTGAGGAACAACTCAGGAACATATGTTGTTATCTTTAGTTTCTGTAGGAAACCAAACATCCTGTGTTTCTAACTTCTTTGTCTATTGTTTTAAGCTACTGTTACCTTCCTGCTTATGAAGTTGCTCATTTACTTCTCAGGGTAGCTAGGCGCCTGGAATTTCTTTTGAAGGAACTCAAGATTTTCCTTTGTTTCCGTGCTTAGAGATAGGGGCCTGCAGGCCCTTAAGACGGGCCCTGCTCTGTCTCAGAAATAAGGTAAACGACAACTTGAAAAAGCAACCTGCCAAATCCAGAATGTGGGACATGCCACAAAACAAGTGATCGTGGTTCCTCCTATCAAAAAAACAGCATAAAAAAGGAGGGGAGACTTACCATGTGAATTAAACTTAAGAAACAAAATCACCAAATGAAGCATATGGACATTTTGGATATTGATTTGAAAAAAAAGAAAAGACAACTTTGAAAGCTTTGATGAAATTGGAGACCATGGGTGCAACATGGATTGAATAGTACATGATATTAAGTAATTATTGTTAATATTAGTAAGTGTGCCAACAGCATTTTGGTAGAGTTAAAAGGCTCTTATTTATCAATGCGTAATAAAGTTTTAATTCATTGGTTGGGTGTGGTGGCTCACGCCTGTAATCACAGCACTTTGGGAGGCCGAGGCGGGCGAATCACGAGGTCAGGAGATCGAGACCACTCTGGCTAACGCGGTGAAACCCCGTCTCTACTAAAAAAGTACAAAAAAATTAGCCAAGCGTGGTGGCGGGTGCCTGTAGTCCCAGCTACTTGGGAGGCTGAGGCAGGAGAATGGCATGAACCCGGGAGGCGGAGCTTGCAGTGAGCCCAGGTCACGCCACTGCACTCCAGCCTGGGCAACACAGTGAGACTCCCTCTCAAAAAAAAAAAAAAAAAAAAAAAAAAAAAACTTTTAGTTCATTGAAATTACATATGCCTGAGATTTTCTTTAAAATACTTCAGCAATACAAACAAATGTGTATGGGATGAAGAATACATGAAACAATGATCAGCTTGATAAGTGTTGACAGTGAGTGATGGGCATTCATGGAATTTCATCTGTAACAGGATTGTTTCTACTTTTTTGTATGCATGATAATTTACATAAAAATATTTACAAAGAAAAAAGCAGTAGTGCCTGAGAATATCAATGCTTGAGCCAGGCTGACTGGGTTCTTGCAAATCCTGGCCCTACTGAAACAGGAGAGTTCCCGGATCCCCCTCGCAGGACATGCGACAGGGCTGTGGCTTGCCTGTTCAGTAGCCGCCACTGCTCCAACCCCTGAGGGGAGGGAGAACATGCAGATGGACAGATGTAGGAACCCAGGTGGGCGTGTGTTACAGTGTGCCCTTTTAGCCCTGCTGTCTGTGGACAGCTTGAGTGTTAACCAGCTCAGTGGATGCTCTGCCTTTCTGCAAGAACAGAGGGGCAGTGTGACAGCTTTCTGTGTCCCGAGCTTTTGTCCAGTGTCCGGGAAGAATCGGGTCACACATGGACTCGAAGAATGAATGCGGGAGTTTTGAATGGTGGAGGTGGCTCTCAGTGGGATGGATGGGAGCCAGAAGGGCGGATGGAGTTGGAAGATGATCTTCCTCTGGAGCCTGGCTGTCCAGCAGCCAAACTCCTCTCTGACCACCCCCAGCCGAACTCCTCTTGGCATTCAGACGTTCCTCCTCTTCTATCATTCTCTGCCGCATTGTTACACTGTCCGTCTGCTTGTCTCCTTGTCTCCTTGCCTGCTCATTTGCTTCTGGAGCCTGGGGTTTGGGGTTTATATGGGTACAGGATAGGGGGCTTGGCAGGCCAAAAGGCAACCTTTTGGGCATGAAAACAGAAATGCCTGTCCCCATTTAGGGACCCTGGTCTCCAAGCTTGAGGGTGGGGCCTTTGCTGGGGAGCTGCCCTCTTCTACCCAGTGTCTCCCTGTCTCCTGTCTGTATCACTGCTACTTACACACATTGCTATTTTTGTCAAAAGAAAATGATTTAAGTGACTTAAATAGAGTTTAAAGGTCTGTTTATTTAACTGATGCACATGAGGGAGTGTCTACAGACCAGGTAACTCCTCAAATGAAGCAAGGTCAAGATTTTATAAAATAGGGAGAAATTGAGTGCATATACTTGAGGTTTTGGTTTAGGCAGCAGTTTTATACTTTAAGGGAACTCTATGGTTCAGGATCATTTCTATTTTCATCCTTCTTTTGAGGCTCTAATAAACATTAAAAACAGTATTTTTCAAGAACAGTTTTTGCAAGTCTTGTGGCTTATCAGCCAGTCAAATTTCACAAATAGTAGAAAAAGAAAGAAAAGGTAACAAAGGTAGAAGGCAAAGGGAAAACTGGAGATCCTCTAACATCCTCGATCATATTTATTTTAGCCCTTTTACATCTTGCACTACCAGCTATATTTATCATATCACACTTTGCTCATTTGTAAAATGAGGATGATAACAGTACCTAATTATCAGCATATTTGTGAATATGCACTGAGTTAATATACAGTACATCAACATTTCACATGCTCCTTACATACCTGGCATATATTAGGTGCTCTGAAAATGTTATTGTCTTGATAGGCTTCAAACAGGCATTGCTAGCATTTCATCTTTATATCACGTGAATCCCAGTGGCCCAATAATCTTCATGGATGTATACATGTTATTTTGTCTCTTCTTCCAAGTTGTGGCCACTTTTTCTGTTTTGGGTAGGTTTCAAGTTGTTTTTTGGATGCTTGTTTGCAAATCAGAAACCTACGTTTGGAAAATATAAAGCAATTACTTCAATTGTGAAAATAAAAATATAATGAATTTTCTAAAAATGAATCTGTAAAATACCAATGTTTGATAGTGAAGTAAAACGTGAATTAGGTTCTTCATTTTACCTGCAGAGTTAAAAGTGCTAGGTGAGTGTGATCAAAGTGGGTACAGCAGCCTCAACATCCAGACTATAATAGAGCTTAGTGAATCCTCAGTGAGGACAATTTGCAATGTTGGCAATTCAAAAGAAAAGAGCACTCAGTAACTAATAGCTAAAATGTTTTAGTGTTCACTATTTATCAGGCTCTGAGCTAAGCAGTCCCCACTTATTTATGATTTTGCTTTCCATAGTTTCTGTTACCTGAGGTCAACCATGGTCTGAAAATATTAAATGGAAAATTCTAGAAATAAACAATTTATAAGTTTTAAATTGTACACCACTCTGAGTAGCATAATGAAATCTCCTACAGTCCTACTCCATTCCACCCAGGGTGTGTATCGTACCTTTATTTTGTGGGTCCATGCTGTACAGGGTGTATCTGTACAATATGGGGTTCAGCATCTGCTGAGGGTCTTGGAACATATCCCCCAATGAGAGGGGGAAACCGCTACACATATTTTCTTGTTTATCGCACAAAATAATTTTATATAACTAATGCTTTTGATCTCTATTTTCCAGATGAACCCATTGTAACTCAAACAGATGTAGTAACTAGAAAAATGTTTCACACTGCACCAGTAATTAAACACAAGAAGTTGATCCTATGGCTTACATGCCTAATGATTACAACTTAACAATCTCTGATTCAAATATATGCCTATAGAACATTGTTTTCAAAGAAAGGAAAACTTACTCTGAAGCTATTTTGTAAACTTGTTACAGGGTATTGCACCTTATATTCTTTCTATTTTATGACTTTCTTTGGAGATAGTGATTTTCAGAAGTGAAAATGTCATTAGTCAGGGTGAACAGTGCATGATGGTGTTGCTGCAGTTTTATTCAAAATTGTAAAGTTCTGTAAAATAAGATAATTAAATTATGGGGGCATATTAGCCATTAATGTAGAATACTTAGTGGAATAATCAAAAGTACTTATGCAAGACACTAGCTGGCTTTTTATCAAATTCATTATTTTCTTCTTCTATCAACAACTAGACTACATGTACTGCCCCCTTTGCAGTAAAGTGTGTCCATGTAAATGATTTCTAGCTAAAGATGTGTAAGCAGAAATTGAGTATGCTAATTCTAGGACAGGCCCATAGAAACACCCCATGCATAATTCTACAAGCTCTTTTGCTTTCAGCCAGCTGGTAGCAGAAGAGTACAGTGACTGAGGAAACAATATCTTGAATGTAGAGGAGCCTTAAGAGAGAAGGAGCCTGAATCCCTGAATCAACACTTGAAAAAGAGCCACCAGCAAATCACAGACATTAGTTTTGGATATATGTGTGAGATAAATCTCTAGTATATTATGACAATAAGATTTGGGGATTCATCAATTATAGTGGATAATGCCACCTGAACTAATTAATACAGAAATTGATCATTTGAAGCAGGGTGCTATTTTAACAAAATGTTGCAATAAAAGAAGTGGCTTAGTTGTTGGACAGTGGTTGGGCAGTTAAATCAATATTGCAGTGAGATCCATCTGGTGAAGTAAGAAAACATTTGGTGAAAATGTCACCTGCAATAACTTGAATGGCAATGATAATGATGGGTTGACATTTATGTTCTGCTTTTTATAAGATATTATTAGAAGATAAGATCAGGAAATAATTGGTTGGTGTGTAAGCAGAAATGTTTAGCAAGTAGAGAAAGTTCAGAAATTCAGGACCTTAAGGGCTAGAAAAGCCAACTTATTCTAAGCATCAAGGACTAAGAGGTATGAATTTAAAAGGCATTGAATGAAAAGCCCAATAAGACTTCTCAACTGAGCAACATAATTCAGTTTGGCAGTCAAGATATGTTATCCAGCATTCTCACTTATTTTATCAGAAGGAGTCAAGTTAACCTACATTAAGTTGAGAAATAAAGACATAGACACTGCTGTGCTGGATCTCAAAAAGTACATAAATAATAAAGTATTTATAATATTTGCAAATATTCTTCCAATTTCAAGCTACCAGTGTGATGTCAACTGGCTCCCAAAATTCCAAAAATTTAATAATCAGTTCTTGAAAGCCAGTACTGGCTGATTAAGGCACACCACAGGTGTGAAACCAAGAATACGTCATATTTTAGCTGTCTTGCAAACAACTCCTGCCGGGTGCGGTGGCTCATGCCTGCAATCCATACGCTTTGGGAGGCGCAGGCGGGCAGATTGCTTGAGGCCAGGAGTTGGAGACCACCCTGGCCAACACAACACGGCGAAACCCTGTCTCTACTAAAAACCCAAAAACAATTAGCTGGGTGTGGTGGTGCCCACCTGTAGTCCCAGCTACTCAGGAGGCTGAGGCAGATGGCGCCACTGCACTCTGGCCTGGGCGACAGAGCAAGGCTCTGTCTCAAAAAAAAAAAAATTCTATGTGGTTAAAGACATTAGAACAGCTTTGATGTGGTTAAAAACACTAGAACTGGAATCTAGAAAATAAAACTGCTAGCGTTTTCTTTTTCTGGTAATTAACCAAAAATACCATGGTTCTTGATTTGCACGAGCAAGAGGCAGGTTATAACAACTATGCAGTACCTAAAGAAAGCGTAATTCCCAAAGTCCATTTTGGGTAAAGAATAATGAAAGAGAAGGAACCTTGCAGAAGTCAGAGCTGGGAGCGTCACCTACTAAAAAATAAGACATTTGCTCCCCCAAACCAAAATCAGCTGTAATCAAGGAACTGTCCTAATTACCAGGGGGTGAGGGGACAGCTCGCAATGCCTTCCTCTTGAGCTTATGTCATTACTGTGCGCCAGTACTTCTGGTTCTTTCTCATTTTTTCTTTTTCTAAATGGGGATGTTTTTGTAGTTCTCCTGTTCCAGCACTATCATTGTATACTGCACATTTAGGGAGGGAAGGAATTGTATTCCTTTCCTATTGCTGCTGTAACAAATTGCAATACATAAATGTATTATCTAACCATTTAGGAGGGCAGAAATTCAATTTGGGTAACACTCAGATCAAATCAAATTCTAGCAGGGTGGCACTTCTTTCTGGAGATTCTGGTGAGAATCTATTTTCTTGCCCTTTTCCAGCTTCTAGAGGCTGTCCACATGCTTCACTCATGGCCCCTTCCTCCATTTTCAAAGCCACCTGATGGCTGGTCGAATCTTCACATTACATCCCTTGACCTCCTTTCATCATTACAGCTCCTTCTCTGACTCAGACAACTATTCTGGCCCTCTCTTCCACTTTTAAGAGCTCTCATAACTACCTTGGGCCCCTCAGACAATCCACGATCAGTTTCTTACCTTAAAGTCAGCTGATTAGAAAGCTTAGTTCTATCTGAAACCTTAATTATTTTTGCCATGGGACCTAACATACTCACCGGTTCTGGGGCTGAGGACATGGATATCTCTGGAGGAGGGGTGGGGGCAGGGTATTAGTCTGCCTTCTTCAGTGATCAACTTGTCTTCTTAGTTCATATATCTCCAGATAAAGAGAAGCTACAGGCAGACTGGACAATAATTACTGCACATCTCCTGGAAATGCTTGATTTTGATTTAGATACAATGGCTGGTTGAGGTTTTGGGTTTTCACTTTTGGGCATATTCTCTGTATAAGATATTTGATGACCAAAAGAGTGGGCTGTCACAGTCTGAATAGCCACCCACGAAACTCAGTTTTTCTTCCTGAGCCCACAGCTAGAATAACACATTTCAAAACTTCCTTTGCAATTAGGTGTGTCTGAGTTCTTAACAATGAAATATGAGTGGAAATGAACTGTGCCACTTCCAGTTCTGGCCTGTAAGAAACTCCACTCATCCTTCAGGCACCATTTTCCCCCTCTGACTAAAAGCAAAAGAACACTGACTTGGGGGACATTTTTGAAAACGGCAGTGCTATAAACTAGAAAAAGTGTGGGTCCTTAAATATTACTTAAAGCAGAACCACTTGCAAGTTTGGAACACCTATTTTTTACTTTATGTGAATGACAAATGATCTTTTATAAGGTTAAGTTTTGAAGCTTACTTTTTACAGCTACTAGTGATACCTTTATTTATATGTTTCAAAGTAACACTGAGTGATCAGTTATAATCAAAATTGTGCACCCTATTATTTTATAAGAATAAGTACCATTAGTGATCATGGAATCAGTTGTTTTTAAACAGTTAGTTTTAGAACCACTGACCGTTTCTTACATTAACTACCACATCCGTAAAATGGGTACCTGCCTCATGTGACTGATGTAACTACTAAGAAAGAAATTTAAAGCACTTAGACTAATGTTATAGAAACAAGAAAACTTTTCATTAATGTCTATTATTATTAAAATTATAAATATTGTGCAAAAAATAAATATTGGTTATTTATACACATATAAAGGTACACAAAAAAGGAGCCAATTTATTTGGCTCACTAGAAATCATCACTTTATAAACAAAAATAGACAAAAACTCAAGTAGAGCATGCAACACGTGACTATTTTCTTCCTCATGCACCATTATTGTTCAATTTACTATTCTCATTGGAAAATCCCGTAGTCAAGTATTGTTTTAAGCTCATTGAAATAACAGATTAACTGTACCACTGCTTACCATTCACACTTCAGCTCAGTGTCTCAATATATAAAGCATCCAACCAATTAATCTATCCAACAGCTATTCATTGAGCATCAAGCAAGCTTTTATTTTCACCAGAAATTTTTAAAAAGTAATTTCCTTCTCATGACTCTTACCTCTAGTGTAACTGTTATTTTTTCCAAAGATTTTTTCTACATCACTATTTATAATGAACATACAAATGAAACATATAAAACTATACTCACCTTTGAATATTTACTACAACTTCTTGAGTTCTAGCAAATTGCATTTTTTTTTCTTTTCTTTTTTGAGACGAGTCTCGCTCTGTCGCCCAGGCTGGAGTGCAATGGTGCGATCTCGGCTCACTGCAACCTCTGCCTCCCAGGTCCAAGCAATTCTCCTGCCTCAGCCTCCCAAGTAGCTGGGACTACAGGCATGTGCCACCACGCCCGGCTAATTTTTGTATTTTTGTAGAAATGGGGTTTCACCATGTTGGCCAGGCTGATCCTGAACTCCTGACCTCAGGTGATCTGCCCACCTCGGCCTCCCAAAGTGCTGGGATTACAGGCATGAGCCACCACACCTGGCGCAAATTGCATTTTAATTTAAATATGGACATTGTCCTTTTCTTATTTTTAATATTTTCAAGTGTACTTAAAATATGCTTCATTCAAAGTATATGAAGTTTATATATATTTTATATTTTGTATGCATACATCATGAATAAAACAGTTTTATCCAAATACTGCTGAAGAGGCATTTAGCAAGTTTACTTCATTAATACAGCCCCTTTAGATAGAACTACAAGACTTTGGGATTTCCATTAAATGAAAAATAAATAATAAAGAAAAAAATACAAATGTCAATCAACAGGTTTGTTTGAGCCACATGATGCCAGAAAATGATTGAGCTGATTTTATTCTTTGAATTGACAATATGGAGTTTTCACTATTGACTGGAACTAGCAGATGTTATGGCATAATGTAGAGACAATTAAAGCATCCTGAGCAGATGAAACTCCTATCTTATTTTCAAAGATATATGAAAAGGATTTGACAACTTCATGTGGAAATAAATTATATTTGACTACTGTCACTTTTTGGAAAGACTTCTATTCTAAGTCTTGTACTCTTTATTTGAAAATCTGATTTTGCACTCTTTCTTTAGAAATCTGATTTTGTTCTTATTCTATTTCTAATAAAATTTGAGAACATGAATTTGAGAATGCTTTGGAAATCCATGAATGCCTTCAACATATGTTTAACATAATAGAAAAGGTAAACTATGCCCATTTATATGTATAATTAATGAACAGGAATCCCCTTTGTTAACGTTTATCATATTTGTTATTACTAGTACAATATCCTTTTTCTCTGCTGAGGTATGGTCTCCACAAATGCAAGAGCTATATCTGATAAGTTCATGGCCCAAAATAATTACAAAACAAGTGTTTACTGAATAAACAAATGGTTTAATAAGTAAACTTGGCTTAACGATATTGATACCATATTATATTTAACATTTTGAATTACCTTGAATTATATGTCATATTTTGGATGAATGCTATTTAAGGAAGTTTTCCTACCTGTATTTTATGTACTTATACTTTAGGAAGAAATAAAATATCAAATTCAGGTTGTGAATAGTCAGTGAATCTGTTGTTTGAGTTGATGCTGGTTTATCATGATACTAAAAATGTAATTATATTATAGGTTAAGGAATAGTTAACAAAATACTCAAATGACAATAGTTTGTTTTGAAATATTGGCAGTTTTACAGTGACTTGAACTAGATTTGTCATTACATTACGTTGAACCTTATGCTACTTTCTGCTCATATATCAACGTATGAAAGGTTATAACAACACACCTAATAAATTAGAAAGATAGAAATTTAATGTTCCTTAGATAAATTGTTAATAATTTATATTCTAATTTTAGAGATAAGCTAAGAAATTTTATATAAAATGAACAAACACATTTTTCTTGACATTCTTACACATATTTATAAAATCTTAATTAGGAATTCTGTTTCAAATGCTGTTTTTTGCAGATGAAAAATAATACAGTGACATGAGCTAATTCTTATGTTGGTTTATAATTTTTATTGGCTTAGTCAAAGAATCATAATAATCATAGATAATATTTTTTAAAAGGGAGCATTTTTTGAGCTGATATATTGGTTAAGCTACCCCCAAAAAATGCATACGAATTTGAGAAGGAAAAGTGAACGTTTAAGTTCACATCAACATTCATCTAACATTATAAATTTGGTTCACTGGTGATTGGGATACATAGGTGAATAAGAAAGAATTCTTATTCTCAAATAATTTTAATCAAAGAGCAAGAAACATTATGATTTGTAATATGACTTAATAATGTAAAGGGTGGCATATATCTTAGAAAAAAGAAATAGGCCATTACAGGAATTCCAAAGCGTATATATAATTTCCAGTTAGGCCTATAGGAGGGAAGAGGTGTTTGAAATTAGTCAAAAGAATCAATGGTGGGTATTAAGCATTTTTAAAAATAGTGGCCCATGTACCTTTTAACTCTTAGGCATAACTAAGACCTACCTTGATGATCGAAAGACATGGAATGTAACTGAAATTCCTTTTCAGAATAACAAAGTGGTATTTGGGGGTTCAATTTTTAGTATTTAAATATAGTAAAATGAGAAATAGGGGCTCATATGTGATTCTAATAACACAGAGCAGAGGGTATATTAAGAGGCTGAGCTAAAATCTGATTCATGTTTTATAACCTAAGCCTAGTTTTCTTAAAGGGAAGACACAGATTTTCGATTTTGGTTGTTTAAATCTCCTTTATAATGTCTTTAACATATTCAAAATGCCCAAAGCGGGTTTGGTTCTAGCAGGGCAGATAAAGTAATAATGGAACGCTATGCATAAATGGGGTAAAGTGCCACAACTGTCAGAGGCAGCTCTAACTGACAAAATTCTTGCAACCACAGAGGGAGGGTCAGAGACTAAGTAGAATACATTGCTGTCTGTTCAACAATGAAGTCACCCAGTATTTTAATGGAGAAATTAATTACAGGAGACTAGTCACTCCATATTTTTGTTATTATCATTATCACTATTATTATCTTAAGTGGTTAAACTATTATAAGCCTTAAGGTTAAAAGGCAAATTACTTCTCTGAGCACTCTTTGCTTTAACTTAATAAAATTGAACATAGCTCTCTATACAATTTTAAGCATGATAACAATGCACAGAGGGTGTATGTAAAGTTTTATCTTGAGTGGCATGGCTCCAAGCAGATAGTATGAACAGTGCCCTCGGTCTATGATTACAGGAACGTAAACATTATACAACCTCATCTTCCTTATCATGATGAGGAGGACAATTTCAGCATAGCATTTAGCATTTTCAAGTACTTAGAGCTGTAAGAGTATTTCTATTTTTACAAGGCTTTATGTCAAACACAATTTTACCTTCCAATTTTAAAATGACAGTTGGTCAAAGTTTACAGCTTATAATTTCTGATGGCTCAGTGCACTGATGCTTCTTTTCTAGGTTATTAAATGGATATGGGATATTAAACTGAAATGAGACAAATCTTGACAGTCCTAGGAAACATTTAGATACAGAAAGGATAGAAATTTGTATTTATTAAGTTGAAACTTTAAAAATTACTTGTATTGTTAAAATTCCACTTTCTTCTTCTCAGTATTTAATAAGGACTTTTATAATTTTTTTAGAGTGTAAATACCTTTCTAATCAATTTTTAAATATTTGTAGCAATATTAGAAATCAAATAATACAATAGGACTTATTCTGAAAATATTTAGAAAATCTCCTTTATCACTTTTCTTAGCCCATGTTAAAGTCCCAATATAATTATCCTTGAAGTGATTTCCAAAATTAAATATATATATATTATCATAACTCCACATCTTGTTTAACTTTAGAAAAGAACATATTAGCTCCTTAATAGGACATTAAAAGTTTTAACTCATTTCATTATCTACATTCAACTGTCTCCAAATAGTTGATGTCCTTTACATGTTACTTTGTTGGGCACCTTCATAATCATTAATATCTTCATATTTCAACTTCTTTTTCTACAAAATTACTTACATATCTTGATTCCTTACTGTACAGGATGAGGATATCAGTGTCTCTATATATTCCTCACATTCCTCTCCTCTCTCATCTCCCACCATCTGCCACCTACAGATTTACATTTATCAGGGTTGTTAAATCTTACATTTTCATCTTCAATCATATGACAACATTTTTGCCTTGCTTGAAAATTTACATAACCTAAAAGTAAATTTGCACAAGTAAAATACAGTGCAAATACTACGACAATGTTAATAATGTTTATTGGTCAATAAATAAATCAGTCAGTTTACCAGAATTACAATGATTTCTTTTGGATTCAATATATTCACCCTACATTATTTGAAGTAAACCATTTCAGGAATCATCATTATGTACTGTATAACAACATTTTGGTCGATGATGGCCTGCATATACAATGGTGGTTCCATAAGATTATAATATCTTACTTTTACTGTACCTTTTTGTCTCTTCAGTTTGTTGATTGTTTATTTTTCTTTCTTTTTTTATTGAGACAGAGTCTCGCTCTGTCTCCCAGGCTGGAGTGCAGTGGTGCAATCTAGGCTCACTGCAACCTCCACCTCCTGGGTTCAAGCGATCCTCCTGCCTCAGCCTCCCAAGAAGCTGGAATTACAGGTGCCTACCACCACACCTGGCTAATTTTTGTATTTTTAGTAGAGATGGGGTTTCACCAAGTTGGCCAGCTGGTCTTGAACTCCTGACCTCAAGTGATCCACCCGCCTCAGCCTGTCATAGTGCTGGGATTACAGGCATGAGCCACTGGCCTTATCACATTTTCTTTATCCATTCATCTGTTGATGAACACTAAAGTTGCTCCCAAACATTGACTATTGTCTCTTCATTTTGTTGATTGTTTCTTTTACTGTGCAGAAGCTTTTTAACTTGATGTGATCCCATTTGTCCATTTTTGCTTTGTTTGCCTGTGCTTGTGAGGTATTATGCAAGAAATTTGACAGTCCAACAACCTGGGGAGTTTCTCCAATGGTTTCATTTAGTAGTTTCATAGTTTGAGGTCTTACATTTAAGTCTTTAATCTATGTTGATTTGATTTTTGTATATTACAAGAGATGGGGGTCTAGTTTCATTCTTTTGCATACGGATATCCAGTTTTCCCAGCATTATTTATTGAAGAGACTGTCCCTTTCCCAATGTATGTTCTTGGCACTTTAGTTCAAAAATGAGTTTACTGTGGATGTATGGGTTTATTTATGGGTTCTCTATTTTGTTTCACTGATCTATCTGTCCGTTTTTATGCCAGTACCATGTTATTTTGGTTACTATATCTCTGTAGTATAATTTGAACTCAGGTAATGTGATTCCTCCAGTTTTGTTCTTTTCACTTAGGATAGCTTTTACTACTCTGGGTCTTTTGTGGTTCCATATAAATTTAAGCATTTTTTTTCTATTTCTGTGAAGAATGTCATTGATAGTTTTATAAGGATAGCATTGAATCTGTAGATTGCTTTGGATAGTATGGACATTTAAAAAATATTGATTCTTCCTATCCAAGAACATGAAATGTCTTTCCATTTTGTTGTGTCCTCTTCAATTTCTGCGTCACTGTTTTATAGTTTTCATTGTACAGATCCTTTACTTCTCTGGTTATGTTAATTTCTAGGTATTTTATTTTATTTGCAGCTACCGTAAATGGAATTGCATTCTTGATTTCTATTTCAGATTGTTCACTGTTGTCATATAGAAATTCTAATGATTTTTGTGTGTTGATTTTGTATCCTGCAATTTTAATGAGTTTGTTTATCAGTTCTAATAGTTTTTTGATGTAGTCTTTAGCTTTTTCCAAATATAAAATCATATCATCTGCAAACGGGATAATTTGATTTCTTGCCTTGCAATTTGGATGTCTTTTGTTTCTTTCTCTTGTCTGACTGCTCTAGCTAGGTCCTTCAGTACTATATAGAATAACAGTGGTGAAAGTGGGCATCCCTGCCGTGTTCCAGATCTTAGAGGAAAGGCTTTCAGTTTTTCCCCATTCAGTATGATGCTACCTGTGGGTCTATTGTATGTGGCTTTTATTATGTTGAGGCATGTTCCTTATATGCCCAGTGTTTTGAAGGATTTTATCGTGAAGTGATGTTGAATTTTATCAAATGCTTTCTCAGCATCAGGTGAAATAATCATTTGGTTTTTATCCTTCATTCTGTTAATAGGATGTATCATATTGGTTGATTTGTCTATGTTGAACCCTCCTTGCATCCCTGGGATAAATCCCACTTGGTCACAATTAAAAATCTTTTTAATGTGTTGTTGAATTTGGTTTGCTATTATTTTGTAGAGGAATTTTGCATCAATATTCATCAGTGTTATTGGCCTGTAGTTTTCTTTTCTTTTTTTTTGATGTGCCTTTGTCTAGTTTAGATATCATGGAAATACTGGATTTACAGAAAGGATTTGTAAGTGTTCCTTTCTCCTTTATTTTTTGGAATAGTTTGAGTAAGATTGGTATTAGTTCTTTAAATGTTTGGTAGAATTCAGCAGTGAAGCCGTGAGGTCCTGGGCTTTTCCTTGCTAGACTTTCTGTTGTGTCTTTTTTTTTTTTTTTTTTTTTTAAGACGGAGTTTCACTCTGTTGCCCAGACTGGAGTGCGGTGGTGTGATCTTGGCTCACTACAATACAACCTCCGCTTCTCGGGTTCAAGCAATTCTCCTGCCTCAGCCTCCCCTGTAGCTAGGATTACAGGCATTCGCCACCACGCTGGACTAATTTTTGTATTTTTAGTAGAGATGGGGGCTTCACCATGTTGCCCAGGCTGGTCTCAAACTCCTGGCCTCGGGTGATCAGCCCACCTCAGCCTCCCAAAGTGCTGGGATTACAGGCATGAGCCATCGCACCTGGCTGTTGTGTCTTTGATCTTGTTACTTGTTATTAGTCTGTTCGGATTTTGGATTTCTTCCTGGTTCAATCTTGGTAGGTTGTATGTGTCTAGACATTTATTGATTTTTTTTCTAGATTTTCCAATTTATTGGCATGTAGTTTTTCATGCTAGCTGTTAATGATCATTTGAATTTCTGTGGTATCAGATGTAACATCTGCTTTTTCATCTCTGAAATTATTTACTTGAGGCTTCTTTCTTTGTTTCCTTCATTAGTCTGGCTAAAGATTTGTCAATTTTGTTTACCTTTATAAATAAAACAACTTATTTCATTGCACAATAATTTTCTTCATTTCAAATTCATCTATTTCTGCTCTGACCTTCATTATTTCTTTTCTTCCACTATTTTGGGTTAGATTTTCTCTTGCTTTTCTAGTGCTTTATCATGCATCATTAGGTTGTTTATTTGTAGTTTTTCTAATTTTTTGATATAAACCCTTATAGCTATAAACTTAATTCTTAGTACTGCTTTTGCTGTATCTCACAGGTTTTGGTATGTTGTGTTTCCAAAGTCATATGTTTCCTGAAATTTTTTAATTTTCTTCTTAATTTCTTCCTTGATCCACTGGTCATTCAGGAGCATATTGTTTAATTTCCGTGTGTTTGTATAGTTTCCAAAATTCCTCCTGTTAATGATTTCTATCTAGGTTTATACCATTGTGGTCAGAAAAGATGCTTCTCCTCAGAAAGAAGGGTTCTCTTTTGGAGCTGAGGGCTGTGCAGCCTGGCAATGGGGAAGTAGTGGCACAAGCACTCCCTTAGCCACCTAGGCTAGTGTCTTAGTAGATAATATGCCCCCAAGTGCACTGGCTCTGAGCCCAGCCCAGCACTGGGACTTGCCTAGGAATTGCAGTCCTTGTGGCCTAGACTTTCAAGTTTATTTAGAGCCCCAAGCACTTTAGCCTCTGGTGATGCGGCTTGCCAAAACTTATATTCTGACTGCTTGATGGGCAATTCTCATTTGTCTAGGGCTGATTTAAATGCTCCTCTATGGGTAAGTGTCAGCTGAGTTCAGCCAGGTTTTGCTTTCCACTGTGACAGAGCAGAACTAAGTTCAATGCAAAGTTTTATAATTGCTGTTCTCTCCCTCTCCTAACTGCACAGATTCCCTATGTCACACTGTCACTGCTGGGGGATGGGAAAGGGTGGCATTGGCAATTCAAGACTGTTTTTCCTACCCTCTTCAGTTCCTCTTTCGGTGGTATGAAGTTAAAACCAGTTACTGTAAATGCCCACCTGATTCACCTGATTTTTGGTTCTTATGAGGGTGCTTTTTTGTTTGTAGGTAGTTGTCAAATTTGGTGTTCCTATGGTGGGCATGATGGTTGAAGCCTTCTCTTTGGCCATCTTGCCTGCCCCTTGTTCTGGAGTCCCAGAAACACTTAAAGTCATATTTCATTTTAGTTTCTTACACATTTAAACTACGACTGCTTTGTAACATCATTTTATTTTTTCTGAATATTCTAATTGATTTCACTTTTCCTTACTAAGAAAAAAAGAGCAGTGCATTTCTATCCCAAATATTTTTCATCAAATTAGTTGACTATACCCAACTAATTACCTGTCTCCTCCCCCTCCAACGTGTTTTTCTTTCACTCTTCTTGTCCCGATAAATAGAAACTCTGTTGTTTCAGTTCCTCATTCCAAAAATTTTTGTCAATCTTGGCTCTTCTGTTTTTCTTTCATATGCTTCCAATCTAGCCAAAATTCCTATCAGCTATACCTTTAAATGGCATCTCAAACCTGACTATCTCTTGTCATTTTTATCATTAAAATCCTGTTGCAAGTAACCATCATCTTTCCTCTGAATTACTTTAATATTCCCTTCACTGTTTTTTTTCTATTCTTTCTCACTACCAATATATTTTACATAAAACACAATGACCCTATCAAAGTTATTAAATCTTCTTACTCAGAATTAGATGCAGCCTCTTTTACAGCCTTAAGGTCCCCCAAGACATCCCATTAGGTTTCTATTTTCTTCTTATTCAGCTCGTCCTCTTATTCTCTCCACTTACAGCTGCACTCTACTCTTTCATTTTCCAAAAACATTAGGTTTCAGCCCAAATTAGCCTTAGGAGAGAGAACTTCTCTGTGCAATCTGCTAAAGATAACACCTGCTACCATTCGCTCTTAAACCATACATTCTTTACCTTTCATGTCTTATCTAACACCAATGAAAATAATATGTTTGCTTACATTTTTTCTTCTACCACTAGAATATATGTTCCTTAAAAGTAGGTTCTCTTAGGCCGGGCGCGGTGGCTCATGCCTGTGGTCCCAGAACTTTGGGAGGCTGAGGCGGGTGGATCATCTGAGGTCAGAAGTTCGAGACCAGCTGGCAGACATGGTGAAACCCCGTCTCTACTGAAAATACAAGAAAATTAGCCGGGCATGGTGGTGGGCGCCTGTAATCCCAGCTACTCGGGAGGCTGAGGCAGGAGAATGGCTTGAACCTGGGAGGCGGAGGTTGCAGTGAGCCGAGATCATGCCATTGCACTCCAGCCTGGGCGACCAGAGCAAAACTCCGTCTCAAAACAAAACAAAACAAAAAGTAGGTTCCCTTCCCCACTCCCTTGAACTACTTCACTCACTGCTGTGACTTTGGTGCCTACAGAAGTGTGTAGAATAAGGTAGGCACTCAAGAAATGTATACTGACTGAAGGAAAGAATTATTTTTGCATTTGATTATATCCTATGAATTATACAACCTACTGGATGGTGCCTTCTTTTTTTCCACAAAGACATCTATTCTGGATGCCTTTGTCCACCTGCTTCAAAAAAACTGCATGTTTTAGGCCTTGTGCAGGTTGTTAAAGAGGATTTTCAGACCTAATAAACTGTGATTCATGTACAGTTTTCTGAATCTCATGCCTTTTATTTGTTATATCCTCATTTTGCTGAAGTAAAACAGTGAGTAAATTGTCAGAAAGAGTGTTTCAGAAGTAAGCTAGTTGATTCATTGCATTCTGAAAATATATTTGCTTTCCTGGTTAGAGAATCCTAGATTCTAAATGTTTCTCTCAGAACTTTTAAAACATTGCGCCAATGCATTCTGGCATTCAGTATTGTCCATTAACAAGTGCTATGACTTCTCTTTTCTCCTCTTGAAATTGTTAGTAACATTTCATCCTTACTGTTATAAAATCATGATATGTTTATGTGTGGATCTTTCCTTACTTCTGTTGTGTTGGGCTCAGTAAGCAATAAACCCTTTTATTCTGAAGTTGTTTTTCTGCTAAAGGAAAATATTCTTCTAGTATTTTTCCATCTAATTTCTTGGTTTTCTCTTTCTAGAGAAATAACTAGTGGGTATTCTACAACTTGAATAGATACTCTACAAATTATATATTTCTCATACTTTTCAAAGCTTTATTTTTAAAGCTATTTTCTAGGAGATATTCTCAACCTGATTTTTTATCTCTTTGCTTATTTTATTTTAGCAATCATATTCTTAACCACTATGGACCCAATTTATTCTATCATCTTTGCCTTTTTATAGCATCTTGTTTTGATACAGCTTTATTGTTGCTAATTTCCCATATACGTGAAGAATTAACTATTGCCTTGGACACATACTTTTATTTTGATTACATTTACTCCCATTTTTTAAGTAAAAGGGTTTGGTGATGGGGACCCAGAACTAATTGGCTTTTATGCTAATAAGGCTAACTCTTTAATAATGATATCTCTTACTTAATGTAAAATTGGATAAAAAGCAAAAAACCATGGTTCTTATGTGACTAGGTGTGCCCCTTATTCTGCATTACTTTGAAAAACCACAGAAGTTTGGGGTATCTCCATGGGGAAAAAGGAGAGTTACTGAAGGGTCATGTCTCCTGGTCCCCCTCATTACATATATTTTTTCACTGCCTCTTTGACTATTTGATATTAAATTAAAGTAACTTAAGCTGATTTGCAGTTGTCATTCTCATTCACAAAAATTTGTTTGATCTACCTCATTTAACATAGATGGCAGGATTAACCATAAAATTGTCATGATTTAAGTGGGGTGAAGGGAAAAATAAATAATAGTCTGAGAATTCTACACAATGTTTGCGAACTGAATCAAATCTGTGGCACTCAGAAGACAGCATATGAGCCACGGAGTGTCACCAAGAGGAAATAGGATCTCAGGACTGGGTGCTGATGACAGCAACAACTTTGCATCTAAATATTTCTGTGGATTGTTGCAGCTACTTGGATATTGTAGCCATGTCCAGCAAACTAAGGAGGTCAGATTCATTCTACTTCTCACTGTCACTGGGCTGGTGTTTAACAAATTGAGGAACCACATTTTTTTGTGTCTATTTCCCTTCTGGGTCCGTACTTTGGCTGTACACCAGCATGACAAAGGCTTTTCTAGCTGCAGTATGCATTTAGACTTTAAGTGGTGAAATGTAATGCTTTTTTCATGTATACATTCTTCTCATTTGTTTCTTTCACATAAATGATTTAAATTTTACATTCAGGGTTTACATGTGAATATTTGTTACATGGATACACTGTGTAATGGAGGGGTTTGGGCTTCTAATGTACACAGCACCCAAATAGTGAACATTGTAGACCATAGGAAATTTTTAATTTTAAAATTTTTTTTATTTATTTGTATTATACTTTAAGTTCTAGGGTACATGTGTACAATGTGCAGGCTCATTACATAGGTATACATGTGCCATGCTTGCCTGCTGCATCCATCAACCCGTCATTTACATTAGGCTTTTCTCCCAATGCTATCCCTCCCCCCGCCCCCACCCCACCACAGGCCCTGGTGTGTGATGTTCCCCTTCCTGTGACCAAGTGTTCTCATTGTTCAATTCCCACCTATGAGTGAGAAAATATGGTGTTTGGTTTTCTGTCCTTGTGATAGTTTGCTCAGAATGATGGTTTCCAGCTTCATCCATGTCCCTACAAAGGACATGAACTCATCCTTTTTTATGGCTGTATAGTATTCCACGGTGTATATGTGCCACATTTTCTTAATCCAGTCTATCATTGATGGACATTTGGGTTGGTTCCAAGACTTTGCTATTGTGAATAGTGCCGCTATAAACATACATGTGCATGTGTCTTTATAGTAGCATAATTTATAATCCTTTGGGTATATACCCAGTAATGGGATTGCTGGGTCAAATCGTATTTCTAGCTCTAGATCCCTGGGGAATCGCCACACTGTCTTCCATAATGGTTAAACTAGTTTACACTCCCACCAACAGTTTAAAAGTGTTCCTATTTCTCCACATCCTCTCCAGCACCTGTCGTTTTCTGACTTTTTAATGATCACCATTCTAACTGGTGTGAGATGGTATCTCATTGTGGTTTTGATTTGCATTTCTCTGATGACCAGTGATGATGAGCATTTTTTCATGTGTTTCTGCATAAATGTCTTCTTTTGACAAATGTCTGTTCATATCCTTTGCCCACTTTTTGATTGGGTTGTTTGTTTATTTCTTGTAAATTTGTTTAAGTTCTTTGTAGATTCTGGAAATTAGCCCTTTGTCAGATGGGTAGATTGCAAAAATTTTCTCCCATTCTGTAGGTTGCCTGTTCACTCTGATGGTAGTTTCTTTTGCTGTGCAGAAGCTCTTTAGTTTAATTAGATCGCACTAGTCTATTTTGGCTTTTGTTGCCATTGCTTTTGGTGTTTTAGTCATGAAGTCCTTGCCCATGCCTATGTCCTGAATGGTATTGCCTAGGTTTTCTTCTAGGGTTTTTATGGTTTTAGGTCTAACATTTAAGTCTTTAATCCATCTTGAATTAAATTTTGTATAAGGTATAAGGAAGGGATCCAGTTTCAGCTTTCTACATATGACTAGCCAGTTTTCCCAGCACCATTTATTAAATAGGGAATCCTTTCCCCATTTCTTGTTTTTGTCAGGGTTGTCAAAAATCAGATGGTTGTAGATATGTGGTGTTATTTCTGAGGCCTCTGTTCTGTTCCATTGATCTATATCTCTGTTTTGGTACCAGTACCATGCTGTTTTGGTTACTGTAGCCTTGTAGTATAGTTTGAAGTCAGGGAGCGTGATGCCTCCAGCTTTGTTCTTTTGGCTTAGGATTATCTTAGCAATGCAGGCTCTTTTGGTTCCGTATGAACTTTAAAGTAGTTTTTCCCAATTCTGTGAAGAAAGTCATTGGTAGTTTGATGGGGATGGCACTGAATCTATAAATTACCTTGGGCAGTGTGGCCATTTTCACAATATTGATTCTTCCTATCTATGAGCATGGAATGTTCTTCCATTTGTTTGTGTCCTCTTTTATTTCATTGAGCAGTGGTTTGTAGTTCTCCTTGAAGAGGTCCTTCACATTCCATCTAAGTTGGATTCGTAGGTATTTTATTCGTTTTGAAGCAATTGTGAATGGGAGTTCACTCATGATTTGGCTTTCTGTTTGTCTGTTATTGGTGTATAGGAATGCTTGTGATTTTTGCATTGATTTGGTATCCTGAGACTTTGCTGAAGTTGCTTATCAGCTTAAGGAGATTTTGGGCTGAGTCAATGCGGTTTTCTAAATATACAATCATGTCATCTGCAAACAGGGACAATTTGACTTCCTCTTTTCCTAATTGAATACTCTTTATTTCTTTCTCTTGCCTGATTGCCCTGGCCAGAACTTCCAACACTATGTTGAATAGGAGTGGTGAGAGAGGACATCGTTGTCTTGTGCCAGTTTTCAAAGGGAATGCTTCCAGTTTTTGCCCATTCAGTATGATATTGGCTGTGGGTTTGTCAAAAATAGCTCTTATTATTCTGAGATACATTCCATCAATACCTAGTTTATTGAGAGTTTTTAGCATGAAGGGCTGTTGAATTTTGTCAAAGGCCTTTTCTGCATGTATTGAGATAGTCATGTGGTTTTTGTAAATGGTTCTGTTTATGTGATGTATTACATTTATTGATTTGCATATGTTGAACCAGTCTTGCATTCCAGGGATGAAGCCGACTCGATCGTGTGGATAAGATTTTTGATGTGCTGCTGGATTCGTTTTGCCAGCATTTTATTGAGGATTTTCACACTGATGTTCATCAGGGATATTGGGCTAAAATTTTCTTTTTCTGTTGTATCTCTGCCAGGCTTTTGTATTAGGATGATGCTGACCTCATAAAATGAGTTAGAGAGGATTCCCTCTTTTTCTATCAATTGGAATAGTTTCAGAAGGAATGGTACCAGCTCCTCTTTGTACCTCTGGTAGAATTCAGCTGTGAATCTGTCTGGTCCTGGACTTTTTTTGGTTGGTAGGCTATGAATTATTGCCTCAACTTCAGAGCCTATTATTGCTCTGTTCAGGGATTCAACTTCTTCCTGGTTTAGTCTTGGGAGGGTGTATGTGTCCAGGAATTTATCCATTTCTTCTAGATTTTCTAGTTTATTTGCATAGAGGTGTTTGTAGTATTCTGTGATGGTAGTTTGTATTTCTGTGGGATTGGTGGCAATATCCCCTTTATCATCTTTTATTGCATCTATTTGATTATTCTCTCTTTTCTACTTTATTAGTCTTGCTAGCAGTCTATCAATTTTGTTGATCTTTTCAAAAAACCAGCTCCTGGATTCATTGATTTTTTGAAGGGTTTTTTGTGTCTCTATCTCCCTCAGTTCTGCTCTGACCTTAGTTATTTCTTGCTTTCTGCTAGCTTTTGAATTTGTTTGCTCTTGCCTCTCTAGTTCTTTTCATTGTGATGTTAGGGTGTCAATTTTAGATCTTTCCTGCTTTCTCTTGTGGGCATTTAGTGCTATAAATTTCTCTCTACACACTGCTTTAAATGTGTCCCAGAGATTCTGGTACATCATGTCTTTGTTCTCTTTGGTTTCAAAGAACATTTTTATTTCTGCCTTCATTTCATTATTTACCCAGTAGTCATTCAGGAGCAGGTTGTTCAGTTTCCATGTATTTGTGTGGTTTTGAGTGAGTTTCTTAATCCTGAGTTCTAATTTGAATTGCACTGTGGTCTGAGAGACTATTTGTTGTGATTTCTGTTCTTTTACATTTGCTGAAGAGTGCTTTACTTCCAACTATGTGGTCAATTTTGGAAAAAGTGTGATGTGGTGCTGAGAAGAATGTATATTTTGTTGATCTGGGGTGGAGAGTTCTGTAGATGTCTATTAGGTCTGCTTGGTGCAGAGCTGAGTTCAAGTCCTGGATATCCTTGTTAACCTTCTGTCTTGTTGATCTGTTCAATATTGACAGTGGGGTGTTAAAGTCTCCCATTATTATTGTGTGGGAGTCTAACTCTCTTTGTAGGTCTCTAAGGACTTGTTTTATGAATCTGGGTGCTCCTGTATAGGTGCACATATATTTAGGACAGTCAGCTCTTCTTGTTGAATTGATCCATTTACCATTATGTACTGGCCTACTTTGTCTCTTTTGATCTTTGTTGGTTTAAAATCTGTTTTATCAGAGACTAGGATTGCAACCCCTTCCTCTTTTTGCTTTCTATTTGCTTGGTAGATCTTCCTCTATCCCTTTATTTTGAGCCTATGTGTGTCTCTGCAAGTGAGATGGGTCTCCTGAATACAGCACCCTGATGGGTCTTGACTCTTTATCCAATTTGCCAGTCTGTGTCTTTTAATTGGGGCATTTAGCCCATTAACATTTAAGGTTAATATTGTTATGTGTGAATTTGATCCTGTCATTATGATGTTAGCTGGTTATTTTGCCCATTAGTTGATGCAGTTTCTTCCTAGCATCGATGGTCTTTACAGTTTGAAATGTTTTTGCAGTGACTGGTACTGGTTGTTCCTTTCCATGTTTAGTGCTTCCTTCAGGAGCTCTTGTAGGGCAGGCCTGGTGGTGACAAAATCTCTCAGCATTTGCTTGTCTGTAAAGGATTTTATTTCTCCTTCACTTATGAAGCTTAGTTTGGCTGGAAATGAAATTCTGGGTTGAAAATTCTTTTCTTTAAGAACGTTGAATATTCACCCCCACTCTCTTCTGGCTTGTAGAGTTTCTGCCGAGACATCTGTTGTTAGTCTGATGGGCTTCCCTTTGTGGGTAACCTGACCTTTCTCTCTGGCTGCCCTTAATATTTTTTCCTTCATTTCAACCTTGGTGTATCTGACAATTATGTGTCTTGGGGTTGCTCTTCTCGAGGAGTATCTTTGTGGTGTTCTCTGTATTTCCTGAATTTGAATGTTGGCCTGCCTTGCTAGGTTGGGGAAGTTCTCCTGGATAATATCCTGAAGAGTGATTTCCAACTTGGTTCCATTCTCCCTGTCACTTTCAGGTACACCAATCAGATGTAGATTTGGTCTTTTCACACAGTCCCATATTTCTTGGAGGCTTTGTTCCTTTCTTTTTACTCTTTCTTTCTCTAAACTTCTCTTCTCACTTTATTTCATTAATTTGATCTGCAATCACTGATAACCTTTCTTCCACTTGATCGAATCAGCTATTGAAGCTTGTGCATGCGTCACGTAGTTCTCGTGCCATGGTTTTCAGCTCCATCAGGTCATATAAGGTCTTCTCTACACTGTTTATTCTAGTTAGCCATTCATCTAATCTTTTTTCAAGGTTTTTAGCTTCCTTGTGGTGGGTTAGAACATGCTCCGTTAGCTCAGAGAAGTTTGTTATTACCAACCTTCTGAAGCCTACTTCTGTTAGCTCGTCAAAGTCATTCTCCATCCAGCTTTCTTGGGTTGCTGATGAGGAGCTGCGATCCTTTGGAGGAAGAGGCACTCTGGTTTTTAAAATTTTCAAATTTTCTTCTCTGGTTTCTTCCCATCTTTGTGGTTTTATCTACCTTTGGTCTTTGATGTTGGTGACCTACCAATGGGGTTTTGGCGTGGATGTCCTTTTTGTTGATGTTGATGCTATTCCTTTCTGTTTGTTAGTTTTCCTTCTAACAGTCAGGTCCCTCAGCTGCAGGTCTGTTGGAGTTTGCTGGAGGTCCACTCCAGACCCTGTTTGCCTGGGTATCACCATTGGAGGCTGTAGAACAGCAAATATTGCAGAACAGCAAATATTACTGCCTGTTCCTTCCTCTGGAAGCTTCGTCCCAGAGAGGCACCCACCCGTATGAGGTGTCAGTCGGTCCCTACTCAGAGGTGTCTCCCAGTTAGGCTACACGGGGGTCAGGGACCCACTTGAGGAGGCAGTCTGTCCGTTCTCAGAGCTCAAACACCATGCTGGGAGAACCACTGCTCTCTTCAGAGCTGTCAGACAGGGACGTTTAAGTCTGCAGAAATTTCTGCTGCCTTTTGTTCAGCTGTGCCCTGCCCCTAGAGGTGGAATGTACAGAGGCAACAGGCCTTGCTGAGGTGTGGTTGGCTCCACCTAGTTCAAGCTTCCCTGGCTGCTTTGTTTACCTACTCATGCCTCAGCAATTGCGGACGCCCCTGCTCCAGCCAGGATGCCGCCTCGCAGTTCGATCTCAGACTGCTGCGCTAGGAGTGAGCATGACTCCGTGTGCATGAAACTTGCTGAGCCAGGTGCGGGATATAATCTCCTGGTTTGCAGTTTGCTAAGACCTTCAGAAAGGCACAGTATTTGGGTGGAAGTGTCCTGATTTTCCAGGTCTTGTGCTTACTGGGTGAGGCAATGCCCTGCCCTGTTTTGACTCTCCCTCAGTGGGCTGCACCCACTGTCCAACCAGTCCCAATGAAATGAACCAGGTACCTCAGTTGGAAATGCAGAAATTGCCCGTCTTTTGCATCAATCATGCTGGGAGCTGCAGACTGGAGCTGTTCCTATTTGGCTATCTTGGAATGGAGCCAGGCATTCCAATAGGTAATTTTTAAATCCTCATCTCCTCTCCCACCCCTCCTCTTTTCGGGATCCCCAGTGTGTACCATTTCCATCTTTATGTCCATATTTATGCATTGTTTAGATCCCACTTACAAATGAGAACATGATATGATTGATTTTCTGTTTCTGATTTGTTTCACTTAGGGTAATGGCCTCCAGATTTATCCATGTTGCTGCAAAGGACAGGATTTTATTCTTTTTCGTATCTGTGTAGGATTTCATGGTGTCTATATATCACATTTTCTTTATCCAATCAACCATTGATGGACACTTTGGTTGATTCCATGACTTTGCTATTGTGAATAGTGTTGCAATAAACATACAAGTGCAGATGGCTTTTTTTTTTTTTTTTTTTGGAGACAGAGTCTCACACTGTTGGCCAGGCTGGAGTGCAATGGCATGTTCTTGGCTCACTGCAACCTCTGCCTCCCAGGTTCAAGAAATTCTCCTGCCTCAGCCTCTGGAATAGCTGGGATTACAGGTGCATGCCACTATGCCCAGCTAATTTTGTAGTCTTAGTAGAGACGAGGTTTCCCCATGTTAGCCAGTCTGGTCTCCAACTCCTGACCTCAGGTGATCTGCCTGCCTAGGCCTCCCAAAGTGCTGGGATTACAGGAATGAGCTACCGCGCCCAGCCAGGTGGCTTTTTTATATAATAATTTTTTTCTCTTTGGGTAGATGCCCAGTCACAGGATTGCTGGGTCAAATGATAATTCTATTTTGCATTCTGTGATAAATCTCTATACTGTTTTCCATAGAAGTTGCACAAATTTATATTCCCACCAATAGTGTATAAGTGTTCCCTTTTGTCCTCATGCATGCCAACATCTGTTGTTTTCCAACTTTTTAGTAATAGTCATTCTGACTGGAGTAAGATGGTATCTCATTGTGATTTTACTTTACATTTCTCTTATGATTAGTGATATTGAGCATTTTTCATGTTTATTGGTCACATGTATGTCTTCTTTTGAGGAATATCTGTTCATGTCCTTCATCCACTTTTCAATGGAATTGTACTTTACTGTGCATAAGTTCTTTAGTTTAACTAAGTACTATTTGGCTATTTTTATTTTTGTTGCATTTGCTTTTGGGGTCTTAGAAATTCTTTGCCTAGGCCAACTTCCAGAAGAGTTTTTTATAGTTTTAGATCTTACATTTAGGTCTTTAATCCATCTTAAGTTAAATTTTTATACGGTGAGAGATAGGCATCCAGCTTCATTCTTCTGCATATGGTGATCTAATATTCCCAGCATCATTTATTGAAATTAATTTTTTATGACCTTACCAACAGATGCACCTGTTTTTAATTTTTTGTGAACTTTGTCAAAGACCAGATGGTTGTATGTATGTGGCTTTATTTGTAAGTTCTTTATTTTGTTCCGTTTATCCGTTTATCCATATGTCAATTTTTGTACCAGTACTATGCTGTTTCAGTTACTATAGACTTGGAGTATAATAATCAGGTAATCTGATGTTTTTAGCTTTGTTCTTTTGCTTCCATATGGACTTTAGCTTTTTTTTTTTCTAATTCTGTGAAGAATGACATTGATACTCTCATAGGAATTGCATTAAATCTGTAGATTGCTTTGGGCAGTATGGTAATTTTAACAATATTGATTCTTCTAATCCATGAGCATGGGGTGTGTTTTCATTTGTTTGTGTCATCTATGATTTCTTTCATCAGTGTTTTGCAGTTTCCTTGAAGAGATGTTTCACCTCCTTGATTAAATGTATTACTAGGTATTTTTTATGTGTATGGCCATTGTAAATGAAATTGAGTTCTTGATTTGATTTTTGGCTCTATAGGAATGTTACTGATTTTCATGTGTTGATTTTGTATCCTGAAACTTTACTGAAGTTGTTTATCAAATCCAAGAGTCTTTGGGAGTATCCCTTAGTGTTTTCTAGGTATAAGATCGTGTCACCAGCAAACAGAGATAATTTGACTCCCTGTTTTCCAATTGTGATGTCTTTTATTTCTTCCTCTTGCCTGATTGCTCTGGCTTGGACTTTCAATACTATGTTGAATAGGAGTGATCAGAGTGGGCTTCCTTGTCTAGTTTGAGTTCTTAAGGTGAATGCTTTCAACTTTTCCCCATTCAGTATGATGTTGGCTATGGATTTGTCATATATGATATAAACATACCTCAAAATAATATCAACATGTCATATGATTTCAGTAATAATATGTCATATATGATATTTTGAGGTATGTTCCTTTAATGTCTAGTTTGTTGAAGGTTTTTATCATGAAGAGATATTGGATTTTATGCATATGAGATGATCATATTGTATTTACTATTAATTCTGTTTATGTGGTGAATCGCCTTTATTGAGTTGAGAATGTTGAACCATCCTTGTATCCTTGGAGTAAAACCCACTTGATTATGATGAATTAACTTTTTGATATGCTGTTGGATTCAGTTTGCTAGTATTTTGTTGAGGGTTTTTGCATCTATATATTCATCAGGAATATTGGCCTGTAGCTTTCTTTATTTGTTGTGCCTTTGCCTGATTTTGGTATCAGGGTATTACTGGTTTCATAGAATGAATTAGGGAGAAAACCTTCCTCCTTGATTTTCTGGAAAAGTGTCTGTAAGATTGGTATCAGCCCTTCTTTGTATGTCTGGTAAAATTTGGCTTCGATTTTTTGTGGTCCTGGGCTTCTGTTTTTGTTGGAAGATTTTTTTTAATTACTGATCCAATTTCGTTACTAATTATTGATCTGTTTAGGATTCCTATTTTTTCATGGTTCATTCCTGGGAGGGTGTATGTTTCCAGGAATATATCCATTTCCTCCAGGTTTTCCAGTTTGTGTGCATAGAGATGTTCTTTGTAATCTCTGATGACCTTTTGTATTTCTGTGTTATCAGTTGTAACGTCACCTTTATCATTTCTGATTGTGCTTATTTGAATCTTCTTTCTCCTTTTCTTGGTTAAACTAACCAGTGGTCTGTTGATTGTTTTATCTTTTCAAAAAACCAACTTTTTATTTTGTTGATCCTTTCTAGAACAAATTAAACCCACAGCTAGCAGAGGAACTAAATAACAAAGATCAGAGCAAAAATAATGAGATTAATTTATACATTCTAAAATTTGTGTTATACTTAGAAAAGCTTTACCTTGGATCAGGAAAATCAAATTCTTACTGTTTCTTTGAATATTTTATTGTTTACTTTTTTACATGTATATTTTTGTTTCTTTGGAATTTATTCTGCTGTACAGAATGATGTAAATTTCCAATTTTAAAAATATATTTTTCCTAGTGTTTTAGTCAACTTCATAATATAGGAAAATTTTATATAAACATGTATACATTTATTTTCATATACATATGCACTGATTTATGTTTGTGTATTTATGAAACAGTGCTACATTGTGTTTAGTTATTCAGCTTTAAAATGATTTTCATGTTTATAATTTATCTGGCCCTTCTTATTTTGCTGTTGTGGTTGTTGTTTTTTCCATATTATATCTATGGAAATCCCTACAGAAAAGATGTGACATTTTAAATGTATTAATTCAGGGAGAGTTTAATAAAGAAACAGTATACGAAGATGTGGGCAAGGTGTAGAAGGAAGGGACACGGCTGTTCCTGTGACTATTACTATCTGGATACCATTATACTTAGGCTTAAGAAGGTGAGAAGGGGCAAGAGGAGGAAGCTGTTATCACAACCCAGAAGAAGTCATGTAGCAGCTACTAATTGGCAATATGACTTGCCATTGGGGCCTAGAGTACATGCAATTGAAATGCAGAAGACAAGCGGCCCATTGATGCAGTCCGTATAGTTCACCCTTCAAGCCCAGAGCAAGTTAGAGAAGGATAGATAGAAAATACGCAAGGATATGTGGACATTGCTCAGCAAAATAAATGCGTTTTGCTTCCCAGTATGCACTTGTATCTTTCATTTAGTTGACAAGTTTGTGCTCACCTAGAAAGAGGAACACTATCAACTACTTTATCATTGTGAAGTAAGATCAATTCATGTATCCCATTATTTGAACCCTAAATTGTTGAATAGGTTATTACAATATTGGATTTGATAAATGTAATTATATCTTTACAATCTCTATCAGAAAGAATTCTTCAGACTTAGAGAAAGATTTTAAACACATGAGTAGCATGTGATTATTTGACATGTGGAAAGGGCTATAGAGTAGCCACCAGTCAAAGTGTAGAACAGGAGAAATTAGATAGATAGGTAGATAGATAGATAGACAGACAGATAGATAGATAGACATGGCTGGGTGTGGTGGCTCATGCCTGTAATCCTAGCACTTTGGGAGGCCAAGGCAGGAAGATGGCTTGAGCCCAGGGGTTCCAGACCATCCTGGGCAACATGGCCAAACCACATCTCTACAAAAAACACAAAAATTAGCCAGATGTGATGGCACATGCCTATAGTACTGGCTACTTGGAAGGCTGAGGTGGGAGGATGGCTTGAGCCCAGGAGGTGGAGGTTGCAGTGAGCCATCATTGTGCACTGCACTCCAACCTGGGCAAGAGACCCAGACCCTGTCTCAAAAAAAAAAAAATACGTAGGCACAATTTCATAAATTATAAAATCATGTATAAAGAAAATCAACAGGAAGTATAAGAAAATATTTTGAGTAATTTTATACTAATACACTCACTAACTCAAATAAAATGGATGAATTCTTTGAAAAACAAAGCTAATAAAACATATAAAAGAGGATTAGGACATCTGAATAACATTACTGAATTCTTTATCAAAGTTGACTTCATTGTCATGAACGTGTCAATATAAAAATCTCCAGACCCAAGGCTGGGCGTGGTGGCTCACACCTGTAATCCCAGGACTTTCGGAGGCCGAGGCAGGCAGATCATGAGGTCAAGAGATTGAGACCATCGTGTCCAACATGGTGAAACCCCGTCTCTACTAAAAAGACAAAAATTAGCTGGGTGTGGTGGCACATGCCTGTAATCCCAGCTACTCAGAAGGCTGAGGCAGAAGAATTGCTTGAACCGAGGAGGTGGAAGTTGCAGTGAGCCGAGATTGTGCCACTGCACTCCAGCCTGGCAACAGAGCGAGAATCCGTCTGAAAAAAATAAATAATAAAAAAAATAAAAATCTCCAGACCCATATGGTTTCAAAGGAGAATTTAAGTAAACATTTAAGGAAGAAAGAATAATATTTACATAATGTATTTCAGATATAGACAGATTCTTATTTCATTAAATGGATGAAGACATCATTTATACCAATACCTAAGATACAAGAAGAAAATTATAGACATATATCTCATGATATAATTTCAATGAAGGATTTGCAAAATAATTAGCAACATATAAAAAGGGAAAATTCATCACAACCCCTGAGGTTTATCTAAGAAATGAAAGGTTGGATTAAAATTTAGAAAATAATTACTACTAGCAAAGTGAGAGAAAAAACGTACTATCTCAGTCTCAGAAGATGAAGAAAAAACAATTAACAATTCAATATCCATTCATGATGAAGGTTCTCAGCAAACTTGCTCAGTCTGATAAGGAGTGTCTATAACCAAAAAGATTATATCTCCCTACTTAGTGCTAATATATGTAATGCCCTTTCTTTAAGATTAGGAACATGGCAAGTATGTCTTCTCTCATTACTGCATTGAAAAATATATGAAAGGTTCTACCAGGGCATGTGGCAAGAAAAATAAAAGTAACTTGGATTGGAAAGGAAAAAGTAAAATTGTCTCAATTAAAAATACAATGTAATAATTTATAGTATTAACATTATGTTATTAAAATAATTACATTATTATAATTACTTTCTTGTTAATTGCAATATTTAGCAATCTACAATCAAGAAAACAACTACTAACACTACCAGTCAAATTTAGCAAATACACAAGACAGAGTGAGCATTTAAAACTAACAGTATGACCATCCTTACCATTATTCTGGTTCCTCCATTAATGTACAAATTAAATATTTAGTACATACTCACTTCATATTTCTTTGAGAGTCATGCTTTTCACCTTTGAAAATTATTCTTTGACAGTTTGGAAGTTCCTCTACATGGACAATTAAACTGGATTTCTTTGGAAATGCCACACATGGGTTCTTTAAGTTCAGATACATCTTTTGTCAGCTCTTTGTGTGACTCTACAGTGATAAAAGTATTGTATTCTCTGTGACTCAGGTTTTGTTTTCTCCTGATTCTGTATTTTTTGTATGTGTTTCTGGGTTTTGTCCAAGTTTGGTTCTTTATCTGGTTTGAGCTGTTCATTAAATTATCCTCCAATAGAGGCAGTAAAAATTGTCAGTTTGGTTTTATTATCTGTCTGATCATTTGATAATCTCTGACAGATAGGCATGGGGATCTATTTCTTTTGAGTGAGAAGAAAAAAGGAGGATGTTATTTGTCAGAGTTATTTTGTTTGTTTCTTCTTGTCTCTTTTTCTATTTCTGTGAGAACACATCTCACTTCCATTAGAAAAAAATTTTATTTAATATAAGAAATATCAAATTGTTGTGAACTGTAGTTACTCTGGTCCAAGAATGACAGTTGTAGCTATAAAGGATAGAACAGATAGATAGATAGATAGATAGATAGATAGATAGATAGATAGACAGATTAAATTTAAAATTGGGACCCCAATTCACTATGCCAAAGGGAAAAAAATTAAGCTGAAAGCAGAGTCATGCAAGAAACTGCTTTCCCTTTTGTTGCTAAGCAGAGAGCTACAGGTAAAAGATTAAATGTATCCACAGGTAGCTACTTTATGTAAAGTGCCAGTTTACTGAGTACAAGATGAATATATAATTGACTATTCCCCTACCTGCTCCTTTTCTCTCCCAACATGTGTATTACCATACCCTCCCTCTTTCCCCTCCAGTCCACTTTTCTCTTTAAATATTGAAGCTCTCAAAATCATCTTTGGAGAAAGCCAAAGACCATAAACTTTCTGTGATTCTGCATTTTTATCTCCTGGACATGTCCTTAACCTTGGAAAAAGAAACTTCTAAATTAATTGAGGCATGTCTCAGATACTTTTTGGTTTACAATAGGTTCATACACACAGACATAAGTATAGATATATATTGGTGAAAATAGTGGATCTGTTCAAATACTAAGTCATAATAAGATTTCTCAATTATCTAGGCTCCAGTTTTCTCTGTGAAAGAGAATTTAGTAACTTTGTTTAAATGTTTTATTTAATATATGTTTGAAACTCAGCTAGAAACAAAAATAGCAAAGAAGACAATTACTCTACTGCCAAATATCATAATAATACAAGTTTTGAATATAATTTACTCACTGTCAAAATAGCACATTAGTTTTGAAGTACCTTAGTGGGCTACAAACAAAAGAAAGTCGAAAGTTATCCCTAACTTGTGTAATTTGCCCAGATAATGGAGATTTGTAATCTCAACAGAATAGCTTTCTGTGCTTTATATTGATTTTTATATTTCTGATGAAGCAAAAACCACCACACAAATACGTTCTTCTGAAAGAGCTAAGTTTGTTTTTTACAAGTATACCAGCTTCTACTAGGTTTTATTTTTAAATATTTGAATTTTGTCTTTGATTTATAGGTTTCTAGGCTCTATCTTCCCCTTGGTCTCAGGTACTTATGTTTCTGTTTCAATTATGTGACAAAATTATCTCATTTTTTTAAGTTTTTACTTCTCAGGGTAAGACCCTAATTTCAAATAATACAATTTTCAAGATGAAATTAGTAATATCTTTGGAGTTTCTCAAAAGTTTCCTCATCAACTACAATGATTGTTTACCTTACGGTAAGAGACCACTAACATAATTAGGTTAATTTGGAAAGCTCCATATTTCTTGAATAGCTCAGTACCAGAGAACAAATATTAGGGGGAGTTTTTAGAAGTTCAAATTTCTTTATGTTCATTTTGTTCAGATAAAGTATTTTTAGTTAAGATCTATTACAGAAATCGTATATTTTCAATATGGACAAGAAGCCCGTGGAGCTTTGTCAGTGCCTTCCCTGCCTATCATATACCCATTCTTAATGTCAGGGAAAACAACAATTAAATTCTTGTGAAATAGTTATGTACTACACCCAGTAGAGAATTTTCATCTCCTTTATTCTGATAGTGTTTTTTTTTTTTGTTCACTGTTACTGTAATGAATTAACCAGTAAGTCTTATCTGCCGTAACAGCCTTATCTGCCTTATCAGTCTTATTGTCAACTTGTGGTTTCTGTTTTAATCTCCTGCTTATTTGAAGACAGCTATAAACTGCAGGCTAGATATTACATCATCAACAAAGAAGGGTAGTCTTATAAAAAGTACTCTACCAGGTGCTCTTAACTATAGATACTTAAATAATTTTTGGCTACAGGCTTCTGAGCTGACATTGTATAGAGAACTATGAGAATGTAGGAGAAATGAAAGGCAAGATTTCCAGTACACTTTGTAGACCAGAAGCAGATGAGGTTGTGGTTGCAGACTAAGTGCCCAAGTTCCAGTCAAACAAGAATATAAGATTAAATTAAGTGACGAAGGAAATATAACTGTGATTAATTTGTTTGGAAAACTGTAGGCATTATTTTGTCATCTTTTCTCTAATGAAGGTTTTCATTTTTCTTCTTAATCTACTTCTGAACTTTAATTTAGACTATACTATTACACACTGAAATAAAATATCTCAGAAATCAGGAATGAATAGTTTCACCGAATCATTTTAATTTTGCAGTAACTTTATTGAGTTAAAGTTCACATAAAATTATGTGTATATATTTAAGCTATATAATTTGATAAGTTTGTCACGCATATACAAGGAAACTTCAAAAAGTTCATGGAAAATGCACATTATGAAAAAACTATGTATGGATTTCAAAATTATTTTTGCTCCAAAATAAACTCGTACTGACTTGTTATGATATGTTTGAACAAGATCTAATTTGAGGCACTAAGAAGTATAAGACACCAGTTTGAAAGGAGCCCCTATTAGAGCAACATGAATTCTGCTAAAATTGAAGCAAGAACAAACATCAGATTTATGGTGAAATTTGGGTGGAAGAATAGTGAAATCATTAATGCTTTACAAAAAGTTTATGAGGACAACGTCCCCAAGAAATCAACAGTTTCCAAATAGACAACTTACTTTAAGAAGCAATAAGACGATGTTGAAGATGAAGCCCACAGGAGCTCATCATCCACATCAGATTGCAAGGAAAAATTCATCTTGTTCATGCCGTAAATGAAAAGGACCAAACAGCAGAAACAATAGCCACCACCATAGACATCTCAGTCAGTTCAGATTACACAATTCCGACTGAAAGATTAAAGTTGTACTAACTTGTCACTCAATAGGTGCCAAAGCTATTGCACCCAGATCAGCTGCTGACAAGAGCAGAGCTTTCAATGGAAATTTTAAACAAGTGGGATCAAGATTGTGAAACATTTCTTCAAAGACTTGTAAAAGAGATGAAACATAGCTTTACCAGTACGTTGCTGAAGACATAGCACAACAGTAACAAAGAGGTGAAAGTGGTCTAGTCAATGCAAAAGCATACCAGTCAAGAACAAAGGTCATGGCAACAGTTTTTTTCAGACCTTCAAGGCATTTTGTTTATTGATTTTCTGGAGGGCTAAAGAATGATCACATCTGCTTATTATGAGAGAGTGTTGTGAAAGTTAGCCACAGCTTCAGCAGAAAAACACCCAGGAAAGCTTCACTACAGAGTCCTTCACCACCAAAACAAGCTCCTGATCATTCCTCTCATCAAACAAGAGCAATTTTGTGAAGGGTTTGATGGAAAATCATTAGGCATCCACCTTGCAGTCCTAATTTGGATCCGTTTGACTTCTTTTTGTTTTCTAATCTTAAAAATAAAATCTGTAAAGGTCACCCATTTTTCTTCAGTTAATAATGTAAAAAAAGACTGCATTCACCTGGTTAAATCCCCAGGATCCTCAGTTCCTTAGGGATGGACTAAATGGCTGGTATCAACACTTACAAAAGTGCCTTGAACCTGATGGAGCTTATGCTGAGAAATATGTTTATATTTATAATTTTTATCTTTTAATTCCATTTCCTTGAACTTCTTGAAGTCCTTTTGTACTTGTGAAACCATCACCCCAATTAAGCTATGAACATGTTCATCACCCCCAAAAGATTGATTTTGCCCCTTTGTAATCTATCTCTGTAGTACCTCTCTCCATCCACAGGTTCCGCTTTCATTCACTATATATTAGTTTATGTTAATAAGGTTAAATACACTTTATCATACAACTAGGTAATTCTACTTTTAGGTATTTACCCAAGAGAAATGAAAATGTATTTCCACAGAAATATTTGTAATATTCATAGTGGCCTAAAACTAAACAATTCAAATATCCAAGAACAGGTGAACTAATCAACCAGTTTTGGTACATACATGCAATGGGATACTAGCCAAAAATAAACTACTGATTCATAAAACAATATGGATCAATTTTAAAACCATTATGCTCATACAGAAAAGTACATTCTGTCTAATCCTATGTGTTTAAATTTATAAACAAGTGAAAATAATCAATGTTCATAAAAATCAGAACACTTGTTGCTTTTTCGTATGGGGATTGACTGGAGGTGGGCAGCAGACTATGATTCTCTGGTGAGAAAATATTCTAATCTTGATTGTGGTGGTGTAAATATTTGTCAAAACTTATTGAATTGCCCAAAAATAGTGCATTTCACTTTATGTAAATTTTACCTCAGTTACAATGATTTCTTGCCCCTCAAGACTAACATGTGCTAAGGAGAGCGGAGGCATGAAGTGTTTATTTAAGCAGTTTTTCCTGGGACATCATCCATTTCTGCTTCAAACAAAAATGGTCCACATTTACATGCTTAGCATATTGCTCTCCTGTTTAAGATTCATTCTGATGGGTGCTAAAGACAGAATCTACCTACATCCTAGATTAAAACAGAGGGGTCGAATTATTATCCCTTTGAAATTATGTCCTTTGCAGTAATAGGATTGGAGCTAGAGACCGTTATCCTTAGTGAGCTAACTGAGAAGCAGAAAATGAAATATCTTATGTTCTCAATTGTAAGTGAGAACTAAACAATGGGTACACATGAACATAAAGATGGAAATAATAGACTCTGAGGACTCCAAAAGTGGGGAGAGAGGGAGAAGGATGAGGGTTGAAAATTGCCTATTTGGTACAATGCTCAATATTTAAGGGATGGATATACTAGAAACCCAATCCCCACCATTACACAATATAGCCATGTAACAAACAAGCATATGTATCCCCTGAATCTAAAAGAAAAATAATTTAAAAAGCAAATTTAGCAACAAACCCCAAGAAATATCAACTCACTCCCAGACTAAATTTTTTTCATTCTTATAAAGCTAAGATTCTTATACTATTCATATACTCAATACTTACCATTGTGGAAGACAGTGTGGCGATTCCTCAAGGATCTAGAACCAGAAATACCATTTGACTCAGCCATCCCATTACTGGGTATATACCCAAAGGATTATAAATCATGCTGCTATAAAGACACATGCACACGCATGTTTATTGTGGCATTATTCACAATAGCAAAGACTTGGAACCAACCCAAATGTCCATCAATGATAGACTGGATTAAGAAAATGTGGCACGTATACACCATGGAATACTATGCAGCCATAAAAAAGAATGAGTTCATGTCCTTTGTAGGGACATGGATGAAGCTGGAAACCATCATTCTCAGCAAACTATCGCGAGGACAAAAAACCAAACACCGCATGTTCTCACTCATAGGTGGGAATTGAACAATGAGAACACTTGGACACAGGAAGGGGAACATCACACACCAGGGCCTGTCGTGGGGTGGGGGGAGGGGGGAGGGATAGCATTAGGAGATATACCTAATGTAAATGATGAGTTAATGGGTGCAGCACACCAACATGGCACATGTATACATATGTAACAAACCTGCAGGTTGTGCACATGTACCCTAGAACTGAAAGTATAATGATAATAATAATAATAATAATAATAATTTAAAAAAAGAGTTTGGCACCATTAAAAAAAAATACTTGGATTATGGGAAAAAATGTAAAAGTAAAACAACATTTTTTTGCTATACTCCTTTATGAATACAAACAATACTTTAGGTAATGCAATTTTTAAATTGTTTTGCTCTAGTTTTTAATTTTTTAAAATTTATTTTAATATTTTTATTTTATTTTTAAAGACCTATATCAAGATATCATTCACATAGCATACTATTATTTTTAATTGAAAGATAACAGTTATGTATTTATGGGTTAAAACATGATGTTTTGATAAATATATACAATGTGGAATGATTAAGTCAACCTAATTAATATATCCATCATATCAATTGTAATTTTTGTGGTATGACATCAGAAATTTACTCTCTTTGCAATTGTGAACTATATAATACATTATGATTATCTGTATTAACTGATTACCTATAATCACCCTGCTGTGCAATAAATCTTACAAACTTATTCTTCCTGTCTAACTGAAATTTTGGACTCCTGACCAACATCTCCCTATTTCCTCCCCACTTCCCACCCAGCCTATCATAATCACCACTCTACTCTTTACTCCCATGAGTTGGAAGTTTTTAGATTCAACATACAAGTGAGATCACGCGGTATTTGGATTTGTTTTTCTGTGCCACTTTTTTCACTTAGCATATTGCCCTTCAGGTTTATCTACATTGTTGAAAATGACAGAACTTACTTCATTTTTAAGGTTGAATAGTATTCCATTGTGTATATATACCACATTTTCTTTATCCATGCATATATTGATGAACCCTTATGTTGATTCCACATCTTGGCTATTGTGAACAATACTGCAATTAATATGGGTGTATAAATATCTCTTTGGCATATTGATTTCAATTCTTTTGAATATATACCCAAAAGTGCAATTACTGGTTCATGTGGTAGTTCTATTTTTAGTTTATTGAGAACCCTCCACACTGTTTTCCATAATGGCTGTATGAATTTACATTCTCTTCAACAGTGTGCAAGTATTCTCTTTTCACTACATCCTCACCAACTCTTACCTTGCATCTTTTTTTATAATAGCTATTCTAACAGGTATGAAATGATATATCATTGTGTTTTTAATTTGCATTTTCCTAATAATTTGTGATGTTGATCATTTTTTAATGAACCTGTTGGCCATTTTTAAGTTTCCTTTTGAGAAATGTCTGTTCAGATCCTTTGCACATTTTTAGATTGGGTTACTTGTTTCATTGCTATTGAGTTCTTTGAGTTCTTTGAATAAATTTGGAGGAGCTGATCATAATCCAAAAAGACATAATCCTGAATGCCATAATCTTTAATGTTGAAATTCCAAAAGATAAAAATCATGAAAATATAATTCTGGAAAAAATAATTAAGATTATTTAAAAGATATTTATTTATATTTTTGACAGGAAATATATTTGAGAAACATAAAAAACGTGACAGAATACTTCATAAGTCACTTTACACATACAGTAGGCAATAATAACAGATTTGTGCAAGCATATATACTCAGGTATTCTAAAGATAATTACATGACTATAAGTTATAAGCAGATGAACAGTATTCATGAAGAAATATGTCAAAAAGTGAAATCTAAAAAGTGAATCCATCTTTATAACTGCAGTCATCTGAAATATCCTGACAATCGATCTTCTGACCATATGGGTAAAAAACCATGATGGATCACCACCACACTAGTCATCCAAACAGCCAATATCTCAAGACATTTTACCTTTCACCAATTTGTATATACAAAAAGGAAATTGCTTCAGTGCTTGAGGAAGTTTCAAAATTTTTACATACATGCACAGTGTTTACACACAAGGCCAACATTATAATAAGGCACTTTCGTGGAGGAGTCACATTTGCAAAAAAAAAATGTATCAAATGAATTAGAAGTCTTTAAAAGTCTTCATACAGTTCATACCTCCAGTATTGGAAATGATGTAAAGATGAAATACATAATATAGAGAATTGCAAAAATAATGCTGAAATTTAAAACAGTTTAAAAAAATTGAAAAAAAGAAAAAACTAAAAAGAAAATTAGGCATATGAAAAAAGTGTATTATATGGACAGATTATGGGTAGATGCATGATGGAGATAATCCATAAGAGCTGGCCAACTGTCACAGTCATTAACGATCATTAACTATATTTTGAAGTCTTTCATCATAATGAGTAGCTCCTTTTTCTTCTTTTAAAACATGGCTCTCCTTGGAGAATACCTTCACATTCATTTTCTACTTGGCACTGCTCTTTTTGAAACTGTATAATTTGATATACACCTCATTTGATATAAATGAGTATTCCCTATTAAATTTTTTCATCTTCTGTACAATGCTTCTGTGTTGTTTTGGGTATGTGGAAATTCATTCCACATGCACTTATATACAGTTCACAAATTTGGTAGAAACAATACTCATGATCAAACAGCAACTCTGTTGCATATGTGTCATCTTCTCCTATCATGCATATAATTATTTTTGAACCAGTCAGTAACTCCTCTGGCTTCTTCAGACAAATATGGCCTTAATTCCTACAAAGCTCATGGAATGTTATCAGCTGAAAGAAATGCCAATGCAGACAAATGATATATTTTTAAATAGAAGTTTTGGTCATTGCCATATTGTATGACCAATCCACTCATCTGAATTTACCACCAAATGCATTGGGCTGAATGGATAAAACAAACTTCATTGGTAACACCTTGAAATTCACTTTTATAAACCTTGATCACACTTAATTCCAAATCTGTCATTATGGTTTGGAGATTCAATCGAAATCCATTTTCTCCTGCATAAAAACAATAACAAGGTCATAGTTCTGCCCAACATGATGTAACTATTCTGTGATTGTGACTTTTGGAATTTTAGACATTTGAGATTTTACACTAAGGATTTTGATCTTTCAGGATTTTGACATTTGAGATTATGACATTCAGCACTATGTCTTTTGGAATTATGATCCAAACCTATATTTTGCAAAAGGAGAAAGATTTATACAATTGGAAGAGAAAACAGAGTATCCAAACCCATATTTTGGATATTAACTCCTTATCAGATACATGGTTTGTAAATATTTTCTCTCATTCCATAGGTTGTCTCTTCACTCTGTCAATCATATCCTTTGCTGTGTATAGCTTGCTAGTTTGATACAATCACATTTGTCTATATTTGCTTTTATTGCCTGTGTTTTGGGGGTTACATCCAAAAACTCATTGCCGAGATCAATGTTGCTAGTAGTTTTTACAGTTTCAGGTTTTATATTTAAGTTTTTAATCCATTTTGAGTTGATTTTTGTATATAATGTGACGTAATAGTCCAATTTCATTCTTCTGCATGTGGATCTCCAGCATTGCCAATGCCGTTTATCCAAGAAACTGTCTTTTCTAAATATCAGTCATTTTTCAAAGTTCATTTAGGAAGGGGTATAATCGATGCAGGTTAAAGACAAAAATTCACTACTAAGATAAGTACCTTTTAAGATTAAAAAAAAAAAACAGTGGAAAGTGCAGTGAGAAATCTTTTCCTGGTTTTCTAATTGCCTAGGGCTACTTTTTGCCACTTAACATCTTTATAAATCAGAAGCTTCTTCATTTGTGCAAACTTTTAAAGCTTATGTTAATTCTTGGTAACACTTTAGAGAAGTTCCTTTGTTCTGTTGTCATCAAATGTATTTAATTGTCATCAAATGTACACTAGGTGAGCAGGTGAGAAGAATCTAGAGTAAATGTATGTCCACAGAGAACTAAATCAATTCTCTCAGAAATGAGGCTTGATTTCCTTAAGATCTATTTCCACTTCCAAGTTCAATGTGTCCTAGGTCCCCAGTTGAGAAATATTGCTTTAAAATAAGAGACCCATAAGGAAGTGGTGATTTTAATATCTGTTATGAGGGGAAAACAGGCACCTATTTAAAAGTACTTAATGCATATATTAAAACAATTATTACATTGTTTTATTTGTTTAAAGGTAAGTAGTAGGGTTTCCAGCAGGGATGTCCAGCTTTAGAGAATGTACTGAAGTAATTTAATGTTTCTGTTTTTATAATTCACAAGGGCCATTTAACAGTTATATTAGAGTAAGTTAAATGCACATCACACATCTTAACATTTTAAGAAAGATCTCTATTTTTTTATATTTGCTATTTATCTGTAAACAAAGGCTCGAGTTAAGTTTTACAGCAGAGTTTATTCCCTATTAAACTTTAAGAAAGGACTCAAAGGATCAAGAAAGATGCAAAAATTCTTTCACACTGAGATACAAGATGACTGATACTTGCTTGAATTACATTTCTACCAAAAAATACATTTTAACAAAGGCACAAAATATATTCAAAGGATGTAACTACTACATAAAATGTTGAAAAACTTTCAAATATATTTGGAACATATTTGAGGAATTTAGGAGCAAGAGGTCTTTTTGGTCTTAAAATCAGCCAATAATTAATTCTGCATTTACTTAAGAAAATCTTTAGTTTCAACCATTTTGGACCTGCAGAACTTACCAGTTCTATATGGTTTAACCTAATGTTTCTACTTGCACAGCATAATTAACTCACCATGAGAAACAATTTTCTCTCAAGTCAAACCTTGTAACTAGGAAATGGTGAACATCAACTGGTAGAGGGTTCTCAGTACCTGGATGTAGTCATGTGTTTCTGTAAAAGACACTGTTAACTGTGTAGAATATTCTCCATTTACCTATTTAAATTAGCTTTTTATTGCAGTATCACAAACTAATACTAACTTCATTTACAACAGTACACATTTATTATCTCTGTTTCTGTGGGTTAGGAGTCCAAGTACAGCTATTGGGTCCTCTGTTTGTGGTCTCAAGAGCTATAATCAAAGTATAGGCCAGACTGTGTTCTTATCTGGAGGCCTAAGAAAGGATCCAATTCCAGGCTCACTTAAGTTTTTGGAACAGCTAATTTACTTGTGGTTGTAGGACTAAAGTGTCCTAGGTTCTTGCTGATTATTGGCTGGAGACCATTTTTAGCTCCTAGAGGCTGTCCTCAACTCCTAGAAGTCACCCACAATTGCTAGAGACCACTTTGTCTCCTTGTTATGTGTGCTTTCCCAATATGGCCATTTATCCATTTATTTTATCAAGTTAGCAAGGAGAATCTCTAAAGTGAGTGTGCTAGAAATATGAAATCCTATATAATGTAATATAATCGCAGGTATAGACAAAAAATGAAATTCTAAGCAACCCCAGTCAACTGAATGGACCCCTTCTCTTAGCCAAGGGCATTCCGCAGAAACCTAAAAAACTTAACTCAGGCCATGATGGGAAGAGGAGATTGGACATGCCTCATTATACCCACCTCCCTTTAAAAGTCAGGCACAACTGACCAGTATTAACATCAAAACAGAGATTTTAAGACTGACAAAACAGACCGTTTGTAGCAATAAGATGACAAATTCCAACCTGACTCTAGTATAGCATCACAAGACAGATAGCAGACACTGAAAGAAATTATTTTACCCCAAAATATATTTAATTGACATATTTTGAAATGGCCCTGAAAAACTGTCTCTTGTGGGGGAAATTTACATTCTGTTTCCAGGCATTTTTTTGATCCTGAAGAGATTAATGGAGAGTCTAGTACCTCTTAAAGGTCTGAATCAGAAACATTTGCCATCTATTGCCTTTAAGGTCAGCTACTTATAAGACTTCATCTACATAATAAGAACTTTGGTCTCTGCAACGCTTTATTTTAACCTAGACATTCCTCTATTGATTCCAGGTCTTTAGATAATAACTTAACTCTTTCAACCAATTGTCAATCAGAAAATCTTTGAATCCACCTACGACCTATAAGCCCACACTTTAAGATGTCCCACCTTTCTGGGCTGAACGAATGTAAACCTTTCATGTATTAAATTTTTGTTTTTGCCTGTAACTTCTGTCTCCCTAACATGTATACAACCAAGCCGTAACCCAACCACCTTGGGCACATTATCTCAGAACCTCCTGAGGCTGTGCCACAAATCATGGTCCTACATTTGGCTCGGAATAAATGTCTTCAAATATTTTACAGAGTTTGGCCTTTTTCATCAACATAGGAATGACATTGTACCACCTTTGCCATATTCTATTGGTTAGAATCAAATCACAGGCCCCACCTACACTAAGGGGTGGGGATTACACAAGGGCATAAACACCAGGAGGCAAGGATCCCTGGGAAGCCACCTTAGAATCTGCTACACTACCCCAACTGCATTTTCCTTGTTTTCAGTCGGAGCCCCAATTTTGTCTAGTGTCTCCTTGTATTAGTCATTTATTGCTGAACAACAAAATTGGTGGCAAAAAAAAAATTATTATCTCACAGTTCCTATAGGGCAAATATCTGGGCATGACTAAGCTGGGACCTCTAGCCCATGGTTTCTCACAAGTCTGAAAATGAAATGTTTGCAATCATCTCCAGACTTGATTGGAAAGATCCATTTCCAAGCTCACTCATATGATTGTTGACAAAGCTCAATTCCTCATGGGCCACTAGACTGAGAGTCTCAATTCCTCACTGTTTGTTGACTGGAGGCCTCCCTCAATTCCTTGCTGTGTGGGCATACTCACAATATGGCAGCTACATCTATTAGTGTCAGCAAGCAAGAGAGAAGGAGAGAGGGGAGCAAGACAGAAATCAAATACTTTTTGTAATTCAGTATTGGACATAACACCCTATTACTTTTACCATATCTATTTTTTAGAAGGCAATCACTAAATCTAGCTGACAATCAAAGGAGGCAGGAATTACATAAGGGTATGAATATCAGGAGTTGGAATCATTGGAGCCAATCTTAGACGCTTCCTACCATATTCCCTTGTGCAAAATGATTCAGGCATAAATCCTGATTAGTCTGACACCAATCATGATGATTCCTATCCCTTGCCACCAATTGGCTTAGATGTGTCATGTAACTCTAATCTGGTTAATAAAATATAGAGGGAAGCCAGCCTGGAGAGCTCTGAAATATCTCTTTTTCTCTTGGTTTGGTACTATCTAGGATATTAGAAGCCATTTTGTGACTATGAAAGGGACTGGCTGAAGGCAAAGTCAATGCCTTGAGTATATCAGAAGAGTTTCGGTTCTTAATGATGATGTTAAGCCACAGAGTTTGCCAATCTATGATCTTCCTAGTGCAGGACATTGTTTAAGATAATAAACTTCTTGTTTAAGTTATTTTTCATTTGAGTGTTTTATTATTTGCAACTGAATGCACCTTTAACTGACACAGTATCTCCTATGCAAAAAAGTACCTTGCCTTGTCTGAAGAGTTGAACTGAATCATCATTACTTTTTTTTCAGCTAGGAAAACATAAATCTTGGATATTAAGATACCTGGGACACAGCTCTAGTGAATGGAAAGATCACATGCAAAGTAAACCTGGTTTACAAATTGCTGTTTTCCCATGCTTAGAACTGCAATATTTGAACAAAATACTAAAATACAATTAATCATTACTTGTGAAAATTTTGAGTTGTTATTATACAGACTAGCGTGTCTCAATATTTAATGTCCATACAAAGCACCCAGGAATCTTATCAAAATGGAGATTCTGATTCAGTTGGTCAGAGGTGAAGTCTGAAAATCTGCATTTTCTGGCAAGCTTAGAAGTGATTTCAATGTTGCTTATTGTGAAGACCATGTTTTTGTAGAAAACATGTAGACATAGTCTGTTAAAAACAGTTTTTCAGAACAGAAAAAAATAAGCTTTTTTTTTTTAAGATACGACTTCAAAAGTATGCTCAAGTTTGTTTTTGCTTTTATTTTTCTTACTTTGATGCATGGGCGATAATCATAAGCTTAAACATTGCTAAAATTTTTTTAAAAGGTCTCACAAACCAAATAACATTTTTTCTGACTAGCATTTTTATAATTCTGTTGAATCATTGGAAAACACCAATTGCTTTTCAGTGTTGATTATCTTGATATTTATTAGGGAGTAAATTATACCTTAAAATAATGAGGCCAAGTGATCCTTTAATCCACAGGAAGCATGTCAGATGCTTTTTTCTTTAAAAGAAGAAAGCTTCCCTTTGATGTGCTGACAATTACATTGTGTTCTTCTTTGTAGTCTCCTGTGACTACTGATTTATATCAAAGCTTTGCTGACAATTCAGCATTTTCAGTCTGTTCTTCAGGCTGAGTGGAAATGTCAGGTAGTTTAGTTTAGATCATTCACTACAAGGCATAGGAAATGACTTTTATTTAGGCTGAAAACAGCTGCAAATTAGTAATATCCCAGAACCTTTCTGGAATGTCACTTTCATTTGAAATCCACAAGCCTAAATCATATAACGCAAGATTTGGATCCTTTAATGGAAGAGTTGACTATTTTATTTGGGATATGTATCCTCAATTGAAGTCTTAATTACTTTGGACTTGCAGAAGGCAATTTACTGCCCTTGGTAGAAATTATCTGACCCTTTAAAATTAATATTAAAGTGTTCAGGAAGACTCCTGCTTTGTCTTTTCAATTAGATAGGATACTTTAAAGCTCCTTGATAAATCTTAGTTTCTGGATGACAGAAGAGAAACATCCAGTCCAACATAATAAAGGACGTGTTTACAAAGCAATAAATCTCCATTTTATATTTCATTAACACTATAATACTGTAAAAGATTACATAAGCTCACATGAAAAAACTTTCACATTTAATATATAAGAATGAGTTTGCTACTAAGACTAAATTATCTCAAATCAATTCTAGGCTTCTAATTTTCAAATGTATTGTTATTTTAGATAAATACACATATTCCTTAAGATTGTGCTTAGATGATTAATTTTATCAGGATAATACTTTTCTTACATGATCAAATGTAGACTTTAATTCTTAACCCACATAGAAATAAAATTTCTGTTGTTAATTAATAAAGAAGTTGCAAGTATGCACATCCACATATATGCAGTTTAAAAAATATTTCCCACATTTGTATTAGTTTGCTTGGGCTGCCATAACAGAGTATCAGAGATGGTGGCTTCAACAACAGAAATTTTATTTCTCACAATTCTGGATGCTGGAAGTCCAAGACCAAAGTGTCAACAGGATTGGTTTCTTCTGAGGCTTTTCCCCTTGGCTTTTAGATGGCTGTCTTCTCCCTGTGTCTTCACATGGTCTTCCCTCAGTATATATCTGTATCCAAATTTCCTCTTCCTATAAGGACACCAGTCATATTGAATTAGGGCCCATGCTAAGGACATCCTTTTTACTTAATTACCACTTGAAAGACTATCTTCAAATATAGTCACATTCTAAGGTACGGGGGATAGGAACTTCAACTTCTGAATTTTGGGGAGATAGAATTCAGCGTATAACATGAATAAAATGCTACAATTAACCTTTTTCCACATCATTACATATCTTAGTGTCCACAATCCAGATATATGGGAATCCATAATAGATTATTTCACAATTTTACTTTGGATTATCTTCATTTTCACTGTTATCAATAAATATCTCTGTATTTAAATATTGCCCACATCTCTAACTATTTTCTTAGATAAATCCATCAAAGTAGGGTGATCAGTGGAATGGTAGATATTGCTTTGGCTTCTGATATGTACTTCTATACTACTCTTCAGAAGTGGTAACAATGCATACATTAGGCGGCTTTAGATAAGAGTTCCTCTTCATTATAACTTTGGTATCACTAAAGGGCATCATCATTCTAATTTTATGCTTGCCAGCTTCACCAGGAAAGTTTATTACCATTTTTTATTTTATTACTTTTCTTAGTGATGTAGACTCTCTATATGTTTATTAGCAATTTGCACTTAACTTTTGAAAGATTTTTATTCATGAACTGTCATGTTACTTTTATTTTTAATTTTTGTAGGTACATAACAGGTGTATATATTTGTGGGGTACATGAGATGTTCTGATACAGGCATGCAATGTGAAATAAGCACATCATGGAGAATGGGGTATCCATCCCCTCAAGCATTTATCTTTGAGTTACTAGCAATTCAATTACACTCTTTAAGTTATTTTAAAAGTACAATTAAGTTATTACTGACTATAATCACACTATTGCACAATCAAATAGTAGGTCTTATTCATTCTTTTTATTTTTTTCATACCCATTAACCATTCCCTCCTCTCTTTCAGACCTATGCTCTTTTTCATGCTTCATATATATATTTGCATATTTTACTCCATCTTTCATAAGTCATTATATAGATATGTCATTATCTATAATGACATATATATACATATTATATATATATATGTTTAGAAGTAAGCTATTGTTTTAACCACCCAATGAGTTTACCTTGCCCACAGCCTAGACAGAACTGATTTATCAAGACAGCGGAATAGCAATGGCGAAAGGGCAAGAGTTTTATTGTTACACAAATTAGTCTTCCTGAGCATTAGGGGATCAGAGTTTTTAACAATAATTTGGCAGGTAGGGGCTTGGGAAGTGAGGAGTGCTGATTGGTTAGGTTGGAGATGGAATCGTAGGGGGTCAAAATGAGGTTTTCTTAATGTCTTCTGTTCCTGGGTGTGATGGCAGAACTGATTAGGGCAGATTACTGGTCTGGGTTGTGTCCCCTGATCCATTGAGGGCAGGGTCTGCAAAATATCTCAAGTACAGATCTTAGGTTTTACAAAAGTGATGTTATCCCGGGAGTAATTTGGGGAGGTTCAAACTCTTGGAGCCAGAGGTTGCATGACCCCTAAATTGTAATTTCTAATCTTTTAGCTAATGTTAGTCCTGCAAACTCTGACTGGACCCTAGGCAAGAGGGGAAATTTTCGGGAAAGGGCTGTTATCAGTTTTGTTTCAGAGTCAAACCATTAACTGAATTCCTTTCCAAAGTTAGTTCAGCCTATGCCCAGGAATGAACAAGGACAGCTTAAAGGTTTAGAAGCAAGATAGAGTCAGTTAGGTCTGATTTCTTTCACTGTCATAATTTCCTCAGTTATAATTTTGCAAAGGTGGTTTCACTATGGAAACATTTTACCTCTTAATACCTTATTTTAGAGCAGGATTTCTCACCTTAGCACTATTAATATTTGAGTGAGACAATTTTATTTTTATGTAGGTGACTGTTGTATGCACTGTAAAATGTTTAGCACTTCCATGTTATAACAATCAAAAACAACTCTAGATATTGCCAAATGCCCCTGGTGAGAGACAAAATTGAGAACAACTGACTTCGGAGCATAGAACCATATATTGTATATATTTATTCATAAAAGCATATATTTAGTCCATAAATACATTTACATGCAAGAGATTTAGACATAACCAGAATATAGTTTGTTACAACTTTCAAGAGTTAGTTATGCTCATGTTGACTCTTTCACTCACAAATCAAATTGTTTTAATATACGCATATTTGTCACATAACTTGTGCTCAATATTAGACTATTCCTTTTCTATGAAAACTGTTTTACATAGTTTTTAATTTCCATATATTATGATGTTTTGGCATTTAAAAAAATCCTTTCTGGATGGGGAAAGACTGCCCTTCCCTGAAATAGGCAACTCATAAAGACATCAAAGATAACAAAGGGCCCAGCCAACAGCAGGCCCTGATATGCAAACTAACAAATTTAGGGTTTTACCTTGTCAATCTGGTCAGTACACCACAGTAGACAATATTACTTTGCTTTAATCATATGAAGGCCAGGTATCAGGCAACTAGGAAACACCCCAATAGCTTAGAGTCTTCCAGTATTATTCAAATTAACCAGTCCTAAATTGATCTCTCTGCCCTGCCTGGCTTTTCCCGTGGCATCCCCAGTAAAAGCTCTGGACTCATGCTTTCCCCTCTCCCTTGTCTTCTGCCTCTTGACCACCCCTGGCGTCTTTCCTCTGTGGTCCCATGTAGCGTGCCATGCCTCTGTGTCTAGGACCTGTGAGTGTAATAAACTTTATTTTTTATTGAGCTGCTCCTGTGTTTCCTCTTGTGGCCACAACCTGACTGACGATCTCATAGCAGAATATAAAACAACTTTTGTGAACACCAATAAAATCTGATGATTTGATATTTCTCATTTTATAAACGTTGGTCTTAGTACATACATATCTACAACTTTTTAATTATGTAATTATAACAGCTTCCTCATATATCAAAAATATTATTATTGCTTGTCTATCAGAGAATGAAAAGTTTTTTCATTATGAAATTCTCATCAACACAAAATAACTCCAATGAAGTGTGAAACAAGGTAGGACTTATCCATTTTTCAAATGAAGAAACTTAAGCATAGTGGTGTAAAATGATATATAGAAATTCAGCAGGAGAAAATTTGAATTAAAACCAACTCAGTGATACACTTCCCATTGAGATGTGGGCTTCTGCCTCCTTCCATTGAATCTGGGCTGGATGTTAACTGCTGTGACTAGTAGAGTATGGTGGAAATGATATCGTGTTATTTTCAGGCCAGGCTATAACAGGGTGACAGTTTCTACTTCCTCCCTCTTGGAGCCCTGAGCTACCATATAAGAAATTTGATTATCCTGAGGCTGCCACATTGTGAGAAAGCCTATACTAGGCCTGTGGAGAGGCCACAGAGGATAGAGAGAGAGGGAAACACTTGGCTAGTCCAGAATTCTTTCAGCCCCCAGCTGTTTAAGTCATCCCAACTGAGTTTCTAAACAACAAGGAGCAAAAAAAAAAAAAAAAAAAAAAAAAAGTTCGCTTATAGTCCTGTTTGAATCCTTAATCCAAAGAATCATGAGAGAAAAAATAATGAATTGGTGTTTGGGGTCACTAACTTTTGGAGTAGCTTGTGATTCAGTATTAGTTAACTGGAACAAAATGAAAAAAATGCAGTTAGATCCCATTTCTACACTGTATTCCCAAGTAAGTTCTAAATGAATTTAAATATATTAATGTAAAAAATAAAATTTTAGAATAAAATTAAGAAGACTTTTTTGTTATCAAGTAAGTGGAGCAATACCTACTCTCATATGTTGCCATGGGAGTGTGAATTATTGTAACTTGAAAAGTAATATGTAGTATCTATTAAAATGATAAATTCTGAAATCTGTGGAAATCAAGTTGCCAATATGCAAGAATCGCTATGAAAGTATCTCTATTACAGCAACTTTGGAAAACATTTTGGTGGTTTCTCATAAAACAAAACATTGAATTACCATATAAATACAGAAATTGTCATCTAGGGCCCTTTACTCAAAGAAATGAAAACGTAAATTAACACAAAATTTTGTACACAAATGTTCATGGCAGCCTTATTTGTGATAACCCCAAATTGAAAACAGCCCAGATATTCTTCAGCAGGTAGATGGTTAAGCAAACCATCCATATAATGTCACTTGGCAATATAAAGGAACAATAAAAGGAGCATTATTGATACATGTAACAACTTGCATGACTCTCCAGAGAATTATGCTAAGTGAAAAAAGCTAGTTCCACAAGGTTATATACAATACGATTATGTTTATTATAACAATTTTGATATGACAAAAATTATAGAACAGATTAGTGGATGCCAGAGACTACAATAATGGAAGGGAGTGAAAGAAAGGGAGGCAAGAAGGAGGTGGGTGTGGTTATAAAAGGGAAATGTGAGGGAACTTTGTGTTGATGAAACTGTTCTGTATATTGTCTGCGATGGCGGTTACACAAACTTGTACATGTGACAAAACTGTATAGAACTAAATACATACACACACATTAGTACAAATAAAATGGGAAATCTGAATAAGATTGATTTATTATATCAGTGTCAATATGCTGCTTGTGATGGTGTACCATATTTCACAAGATATCACCATTGGGAGAAACTACATAAAGAGTGCAGAGATCTATCTTATTATTTCTTACAACTACATGTGAATCTACAATTATCTCACTATAAACTTTAAATAAAATGTTTCAAGAAGACTATAATAAAAGCTACAATAAAGTGAAAAAAAAATTGTTCCTACTGTACCTGTACTTATTTCTACACAAAATCCATACTGAGACAAGATATCAAAACTCCATTCATAGAATCTTGGATATACCTGGTGATTTTTAATGAGTGGCTTTGAGAAAGTCTAATGTTATCTCCATTAGGTAAACTTTTTTTATTTAATTTATACTTAAATATGAGTATGCAGGAGGTTTTGCTTCTTTTTTTTTTTTTTTAAAGTTTTATCTTATTTTTAATTGACACATAATAGTTGTACATATTTATGGGGTACAATGGGATGTTTGAATACATGTATACATTGTGTAATAATCAAAATTATGGTAATTAGCAAATCCATTATCTCAAACACATTATTTCTCTGTGGTGAGAACATTCAGAATCCTCGCTTCTAGCTATTTTGAAATGCGCAATAATACATTATTGTTAACTATAGTCACCCTACTGTGCAATAGAACACCAGAACTTATTCCTCCTATTTAATTGTAGCTTTGTACTTATTGATAAACCTCTCTGTCTCCCCTCTATTCCTACCCTTCCCAACCTCTAAGAACTACTATTCTATTCTCTATTTCTATGGGATCAACTTTTTAAGATTCCACGTATGAGTGAGATTATGCAGTATTTGTCTTTCTGTGTCTGGCTTTTTTCACTTAACACAATGTCCTCCAGATTCATCCATGTTGTCACAAAAGAGGATTTCATTCTTTTTAATGGCTGAATAGTATTCCGTTGTGTATATATACCACATTTTCTTTATTCATTCATCCATTGATGCACACTAAGAATGATTCCATAACTTGGCTACTGTTAATAGTGCTGCAGTTAACATGGAAGTACAGATATCTCTTCAACATATTGATTTCCTTTCCTTTGGATATATATCCAGTAGTGGGATTTCCAGATCATATGGTAGTTCTATTTTTAGTTTTACGAGGAACCTCTACACTGTTTTCTATAATGGCTATATTAATTTACATTCCTACCAACAGAATGTAAGAATCCCCTTTTCTTCACATCCTTGTCAATACTTGTTATCTTTTTTTTTGTTTGTTTGTACAGCTGTGTGAATTTTTTTTTTAATTTTTTTTTTTTATTATACTCTAAGTTTTAGGGTACATGTGCACATTGTGCAGGTTAGTTACATATGTATACATGTGCCATGCTGGTGCGCTGCACCCACTAACGTGTCATCTAGCATCAGGTATATCTCCCAATGCTATCCCTCCCCCCTCCCCCGACCCCACCACAGTCCCCAGAGTGTGATATTCCCCTTCCTGTATCCATGTGATCTCATTGTTCAATTCCCACCTATGAGTGAGAATATGCGGTGTTTGGTTTTTTGTTCTTGCGATAGTTTACTGAGAATGATGGTTTCCAATTTCATCCATGTCCCTACAAAGGACATGAACTCATCATTTTTTATGGCTGCATAGTATTCCATGGTGTATATGTGCCACATTTTCTTAATCCAGTCTATCATTGTTGGACATTTGGGTTGGTTCCAAGTCTTTGCTATTGTGAATAGTGCCGCAATAAACATATGTGTGCATGTGTCTTTATAGCAGCATGATTTATAGTCCTTTGGGTATATACCCAGTAATGGGATGGCTGGGTCAAATGGTATTTCTAGTTCTAGATCCCTGAGGAATCGCCACACTGACTTCCACAATGGTTGAACTAGTTTACAGTCCCACCAACAGTGTAAAAGTGTTCCTATTTCTCCACATCCTCTCCAGCACCTGTTGTTTCCTGACTTTTTAATGATTGCCATTCTAACTGGTGTGAGATGATATCTCATAGTGGTTTTGATTTGCATTTCTCTGATGGCCAGTGATGATGAGCATTTCTTCATGTGTTTTTTGGCTGCATAAATGTCTTCTTTTGAGAAGTGTCTGTTCATGTCCTTCGCCCACTTTTTGATGGGGTTGTTTGTTTTTTTCTTGTAAATTTGTTTGAGTTCATTGTAGATTCTGGATATTAGCCCTTTGTCAGATGAGTAGGTTGCGAAAATTTTCTCCCATGTTGTAGGTTGCCTGTTCACTCTGATGGTAGTTTCTTTTGCTGTGCAGAAGCTCTTTAGTTTAATTAGATCCCATTTGTCAATTTTGGCTTTTGTTGCCATTGCTTTTGGTGTTTTGGACATGAAGTCCTTGCCCACGCCTATGTCCTGAATGGTAATGCCTAGGTTTTCTTCTAGGGTTTTTATGGTTTTAGGTCTAACGTTTAAATCTTTAATCCATCTTGAATTGATTTTTGTATAAGGTGTAAGGAAGGGATCCAGTTTCAGCTTTCTACATATGGCTAGCCAGTTTTCCCAGCACCATTTATTAAGTAGGGAATCCTTTCCCCATTGCTTGTTTTTCTCAGGTTTGTCAAAGATCAGATAGTTGTAGATATGCGGCATTATTTCTGAGGGCTCTGTTCTGTTCCATTGATCTATATCTCTGTTTTGGTACCAGTACCATGCTGTTTTGGTTACTGTAGCCTTGCAGTATAGTTTGAAGTCAGGTAGTGTGATGCCTCCAGCTTTGTTCTTTTGGCTTAGGATTGACTTGGCGATGCGGGTTCTTTTTTGGTTCTATATGAACTTGAAAGTAGTTTTTTCCAATTCTGTGAAGAAAGTCATTGGTAGCTTGATGGGGATGGCATTGAACCTGTAAATTACCTTGGGCAGTATGGCCATTTTCACGATATTGATTCTTCCTACCCATGAGCATGGAATGTTCTTCCATTTGTTTGTGTCCTCTTTTATTTCCTTGAGCAGTGGTTTGTAGTTCTCCTTGAAGAGGTCCTTCACATCCCTTGTAAGTTGGATTCCTAGGTATTTTATTCTCTTTGAAGCAATTGTGAATGGGAGTTCACTCATGATTTGGCTCTCTGTTTGTCTGTTGTTGGTGTATAAGAATGCTTGTGATTTTTGTACATTGATTTTGTATCCTGAGACTTTGCTGAAGTTGCTTATCAGCTTAAGGAGATTTTGGGCTGAGACTATGGGGTTTTCTAGATAAACAATCATGTCGTCTGCAAACAGGGACAATTTGACTTCCTCTTTTCCTAATTGAATACCCTTTATTTCCTTCTCCTGCCTGATTGCCCTGGCCAGAACTTCCAACACTATGTTGAATAGGAGCGGTGAGAGAGGGCATCCCTGTCTTGTGCCAGTTTTCAAAGGGAATGCTTCCAGTTTTTGCCCATTCAGTATGATATTGGCTGTGGGTTTGTCATAGATAGCTCTTATTATTTTGAAATACGTCCCATCAATACCTAATTTATTGAGAGTTTTTAGCATGAAGGGTTGTTGAATTTTGTCAAAGGCTTTTTCTGCATCTATTGAGATAATCATGTGGTTTTTGTCTTTGGCTCTGTTTATATGCTGGATTACATTTATTGATTTGCGTATATTGAACCAGCCTTGCATCCCAGGGATGAAGCCCACTTGATCATGGTGGATAAGCTTTTTGATGTGCTGCTGGATTCGGTTTGCCAGTATTTTATTGAGGATTTTTGCATCAATGTTCATCAAGGATATTGGTCTAAAATTCTCTTTTTTGGTTGTGTCTCTGCCCGGCTTTGGTATCAGAATGATGCTGGCCTCATAAAATGAGTTAGGGAGGATTCCCTCTTTTTCTATTGATTGGAATAGTTTCAGAAGGAATGGTACCAGTTCCTCCTTGTACCTCTGGTAGAATTCGGCTGTGAATCCATCTGGTCCTGGACTCTTTTTGGTTGGTAAGCTATTGATTATTGCCACAATTTCAGAGCCTGTTATTGGTCTATTCAGAGATTCAACTTCTTCCTGGTTTAGTCTTGGGAGAGTGTACGTGTCGAGGAATGTATCCATTTCTTCTAGATTTTCTAGTTTATTTGCGTAGAGGTGTTTGTAGTATTCTCTGATGGTAGTTTGTATTTCTGTGGGATCGGTGGTGATATCCCCTTTATCATTTTTTATTGTGTCTATTTGATTCTTCTCTCTTTTTTTCTTTATTAGTCTTGCTAGTGGTCTATCAATTTTGTTGATCCTTTCAAAAAACCAGCTCCTGGATTCATTGATTTTTTGAAGGGTTTTTTGTGTCTCTATTTCCTTCAGTTCTGCTCTGATTTTAGTTATTTCTTGCCTTCTGCTAGCTTTTGAATGTGTTTGCTCTTGCTTTTCTAGTTCTTTTAATTGTGATGTTAGGGTGTCAATTTTGGATCTTTCCTGCTTTCTCTTGTGGGCATTTAGTGCTATAAATTTCCCTCTACACACTGCTTTGAATGCGTCCCAGAGATTCTGGTATGTGGTGTCTTTGTTCTCGTTGGTTTCAAAGAACATCTTTATTTCTGCCTTCATTTCGTTATGTACCCAGTAGTCATTCAGGAGCAGGTTGTTCAGTTTCCATGTAGTTGAGCGGCTTTGAGTGAGATTCTTAATCCTGAGTTCTAGTTTGATTGCACTGTGGTCTGAGAGATAGTTTGTTATAATTTCTGTTCTTTTACATTTGCTGAGGAGAGCTTTACTTCCAACTATGTGGTCAATTTTGGAATAGGTGTGGTGTGGTGCTGAAAAAAATGTATATTCTGTTGATTTGGGGTGGAGAGTTCTGTAGATGTCTATTAGGTCTGCTTGGTGCAGAGCTGAGTTCAATTCCTGGGTATCCTTGTTAACTTTCTGTCTCGTTGATCTGTCTAATGTTGACAGTGGGGTGTTAAAGTCTCCCATTATTAATGTGTGGGAGTCTAAGTCTCTTTGTAGGTCACTCAGGACTTGCCTTATGAATCTGGGTGCTCCTGTATTGGGTGCATAAATATTTAGGATAGTTAGCTCCTCTTGTTGAATTGATCCCTTTACCATTATGTAATGGCCTTCTTTGTCTCTTTTGATCTTTGTTGGTTTAAAGTCTGTTTTATCAGAGACTAGGATTGCAACCCCTGCCTTTTTTTGTTTTCCATTTGCTTGGTAGATCTTCCTCCATCCTTTTATTTTGAGCCTATGTGTGTCTCTGCACGTGAGATGGGTTTCCTGAATACAGCACACTGTTGGGTCTTGACTCTTTATCCAACTTGCCAGTCTGTGTCTTTTAATTGCAGAATTTAGTCCATTTATATTTAAAGTTAATATTGTTATGTGTGAATTTGATCCTGTCATTATGATGTTAGCTGGTGATTTTGCTCATTAGTTGATGCAGTTTCTTCCTAGTCTCAATGGTCTTTACATTTTGGCATGATTTTGCAGCGTCTGGTACCGGTTGTTCCTTTCCATGTTTAGCGCTTCCTTCACGAGCTCTTTTAGGGCAGGCCTGGTGGTGACAAAATCTCTCAGCATTTGCTTGTCTATAAAGTATTTTATTTCTCCTTCACTTATGAAGCTTAGTTTGGCTGGATATGAAATTCTGGGTTGAAAATTCTTTTCTTTAAGAATGTTGAATATTGGCCCCCACTCTCTTCTGGCTTGTAGGGTTTCTGCCGAGAGATCCGCTGTTAGTCTGATGGGCTTTCCTTTGAGGGTAACCCGACCTTTCTCTCTGGCTGCCCTTAACATTTTTTCCTTCATTTCAACTTTGGTGAATCTGACAATTATGTGTCTTGGAGTTGCTCTTCTCGAGGAGTATCTTTGTGGCGTTCTCTGTATTTCCTGAATCTGAACGTTGGCCTGCCTTGCTAGATTGGGGAAGTTCTCCTGGATAATATCCTGCAGAGTGTTTTCCAACTTGGTTCCATTCTCCACATCACTTTCAGGTACACCAATCAGACGTAGATTTGGTCTTTTCACATAGTCCCATATTTCTTGGAGGCTTTGCTCATTTCTTTTTATTCTTTTTTCTCTAAACTTCCCTTCTCGCTTCATTTCATTCATTTCATCTTCCATTGCTGATACCCTTTCTTCCAGTTGATCGCATCGGCTCCTGAGGCTTCTGCATTCTTCACGTAGTTCTCGAGCCTTGGTTTTCAGCTCCATCAGCTCCTTTAAGCACTTCTCTGTATTGGTTATTCTAGTTATACATTCTTCTAAATTTTTTTCAAAGTTTTCAACTTCTTTGCCTTTGGTTTGAATGTCCTCCCGTAGCTCAGAGTAATTTGATCGTCTGAAGCCTTCTTCTCTCAGCTCGTCAAAATCATTCTCCATCCAGCTTTGTTCTGTTGCTGGTGAGGAACTGCGTTCCTTTGAAGGAGGAGAGGCGCTCTGCGTTTTAGAGTTTCCAGTTTTTCTGTTCTGTTTTTTCCCCATCTTTGTGGTTTTATCTACTTTTGGTCTTTGATGATGGTGATGTACAGATGGGTTTTCGGTGTAGATGTCCTTTCTGGTTGTTAGTTTTCCTTCTAACAGACAGGACCCTCAGCTGCAGGTCTGTTGGAATACCCTGCCGTGTGAGGTGTCAGTGTGCCCCTGCTGGGGGGTGCCTCCCAGTTAGGCTGCTCGGGGGTCAGGGGTCAGGGACCCACTTGAGGAGGCAGTCTGCCCGTTCTCAGATCTCCAGCTGCGTGCTGGGAGAACCACTGCTCTCTTCAAAGCTGTCAGACAGGGACACTTAAGTCTGCAGAGGTTACTGCTGTCTTTTTGTTTGTCTGTGCCCTGCCCCCAGAGGTGGAGCCTACAGAGGCAGGCAGGCCTCCTTGAGCTGTGGTGGGCTCCACCCAGTTCGAGCTTCCCGGCTGCTTTGTTTACCTAAGCAAGCCTGGGCAATGGCGGGCGCCCCTCCCCCAGCCTCGTTGCCGCCTTGCAGTTTGATCTCAGACTGCTGTGCTAGCAATCAGCGAGATTCCGTGGGCGTAGGACCCTCTGAGCCAGGTGTGGGGTATAGTCTCGTGGTGCGCCGTTTCTTAAGCCGGTCTGAAAAGCGCAATATTCGGGTGGGAGTGACCCGATTTTCCAGGTGCATCCGTCACCCCTTTCTTTGACTCGGAAAGGGAACTCCCTGACCCCTTGCGCTTCCCAGGTGAGGCAATGCCTCGCCCTGCTTCGGCTCGCGCACAGTGCGCACACACACTGGCCTGCGCCCACTGTCTGGCACTCCCTAGTGAGATGAACCCGGTACCTCAGATGGAAATGCAGAAATCACCCGTCTTCTGCGTCGCTCACGCTGGGAGCTGTAGACCGGAGCTGTTCCTATTCGGCCATCTTGGCTCCTCCCTGCTTCTAACACTAAAGTCAAGTAGACATTTTAAAGGGCTAAATTACATTTTCATGTTAATTAGGCCACCATACTGACTGGATGAGCCAAATAGTGAACTTAGTAAAGATTACCCAGATTCCCTATACTGACAGTGATTCAAAAATTTTAAAACTACAAGTGATAACTGAACTGAATAAATACTACATTCATCCAGAAAGGTTTGGTTCAGACAGACTTATTTACAACTTCTCTATGCAAAGTATTTAGACTCTGTATAACAATTTTAGTGTAACATCAATTTTAAAATGACATAAAATTATTTATAACTTTATCAATTCTTGAATAACTTAATGTCAAATTTTTCAAATACCATTTTTCTAACTATAGGATGCTTAATCTGAAAGGTGAATAAAACAATGCACAGAAATATACCACACAAAGAAAACAGTGAACTAGACTTAAAATCTGATGACCTGAGTTCTTGGCCTTAATTTATTCCTCACTAGCTCTATCAAGGTGTAAAAAGATGAGCAAGTCATTTAACTTTCTGCCTAAGTATGAAATATTCTTAGGTACACCCAGGGTTCCAAAGTGACTCTCAGCAACTTACTATGACTCAGTGTTTCTCTAGTGAAATAAAATGATTACTTAGAAAAAAATCTACCTCATTTTTGTTTTCCCCAAAAGCAGGGACTTAAAGATTTAGTATAGGGAGTGTACTTGGGATATGTAGCCAAGAAGGAGAAGTGAGGGAGTAGGAAGAGGTAAAAGAAAGAGAGAAAAAAAAAATTGATATCAGAGTGAGTAATGATGACCACTATTGTGAGCAATAGGAACTTATTTCTGCCAAAAGCCCCTGAAAAACATGTTGAATTTTTTTCTTGGAATATGTAGACATTTAAAAAATTTTTTTCTTTGTTTCTACTTTTTGTTTTTTGGTAAACTAAGATAAGTTGTCATATCTTAAAATAACTTGTTATATCCATAAGATGTTTTCTGTAAGTCTCATGGTAACCAGAATGCAAAAACCTATAGTAGATTCACTAAAAACACAAAGTAACAAGTTCAAACATACTACTAGAGAAAATCATTTAACCATGAAAGCATACAGTAAGAAAGAAATGAGTTATAAAACAACCAGAAAGCAAGAAACAAAATGGCAGTAGTAAGTACTTACTGATCAATAATAACAGTGAATGTAAATGGACTCAATTCTCCAATTAAAAAGTATAAAGCAGCTGCATGAATAATGAAACAAGACCCAAACCATATGCTACCTACAAGAAAGCCACTTAATCTATAAAGACACATAGACTGAAAAGTGAAGGGATGGGAAAAGATATTCCATGCAAAGGGAAACCCCCCCAAAAAAAGCAGGAGTAGCTATACTTATATCTAATAAAATAGACTACAAATCAAAAACTGTAAAAAGAGACAAAGGTCACTATATAATGTCAAAGGGGTCAATTCAGCAAGAAGATGTAATAATTATTAATATTTATGCACCTGACTCTTGAGTACCTATATAAAGCAAACATTAATGGATTTAAAGGGAGAGATAGACCACAATACAGTAACAGTAGGGAACTTCAACAGCCCACTCTCAGTAATGAACAGGAGAGATTACAACTGATATCACAGAAATACAAAGAATCACCAGAAACTATAAGGAACAACTATATCCCAACAAATTGGAAAAAAATAAAAGAAATGAATAAATTCCTGGACACATGTAACCTACCATGATTGAATAATGAAGAAATAAAATATTTCAACAAACCCATAATGAGTAACAAGATCAAACCATAATAAAAAGTCTCTCAACAAAGAAAAGCCCAGGACCTGATGGCTTCCCTGCTGAATCCTATCAAACATTCAAAGAAAAAGTAATACCAATTCTATTCAAACTCTTCCAAAAACTGAAGAGGAGAAAATACTTCCAAACACATTGCATGAAGCCAGCAATACCCTGACACCAAAACCAGACAAGTACATGACAAAAAAAAGAAAATTATAGGCCAATGTTACTGATGAACATAGATGCAAAAATCTTCAACAAAATGGTATCAGACCAAATTCAACAACACATTGAAAAGATCATTTACCAGCATCAAGCAGGATTGATCCCAGGAATGAAAGGTTGTTTCAACACATGCAAATCAATAAGCATGGTACTGCATTAGGAGAAATACCTAATGCATGCGGGGCTTAAAACCTAGATGACAGGTTGATGGGTGCAGCAAACCACTATGGCACATATATACCTATGTATGTGCACGTTCTGCACATGTATCTCAGAACTTAAAGTATAATAAAAAATAAAATAATAAAATAAACATGATAAATCATATTTAGAGAACCAAGGACAAAAGCCATATGATCATTTCAATAGATACTGAAGAAACATTTGATAAATTCAATATGCCTTTATAATAAACACTGTCAACAAACTGGGTATAGAAGGCACAAGCCTCAAAATAATAAAGGTCATAAATGACAAACCTATAGCTAACATTGTATTGAACAGGAAAAACTGAAAATCTTTCCTTTAAGATCTAGAACAAGACAAGGATTGATCTAATAGACAACTGTTTGCTAAAGTAATATTAGCAGTAATCTATTGGGTGATTATAGTAATGGGCAAATGAAATGAATGATAGCAGTGTTATAAGGGATGAGAGGGAAGAATTGGAAACACTCTTATAAAATATCTGCACTATCAATTGAACGATAGAGTGCCATTTGAATATATAGTTAGATGAATTATAAGTATATATTGCACAATCTAAAAAGCAATTAAAAATAAGAAGTATACTTGATATGCTTGAAGAGAACAGAAAATGAAATAATAATAAATGCTTAAATAACTAGAAAGCAGAAAAAGAGGGGGTGATAAAAAAGAAACAAAGAAAAAGTGAAAAATTAGAAAACATGCAAATATAGTAGATATTAATCAAACTACATAAATAACTAGTTTAGCTATAAATGTTATAAATACACCAATTGAAATACAGAGATTACCAGAATAGATATAAAAAAGAGTCTACTATCTTTCTTCTACAAGAAAATCATTTTAGATGCAAAGACACAGACATGGACGAAATAAAGGTATGATGAAAGATATTCCATGCTAACATTAATCAAAATAAAGCTGAAGTAGCAGCTGGAATGATAGGATATGTATATGTGAAAAATGAGATACACATACAGAGGAAGGAGATATATACACAAACCTTTCACATTTCACAAAAATTAACTTAAAGTGGATTATAGACCTAAATACTAAATGCAAAATATAAAAAAAACTTCCAGAAGATAACATAAGAGAAAATATAGGTGGTGTTGTGTTTGGCCATACATTTTTAGATACAATGCCAAAAGGTTGATTCATTAAAGAAATAAAATTGATAAGTTGAAAGACTGGAGGAACCTTATATGCATATTGCTAAGTGGTAAAAGAAGCTAGTTTGAAAAGGCAAAGGTCAATAGTTGCCAGAGGATTTTAGAGCAGTGAAATTATGCTGTACGACACCGTAATGGTGGATATATGGCATTATTTGTCAGAACCCATAAGAGTGCATAAAAATAAAGAATAGATCTTAACATAAACTATGGACTTTCATTAATAGTAATATGTCAATACTGGATCATTAATTATTAAAAATATACAACACTAATGCAACATCATAATAAGAAATAGCATGTGCAGGGGAATGTGGTATATATGGGAACTCTCTATTACTATCTGCTCAATTTTTCTGTAAATCTAAAACTGTTCCAAAAAATATGTTAATTTTTAAAATTAAGAAATTATTGAGTTTTACTTTTATGATTTTTGCATTTTGTCTATGTAATATTTGCTTCAAGATAATATAAAATGATTTAAAAATATGAAAAATTAGAACACCAAAATTCAAACAAAGTATTAAAGAGTAAAACTTCTTTAATAAAGACAAATTATTGAACTTAATATTTTAAAAAGTTGAGATCCAAAAATTTAGAATTATCATGGTACACAAGACCTGGAAAGCCCCAGATACTGACCCAGAAGCTTCAAATATGTGTATTATGATATCCCTTTTCTACATTATTATTTAAGGTCATTATTCAGTAAAGACAACCACTAAATATTATGAGGCTATTCAGTGTCATCATATAACATTAATAATGCCCCCTTCAGCTAAACTCTTTAAAATTTATAGATCATATACTTTTAAGAAACTCTCACATGTTATTTGTTGTTTCCTAAAATTTTGCTTATACAACAGTCAATTGCAGGAGTAATTGGAAGCCTATATCTTTTTTAAAATTTCATTTCCAAATATCTGATGCCAGGGAAGGATATAGTCGTGGTGGGCTTCACAGGGATTTGCCTGGACGTTCAAAGTGTTAGCTAATCCACTGGGTTATACTATTCCTTGGATTTTCTTTTGAATGAAGAAATTAACACTACTGCTTTAATTAAAAGCAGACATAAAAGCAGAATTCAATGAGAATGTGTGTGGTTTGCATATGCACAGAATTAAGTAAAAGTTTTAGCAGAAAATGCAAATAAAGGTGTCTTTAGTCACAGAAGTGGGTAGCAGGGAATATATCCAAACACCAGCAGGTCTAAAAGCGCTATTCTAGCTCCCCCTGGAACCGGAGTTTATAAAACGCATATAATCATGATGTTGAGGGAGCAACCAGCTGGACTGGAGTACTTGTTTGCTCTTGCTTTTCATCTAGTCAGCCTAAATGAACGATATTGTTCTGACAAGGATTTCTCTCACAAGGGTCCTACAAACCTACAATATATAAATATCAAAGCCTTTAAATAGCTCCACCAGCTTACATACACAGAAAAGAGCATATTATTAGAGTATTTCTATAAATTAAAGTGTCAACATTTTGAATTGCAATTAAGGTTGTTCCAGCATTTCTTTTGTAAAGCTTTATTTTCAGGGATTCGTAATTCAACATAATAATCATTCCCCATATGAAACTTGGCTCACAAATTCACAGGATGCAAGAGTTTTATTTTAATCTTAAAGGAAATTTTGATTTTTTTTAAAGAAATGTCATAGTGTAGCTCTCTCACATTGACATGTTTTTGCCAAGCAAAAAAAATTGCTTTTGCTATTATTTTTCACCCTAGTAGCTATTGCAATCTTTGGTATATGTAATTAACTAAGTGCCTTGTTATTGGTCTTTTAAATTGTAATAGTATATATATATATATATATATATATATATAAACTATTATATTTATGGAAATATATATATGCTATATATAAAAACTATTATATATATTTATGGAAATATATATATTTCTATAAATTGCAGATAAAGAAGGGCAGTGTACAATTTGTTTATTGTTTCAAAAAATCTATGTGTCAATTATGCATGAATCAAAGATCCAGGAATGCTCAATCTAGAGTACAACTGTCTTCCAAGGAATTTCAGGTTCAACAAGTAGATTTGCTCTGTATGGACACAATTAAAATGTGTTTTAAGGCAACAAGAAAACAGTTCGAACAGCAGAGGGAAAATATTCTTACAAGTAACTTTGTCCAGGAACGGCTGCCTTAGAAAGTACTAATTCTTGTGTCCTTAATGTTTGTTTGTTTGTTTGTTTGTTTGTTTGTTTGTTTGTTTTCAGAATGTCTGAAAGATCTTATTAAAGATGTTGAGGAGAGTACTCTGGCAGTAGGTAAGATTTCCTCAAACTTTGAGATTCTAAAAACTTAAAATCATACATCCTGTTTCTATGGAGTGTAAAGGGTGGGGAATGGCGTTTTCAAGTTCTCTATGGAGTATGGAATATCTGGACTAAAACTACTGGATACATTTTTAGGATTAGTACCTAAAATTGGGAATGCCAGTGAAAGAGTTATGGGACAATTTATTTTTGAAATATATTTATATATTGCTCTTAAAATTTCACACTAAATCATATTCCCATAGCACATGAGAGTGCTTATTTCCTCAAAGCTTTCCAACACTGGTATTAGATTTTAAACCATGTAAAATGATTGTTACTATGTCTTTTTAAGATTTAGATGAAATTCACATAACATAAATTTATTCTCTTTAAACAATTCAGTGGCATTTTGTACACTCACGATGTTACACAATCACTTCTATCTAGTTCCAAAACATTTTCATCACCCCAGAAGGAAGCTCTGTATTGATTAAGTAGTTCTTTTCCATTCCCATTCCCCATCCCCCACAGTCCCTGGCACATACAATCTCTGTTCTGTCTCTGGTGATTTATCTCTTCTGGATATTTTCTATAAATAGAATTATACAATATATGCCTTTTTGTGGCTGGCTTTTCACTTAGCACAATGTTTTCAAGTCAGCCACATTGTGTTATATATCAGTATTTCATTTCTTTTTATGGTTGAATAATATTCATTTGTATGTATATACATACTTTATATGTCCTTTTAAAGGTACATGCTTGAGAATTCTTTTACGGATGTCTCCTTTTTGTACTTCACTCCGTAGTCACTTCAGTTAAATATAAATGGTGATTTTTGTTGTCTTAAAAATAAGCATGACTCTTAATGATAGCCATCATACTAAAGGGAACCTTATGAAATCAGACTTGTTTTTATCAAACTCATTATCTGGTTTCAAGTTTGTTTTTTTATTATTCCCATCACCTATCAACTCCATTTTTATGCCAATATATTTGTGCCTATAATGGCTAGCCTTCAGTGGGTCAACAATTTATCTGGCATCCAAATAGAGTTCATCGCCCAGTTTTATGCTCCTAATAGGAAGCTGCCAAAGAACAGACATCCTCAAGATTCCCAACATATTGACCTAAGAAGAGAAGACTAAACTTGAACTGATTATTCATCTTTCTCTACTTTCAACAGGACTCAAATCATCACCATCATCGTTCAGACTCTCATATTTACAACTAGGTCTATGTCTAGGTCTTAATATGTCCTATCCTTGGCAATAATAAAAACACTGAAATTGATTTAACCATAGAATCTTCTCCCCTTATTCAGTCAAAATTTGATTTGTGTGCACAGCTAGTAGTAGGAAAAGGTTTTGGGGCTTCTAATCCTTTTTTCTTACTTTGCACATAACTTCCTTCCTTGACTTGCTAAGGGTGTGTATATATGTGTACATTTATTTTAAACCTTCAAATTAATGACTAGGAGAAGAGGGAATTATGGTAAAAAGCAGTCTTAAATAAGTGTAGTTGTCATCTGGCACCAGCTCCCCCTGGTAGATAGGCATAAGACTACTGACTTTCCCTTTGGAAACATGCTTTCTCATGTTTCCAGAGATCTCTGGAGTCTCCCCTAGAGGACTCTTCTGACAGCCAATCGCTTGCTTCCTGTTGCCTCTATCTCCCTCAATATCTTTTTACTTAGGAGATTTACTCCACAAGACTCTGTAGGAGTCCCAATAGGGATGATACTCATTTAAAATGGATCTAACCAGGAGAAACTTAATTCATTCTTTGCCCCAAATTATTTTCTACCATCCTTCTCTGCTCTGCTGCTTTCAGTTGATAGACTTTTGTCTGAAGATTCTCCAGGCTGTACCAAACACCAGCCCATGTTCGCCAAGTACAGGCGATACCTATTAAGCTTTTGGAGAATTCTCCTTACATCCATGTCTCAACAAGTTTGCAATTGGAAGATGATACCCTTACCCCTTTCCTGTTGTGGCAGAAGGAGATATGGACTCCCAAATCTGCAACAGCTCTATTCAGAGAAATCTCTTCACAGATCCTTACCTATTTGTTCTTTCTCCATCCTTATATATTCTACTGAAGAGGAAGGAGGATTTGTTTGTTGGTTTTGGTTTTTTCGTAAGTCATGAAACTTATTCTTGGATATTTTTAGGTATTTACAAATATATTTTAGACATTCTTTATGTTTCTCTTGACAACTTGAATATTGTGTCTCTCACACTTCGCTTTGTTGTCTCATAACTTTTGTATTTCAACATCTCTGTCAACACTTCCAAATTCGCATCATGTTAAATATGAAGTATTTCAAACATGCAGAAGAGTTCAGAGAATAACATAGCATCCAGGTACTCATTAGCCAGAACTAATAAACCATAACATTTTGCCATAGCTATGGTTTTTATTTTTTACATGGATATTTTGTTTCTAGCCAGAGATTCTGTGCTGATTTAGGGGCACCTTTTCTAACTTCTAACCTCATGTTTGTGCAGGGCATTTTTTTCTGTATCTTGGTATTCTTTGAAATCCAAGCCCTAGCCTAAAAATGACATTGTGGGTTCTATAAAGCTCTTTTCCTGCTCTCTATCACATCCATAACAACAAGCTCAGTTCTGTAGCCCTATCTTTTCATTCCCTCATTGTTTCTGTCACTTGGGGATTTTCTTTTCTTTCTTGCAAGATCAGCAATATATTTTGCTATTGTTGTACTTTATCCAGGATTTCTAGGAGTTCATAGCACAGAAGTTTAATGTTAATCCAGGCTGCCTTATGTCAGAACAACAACAACAAAAAAATCCCCATTCACTCCTGAACTTACTCTAGTCTCACTTTAAAAATAATACTTAAAATGTGCTTTTCAAGGACACCAGCCTTGTTCCTATTGAGAAATACAGTGGAAAATTATGTCTATCACGTGATATTGAACTATTCTGAGGTGTCACATTTATTTGACCACATTCTCCTATTTGCATAACCCTCTGGGCTTTGATCAGAACTGACTTACCCAGCTTTTCCTAATCTGTTATTCTTTCTTTTGCCATCTCGTTTTTTATACTTGACCTTCATGTTGGAATGCACCAGGGTCAGTACTCTGCCTTTCTTTATTCTCCAACTTTATTACATCCTTGTATGATGTGGACTGAATAATCGCTCCCAAATGTTCACTTCTCCATTGCCTCTAAGAGGATTATTTACTTCTGACCATTGATACGTGGCATGTAGTGCTACCCTGTGGGCAGAGTATACTCTGCTATTCCATACAACTTGCATTGACTAAGGAAATATGAATAGGAGTGATGAATGCCAATTAGGAGTAGACACATAAAGAGTGACTGTGTGTTTCCACCAAGTCTCTTCCCTATTTTCTCTCTGCTATAAAGTTGGAATTCCCCATTATTAGCTGTTCTTTCAGCCTGATTCTGAGAATGAAGAAAACATGTGGAGCAGGGCTTAACAACGCCAAGCAGAACCACTGTTGTCTCTCTTCCCGCAGGAAATAAACTATTTTGTTGTAGTAAACCATTGGAATGTTGGAGTTGTTTGGGACTGTAGCATGATATGATATAAATTGACTGCTACAAGAATACACTCATCATTTCAAATTTATTTCTCCAGCCCTAAATTGTCAACTGAGCTGTAGTATTATACAAGTAATTATTGATGTTTTACTAGTACAAATGAGATTATGTAGAATGTTATATAATATACAGGATGATGAGCCATTAGGTAAGATAAAAAATGAAAAATTCTATTTGATAACTGGTCATGGTTTTTTTTAATCATTACAGAGGAGATACCATATGGGAAATGTCATCCATATTGTGGGAGTTAGCACACATTTAGGGAACTGAAGTTCCTATATTTGTAGGTGTAGCCAATATCCTTTGAATGATGGGAAACATTATACTGTCTGTAAGTTTTCTTTTAGAATGTCCAATGCATTTACTAATTTCAATAAAACAATTTTATAAACCAAAATTAGTCACTTAAAAGTACATGTTGTGTCTTCAGCTGCCATTGATCCATGCTCATAGGGCAGAGGGACATTTTAGAACTATTTTTACATACACTAATCCAATGTGATATATGTTACTTAAGACTACTTAGAGATTAACACTAAGATTTGAATGAAACATGTCATCCTAATTTACATGTATAGCAGGTGAAAATTATATGTCATATTTTTGAATACAACTGTTAACACAGGTAGGTATGGGTTTTCACCTCAAAATTAGAATTAAAACCAGCTTTAACTTTATTTGCATGAACCACTTAAGTAAAATTATCCTGATTCCTTAACATTCAATTTATTTCTATTCATTCATAAAATAATTGAATTATCATTCTCGAGCAGTGTATATATACATTAAGTGAAACAAGAACTAAAATATCTTTAAACAGAAAAGTGAGCAATTTAGTCACTCCCATGGGATAGCAGAGGGAATAGTGAAGAGATAACTATTGAGAAAGAAAATAATTTATTTTAGAGTATACAGGTAAAGTCACTACCAATATACACTTAAAGCACTGAGCATTATAAACTGATGCTTTAACTGTTAATATTAAAAATATACTTGTGTTATTTAGTATAATTTTATAAGGTATAACATATCAATAATTTATTAGTGATTCTTAAAGAATAAATTATCTCTCTCATGTATAGGTAAGTGTGCACACAATTGTTTTATTCTAAAAAAAGTCAAGTATTTTACAGACATGTAGAAACCAAAAAATATTAAAATAAATAAACGAGAAAACATGGAAGAAATGAAACTAAAGATAGAGCAATACAAAGTTTAAATGTTCTGGACATTTATTAAAGATCAATTTAATATCAATCAAAACAAATAGAGAAACATGATCAGTAATAAATATTATAAAGTAAAATACTCTTGTTATTTTTAAACAAATAGATATCAAGAAACAACTGAAAAATTTCAAGATTTTTTAAAAATACTGATACATGAGAGAAATTAATTTGAAAGGCCATTGTGATAATCATTAATGCTATTCTTTGCTATTTGTTTCTCTTCTTCTGAATACATGGAAGCTTGAATCTCCTGGACTGCATAACATTAGGTGGGATGATGTAACTAATTATTATCAATGTTTTTAGTGTAGGTAACATGAGCTACTTCTGGGCTATAGTATTTAATTGTCAGCATGAAACTGTATAGATTTTTTTTTGTTCCCCTTTGGCTCTGAAATCAGCAATATTTGAGATGGGTGGATGCTTCACCTGTCTTAGTCTTTGTATGACTACAATGAACAGAGCAACCTCCATTCAATCTGTGATGAGCCTAGAGCCTAAGGGAGAAATGCACATTTTTTATTTTAAGCCACTGAGATTTTGGAGGTTGTTTCTTACTGCAGTACAACCTCTCCTATGCTGACTGATAAAACCCTCATGCGTATAATCTATGTCCTCAACAACAACCCTATAAAATGCAATATTTAAAAAAAAGAATATTTCTTCCACTATTCCTTAAGGCAGTCTAGTGTTATAAATAAAATCAATAACAATATAATGATGATTGCCTGGGGGATCAAAATTCTGTGTCCCCTGCACTCAATTGTCTCATGATTTAATCTAATAATTAACATTTAGAGCAGTGCTATATAGTAGATACATAATTAAAAACAAATAAGAGTAACATATGTGCTGTGATTTCAACGTGTTCACCAAATTTTAAGTGTTAGAAACTTAATCCCCGTTGTAGCAGTATTAAGAGGTGAGGCCTTTAAGAGGTGATTAGATTCTGAGGGATCTGACCTCGTGAATGAATGAATGCCATTATCAGGGGAGTGGGTTAGTTATCAGGAGAGTAGGCTCCTCATAAAAGCATAAATTCCAGCTCCTATCATTTCTCCGTCTCACATGCTCACTTGCCCTTCTGCCATATTAAGATGCAGCACAAACACCCTCACCAGATGCTGACACTATGATATCACTATGATATTGGACTTACTAGACTCCAGAACCATGAACCAAATAAACTTGTTTTCTTTATAAATTACCTAGTCTGTGGTATTCTGTTATAGCAGCAGAAAACAGACTTAGACAATATATGAAATTGATTTAAACAATATATCTTTTAAAATCCAATGTTCCCAAAATATCATTTCACCATGTACTCAATATAAAATATTATGTATTAATATTTACCTTTTCGTACTAAGACTTTGAAATCCAATAGATATTTGACACGTATAACACATCTTATTTCACACTAGCAAGAATACAGCATGAAGATATTCTTTGTAGGTGAATAAAAACAAGTCTATATATTTTGTAAATATGTGAAATGTAGGTGTTACACCTTATATAAAAATTGAGTATGCTAAACTGAAAATCTGCCTGTGCATATGGCAATTCTACTTAGACATAAAAGCTGGCCCAGCAATAACTGTAGCCAGTCAGAATCCACATTTTCCTTTACACAAAACACTGAGTCTCATTTCATACCAGGACAGATGAGTATTTAGGGTACCAGAATTGTATGGTATAAAGCATAGTCACAATAATTTTAGTTTGGAAAATAGCTAACCCAGATGTAACCAATTAATTGCGGTCTATGAAACATAAAAATATCCATCAATCATCTATCTAGTTTTAAGTATTGTAATATCTAGTGAATCTCCCAAGACAATCTGGTTACAGATTATACTCCTAAATAAAAATATTTGACCTACTGTAGAAAGTTGTTAGATATAAATTATGCTTGAGAATGGGTGTTAAAATGATTTTTGTTTTAGAAGAGCTAGGTATAAGTCATTGTTTCCGATAATTATAAAGCAGGCAGAGCAATATCCATTCTGTTATCCATCACAATGGATAGGAAATACAACGAACACATTCAGAAGTGGTTTTCAGTCAATAACAAATATGTGACAAAGAAGAGAGGAAGGCAGAATACATGGTTTTATTCCATTATGAATTAGCACTAGGGCCTGACAAAAGAGTACTTCTCAATCATTTTGACTTTTGCAGAAATTGATATAAGCATAAATAGCTGGGGGCCAATGTTGAATTACTACAGTATAACCTTCACAGAAAGTGAAAAAAAAAACTTGTAAAGAACACGAAACATTAAAATATTCAGTGCCTAGTAGATTTCTCTGTGGTGTAGTACAGAATAAAATAAAGGTGAGTACTGAAATAACTTTGCCTAAGCCAACCCGATCTTCATATAGAATATTATCCATATAATCCAAAGTAGACTGTCTCTTATAAAAATTAATTGGACTAGATTGAGCCCTCTCCCACATAAATAATGAAAATCAAGAAATTGGAAAAGATTAAGATTTTCATTTCAATTGATCTTTAAAAAGGCAGGTCCTAAAGGATAAAATCTCACCAAGTATTTATTTGGTTTAGAAACTTAAATAAATTTATGTTCTGTTTGTTTATTACTTTACAACAAATTACTTCCAAAAGTTATAGAATGAAACAGCTATTTTATTTTGCTCATGAATCTATCAGTCAGGAATTTTGGAAATGCTTCTTAAGTGATTTTTTCTTGAGGACCTTCATGTGTCAGCTGAGGCTCCTGTCATATGAAGAATCAACTGGGGTAGGCATCCACCCAAAATGGCTCATTCACAAGGCTGGTAGTTGATGTTGTTAGTTGGCTGGGAGCTTAGTTAGGGTAGTCAACTAGAACACCTAAAGTGGCCTCTCTAGCATGGTGGTCTTGGGATAGTAATACATTTTACAGGATAGTTGGCTTCTTAATGGCCTAGTGTTGGAAGTCACATTATTTCCTCTGCATTCTATTGATTAAAGCAGTGCACAGATACAGAAAAGGGGAAATGAACCCCACTTCTCGAAGGGAAGGGCATTGATAAACTGCCACAGCCTAATATATAAAGAAGTACAGTTCCAAGATGGCCAAATAGGAACAGCTATGGTCTGCAGCTCCCAGCATGACTGACACAGAAGATGGGTGATTTCTGCATTTCCAACTGAGGTATGTGGTTCATCTCAATGGGACTGGTTGGACAGTGGATGCAGCCCACGGAGGGTGAGCCGAAGCAGGGCGGGGCATCGCCTCACCCGGGAAGGGCAAGGGGTCGGGGGATTTCCCTTTCCTAGCCAAGGGAAGCCATGACAGACTATACTGGGAAAATTGGGACACTCCCACCTTAATACTGCACTTTTCCAACAATCTTAGCAAACAGCACACCAGGAGATTATATCCCACACCTGGCTCGGGGGGTCCCACACCCACGGAGCCTTGTTCACTGCTAGTACAGCAGTCCCAAATCGAACAGCAAGGCGACAGCCAGGCTCGGGGAGGGGGGCCCGCCATTGCTGAGGCTTGAGTAGGCAAACAAAGCAGCTGGGAAGCTCAAACTGGATGGAGCCCACTGCAGCTCAACGAGGCCTGCCCGCCTCTGTAGACTCCACTTCTGGGGGTAGGGCATAGCTGAACAAAAGGCAGTAGAAACTTCTGAAGACTTAAATGTCCCTGTTTGACAGCTCTGAAGAAAGCAATGGTTCTCCCACCACACTGTTTGAGCTCTGAGAATGGACAGACTGCCTCCGCAAGTGGGTCCCTGACCCCCATGTAACCTAACTGGGAGACACCTCCCAGTAGCAGCTGACTGACACCTCATACAGCCAGGTGCCCCTCTGAGATGAAGCTTCCAGAGGAAGGATCAGGCAGCAATATTTGCTGTTCTGCAGCCTTCAATGGTGATACCCAGGCAAACAGGGTCTGGAGTGGACCTCCAGCAAACTCCAACAGACCTGCAGCTGAGGGATCTGACTGTTAGAAGAAAAACTAACAAACAGAAATGAATAGCATCAACATCAACAAAAAGGACATCCACACCAAAACCCCATCTGTAGGTCACCATCATCAAAGATCAAAGGTAGATAAAACCACAAAGATGAAGAGAAACCAGAGCAGAAAAGCTGAAAATTCTAAAAACCAGAACACCTCTTCTCCTCCAAAGGATCGCAGCTCCTTGCCAGCAACAGAACAAAGCTGGATGGAGCATGAATTTGATGAATGGACAGAAGTAGGCTCCAGAAGATCAGTAATAACAAACTTCTGTGAGCTAAAGGAGGATGTTTCAACCCATCACAAGGAAGCTAAAAACCTTAAAAAAAGATTAGACGAACGGCTAACTGGAATAAAGAGTGTAAACAAGACCTTAAATGACCTGAAGGAGCTGAAAACCATGGCACGGGAACTACGTGATGCATGCACAAGCTTCAGTAGCTGATTTGATCAAGTGGAAGAAAGGGTATCAGTGATTGAAGATCGAATTAATGAAATGAAGTGAGAAGAGAAGTTTACAGAAAAAAGAGTAAAAAGAAACTAACAAAGCCTCCAAGAAATATGGGACTATGTGAAAAGACCAAATCCACGTTTGATTGGTGTACCTGAAAGTGACGGGGAGAATGGAACCAAGCTGGAAAACACTCTTCAGGATATTATCCAGGAGAACTTCCCCAACCTAGCAAGACAGGCCAATATTCAAATTCAGGAAATATAGAGAACACAACAAAGATACTCCTCAAGAAGAGCAACCCCATGACACATAATTGTCAGATTCACCAAGGTTGAAATGAAGGAAAAAATGTTAAAGGCAGCCAGAGAGAAAGGTCGGGTTACCCACAAAGGGAAGTCCATCAGACTAACAACAGATCTCTCGGCAGAAACTCTACAAGCCAGAAGAGAGTGGGGGCCAATATTCAACATTCTTAAAGAAAAGAATTTTCTACCCAGAATTTCATATCCTGCCAAACTAAGCTTCATAAGTGAAGGAGAAATAAAATCCTTTACAGATAAGCAAATGCTGAGAGATTTTGTCACCACCAAGCCTGCCTTACAAGAGCTCCTGAAGGAAGCACTAAACATGGAAAGGAACAACAAGTACCAGCCACTGCAAAAACATGGCAAATTGTAAAGACCACTGATGCTAGGAAGAAACTACATCAACTAACGGGCAAAATAACTAGCTAACATTATAATGGCAGGATCAAATTCACACATAACAATATTAACCTTAAATGTTAATGGGCTAAATATCCCAATTAAAAGACACAGACTGGCAAATTGGATAAAGAGTCAAGACCCATCAGGGTGCTGTATTCAGGAGACCCATCTCACTTGCAGAGACACACATAGGCTCAAAATAAAGGGATGGAGGCAGATGAACAAAGCAAATGGAAAGCAAAGAAAAAAAAATGCAGGGGTTGCAATCCTAGTCTCTGATAAAACAGACTTTAAACCAACACAGATCATAAGAGACAAAGAAGGCCATTACATAATGGTAAAGGGATCAATTCAACAAGAAGAGCTAACTATCCTAAATATATATGCACCCAATACAGGAGCACCCAGATTCATAAAGCAAGTCCTTAGAGACCTACAAAGAGACTTAGACTCCCACACAATGATAATGGGAGACTTTAACAACCCACTGTCAATATTAGACAGATCAAAGAGACAGAAGTTTAAAAAGGATATCCAGGACTTGAATTCAGCTCTGCACCAAGCCAACTTAATAGACATCTACAGAACTCTTCACCCCAAATCAATAGAATAGACATTCTTCTCAGCACCACATAGCACTTATTCCAAAATTGACCACATAGTTGGAAGTAAAGCACTCCTCAGCAAATGTAAAAGAACAGAAATCACAACAAACTGTCTCTCAGACCACAGTGCAATCAAATTAGATCAAAACTGCACAACTACATGGAAACTGAACAACCTGCTCCTGAATGACTACTGGGCAAATAATGAAATGAAGGCAGAAATAAAGATGTTCTTTGAAACCAATGAGTACAAAGACACGACGTACCAGAATCTCTTGGACACATGTAAAGCAGTGTGTAGAGGGAAATTTATAGCACTAAATGCCCACAAGAGAAAGCAGGAAAGATCTAAAATCAACACTCTGTCATCACAATTAAAAGAACTAGAGAAGCAAGAACAAACAAATTCAAAAGCTAGCAGAAGGCAAGATATAAATAATATCAGAGCAGAACTGAGGGAGATAGAGACACAAAAAACCCTTCAAAAAATCAATGAATCCAGGAGCTGGTTTTTTGAAAAGATCAACAAAATTGATAGACCGCTAGCAAGACTAATAAAGAAGAAAAGAGAAAAGTATCAAATAGATGCAATAAAAAATGATAAAGGGGATATCACCACGGATCCCACAGAAATACAAACTACCATCAAAGAATACAATAAACACCTCTATGCAAATAAACTAGAAAATCTAGAAGAAATGGATAAATTCCTGGACACATACACCCTCCCAAGACTAAACTAGGAAGAAGTTGAATCCCTGAATAGACCAATAACAGGCTCTGAAATTGAGGCAATAATTAATAGCCTACCAACAAAAAAGTCCAGGACCATATGGATTCACAGCCGAATTCTACCAGAGGTACAAAGAGGAGCTGGTACCATTCCTTCTGAAACTATTCCAATTGATAGAAAAAGAGGGAATCCTCCCTAACTCATTTTATGAAGCCAGCATCATCCTGATACCAAAGCCTGGCAGAGACACAACAAAAAAAAAGAGAATTTTAGCCCAATATCCCTGATGAACATTGATGTGAAAATCCTCAATACAATACTGGCAAACCGAATCTAGCAGCACATCAAAAAGCTTATCCACCAAGATCAAGCTGACTTCATCCCTGGGATGCAAGGCAGGTTCAACATACACAAATCAATAAACGTAACCCAGCATATAAGCAGAACCATTGAGAAAAACCACATGACTATCTCAATACATGCAGAAAAGGCCTTTGACAAAATTCAACAGCCCTTCATGCTAAAAACTCTCAATAAACTAGGTATTGATGGAATGTATCTCAGAATAATAAGAGCTATTTATGACAAACCCACAGCCAATATCATACTGAATGGGCAAAAACTGGAAGCATTCTCTTTGAAAACTGGCACAAGACAGGGATGCCCTCTCTCACCACTCCTATCCAACGTAGTGTTGGAAGTTCTGGCCAGGGCAATCAGGCAAGAGAAAGAAATAAAGGGTATTCAGTCAGGAAAAGAGGAAGTCAAATTGTCCCTGTTTGCAGATAACATGATTATATATTTAGAAAACCCCATCGTCTCAGCTCAAAATCTCCTTAAGCTGATAAACAACTTCAGCAAAGTCTCAGGATACGAAATCAATGTGCAAAAATGACAAGCGTTCCCATACACCAATAACAGACAGAGAGCCAAATCATGAGTGAACTCCCATTCACAATTGCTACAAAGAGAAAAAAGTACCTAGGAATCCAACTTAGATGGGATGGGAAGGACCTTTTCAAGGAGAGCTACAAACCACTGCTCAACAAAATAAAAGAGGACACAAACAAATGGAAGAACATTCCACGCTCATGGATAGGAAGAATCAATATTGTGAAAATGGCCATACTGCCCAAGGTAATTTATAGATTCAATGCCATCCCCATCAAGCTACCAATGACTTCCTTCACAGAATTGGAAAAAACTACTTTAAAGTTCATATGGAACCAAAAAAGAACCAGCATTGCAAAGACAATCCTAAGCAAAAAGAACAAAGCTGGAGGCATCACGCTCCCTGACTTCAAACTATACTTACAAGGCTACAGTAATCAAGACAGCATGCTACTGGTACCAAAACAGAGATATAGACCAATGGAACAGAACAGAGGCCTCAGAAATAACACCACACATCTACAACCATCTGATCTTTGACAAACCTGACAAAAACAAGAAATGGGGAAAGGATTCCCTATTTAATTAATGGTGCTGGGAAAACTGGCTAGCCATACGTACAAAGCTGAAACTGGATTTCTTCCTTACACCTTTTACAAAAATTAATTCAAGATGGAATAAAGACTTAAACGTTAGACCTAAAACCATAAAAACCCTAGAAGAAAACCTAGGCATTACCATTCAGGACATAGGCATGGGCAAGGACTTCATGTCTAAAACACTAAAAGCAATGGCAACAAAAGCCAAAATAGACAAATGGGATCAGCAAAAGAAACTGCTATCAGAGTGAACAGTCAACCTACAGAATGGGAGAAAAATTTTGCAATCTACCCCTCTGACAAAGGGCTAATATCCAGAATCTACAAAGAACTTAAACAAATTTACAAGAAAAAATCAAACAACCCCATCAAAAAGTGGGCAAAGCATATGAACACACACTTTTCGAAAGAAGACATTTATGCAGCCAACAGACACGTGAAAAAATGCTCATCATCACTGGTCATCAGACAAATGAAAATCAAAACCACAATGAGATACCATCTCACACCAGTTAGAATGGCGATCATTAAAAAGTCAGGAAACGACAGGTGCTGGAGAGGATGTGGAGAAATAGGAACGCTTTTACACTGTTGGTGGGAGTGTAAACTAGTTCAACCATTGTGGAAGATAGTGTGGCAATTCCTCAAGGATCTAGAACTAGAAATACCATTTGACCCAGCCATCCCATTACTGGGTATATACCCAAAGGATTATAAATCATGCTGCTATAAAGACACACACACAGGTATGTTTATTGCAGCACTATTCACAACAGCAAAGACTTGGAACCAATCCAAATGCCCATCAGTGATAGACTGGATTAAGAAAATGTGGCACATATACACCATGGAATGCTGTGCAGTCATAAAAAAGGATGAGTTGATGTCCTTTGTAGGGACATGGATGAAGCTGGAAACCATCATTCTGAGCAAAGTATCGCAAGGACAGAAAACCAAACACCACATGTTCTCACTCATAGGTGGGAATTGAACAATGAGAACACTTGGACACAGGGCGGGGAACATCGCACACCAGGGCCTGTCCTGGGGTGGGAGGATGGGGTAGGGATAGCATTAGGAGAAATACCTAATGTAAATGACGAGTTAATGAGTGCAACAAACCAACATGGCATATGTATACATATGTAACAAACCTGCACATTGTGCACATGTACCCTAGAACTTAACGTATAGTAATTATATATATAAAGAAGTACTGGAGTGACCAGTCAGAAGGAGATCTACAATAGACAAATGTCAAGATCACTGTACTCCTTTAACTAGTACATGAAATAACACTTATCTGCTGGGTAGACATGTTACATACATTAAAACTCTAATTAAATAAGATCTGTTTAACTGTAGTTCTCAGATGTTTTTCAGTTTATAATTATAATTCACAATTTTATTCTTCTATTTGATTTTGTACAGTTTAGCAGAAGATTTTATAAAATGAAACTTTAAAGTCTTCACAAACAAATGCCAATTTTTTTATGATTTGAAAAATATAAAACAAACTTTAAAATAACTCATAATGCTGTGGAATATTTTAAAAGTAAATGAAATTAAGAAGAAAATAATGCCCTCTATTTTTTCAAATAGTCAATATTATAGTTATTATAGTTCACTGTATATCAATAACATTTATTTTCTATATTTATTTACACTTATATAAATACACTTATTTATATAAAGGTATGAACATAAGTGTATATACTTTAGAATATGAAATAAAGAGAAAAATCAAATTATGCTATATTTTTCTTGCCTCTTTTTCTCATAATATATGAATTTTTTTCAGATCAGGGCTTACAAATATACCTTATTTCTTTAAATGTTTAGAGTATTTCATTGTGTAAATTTATCATAATTTATTTGATCACTCTCATTTGAACAACTTAATTTCATATTTTCACTTAAAAATGGTAAAGTAAAGAAACTGCATCTAATTGTATATCTTCAAGCTATTACTTCTGAAAGATAGATTTCTAGAAGTAAAAAAGCTCACTTTAAGTTGTGTTTACTTTATTTCATTTTTCTAGATCTTGCTCATTCGCTCTCTTACTTCCCAGAAATTGCCTCAATTGATATTCCCACCAACAGTGTCCGATCCACATTTCAAGAGTGGTTATTATCTAAAAAATCTTAACATGCTCAGAATGTTAAAATGTTTAACAAGTAGTAGTGAGTAAGATTCATAGTCTTTTATTTAACAAGTACTATGACTGATGGAATGTCAGGAAATATTTTTATGTATTTGGATTATTTAAAACTTTAATATGGATTTTAAATAACTGTGTTTTAATATTCCTGCACAATGAAACACATAATGTTGCACCTAAAGTAGACTTTGCTGTAAAGCAATTTCATTCATTTAAAAATCTTAAAGTTGCATTCAAATGTTTTAATGCAATGGGAATGTTTATCCTTTTAAATATAACTAAAAATAACTCAGCAATTATTTTGTGTTCTATTCAAGCAGAAATCCAAGAAATATTTGCTGAAACAGAGTCCTAAAAACCTTTTGAAGTTTATATATGGTGTATATACATATGACTTAGTTATTTAATTGAAGCTTCATAACAAAATCTTTATAGCTTAAAAATCAAATATTTTCATATTTTTAAGGAAATATAATTTCAATAACTTAAATATACTTTTAAATTTTATATTTGGATTATGATTGGTCTAATAATAGGTGTACTATGTTGGCTACAGATATAGAACACTGAAGTATTACTTTTAGAACTATAACCTAAAGTCAACCCAACCATATTAATACCTAGATCCTGGGGTTGGTGGTGGTGAGGGGAAATGGATCTAGCTAAATCTAAACATAAGCTACATTGATTGTCAATGTTAAGAGAATAATGTATTTTAAAAAACGCTTTTATCAAAAATGTAAAACCAAAATGTGGGGAAAAGTCAATGAAATTATGTCTTGGAATATTTTGTTCTACTTTGTTATAATTTTATAAACAAGGAAAATAGCAATCACTGTAATTTTCTGCATTTTCTCAGTGCTCCTAAACATAATTTTATTAGTGTTCTAGCTGCTAATGTTGGTTTCACAATCTCCCTGTAAATGAATAATATTCCAATTATTTTGCAGCCATAGACAGTGGTTTGTTCTCAAATTGTTATAATTTAGAATAAATATTTTGTTTTACTTTTGCAGTTGAGATGTTCTAAGGGGAAGCAATATATTTAATGGAATAATGTATTGAGAGGAAAGGTTCAGAACCAACTCTGTCTTTGCTAGCACTTCTGTGTTAATGGCTTCTGAAAAATAAAAATTGATGACAAACTCAAAAATTGTGATTAGATGCTTTTTAAGATTAAATATTCTACCTTCATTAATTCAAAACAAGCTTCATATCACATAACAAATTCATGTCATTCACAACCCCAACGTCCTAAATGAAAAGCTGCAATATTTAACTTTATATCAATCTACTATTGCAGTTCAGACTTGTTAATAGAGAAATATCATACAATATTAGTGTATTTGGCTTTATTGTTTTTTTTTTAGCGTAAGGGGAATTTTATTGTATTATTTTTTTATTCCATCTTTTATTTTAGGTTCAAGGGGTGGGGATTTGGTGTACAGATTATTTCTTCATTCAAATAATGTACCCAATAGGTAGCTTTTTGATCCTCACCCTCCTCCCCCCACCACCCTCAAGTGGGCCCAGTGTATATTGTTCCCTTCTTTGTGTCCATGTGTACTCAATGTTTAGCTCCCCTTTATAAGTGAGAACATGCAGTATTTGGTGTCCTGTTCCAGTGTTAATTCTCTTAGGATAATGGCCTGCAGCTTCATACATGTTGCTAGAAAGGACATTATTTCATACTTTTTTTGTGGCTGTGTAAGTATTCCATGGTAAATATGTACATTTTCTTTATCCAGTCCCCCATTGATGAGCACCTAGGTTGATTCCATGTCTTTGCTATTATGAATAGTGTTGTGACGAACATGGGTTGAATGGTAGCTTTGTTTTAAGTTCCTTGAGAAATCTCCAAACTGCTTTCCACAGTGGCTGAACTAATTTATATTCTCACCAGCAGTGTATTAAGTGTTCACTGATCTCTGCAACCTTGCAACCTCACCAGCATCTGTTTGTTTTTGACTTTTTAATAACCGCCATTCTGACTGGTGTGAGATGGTATCTCATTGTGGTTTTGATTTGTAATTCTCGAATAATTATTGATCTTGAACATTTTTATATGCTTGTTGGCCACATGTATGTCTTCCTTTATGAAGTGTCTGTTCATGTCCTTTGCCCACATTTTAATGGGGTTGTTTGGTTTTTGCTTGTTACTTTGCTTAAGTTCCTTACAGATTATCTATATTAGACCTTTGTTGGATTCAGTTTGCAAATATATTCTCCCATTCTGTAGGTTGCCAATTGACTCTGTTGATAGTTTACTTGGCTGGGATGACACTTTTTAGTTTAATTAGGTCACACTTATCAACTTTTGTTTTTGTTCCAATTGTTTTTGGCATCTTTGCCATGAAATCTTTGCCAGGACCTATCTCTAAAACAGTATTTCTTAGTTTTTTTTAAAGGGGTTTTGATAGTTTTAGGTTTCCCATTTAAGTCTTTAATTCATATTGATTTGATTTTTGATATGGTGAAATAAAAAGGTCTAGTTTCAATCTTCTGCATGTAGCTTGACAGTTACCACAGATCAGATAGTTGTGCAGCTTTATTTCTGGGTTCTCTAATCTGCTCCTTTGGTCTGTGTATCTGTCATTGTGCCAGTACCATGCTGTTTTGGTTAATGTAGCCTTGTAGTATAGTTTGAAGTTAGGTAGCATGATGTCTCTGGCTTTGTTCTTTTTTCTCATGATTGCTTTGGCTATGTGGACTGTTTATGGTTCCATATGAAATTTAGAATAGTTTTTTCTAGTTCTGTGAAAATGTCATCAGTAGTTTGCTAGGTATAGCATTGAATCTGTAAATTGCTTTGGACAATATGACAATGTTAAGAATATTGATTCTATTCATGAGTAAGGAATGTTTTCTTATTCGTATCATCTCTGATTTCTTTCAGCAGTGTTTTGCAATTCTCATTGTAAAGATCTTTCACATCCCTGGTTTACTGTATTCCTAGGTATTTTATTTTTTTGTGGCTATTGTGAATGGGATTACATTCTTAACTTGGCTCTCAGCTTGTATGTTATTTGTGTATAGAAATGCTACTGACTTTTGTACATTGATTTTGTATCCTGGAAGTTTGCTGCAGTTGTTTATCAGATCTAGGAGCCTTTGGGGAGAGAATATGCAATTTTCTACGTATAGATTCATATTGTCTGGAAAGACAGACAGTTTGGATGTCTTTTATTTCCTTCTCTTAACTGATTGCTCTGGCTAAGACTTCCTACAATATTGAATAGGAGTGGTGAGAGTGGGCATCCTTGTCTTCTTCTGGTTCTCAAGGGGAATGGTTCTAGCTTTTGCCAGTTCAGTATGATGTTGTCTATGGGTTTGTCATAGATGGCTCTTACTATTTTGAGATATGTTCCTTTAACGTCTAGTTTGTTGAGGGTTTTTTAGCATGAAAGGATGCTGAATATTATCAAAAGCCTTTTCCACATCTATTAAGATGATTAAGTCAGCCATCTTGGGTCTTCTCTCTTCTGCCATAGCTACCTATAGGCCCATAGAGAGATCCAGTCCTTATATGGGTTTGTAATTATCTGTTGTTCCTCTGGCTCAAATCAAAGAGGGAACCAGACCAAAAAAGTTAAGGAAAGTTGAGGAATAGGAAATGCACTCACAAGCCACTTGTGAGAAGGCTGGGTTTTTTTTTAATTATTGCATCTTATATGATACAATTACATGCCTATATATTTTCAATTTTACATCAATTTAACCTATAATTCTATAAGTACCAACTTGGAAAGCATTCATTAACTTTGTTAGATAATTTTATAGATTAGAGACACCATCTGAGGAGTCCAACTAGACAGCTAGAGAAAGAGGCCTTGCCAGCCCCCAATCATTCCAGCTACCCCATCTTAGATATTCCAGTCCTAGGTGAGTACCCGTGGGAATAAACACCTTGTGAAGCAGATGAACCACCCAGGTGAGCCAAGCCAACCCACAGTAGCAGTTGCCTACCACATGCCAGGCACTGTTTTTGGTAGGGGACTACAGTATTGAAGAAAACCAACAAAAGGACTAACTTAATGAACTATATAGATTCTTTGGAGCACTCTGAAAAATGCAAATAAAAATATTTTTAAAATCTATTATGTTAGTAATGGAGCAATAGAAGTACCAGCACATTTGAGAGCTTGCAAAAACAGTTGGCAAGGAAAATAAAGTCCCCTGATTTTGTAATAGGTACATTTACAATGAAAACATTCTGTGAGAATCCTGATTCTATGTGATTCCTAGACAATGAATTGGATAAAAACATGTATCAAAAAACATAAGGGAAATGGACCTTTCTGAAACTACTCTTATTATAAAACTGCACCCAACAGACAGCTTTCCACAAAATTCCTGCTTTGAAAAAGGAAGGCTGCTTTGAAAGAGGTTTATGATGACAAGCAGAATCACTCTCTGAGGCCACACTACACTGACTTCTGCAGGTGTGCTATTTCATGAAATAAACATTGTGATTCGGTGGCTCACGCCTGTAATCCCAGCACTTTGGGAGGCCGAGGCGGGCGGATCACGAGGTCAGGAGATCGAGACCATCCTGGCTAACACGGTGAAACCCCGTCTCTACTAAAAATACAAAAAATTAGCCGGGCGTGGTAGCGGGCGCCTGTAGTCCCAGCTACTCGGGAGGCTGAGGCAGGAGAATGGCGTGAACCCGGGAGGCGGAGCTTGCAGTGAGCCGAGATCGCGCCACTGCACTCCAGCCTGGGCGACAGAGCGAGACTCCGTCTCAAAAAAAAAAAAAAAAAAAAAAAAAAACATTGTGATTAACACACTAATCTTTGTCAGTCTGAGGGAGAACCTCGACTTGTTTCTGTTCCAGCCATCCCTAGGTGACACAAAGGTCCAGGACATTGATCCTTGGGTAGACACTCAAATGTTCCTTATCAGACTCAGTGATACTTACAAAAAGACATTTCTCAAATCCTGAAAGTAAACATGTGGAATCTGCTGCAAGTAGAAAACAAAGAGGGAATGTGTTTATTTTACCTCTTAAAGGAGGACCTGTTTGGCAAACTGAAGGCTTTGTGGCTGTAGAATTGTTACATGATTTGCATATACTTTTCCTAACAATGGAGAAGAAAAAACAATACTTGCCCTTCAGTGCACTTGTCAAGAAGGAAGACTGGATATTTTACCAAGTTATGCCATAATTGTTTGGAATTAGGATTTGTGCTTCTATTGTCTAGAGAGAACTTTCATTCTCTGAAGGTGGTTGGGTTGAGATTCTGCTACAGTTAATGGCTAAATGCTCTCAACATTAAAAATAAAAATAAGGGGATACCTTTAGTAAACATGCACTGCATTTACTTAATCTTTACATTGCACATGGAAAAATGAAGGTATGGTAATGAATTCAAACTAATTACCTAATGGTGTTTTGGCTATAATTTTGAGTATATTAAAAATGTAAGTAGTCAGCAACAAAAATAAAATTGTTCCTTTTTTGATTGTGACTACCTATCAGAGAATGAGAAATATGTTCATGAGTATATCATGGTATATTAGCAGCCATTAGAAGGATCTGATAGAAAATGTGGAAATCTAGAAATTATTTCATGATATAGTAAGAAACAGAAGTAGAATATAAAGTGTAATCAGCATTGGGTTACAACTTTATATGAACTCATATGCACAGGGACAGGGCATGAAGATTGAAAAGTGAGAGTTGATATTTTAGAGAAGTCTTTCCTTTACAGTTATATCCATGTACAATAACTAACCATCAGAACAAAACCCATACAATTAAAAAAATAGAGTGAGTGTATTTGGCTACTTCCTGTGGTAGTAACATTAAACATTAAATTAATGTGAGTTCTTTATCCTTTTCCTGGTATGTGGCAAGAGTGAAAACTTACCATGAGTGTCTTGTGGGTCTTAGTTAATGAAATGGACTTTAATACACTAAAAAAGGAATATGTCCAAAAAACATATTTAATATGTGGTTCTGTCTGTTTCTAGCTTTACAATCTTTTGGCCCTAAATACTTATCTTAAGCTTTTTCATACTTAGCTAATACTCAGAAAATGCAGAGGATATCAATGTCTGGCCTATTAAACAGGCACATTTGTGGTGATGACTAGATGACAAAATAATGCACTTGTAAACTGTGCAATTTCAAAATGATATTTTCTATTTTACAATCTGGACAAAATCTCTTGCCAGGATCCTTGTGCCACAGCACACCTGATCAACATGTTTTCATGCGCAATTTGTTTTGGCTTCTCGTCAGTAGGAAAAAGCTAGGTTCTAGATTGTGTGCAATTTCCAATACTAACTTGAGTTCAGCTGTTCTCTTTCACATATCTAGCGATCACTAACTCTGTTACTGAGAACAGCTGCCCTAGACCAGTATTTTCCCACCAGATGAATTCAGCTGCTTCTTTGAACACACTCAGTTCCCCTTTTCTCTCTTTCTTGCTTGTTTTCCAATAGTTACGCACACTCCTGTAATGTTAACTTAAAATGTCCTTAACTGCTACCATCAGGGTAAAAAAGCATATAATGGAGGCCATACCCTTTGACACACATTATATCTACATATTTTGTTAAACATTTATTTAACAAAAATTTTCTGCCACATCCTTCTTTGAATCCCGGGCCAGGTTTTGGAGCAGCTCTGTGGTGAAGGGGCCTAGCTGGTCCTACAGCCACTCATATAATTAAAAATGGAGCTGATGAGAGACAAACACACATTCTAGTTTGTCTTCATTTCTTCCAAATTGTCCTCACAGGTTTCAGTTTTTCCTTGTGAATTGTAGTTTTTCTTATAAGTTCCGGTTTGCCTTTGTTCCCTCCCATTTCAAGCCCATCTTTCCTTCTTGACTATTGGTCTTGCTAACTTTAGGCACATCACCAGAAGCAGGAGTCTTACACAGACTGTTTAACCAGCTTCCACACTTGCAGAACACATAAGACCAGAATAGATCCCTTGTGCCACAACACTCCTAGGGGTTCTGCTTGTCTGATTAAGCTTTGACTCATACATTATGTGTGGTCACTAGCTTCTAAGATGGTCCCCAATGGCACTCACCTCTTGGTAGTCACACCCTATGTATTCCCCTTCCATGTTGCTTCAGAATCAATTTGTCTACCATACAGAATAAAATAGAAGTGATACTGCATGCTTTTGGAATCTATAAGCAATAAAAGTTACTGTGGCTTCCTGTACTTGCTCGCTCGCTCTCTCTCTCCCCCCGCCTCCCACTTTCTCTCTCTCTGTGGGTTTACTCATTCTGGGGGAAAGGCTGCTGCATATTGTAGCAATCCTAGGGAGATGGTCACATTTCAAGAAACAGAGGTCTTCTGACAACAGCCATGTGAGCAAGGTTCGAAGCAGATTCTCCAGGCCCCATCAAGACTTAATTGACTGCAGCTCCAAGGAACATCTTAATTACAATCTCATAAGAGACGCTGAGCCACAACCACACAACTAAGTCACTTCCAAATTTCTGAATATCAGAAATTGTGAGATAATAAACATCTGTTGTTTTAAGCCACTAAGTTTGGGGGTATTCGTTATGTAACAATAGAAAGAAATTACACTATGAAAATATAGTTATTGAGACTGAAGTTTACATGCAAAAGCGAAATATTCCTGAAATCACAGAAATATTGTTATACCTTTTAAACATATTTATCAAAACATTTCAGAAACATCATGAAATGAAATAAAAATGGACTTTTGCTCTAGATCATTAAGAAAATTTTTCTTAAACACTCTAGACATATCTAACACTATAAGAGATATTTTCTTAGTAAATAAATTATATAGTCTTTTGCAAATAATTATAAAATGCTTTCCATTTGATAACATTTATTTTAAAACAATCATTTAAATTATTCAATAGTAGAAAAAATAAAGCAAATGAAAACATAACCACCAGAAAAAGAACCATAAGATCAAAATTCTTAAGAAAAAAAGAATCATGGACAACTTTAAAGCTCTTAGTTGGGTTTCAGTATAATCAATTTTAGTTATTTAATATTAAATAAAACAGCAGAGTTAGTACTCTGGTGTCCACTGCCCGAATTTCCTTTCAGGCTATTTTGTGCTGTATTAGAACCCAATACCCAGTGCAGTTGCTTATAAACCTCGATTTCATGGCTTTTTAAAAATACCATAGGACACAACCCTAATTTAAAAAAAAAAAAACAGAAAGTAGGAAAAAGTTTAATTAATCTCTTACATCAGTGAATAAATTGAAATGTAATGAGAATATGTTGCGTTAGTTTTATTATCATGCTTCTAATTGACTCCTCCAGTACATTTTCTGAAAGAAATGGTTTAAGGGAGGATGATTTTTGATATTTCAAATAGAATAAAATCAGTCATACTATAGACAGAGACTGCTTTTCTTTGGATAACTCCCCTGACTGTAAGCCCTCCCTAAACCTGCTACATGCTTTTTCTACCACCTATATTGCTAAGTGTCTAAAGAGTTAGGATATTTAAAGTCCGTGTCAAAAGTAAGTATGAATAAAAACCTCAAAAATAATGCAGAATCACAGTAATTTTATCTTTATTCACATTTAAAATGTTGTTTTATTACTTACATATTTATAAATAAGCTAGAAAACATTAATATTTATTTAATGAGGCGACATAAATGGAATGATTTAATAATCACTTTCACTTTTCCTGTTTCCTAAGGAATAAAAACTAGCAGTCTGGTAAATGTCTGTTATGTATCTCTTCATGTTTACACCAACAGATGTATACATACACACACAGTTATGTTTGTTATATTTGATGATTTTATCTCAATCTGCATAAATTTAAAGCTTCTATCCTTTCAGTCAGAAGACAGGAATGATATTGTCTTCATGAACAGCCAGCAGCATTTTTGGAAGGATAGGACGCAATCTATTATCTCTTGGGCTACATGTGGAATTTGCTAAAAATGAGACAAGCAATTTCTGATTGCTATATGCCATGTTGATCAGCTGCTGCTTCTGTTACTGACTTCCATAGAGTGGTTTTATAGCAAGACTTAAGAAAATTCGTTTGGACATTGGTATTTTATGATGCATAGGAACTTAGTGACAATAGTTTATGGCAGATGCCAACAAGCAGTGGAACAAGAACAATCACAAATCTCTGAAGTTCTCCATGATGCCTCCTAATTCTACCAATTTCTTGTCTCTGCAGTATTTAGAAACTTTGTTTCTCTCAAAGATGGCTTGTACCAGTCCATTTTCATATTGCTATGAAGAAATACCCAAGACCGGGTAATTTATAAAGAAAAAGAGATTTAGTAGACTCACAGTTTCACATGGCTAGAGAGGCCTCACAATCACGGTGGAAGGCAAAGAAGGCGCAAAAGCACATCTTACATGGCAGCAGGCAATAGAGCATGTGCAGGAGAACTGCCCTTTATAAAATCATCAGATCTTGTGAGACTTGTTCACTATCACAAGAGCAGCATGAGAAAAACCTGCCCTCATGATTCAATTATCTCCCACCAGGTCCCTCCCATGACACGTGGGGATTATGGAACTACAATTCAAGATGAGATTTGGATGGGGACAAAGCCAAACCATATCATTCCGCCCCTGGCCCCTCCCAAATCTCATGTCCTCACATTTCAAAACCAATCATGCCTTCCCAACAGTCCCCCAAAGTCTTAACTCATTTCAGGATTAATTCAAAAGTACACAGTCCAAAGTCTCATCTGAGACAAGGCAAGTCTCATCTGAGACAAGGCAAGTCTCTTCCACTTACGAGCCTGTAAAATCAAAAGCAAGCTAGTTACTTCTTAGATACAATGGGGTCCAGGCATTTGGTAAACATACCTGTTTCAAATGGCAGAAATTGGCCAAAGCAAAGGGGCTACAGGCCCCATGCAAGTCCAAAATGCAGTGGGGCAGTCAAATCTTAAAGCTCCAAAATGACCTCCTTTGACTCCATGTCTCACATCCAGGTCACACTGATGCAAGAGGTAGGTTCCTATGGTCTTGAGCAGCTCTGCCCCTCTGGCTTTGCAAGGTACAGCCCTAGTCCTGTTTGCTTTCATGGGCTGGCATTGAGTGTCTATGGCTTTTCCAGGTGCATGGTGCAAGCTGTTGGTGGATTGACCATCCTGGGGTCAGGAGGATGGTGGCCCTCTTCTCACAGATCCAGTAGGCAGTTCCCCAGTGAGGACTCTGTGTGGGGACTCCCACCCCACATTTCCCTTCCACCCCTGCAGCACACTTCTGCAGTACACCTCTGCCTGGACATCTAAGCGTTTCCATACATCCTCTGAAATCTAGGCAGAGGTTCCCAAACCTCAGTTCTTGTCTTCTGTGCACTCGCAGGCCCAACACCACATGTAAGCTGCCAAGGCTTGGGGCTGGCATCCTCTGAGGCAACAACAGCCTGAGATGTACATTGGCCCCTTTTAGCCACAGGTGAGATGCAGGACACCAAATCCCAAGACTGCACAAAGTAGCAAGGCCCTGGGCCCAGACCCTTAGTCCATTTTTTCTTCCTAGGAGGCTTGTGATGGGAGGGACAGCCATGAAAACCTATGACATGCCCTTGAGACATTTTCCCCATTGTCTTGGTGATTAACATTGGGCACTTCATTACTTGTGCAAATTTCTGCAGCCAGCTTGAATTTCTCCTCAGAAAATGGGTTTTTCTTTTCTATTGCATGGTTAGGCTGCAAATTTTCTGAACTGTTATGCTCTGCTTCTCTTTTAAATATTTATTCAAATTCCAAACCATATATTTGTGAATACATAAAACTGAATGCTTTTAATAGCACCCAGTCACCTCTTGAATGCTTTGCTGCTTAGAAATTTCTTCTGCCAGATACCATAAATCATCTTTCTCAAGTTCAAAATTCCACAGGTCTCTAGGGCAGGGGCAAAATGCCACCAGTTTCTTTGCTAAAGCATAGCAAGAATCACCTTTGCTCCAGTTCCCAGTAAATTCCTCATTTCTATCTGAGACCACCTCAGCCTGGACTTTTTGGTCAAAACCATTCAACAAGTCTCTAGGAAGCTCCAGACTTTCCCACATTTTCCTATCTTTTTCTGAGCCCTCCAAACTGTTCCAACCTCTACCTGTTACCCAGTTCCAAAGTCATTTCCACATTTTCAGGTATCTTAATAGCAGTATCCCACTCCTGAGACTGGGTAATTTTTTTTTTTGAGACAGAGTTTCACTCTTGTTGCCCAGGCTGGAGTGCAATGGCACGATCTTGGCTCATCGCAACCTCCACCTCCTGGGTTCAAGAAATTCTGCCTCAGCCTCCTGAGTAGCTGGGGTTACAGGCATGCACCACCACATCCAGCTAATTTTGTATGTTTAGTATAGATGGGGTTTCTCCATGTTGGTCAGGCTGGTCTTGAACTCCTGACCTCAGGTGATCTGCCTGCCTCAGCCTCCCAAAGTGCTGGGATTACAGGTATGAGCCACCACACCTGGCTTGAGACTGGGTAATTTATAAAGAAAAAGAGATTTAATTGACTCACAGTCCCACATGGCTGGGGAGGCTTCACAATCATGGTGGAAGGCAAAGGAGGAGCAAAGTCACACCTTACAGGGCAGCAGGCAAGAGAGCATGTGCATAGGAACTACTCTTCATAAAATGATTAGATCTTCTGAGACTTATTCACTATCATGAGAACAGCAGGGGAAAACCCCACCCCCATGATTCAATTACCATCCACCAGGGTCCCTCCCATGACACGTGGGGATTATGGGAGCTACAATTTAAGATGAGATTTGGGTAGGGAGACAGCAAAACTATATCATGGCCCCTTCAGCAACTTTCAGATCTTTCCTTCTAAATTTGTTTTCCATTACTGCACAAAAATTTACCCTAACCCGTAATCTCTTAAAACAACATATATTGTCTCACAGTTTCTGTGGAACAGGAGTCCAGGCACAGCTTAGCTGGGTAGTCCTAGCTCGGGGACTCTCAGAAGGCTACAAAGTGTCAGCTATGGCTGTAATTATCTCAAGGCTTGGATAGAAAAGGATCTGCTTTCAAGTTCACTTACATTGTTGTTTTCAGGTATCAGTTCCTCTTTGACCGTTGGCTGTGGGTCTTCCTTAGTTTCTTGCCACTTAGGTCTCCCCTGAGGCAGCTCACAGCATGGTATCTGGCTCCAATAGAGCAAGAAAATACAGGAGAGACTGCAAGCAAGACAGAAGCCAGAGTCTTTTGTAACCTAATCTTGGAAGTAACATCATCCCATCACTTCTGCCAGATCCTGTTTGTTAGAAGCAAGTAACTAGGTACAGCCCACACACAAAAAAGGGACTACACATGGAGTGGATACCAGGAGGCAGAGATCATTGGGGGGTATTTAGAAGTTGCATACCACACCATTTTTTCATGGTCTCACAAATTCTTTACCTCCTAATGAAATGCCTGGAGGCCACTTGTGATTGTAATTTTTAAAAAAGAATTAAACTTTTTTCTTCTTCTTTAATCTGATATCAACCTAAAATCTTACATTTAATTCGATGCTGAAAATTATTTGGAGCATGTAAAATTCAAATCATTAAACTTGTCAAGTTTTTTTTTTAGATTTTTTAATTTCAATTTTCAAATTAAGTCAAAATATACTTTTATTATCTTGTTAATCTTTTCGTCAGCTGTGGTTACATACGTTTTGCATTGCTGATATCAATTATGTGCCTACTCTCTCTATGTGTCTCTCTGTCTCTCTTTCAGCTTTGTTGATTCTCTATTTTATGTGTGCTTTCTCTACCATTAATTATCTTTTTTATTTTTTCTGCAGTTTTTTTGGGTTTGTTTTGTTCCTATTTCTTCAACTCCTTAAGATGCATGTTTTAGCTCATTGATCTTCAGCTTAAAAATAAAAATATTGAGTTTGCTAATATCACAACTCTTGTAGTTATATACCGGGTCAATAAATAGAATGTTGCTGAGCACATCAGACGTTCCTTTGTGCCTTCTCCTAATAATCAAGCCTTTCCTCCTCCACAAAGGTTAGCTTTGCTAAGCCATATCAGAGAAACTTCTAATCTAGGGCCAATTTTCCCCACTGCTGAGGCAAATCCTTCTGAGTAATATACCTTTGTCCTATGAATTATGACTTTATTCAGCCTGGCTGGCAGGCTCCTGTGTGAGATCTGAACACAATTCCCTCTAATCCTTTCATATGGTTCTTTCTATGTACTTGAACAGTGCAAATACTGATCACACATGCAAGTACTGATCAGTACTCTGAGAAACACTCGAAGGGGCCATCTGCAGATCTCCTTGATTCTCTATGCACCAACTCTCTCTCCACTACTCTGTCCTGCAAACTCAAGCTGCCTTATCCTCCTTCTACTCTTGGGTCCATCTCCAAACCTCAGGGAACCTAGCAGGCTCTCCCTGGGTTCCCCCTTTCTGTACTATGGCTTAGAAACTCACAGCAATAACCTGGGATTAACAGAACATACCTTGTTTGTTTTCCATTCCTCAGGGTTCACCGTACTTTTTTCCCTGATGTCCAATATCTTCACAATCATTGATTCTTTGTTTCTTTTGTGAGGTTTTTTTTTTTTTTCTGGTAAGAGAATAAATTCAGTCCGTAATATATCATCTTAAAGAGAAGTAAAAGTTTCAGAGTATCTAATAAACATTTCAAAGAATGTTAAACTGGAACATATTTAACTGTAACTTTGTACCCATGGACCAGCGTCTCGATATTCCTTCTTGGTCCTAAAATTCCTAGCTTCTAGTAAACACTGTACCAGATAAATATGTATAATTATTATGTGTCAATTAAAAACAAAATAAAACTTTAAACAATAAATTGTTAAAATAAAAAGGCAAAAAGAAAGACACTAAGCCATTTTTTCGTGCCTCAAGATTAGAATTAATCCCTGTAATTGTGGTTTTTTTCTCATACATTTTATACCAATGCATTACTCAAATAAAGACAATTGTCGTTTCATCAGCTGAGCTAAACCTCTACTATCTTTTAACACAAGGCTAGTTAATTTTTGAAGTGATGTTACCTTTTAAGAGCTGATTAACTCTATGGACCTTTCTCCGGAAAAATATGTACTAAATGATAAATGCTTGAGGTGATGGATACCCGAATTACCCTAATTTGATCATTACATATTGTATGCTTGTATCAAAATTTCACACGTACCCCTGAATATGTACTAATATGTATCCATAATAATTACAAATAAAAAAGTGTTAAAGTGTAAATTTTGTATTAAATGTCAAAGAGTTCAAGGACCTTTGGAAGTTTAAAAACATACCCTCTCACGCCTGTATTCCCAACACTTTGGGAGGCCGAGGCAGGCAGATCACCTGAGGTCAGGAGTTCAAGACCAGTCTGGCCAACATGGTGAAACCCCGTCTCTACTAAAAATACAAAAATTAGCCAGGTGTGGTAGTGGGTGCTTATAATCCCAGCTACTTGGGAGGCTGAGGCATGGAGAACTGCTTGAACCCGGGAGGCGGAGGTTGCAATGAGCCAAGATCACACCACTGCACTCCAGCCTGGGCAACAGAGTGAGACTCTGTCTCAGAAAAAAAAGGAAATCCTAACTGGAAAAGTTTTTCTCTGGCATTTGACAGTTGTGGAGCACAGTATTAGTTCTCTGATCTCTCACCAACACTCTGGTTATCCTTAGGGGAAACTTTTCTTTTTCTGATGCACTTAAGGCATGCAATTAATCCCTCATTCTTAATATGAATAGAGAGTCAAAAGTAACAAATACTTTAGGAAAGCTTGCAACATGAAAGGAAGAGACAAAAACTGAACTAGTTAAAAACGATATTGCAGGAAGCAAGATCATACAGGCAAAAGAAAAAAGCTTCAAATAAATATAGTTAATATATTCATAGAAATAAGTTAAAATGTTGATGAAATAACATTCATTGGACGTATTGTAGAAATGGAAATAGAAAAAAATGCATATGAAGTAAAATATTTTTAAGAAATTAAAAATATCAGCATCAAAGTTAAAATTCAACAAACGTCAATAAAATCTCCCAAAAGTAGGAAAAATCATCAAAGTGGTGGAAGGTAGGAAAGAACACGTAAGACTATGAAAGGGTTAAACCAAAAGGTAAATATCCCATTCATAAAAGTTAAGGAAAGAAAATAAAAAGAAAAAAATTGTTGGAAAAGTATTCTCCCAACAATCATAAGAAACAAATGACAGAGACAAATATATTTCACAGAAATTATAGGTGTATTAGTCCATTCTCATGCTGCTATAAAGAACTGCCTGAGGCTGGGTAACTTATAAAGGAAAGAGGTTTAGTTGACTTACAGTTCCACGTGGCGTGGGAGGACTCAGGAAGCTTACAATCATGGTGGAAGGGGAAGCAAACATGTAGTTCTTCATATGGCAGCAGGTAAGATAAATGCTGTGCCAAGTGGGAAAAGCCCTTTATAAAGCCTCCAGATCTTGTGAGAACTCACACACTATCATGAGAACAGCATGAGGGTAACCACTCCCATGATTCAATTACCTCCCACCAGGTTCCTCCAACACATGGGGAGTATGGGATTATAATTCAAGATGAGATTTGGGTGGTGACACAAAGCCAAGCCCTTTCAATAGGCATGTATATTAATAATTATAGGCCAACAGAGCCAGAAAAGAGAATATTAAAGACCACACCGAGTATCATCATCATCATGTAATATTAGTACACAAGGTATAAAGGAACACCATGAAAGCTTTCAGGAAGAAAAATAAAAATAAATGAAGAACAAATGCATATAAAACAGGTTACTTACAAAGGGTTAAGAATTATAATAACACAGGAATTCCCAATACTAACATTTAGAAACTAGAAGACAATTTGAGTATACCTTCAAAATTCTGAAAAACAATGATATTCAAGCTAAAATATTATAATTACTTAAACTGACAAATGTGAGGGCAAAATAATGACATTTTCCCACTTGTATAAGCAATTTAAACTCAAAACAGTTTACCATCCATGAAAACTCTCAGGAAGCTACTAGAGGATGCAATCCTCTAAAGGGAGGCAACAAACTAAGAGAAAACATGAGTTCCCGGAGCCAAGAAGCAAATGATCTAACTTCAGTGAAAAGAAAAGAGAAGCTCCATAATGAAGGCAAAGAGAGATCCCAGGATGACTATTGCATAATAAGCTCATCAAAATTGAGGAGGGCAGAGGTCACCAATCAGAAAAATTTCATATGAAAATAGAAATGTTGTATTAAATCATGTAAACAATATGGCTGAAATACATTTTATGGAGTTTGTGGGACAATTAGGAAGAATTAGCAATAAAAAACATAAAAACATAAAACAAAAAAGCAGATAAGAAATGAAATACTTTTTTTCAGAAAAAAATTTACCAGCAACTATCTATGATCATTATCTATTACTTATCTTAGTAATAGAAAAATCCTACGATGTCAACATAATATGAATATCTAGTTATCCCCAAATTGTGATGTGATCATATTGGAAAAATGAAGGAAGAGATAGTTGAAGGGAGGTAGGATGGTGTGAAATGTTAACCTCTCAATTGCCATAATAGGAAAGCAATATACAGATTATAAAACTGATAAACTAAGATAAATCACATATTGCATATATTTAGAAATATGGAAGTTAAAAGATGAAGACAATGCTAAGAGTTGTAAATGATTGCCTCTAGAGGGTGGGAAAAGGTGAAACAAGCAACTACATTTTTATTTTTGTAAGTTTTTTCTATCATTTGCTTGTCTTAAACTATGTGCTTGCAGTACAATAGAATACAATGATAATCATCAAAGAAAAAATAAAATGAAGCAAGTGTTGTTGATACCCCACTGAATATTCCCATGACCCACACTGAGTCCACCAGCAGCTGTGGTTGATGATTCCCACACGGTTTGACAGTTTCCTGCCTCAGTGGGTTCTCTCTTCTCTGCCTGAGGGCTTTCTTGACAGGAGGGGATCATGCTTACTACAAACAAGAGCAATGGATAGGTGTGTAGTTTTTAATAGTTTGATCCCAACTCTCATACTATGGATATGGTTGTAGGCGGTTCAATGTTCCAGCCTTTTGTTCTTCTAGAGAAAAATGATTCTGAGGCATGTTTCTCATGGTTTCTCAATAATAACTCACCTATTAACATGCTCTGTTGGCCTTTCTCTTTTCCCTCTTTCTTACTTATTCTTCTTGGGAACACCTCCTAAATAAACTACATGCACCCAAGTCTTTTCTTTGATATCTAATTTTGGCTAAACCTAAACTAAGAGAGATATCTAGGAGATGTTTGTTAAGAATGCCTGTTTATATGCCTCTTTTTTATCTTTGTGTGATCATTGTTTATTTTATGCTTGCTATTGCTATTGCCTTGTAGCAATTAAAGAACTCTACTTCTATAACTGACCATTTAAAAACTAAGGTTAGTAGACCTTTATATGCTGTGAAAAAGATTGCCGGCATGTAATAAAAATTTCAGAACAGAATTCAAAGTTGAGCTGCAACACTCTGTGGTGGATGTCTTTGATGTCTCTTCTGTTTAAACTTCAGTGCATAGCTGAGAGATGTGTAACGGTACACTTAGGCTATGAAAATATCCAACATACACAAAATAATTAAATAAATATATATTAGGTGATCTGTTTGTAGTGATTTTATAATATGTCTACAGATTCTTTGACATTTCTCTTATTAAATGGTGGGGTCTATGTCTTCTTTCTTTGAAGCTACATTGACATTAATGATTTGCCAATAACTAGTCAGAAGTAATGTTGCCACAGAAATTTTGACATTAGGTTAGAAAATAACACGCAACTTTTATCTGATTCTCTTGGAATGTTTGTTCTCTCCATGCTCCCTTTTGGGATACTTCTTAAAAAGCTGCCACTATGCTATGAGAAGTGAAAACCAAAAGGAAATAATCCAAACAGGTGCTTCAGTCAGTAGACCTAGCTGAGTCCCCAGCCTTCTAGGAATTCCAGGCTATGTGTCAGGTATGTACATGAAGGAGCTTCCAGATTATTAAAGCCCTGTGCCATTAAGTCATCCCTAGTGTCTGAGTCTTCCCAGCTGAGGCTCCAGACATCATGGAGCAGCGTCAATCCATCCCTGCTCTGCCATGTCTAAATTTCTGGTCCACAGAATCTGCGCACATAATAAAATGGTTGCTTTACTCCAAAAGTTTTGGGGTGGTTTGTTACACAACAATATTAACTAAGGTACATTAATTTTCATTAAATAATTACTAAAAACACATATTAAGTTATCTGCCATTTAAATAAGCAAAATTTGAGAGAAGGTTCTTTGATCATCCCTGTTCCTGACCACCCTGTTAAAGAATTATGGATTAATCCACATCTATTGTCCTTTGGGGGTCAAGAAAAGCATGTCTTCTCTTTCAAACAGGGTAACAGAAAAACCCAGAATTAGAGAGGAATAGGCACAATACACATGGTTATTAAAACTGTCTGTGCTGAGAAAGAGCACATAATTAGTAATAAGGAAGCCTGCACCCTATGTAACAGAGGAAATAAATGCAGATCTTCCATTTGTGCAGTGCTGGATATTTACTGGTGCATCTTGCTGTTATGAAAGAGTCTTTTTTGTAAAATCACCATGGCATCCAATGTAATGTTCCAAAGGGATTAATTTGGTAGGAAATTAAATGCTTTGCCTAGATACAAGATCTTTTAAAATTATATATGTGCCAAATTGCACTAAAATAATTGGGTAGCTGAGGACATCTGTTGCAATAAATTCAAATAGTGAATATTCTATTTAAATTGATACTGAGCATTGTATCAAAAAGCGTCTATTTCTCCCGCTTTACGTGCAGCAGAGCCTGAAAATAGCTCAGTTTAAAGATATTAAAAAATTATTTGGAAAAAAAACTGTGGTAGTCTAATCTGAAGTAATATCATGAAAGGCTATTTATGAAATAGAGTCACAATTTATATTAAAAGCATGTCTAAGGGCTTTGTGGTCAATTCCTAGATTGAGCTATACCATCTCATTACTGATGAGGTTACAGTTTAGGATCTGGTCTTAATTTACTCAGTTATTTGAGAATTAACTATTTGATTGCTTCTTGGCCGCCTGCTTTAGAGCTCAAGAAATACAGCAGATAGATGCCAATACCTCACTGCGTATATCAGGTTAAATATATCTCTACGTGCCAGTCATTAGTGCCTGGCATAAGATAGTCTGCTGCATAAGATGATCTATTTACTTCGCAGGATTTTATTGGTTAAATTTAGTAAGGGAATTAGTTGAAACACTGTATAGCATAATGTATATGAACCAGAGGTTTTCACAAGCTAGTGTACACTGAAATATTTTTATATGAAGACTAGTGTAACTGAGGGAGATTTACAATCTTACAATCTCATTATCTAATCCAGCTACCATCATCTTCTTTAGATTTCATGAAGTTTGTAAGATGCCAATGCCTACTACCTTTCAGGACATATTTATAACTGGTTTTCCTGAAGAAAAAACCCTCTATGAGGGTTTTTTTTTCTTTTTTCCTCCTAAGAGGTTTTAATTGCTAGAGCGCTCAAAAAACAAAGTGTGTGTAACCTGATATTAAAGGGACATTCCTGTTCTGGCATCTATTGTACTTATTAACTGTGTAACCTGGGACAAGATAGTTGGCTCATCTAAGTTTTAGCTGTTTCTGGCCGGGTGCGTTGGCTCACGACTGTAATCCCAGCACTCTGGGAGACCGAGGTGGGCATATCACCTGAGGTCAGGAGTTCAAGACCAGCCTGGCCAACATGGTGAAACCCCATCTCTACTTAAAAATACAAGAATTAGCTGGGCGTGGTGGCATGCACCTGTAATCTCAGCTACTCAGCAGTCTGAGGCTGAAGAATCGCTTGAACCCGGGAGGCAGAGGTTGCAGTGAGCCGAGATCGCACCACTGCACTCCAGCCTGGGCAACAGAGCGAGACAAAAAAAAAAAAAAAAGTTCTAGGTGTTTCTTCTGTTGAGTTAGAAAAAAGTAATACTTACCTCACATGACTGCTTGAAAAATGAAATGAAATACTTTGATAACAACCACTGATATTCAACACGTTACCTTCTGCCTCTTAAGAATATCTAACACAGTTCTACACAAGCATGACCACGTATGGAAAACTGTAGGTAAGAGCCAATGATGTTTAGATTTAGAGAATAGCATTTAGAACAGATTTAGACAGTATTTTAAGGATGGTTAAATGAGATGAGGAAAAATATGGAATCGGACATGGCTAATTGCCCAGCTGTGCTAGCAGTATGGACAGTGAGATCCTAAATGGGAATTAGAGAATGTGAAAATGAACCACGTTTAAATGTTGCTCTTTAATATCTCATAATAATTAATACATACTGAGTGTTTATGATTAACTAAGTACTTTCGTAGAATCTGTATGTTTTACCTTATTTTGTACTCATGAAAACCTTATGAAGTAGGTAAAATTATTTCTTTCATTTTACAGAGGTTTTTATTGGTCTCTGTTAACCACAGCAAAGTTTAGAAGTTTGCTCAGAACAGTTTGTAAGTAGGGGAGCCAGAGTTTGAATCAGGCAATCAGATTCCAGAATCCATATTTTGAATCGTTCCCTAAACTAATTATTAAATAGACTCTCAGAAGGCACTAGTCACTATGGAATTATGAGAGAAGATGGGGAGAGAAATAGAGATCCTATTTCATTTCATACTTTTATAATTCTGGGAAGATTTTCAAAACAAAAGAAACTTCAGATGGTCAGCTGCCATGAGAAGGTCAACTTGGAAGAGGCGGCTTTGGAATTGGCTGTTACATGGTAAAGCCTAGTTCAGTTTTATTTTAATGGTGCACATAGACAATTATTTTTCATGGGCTTACTAGTAATTACCATGAGGAAGAAGAGATAATAAACATTTAGTGTTCTTTAACATTCACTTTAGTTTTGAAATAGAAGGAAATAAACTAGAAACTATCCAGAGAGGTAGATCTAGATTTTCTTAAAATTACTTAGTTCAAAAATATTTGTTGAGCACTAGGAATATTATCAGTGAACACAATAGACGGATGGGAGATATGTGGTTAGTAGGGTAATATGACGAGAGGCCAATGGAAGCAAAATCAATAAACAAAGCATTCTCTTTTAGATAGTAAAAGTGATCATTCTTTTGTGATGTCACTTGTTCTATCACTGAACACAAAATTAGCTATACAGTTTTATTTTTCTAAAACAAGAAATGACAACTCTGTCTTATGAGTTGCTACTTTCTGTAGTCAGAGATGATTGCTTGTCATGAGAAAGTGGGTAGTAACTCTAATCTCATGGAATCCATCAAGATTTTCAAGCTAGTACACAGATAGTATTTAGTAAATCTCTTAAAATAAGTGTATTAAACATGTTCTTTGCTTTGCAATATTTAGCTCAGTCTTCCACATTAATTGCCTCTATGACTTTTTAAAACTTGATACATTTTCTCAAATATTTCACTTTGTAAATTTAATACTACTAGAAAAAAATCCAGAAGTACACAAAAATTAGTAAAGAATAAAAATAAAATTTAAAAAACCTATCTACAAAATCAGGGAGTGGCAGAATGAATGAAATCTGTAACTTTGGCCATAATGGTGACAGAAGGTAAAATATACAAAGCTTTGGGTGGAAGAGAAATATCCTGCTGTTTTCTAAATGGTGTAGTTGTGGTGAAATTTTTCAACAGATATTTTAGAGGCAGAGATCTCAAGATGTGGACTTGGAAACTGAAGCTGAGAAATGTCACTTTTTTCACTAAATATTATGCCATTTATTTAAAAAATGTTTATGTATTTATTTAAATTTACTCATTTTATTCTGTCTTCTACAATAGGAAGTTTATAATTTGCCAGAGGAGAAATTGTTGTGGTTATTAGTCCAGAGGCTAGAATTAAAGTTTCTTTGTAAATTCTATAAGGTACAACCCTAAAAATTGTTAAGAATGGCATATAGTGCCATTTAGCTATGGAGGATCTCAGGACACCAAAAGAAAAAAGAAAAAGGGTCAAAGGAAGATTTTATTAATAGCTTTTTAGTCTCCCCTCGAATTTTCTCCATCCTTCCTTCCCTTACACATCCTTGGTTCTCCTTCCTTATGTTCCTTTTGAGGAAGCGATCAATTTGACCATCAAAGGACTTGCTTATTTGTTTATTGAAATGAATAAATAAAACAACATCAAAACAAACAACAAAAAAATACTTTAGTGAGAAAAGTGTAAATAAAACAGAAAAAAAAAAATTCTAAAAATGGCCAACAGAGGTAATTTGCGACTGAAAACAAAACCTGACAACAATCATAGTTCAAACTTTGATCAACTATAATGCAAACAGGGATGTAAAGTTCTCACTTTAGGCTTTTCGGCTTTGGGATGGGGGTCTCGCTGGGGACCTGCCCTCTTATGACCAGAATTTCCCTGCCTCTTGTCTCTATCAATATTGCACATGTAAATAATTTTAAATTTTTAATCCTGTTCATATACAAGTATGTAATATTATCAGTTGCTTTTTTATAACAAGAATTTCATCATCTGATTTGATGCTATCATTGCAAACATGGGAAACATTGTGATTTTTAAAAAACTCTCCAACCAGGATATATAAACACATATGAATTTATTCATTCAAAATAGGTAAGAAAGATTTCTAAATTCATTGCTTAAACTTTTACTTTTAAAACTGGCAAAAAAAATCTCCTGGGGCCATACAAACAATTGCTTATTGAAAGTAAGGCTAAGTTTCAAAACTGTTTATAGTTCAAGACAACATATATGGAAATATTTATGAGTTTTTTTGTTTTCTGTTTTTTGTTTTTTTGTTTTGTTTTGTTTTTTTGTTTTTTGAGATGGACTTTCGCTCTCGTTGCCCAGGCTGGAGTGCAATGGCGCGATCTCGGCTCAAGGCAACCTCTGCCTCTCAGGTTCAAGCGATTCTCCTGTCTCAACCTCCAGAGTAGCTGGGATTACAGGTGCCTGCCACCACACCCAGCTAATTTTTGTATTTTTAGTAGAGATGGGGTTTCATCAGGAAATATTTATGTTTTATACATGCTTTATTTATGTCTATAAAGGCATTAAGAAATAATACAAATATGTTTTGAGTTTTTGTTAGTCCTTCATGTATCAATTCTATGCAAACAACACCCTAGCCAACATCAGTCTCAAATGGGGTAGAGAAAGGAGGAGTACTGTAGAAATATAGACTATAGTCTAACAGGACTAACAGCCCACAGTCTTCTGTCATTGGGATAAACTTACTAGAACAATATTTCCTCACCTTCATAATACCTAGCTGTCCTTTCTCCTTGTTGAGTTGCTAGCTACTTTCCAGGTCAAACAGAAAAAAGCACGCTTGTGCTGTGGCAATGCTGTTGTTTTTTTTTTCCTGGTGCTGTGAATTATAACAAACATTGGATAGTGTAAAATTATAAAGTCATATCAATCTGAATACCAGTATCAGTTGCCTGTGTTTTCTCAAAGGTAAATACTAGGGAATGAGCAAAGCCATATAGAACCCTTTTTATCTTGGGGATGGGAGTTGAATATTTGGAAAGGTCTGCATTTATCAGCAGCGAACCTCACTTCAGTAAGTCTAGTCTCTGAGGCAGAAATTCACAAAGTGAAGAAGTGGTAAAGTTCCTACTCATTCCCTGCTCTTTCTTGCCCTGCCCTCATGTAACTGAAGAATATTTAAAGTAATCTTTATTCATAAGGAACCACAATACCAAAAGGCCAGCCCATTGAGAAGGAAGGCTTCAAGCAATGTAACACTGCCCCCATCGTTAACTGTGCTTCCTCTTCTTTGAGAATATTATTTTCTTTATCCTAACAAGGACAGTACAGACTTAGGGTGAATAAGTAAGAAATAATTGACTTCATTTTCTTTAACTTCCCATCGAGGGAATTCAGACCGATTAATTGAAAGTTGCTGTAATTATTTCTAAGGCTCCTTTACATGATCTTTCCAAGATAACGAAAAATGTAAGTTAAAAAAAAGACACATCAATCTACAATATCCAGTGAGAAGTACTGGATAGCAAAAGAGATATACATTATTATAATAATATATTAATATAATCTATAAATATGAAATGGAAAAACATTAAAAATGTTAGTGAGTTTTTCTGAATTGTGGCATTATATGTGCTTTACCTTCTTATATTTCCTTTATTTTCTAAGTTTTTAAACAACTAGTATGTTTTTATACAAATTCAGAAAAAAATATATACTTAAAGAAGTAGACAGAGTTTACTTGACCTCAAGGGAGAATCATTTTAAATACTATATACGGGAATGTTTCCATTATAGGATGCCCTGCGATTTTACACTTTCAACATACACAAAACATATATTTTAATAGTGTTTACTGATTGGTGGTATTTAAGTTTATACAAAAATAAAGAGGTCATCACTACTGTTTTAATTCCCATCTTCATTTTCACATTAGAAATATGCATAGGTACCTCTGACAATCAGTCAGTCCCTTATCTGCAATGATTACTTTAACGGTATCCCCCAAGGCTTATCATGTCATTTTGTTTGACCTTTGGTTAACTAACTCATGCTGATTTTTTTAGTGATCCCCTGATAGGTTTTCCTTACTTATACAGTCTAATGGAGACACTCTTGTAGGTTTTCTTTTTTATTATTTCTCAAAAATCCCATTAACACAATCTCTATTGTAATACTCATCTAATTATAACACGCTCCTTGCTGAGCTCAGAGGGCAAGCATTCTAATAAAACTGTGGTCCTGTACTGAGAAGTGGAAAGAAATAACTGTCATTCTCACTTCAGTAGTAAATTTTAATAAATTAGTCTACAGAGTTTTAAATCCACTTGGCAAAGATAAAGTGAAATGGCAAGTCTATTACTGATTTGAGTGTGAACTAGAGATACATAAATATTCTGCTTCTATGTGAACTGGATTATATGGTTTATTAAAAACCACTTTACTGAGATGTAATTGAAATATAAAATCTCTACATATTTAATATATACATCTCAATGAGTTGGGGGATAAGTATACACACATGAAATCATCACCACCGTCAAGACAATAAACATATGTATCACTTCCTAAAGATTCCTCCTGCCTCTATTATTATTATTATTTCATTATGGTAAGAACAGTTAACATAAGATCTACTGCCTTGGCATTTTAAGTATACAATACAGCATTGTTAGCTATAGGCACTATGTTGTATAGTAGATCTCCAGAATATATTTTTCTTACATAATGGAAATTTTGTATCCTTTAGCCATTACTTCCCCATTTCCCCATTCACTAGGCTCCAACAACTGCCAATCTCCTCTCCATTTCTATGAGTCTGACTATTTTATATTTTACATATGAGTGAGATCAATTGGTATTGTCTTTCTGTGTCTGGCTTATTTGACTTAGCACAATACCCTCTAGGTCCATCTATATTGTCAAAAACAGTGGGATTTCCTTCTTTTTATTTTAGTTTATTTTTTAACATATATTTTAGGTTCAGGGGTACATGTACAGGTTTGTTACTAGGTATCGTGTGTCACGGGGGTTTGGTGTACAGTTTTGTCACTCAGGTAATACCCATTTATAAGTGAGAACATGTGGTATTTGGTTTTCTGTTTCTGTGTTAGTTTGCTCAGGATAATGGCCTCCAGCTTAATCCATGTTGCTGCAAAGGACATGATCTCACTCTCATTTTTATGGCTGCAGAGTACTCCATTGTGTATATGTACCACAGTTTTTAATCTAGTTTACCTTTGGTAGGCACCTGGGTTGATTCCACGTCTTTGCTATTGTGAATAGTGCTGCAAGGAATGTATCCATGCATATGTCTTTATGGTACAGTGATTTATATTCCTTTAGGTATATATCCAATAATGGGATTGCTGGATGGAATGGTAATTCTGTTTGAAGTACTTTGATAAATTGCCAAACTGCTTTCCACAATGGCTGAACTAATTTATATTCCCACCAGCAGTGTATAAGTGTTCCCCTTTCTGTACAACCTTGCCAGCATCTGCTATTTTTTGACTTTTTAGTAATACCCATTCTGACTGGCATGAGATGGTACCTCATTGTGGGATTTCCTTCTTTTTTAAGGCTGAATGATATACCATTTTATGTATATACCACATTTTCTTTATCCATTCATCTACCCATGGACATTTAGCTGTTTCTACATCTTGCCTGTAATGAATAATAATGCTGCAATGAACATGGGAGTGGAGATGTATTTCAAGATCCTGGTTTCAATTATTTTGCATATACATCTAGAAGAAAAATTGTTGGATTATATAGTAGTTCTGTTTTTAATTTTATGGAGAACCTCTACACTGTTTTTCATAATGGCTTTACCAATTTGCATCCCCACCAATAGTGTACCGAAGTTCCCTGTACCAAAGTTCCCTGTTCTCCATATACTCACCAACCCTAGTTATCTTTCATTGTTTTGATAGTAGCCATTCTAACAGGTGTGAGGTGATATCTCATTGTAGTTTTGATTTGCATTTTCTTGATTAGTGACGCTGAGCACCTTTTCATATACTTGTTGGTCATTTGTATGCCTTCTTTGGAGAAATGTCTACTCAGGTCCTTAGGTCATTTTTTAATTGGATCACTTGTTTTTTTACTGTTTAGTTGTATGAGTTCCTTGTATATTTTAAAGGCTAATCTCTTTTTAGATATATGATTTGAAAATATAGTCTCCCATTCCATAGGTTGCCTTTTTATTTTGTTGTTTCCTTTGCTGTGCAGAATCTGTTTAGTTTGATGTAATCTCACTTGTTTATTCTTGCTTTTGTTGCCTGTGTTTTGGGGGTCATATGCAAAGTGTCATTGCCAAGACTAGGAGTTGCCAATGTGAAGGAGTTTTTTCCCTGTGTTTTTTTCCAGGACTTTTATGGTTATAGGTCTTATGTTTAAATCTTTATAATCCATTTTGAGTCGATTTGGGGGTTATAGTATAAGGCAAGTGTCCAATTTCATTCTTTTGCATGTGTATATCCAGTTTTGCCAATACCATTTATTGAAGAGACTATCCTTTCCCATTGTGTATTCTTGGTGCCTTTTGTCAAAAATTAATTGATTGTGTAAGTATGGGTTTATTTCTGGGCTCTCTAATCTGTTACATTGTGTCTGTTTTTATGTCAGTATCATGCTGTTTTCATTATCATAGCTTTGTAATTAATATAATTTGAAATCAGAAAGTGTGGTGCATCCAGTTATGTTATTCTTGCTCAATATTGCTTTGGCTGTTGGAGGTCTTCTGCAGTGCCATATGAATTTTAGTATTGTATTTTCTGTTTCTTTTCACACACCTTGACCAAACTGGCAAAATGCTATTTTCAGAAGAAATTTTGGAATTCTCTGACTCTGTGATTCTACTTATTTGATTCTCTTTTCTAAGGGCATTTTTCTTTTATCATTCTCCAAATTATCTAGTTTCATTGTTATATTTGTTTGTTTGTTTGTTTGTTTGAGACAGAGTCTCGCTCTGTCACCCAGGCTGGAGTACAGTGGCGTGATCTTGGCTCACTGCAACCTCCGCATCCTGGATTCAAGTGATTCTCATGCCTTGTCTCCTGAGTAGCTGGAACTACAGGTGCATGCCACCACAACTGGCTAATGTTTGTATTTTTAGTAGAGATGGGGGTTTCACCATATTGGCCAAGCTAAGCCATTTATATTTATTTAGTACAGATTTAATGACAAGGGCTTGGAGCAAACACAACTTGTGGGTAATTAACATTGTTGACCCCCCAAGTAGAGAGCAGTCCTGCATGGGAATGATCAAAGTTTGGTTTCTGGAGACATAAGTAAACCAGTTTATCTAGATAAGTTCCTTTCATTACCTTGTTATCTACCCTTTGTCCTCAGTCTCCAGATAAGATAATCAGCTGCCTTCAGCTTCATTCTCTCCCGAAGCTTTTGCAAACCCTCTCAGCCTTCCAAGAAGGTTTGCGTCTTTCCCTATAATTTTTCCCACCACCCTGACCGATCTCCTACAAGGCTGGTCTCAAACTCCTGACCTCAGGTGATCTGCCCACCTCAGCCTCCCAAGGTGCTGGAATTAAAGGTGTGAGCCACCATTCCCAGCCATAGTTTTTAAAGTCTAGACAAATATTGCTATACTTTCTGATTTTATATCATGAAAAACGGTCTTTATCTTTCTCTCCTCTGGAAATAATAAAATTTCATCTGCACTTCCTTGAGCATATAGATGATTTTCCATTTTGCATGCATTTATTTCTGTGCACATCTGTGATAGAATCTAAAGAGATGTTCATCTGACTAAACTGTGAGACTACATTTCTCAGATTCCTTTGAAGTTAGGTTTGTGACAAATGACTGGGTTCTAGTTGGTAAAATGAGGACAGGCTTGGTTCATAAGGTAATTTTCATTGATCTTTCTCTTTTTTCATTCATTGTACTACTGACTACAGAAAATTCAATGAAGAATCTAAGGAGTCCTTGTAAGATAGTGAAGCCATAAGATGCAAGGACTGAGATGCCTGCATTACTATACAGAAGGCTTCTTGCAAGCAACCTATTTCAAATGTGAAGTAAATTAGAAAATTTGACTATATTATTATAGATTTTTAGATTATTGTTATATCAGCTAGCACTAATGACTTTGATTAATGTAACATATACATTTTATATATATATAGGATGACTTTAACTCTGGTTATTATATTGAAGACTCTTATAGCAATGTCTCTATCTTTGACCTTTTCCCTGAGTATTAGATTTGCATTTCTTACTCTCTATTGTACATCCCTCCATGGGTATTACAAGGCCTCTCAAACCTAGCATTTACCAAATAGAAACTGAGGTTATCAACTTTACTAGTTTCCTATGGCTACTATAACAAACTCCCACAAACTGGGTGGCTTACAACAACAGAAATTTATTGTCTCACAGTTCTGGAGGCTAGAAATCTAAAATAAAGGTGTTGGCAAGCCCATTCTCCCTCTGAAATCTGTAGGGGAGTATAATTCTTTTCTTATTCCTAGGTTTGGGTGGTAATTATCAATCCTTGGCATTCATTGGCTTGCAGCTGCATCACTCTAATCTCTGCATTTGCTGTCACATGACAATGTGCCTATGTGTCTCTGTCTTCACATGTTGTTTTTTTCTTCTTATAAGGACAACAGTCATAGTAGATTAAGGTTCAGTCTAATGAACTCATTTAAATTTGATTACATCTGCAAAGTCCCTATTTCCAATAAGGTCATATTCACAGGTACTGAGGGTTAGGACCTAAACACAGCTTTTCGAAGATCACAATTCAACTTGTAACATCAACACACAATCCAGCTTAATAGAATCACTATCATCTTGTCACTCAGTACTGGAGCTTGAAAGTCATTCTATAGTTAGAGTTTCTTCTTGTATTTTGGTTCATCAAGTCAACATAATGCAAGATTTTTCTCTTCAACTTCCTTTCCTATATATTCAATGATGGGTACAGATTAAATCATAGTATTTCTTTTCTGGAGACAAATTCTAGTCTCTTTCTCTTTGCATTTTTTAGACATCATTTTAAAACCAAATTAGTCATATAACAATTATGTTCAAAAAATTTTGTTGGCTCCAATTACAACTCTTCCTCCTACCAATAGCCCCTGACACTTGCACAGTGTCCTTTCACCCTGTTGTACTTTAGGAGTTTTTGTTTGTTTGTTTGTTTTGTTTTTCCTCATTTGGAGTGCTTGTGGTGGAGATGACTTATGGGTATCTCAAGTGAAAAGTATATAGTAAATAGGTAGTTAAAGGGCTGAAATACTAGGTTACCCAAGGGGGTTATAGATTCAAAGTAATAATAGCGCTCATACAGATCTTCATTATATGCAATGTACTCTGGTATGCATCATCTCTTTTGAGATTCCCAGCCATCCTATGAGATAGGTTAATAGTATCTCAAATTTTTGATTAAGAAACTGATATTGAGAGGTCTGACTAGTTCAAGGAAGCTCAGTTAGTTATTAGCATAGATAGATTTTATATCCAAATTATTTTGCTATACATTCCACCCCTTTTGACTGCAGCAAGCTTGCTTAAGAGGATAAAGAAAATTAATTTGACAATCACTTGAGTTTAAGTGCTATCTTAGGAAAATAAGGCATTGAACAAGATTGGCCAAGAGGAGTTTGACTTTATGAAGATAATTAGTAGGGAGTAATGTTAGGCAAAGCAAGGGACAGAAATGATTCAAGTGGAGAAATGTGATAAACAATAGTATATCACAGAGGTACCATATAAGAATTTTTCTTCATTAGGTGTTGTCCCAATAAGAGCTGGGCAAAAACATAATTAACAAATGAAACAGTAAAATTTGAAATAAGTTGACCATTATGAATTAACATCAGTGTCTAAATTATGGCTTGGAAAAAACTACACGAGTGAAACAAAAACAATGTCTAGAGATGTATAAATACAATGGGTGATTATAAGTATGATTACAGTGTGCAGAAAAGAATTATTAATGTCATAGTGTCGATACGAAAATAAATGACATCTTAATGAACAACTAGATCAAACTACAGTTAAGATTTCATTAGTTTGAATCCTGGATCTAACACTGAGTGATATTGGCTAAATTAGTTTGCCTTTCTTATTTTTTGTCTGTCTGTTTGTTTTGTTTAATTTTTATAAGCAACCTCTAAATTACAAAAGTTTTGGATTTATACAATGATGTTTAGATTTTATAGCTATATACATACAATTAAAGCAAACATGTATTATTTAAAATCTTTATAGGGAAAAGATTTTCATTTGAGTCAAAACTCTTGTTAGCACTCTGCTTTCATTAAATAAGTTGTATAATGTAATGCTCAATGATATGAAATTCCTTATGAACATATATAATAAATGAGATGGTAGGGCAGAAGTTGGGAATGAAATTAGATTGAAAGTTATTAGATTTCTGTCTGGATAGATTTTGCAGCATAAAGTGCTGGGGTTTCTCCCTAATTGCAGTAGATTGAGGAATAAATTGCAAGAATCAATAACTATTTTTAAGAACCTACTATTTAATAGAAAACAATATATGGTGGCACAGGCTCAAAAATAAATTTCTAGGCCTGGGGATATTTGAGCATATTGTGGTTATGGGAGAGTGTTTGTTTTGTAAGAACAATTAAAGGCACTAGAGAAGGAGAATTACTGATGGACCAAGGCTTATACGAAGCCATAAGAAATATGGCCAGATATTTGTTGGACCGAACTGACACTAAGAATGGAAGTTCCCTTTTAGAAGACTGGGAATGATCTCATATCTGCATTTGTCACTGCTCTCAAGTATCGTTCTATTCCTTAAGTCTTGGGTATTCCTTACTTTTTCTTGAAATATTTCTCTTTATAAAAGTTATACCACTGGTCTAACATCTATGAAACAGAATCACTTTCAGCAACTCGTATGACGAGCCTCCAAAATGCTCTACTGTGACAACCTAATTTCAGCAATACAAAAATGCTATGATAGAGCTGCTATGATACAGCTGTCAGCCTCTTAAATTATTGAATCATGCTGAGCTCTTGATCCAAAGCAAAAATGGAGACCTTGATATAAGAGAGTGGTTAAGAGTGTAAGCTCTGGAGTCAAATACACATGGGTATGGTTTCTACCGCTGCTACTTAATGGATGTAGTTCTTGAAAGTATTATTTAAACTAAACATCAGTATTATAATGTATATACTTGAAGCTGATTTTATATCAATGTTACCAGAAAAGGTCCCAATCCAGACCCCAAAAGAGGGTTCTTGGACCTCACTCAATAAAGAATTCAAGGCAAATACATAAAGTAAAAGAAACTTTATTAAGAAAGTAAAGGAATAAAGAACGGCTACCCCACAGGCAGAACAGCCCTGAGTGATGCTGGTTGGCTATTTTTATGGTTATTTCTTGATTATATGCTAAACAAGGGGTGGATTATTCATGTGTTTTCCATGAAAGGGGTGGGCGATTCCCAGAACTGAGGGTTCCTCCCCCTTTTTGACCATATAGGGTAACTTCCTGACATTGCCATGGCATTTGTAAACCATTATGGCACTGGTGGGAGTGTCTTTCAGCATGCTAATGCGTTATAATTGGCATACAATGAGCAATGAGGATGATCAAAGGTTACTTTCATTGCCTTCTTGGTTTTGGCGGGTTTTGGCCATCTTCTTTACCACAACCTGTTTTTTCAGCAAGGTCTTTGTGATCTGTATCTTGTGCCAACCTTCCATCTCATCTTGTGACTTAGAATGCCTAACCTCCAGGGAATGTAGCCCAGTAGGTCTCAGCCTTATTTTACCCAGCCCCTATTCAAGATGGAGTTGCTCTGGTTTGAACACATCTGACATATTCACCCCTCCCTTTTACAAGGGAACCCTTAATCCTAAGGGTTGTAGAGGGACAAAGGTCCATCTTCTGTAACTTCTTCAGGCTGAATAGGGGTGATGATATTCCTGCCTAACTATTAGGGTCTCTTGTATTTGTGGTAGAGAGGAGCTCACTCAGAAGGCATCAGTAGGCTATGGGTCATTCACAACTCTGAGTTCCGACAAAAGGACCTTGTGGTTACAAGATCAAGCTTCCAAGGACATAGAATACAACAAGAGGGAAACTTCTTCCAGTTGTTTTTTTGTGGGGCTGGGGACCTGCAACAAAGTTTGTGACTGACCAGTTTTCTGGGCCAGCAAAACAGTGGGTTTATGGGGTCCTAAGCCCATGTTCTATTGTTGCAGAACTTTCTCCTTAGTTCAGGTAAACCTGGGCTCTTGTCACGCGGCCAAGAAAGATTAGGCTCGCAGGAGCATAAAAAAGTGAGGAGCAGAATTTATCGGGTGAAAAGGAAAAAAAAGAAAAAACTCAGCAAAGTGAGATGGAGTACTGCTAACAGGCCCTTCACTTCACTGACTGATTTCTAGGTCACCACATGAGCTGAAGAGAGCAGGCTCCTCCCCTGTGTAAGGTGCAAATTCCCCATGGCTCCACCCATTTCCCCCAGTGCGCAAGTCAGGCTCCATTCTGCTGTGGGCATGCCCAGACAAGCCCTGGGCAGGTTTCCTCGTCTACACAAAAGCATCTGACGTAAATACTTATGGGGTGGGTCAGAGATTCTCCGGAGACCCCTTTTTATCTGCCTAGGTATTTGGCTGTCTCACTATCCTAAGGCATTCATCTTCATGACAGAGTAATACAGAAAGACAAATTTATAGCACAAAGTATACCGGATTCACTAGAGTAGCCACTCCACTTAACACCCAATATTGAACTGGTAAGGCTCAAACTTGCCCTGAGATGGGGCCCCATCATGTTTAATCCAACCTCCAACCAGGAGATTCAACATGTTGTCTGTGGGCAAGATGGTCGCCCTGAGTAACAGAAAAGATAGAAAAGAGAAAGAAGATATAAGGAGAAAAGCGTTGCCTGTGGTGGGGTGGGAAGGGTGAAGAGCTCAGAGATGCCAGAGAAAGACCCACCCATTGCACCCACACTGAATTGAAAGTTCAGGCAGCCTCTTGTCAGTTGCAAAGGGATTTTTTCCAGCAGTCCCATCAGCTCTCAAGTGTCCCCCTTTGGGGAGAAAGAAGTTCTCATGTCCCATAATCCTGTACATGCCTAATCCTGTCACCCACAGTCATCCGCAAAGAGTATAAGACAGATTAATCCAAAGAGAATAGTGGTTAATGTCCCATAATGCCAAATCCGTTCTTAGCTGAGAGGGACTTTACTGAGAGGGGCCTCTAACTCTCTAAATCTTAGAAGGGACTCTGACCTTCCTAAATTGGGCCTTAATCCCACGTTCGGTCAAGTTCCTTGCCTTTTATGAAGAGGGGCCTTTAACCCACTCTGTCTTAGGGGAGACTCTAACTCCCTTAAGTTGGGCCTCTAACCCAATCCCATCCTTTACCCCGGTACCCCATTACTTACCCAAAGTCAGCAAATCAGTGCTGCAGTCTATTTCCTTTGTCGGGGGTCTCCTCAGTATCATCCCTTCATGGCCAGCCAGGAAGATGTTACCAGAAAGGGGTCCTGATCCTGACCCCAAGACAGGATTCTTGGACCTCACACAAGAAATAATTAAAGGCAAATCCATAAAGTGAAAGCAAGTTTATTAAGAAAGTAAAGGAATAAAGACTGGCTACTCCATAGGCAGAGCAGCTCTGAGGGCTGCCATTTGGCTATTTTTATGGCTATTTCTTTATTGTATGCTAAACAACAGGTAGATTATTCATGAGTTTTCCAGGAATGGGGTGGGCAATTCCCAGAACTGAGGGCTCGTCCCCCTTTTAGACCATATGGGGTAACTTCCTAACATTGTTATGGCATTGTAAATTGTCATGGCACTGGTAGGAGTATATTTTAGCATGCTAATGCATTATAATTAGCATATAATGAGTAGTGAGTACGACCAGAGATCACTTTCATTGCCATCTTGGTTTTGGTGGGTTTTGGCCAGTTTCACTACACCTGCTTTATCAGCAAAGTCTTTGTAAACTGTACCTTGTGCCAACCTCCTATCTAATCCTGTGACTTAGAATGCCTAACCTCTTGGGAATGCAGCCCAGTAGGTCTCAGCCTTATTTTACCCAGCTCCTATTCAAGATGGAGTTGCTCTGGTTTAAACACATCTGACGCCCATAGGGTTGCTGTAACAGTATAATATTGCCGTGAAAATTGGTACCCAAGAAACAATATATTGTGCCAATAATTTCTAATATTATTGTAATATTCTATCTTAGCTGATTTATATGATTAAAGAGTAAAGGTTCACACAAGGATGATTTCATTCTTTTTAAATGTGTTTCACTTTGTTTTTATGAAAGCAAAAATATTTTAAAAGTTGCTAATTATAAAGTAAGTTCACTTTGTATATTTTGCATGAAGTTATTTTAAACCTTTCTGGGATAAAAAAAAAAGTTTGTAGATCCTATAGGAATTAGCAGTAATTAGATTGAAAAACAATCTTAAGTCGTCTCTCTCCGCACCTAACGTAGGATTGATTCTAAGCATTTTATATTTGCCTCTTTAGAGGCCACTTTTCAGTTTACTTTTGCATCCTATTAAATCCAAAACTTATATATTTAAAATAGCGACCCTTTATTTGCTCAGCTGGGCAATTCCTCTGGATTTATCCGAGCTTATTTAGAAGTCTGAAATCAGCTGCCAGTCACATCTAAGCTTTGCTACTGTGGGACTGGCTGGCTCTCTACTTCAGTGAAGGGAATGACTGAATTGTCTCACCTAGGAGACTAGCCTGCATTTTATCACACAGCTGCTAAGCAAAGTCCAAGAAAACCAGCAAAAGAGTACAAGATCTCTTGATGCCTACGCTCGGAACTGGTACAATACCTTTTTTGCAGTGTTCTGTTGGTCAAAGCAATTCAAAAGGTCATTCCACATTCATGGAGTAGAAATAGGAGGAGTTACAAATTCACATTTCAAGGGGAACGAGTAGAAAGCAAGCAATCTACTCCAACCATTTTTCTCCAGTGTTGGGAAAACAATCTCCAGCTGCTTGTATTTACATAATACTGGAACCAGAATGTTTACTTAATGGTTTTCCATTGGAAATAAAATTCCTAAATAGCCTAGTTCCCTTTAATGAGTACTTCTGTTTGAAAAGAAATGTGGAAAGGCAAAAAGGCAAAACTGTCTTAAGAAAAACAATTAAAAGAAATTTGAGCTCACACACAGACAAACCAGAACAGAAAATCACAAAGACAAAAACCACAAACACAAAATACACACACACACACACACACACACACACACACACACACACACGGCCAGTCAGTAAAATCAGAGCAAGTAAGAGAGAAAACCTAGCTGTATCAATAAATACTAAAAAAATACTAAAAAAAAAAAAAAAAAGAAAACCTAGCTGTGTTGCCCAGTTATTTCTCTTCTCCCCACTGGAACTCTTTTTACCCAGGTTGTACTTCAAATTGTCCTTTTCACTATTTCCAGCTATTTACTATATTATAAATAAAATATACATGCTGTCTAATATAAATATTTCTTGATGCTTTCAGGTGGAAATCTCAAAGACAAAAGGTCTCTAAAACCTCTTTGTTCCATGTGCACTATTGATTAAAGATGTAGTTACCAACATCTCTTACCATTTTACTTTCATCAATTTATCTCAATGTGTGGTTCAGCAGCATCAGAATCACCTGTAAATTTAGAAACGCAGATTCCCAGGGCCAATCTGTCAGAGGCTTTTGCACCAGAGTGACTCCATCTTGAATAGGGGCTGAGTAAAATGAGGCTGAGACCTACTGGGCTACATTCCCTGGAAGTTAGGCATTCTTAGTCACAGGATGAGATAAGAGGTCAGCACAAGATACAGGTCACAAACACCTTGCTGATAAAACAGGTGGTGGTAAAGAAGATGGCCAAAACCCACCAAAACCAAGATGGCGATGAAAGTGACCTCTGGTTATCGTCATTGCTCATTATATGCTAATTATAATGCATTAGCATGCTAAAACACACTCCTACCAGTCCCATGAGAGTTTACAAATGCCATGGCAGTGTCAGGAAGTTAACTCAAATGGTCTAAAACGGGGAGAAGCCCTCAGATCTGGGAATTGCCCACTCCTTTTTTGGAAACTCATGAATAATCCACCCCTTGTTTAGCATATAATCAAGAAGTAACCACAAAAATAGCCAACCAGCAGCCCTCTGGGCTGCTCTGCCTGTGGAATAACCATTCTTTCGTTTCTTTTTTTTTTTAATTATACTTTAAGTTCTAGAGTACATGTGCACAACCTGCAGGTTTGTTACATATGTATACATGGGCCATGTTGGTGTGCTGCACCCATTAACTTGTCATTTACATTAGGTATATCTCCTAATGCTATCCCTCCCCTCTCCCCACTCCCCATGACAGGGCCCGGTATGTGATGTTCCCCACCCTGTGTCCAGGTATTCTCATTGTTCAATTCCCACCTATGAATGAGAGCATTCAGTGTTTGGTTTTCTGTCCTTGCAATAGTTTGCTCAGAATGATGGTTTCCAGCTTCATCCATGTCCCTACAAAGGACATGAACTCATCCTTTTTTATGGCTGCATAGTATTCCATGGTGTATATGTGCCACATTTTCTTAATCCAGTCTATCATTGATGGGCATTTGGGTTAGTTCCAAGTCTCTGCTATTGTGAATAATGCCGCAATAAACATACGCATGCATGGGTCCTTATAGACTTGCGTTCACTTCATGGATTTGCTTCGAATTCTTTCTTGTGCAAGGTCCAAGAACCATCTCTTGGGGCCTGTATTGGGACCTCTTTCCTGTAACACATCCACTCAAATCCACAGACTCAGAAACTCTAAAGAGGGAGGGCAGCAATCTGTCTGAACAAACTCTCCATTTTAAAGTTTGATAATCACCGCATTAAAGGAACACTGCTGTTTTGGTGTAAAAGCCTAACACTATATAGAGACAAATACAAATGGGTTCTTCCAGGAGGCAGAAGCTGCAGTGAGCCCAGATTGCACCACTGCACTCCAGCCTGGGTGACAGAGTGAGACCTTGTCTCAAAACAACAACAACAACAACAACAAAACAAATGGGTTCTTGTATTGAGTGATAATATACACACACTCACAGACTCCCCACCTGATCTGTGGCATAGGAAAATGCTCTCTGGTTTTATATTTGGTCCTAGAAGAAATGTTTGATGACTGTAATGAAAGATTTTGTAAGCTTTATAAACTATAGACAAATGATGTTTAGTAGGTTTTAAAACTGGAAAGAGAATAGTGCGTTTTTTAGAGTGAAAATAGGCAATATTTCAGCATTACATTTATTAAAAGTAGCTATCAAAATACAATATTTACATTGTCAGTGGCTTGCACTGTATAGCTATTAATGAAATTTGGCATCATATTTGCATTAAATTATATTTTAATAATTTTATATTTATATATTCATAGAGCTTTGTAAAAAGCCCCTGTAAGTGAAATTAGTCTCTTCACATTTTCATCTTTTGGTCTCAGGACATATAATTTGTGACATTGTCGTTACTTCAGGTAAAAGTAAAATAAAATGTTTAAATCTACCAGTCAAATAGATAACAAGAGATAACCTGACCCAAGTGGTTTTGATTTTCTATTTACAGGCAGAAAGTAGTAGTTCATTAACACCTGAAGAATCTAAAAACTGGGTCACAATAAGGGTTCAAAAACCTCAAAAGATTTAGATGACATCTCTAAGGTGCTGATTAAAACTGAATAAAACTTTTTCCTAGGAATTAACACTCTAATATAGAAAGCACTAAATGGTTTGTAATTTTCAGCCTTTTATATATTAGCCCTGAAGCACGTCATTTTTTAATTTATTATTTTTCCCTTTCTCTAGGCAATAAAAAAATTGAAATTGGACTCTTTAGTTAAAAAATAAAAAGAGTAGGTGTTTAAGTCAAGATAGAATTTAAAGAGCAGAGCAATTGCTTAGCACCAGCACATAAGAGTATTGTTATGAAGACAAGTGTTGATGAATGCAAAATTATTTTCCAAGTCATGATTCTCATGAACTATCACATAAATAAATTAGCTGAATTTTAAAAATTAATCACAAGTAAAAGAAGCAGCGAAAAGAAGCATGACAGGGATATATGCTAATCTATGCACCACGATTTTTTTATATAAGTGGAAATTGAAATGAATTGTAAAAGCCAATGAAGCAGCAGAAAGATGGCTGACTATCAATCCCAGCCAGTGTCCTAGATATGTCATTCTCCATGAAAAGCACGCTTTCTGATGTTGCATTTTCCATTAGTAAGTGGGGCAGCAGAACACCAATGTATGTGCTTTCCTGACTCATTTGCATGTCACCATTTATAACTTTCGACTGCCCTGTGGCATTGTGGCAACTGCCTCCCAAATGAGGAATATACAGCAGTAATAATTTTTTGATAACACCCTAGTAATTATATGGCCCTTGAAGGTCTTCTTTTCAAAATTCAAAACTCACCTTCCCTTGCTTGAGTGTGAATCTAATCTCATTCTTGAAACCTTGTTATTAACTTTCCCTTCTTGACAGATCTGGTGGGTGATGGTAGAATGAGTCAGAGAGAAGGGTCAAAAAGGAGAAAGTTGGAACCAATTGATTTGCTACTAGTAGCCTAAAGAGGAAAAAAAGATGCTTACCTCTTACCTCTTGGAAAATTAATAGTCACTGAAAAGGGCATCTATTCAGTTAACTTAATTTTTATTCTAAATGAAAAACGTGTTTATTGAATTAAAGAGAATTTATTAAGAGCAGAAAAAAAATCTAATGCATTTTATATGTGGACATATGTATACTTAAGGTTTAAGTAATACAGCTTCTCATCTTTTAATAATATTTGTTTACCTATATGGAAATTCCTTTGGATGTTCTATTTCAATAATCTAGTTTTATCTAATGGAAACTGTGTACAAACACAAAGGAGACAAGCCAAATACAGTTTATGATTGGCTGCTACACACAATATGCTAATGAAAGCCCTAACTCATCTCCTGAGTTTTTCAGTCGATGTCTAATGAAAATTCCTAAATCAAAACATGTCCTAGAATTGTTGACTGTCAGTATACAAAAGAATTTGTCTATATAAGTCAATGAATGGGTAATTCACAACCAAACTCTAAATAATCTTAGATTCTTAATTAGTAAATCAAACTGCAGATAAAATGATATTTAGTAGTTTTTAAAACTGGAAAGAGAACAAAGGGTGTTTCTGAGAGTAAAAACAGGCAATATTTCAGCATTATAGTAACTAAAAGTAGCCATAAAGTACAAAATTTAAATTAATGCATCATTGTTAGTCACTGACTCCCTGACAAAGCTGAGGATGCACAATGACTGTTTTCTGTTGTAAGTTCTATTATGAGGAAACTCCCCTCTTCTCTACCCTGGTGCAAAGTCACTTCATTGTGTCACTACATAGGTCACAAGGCATTGAACAATTCCACTAAAGTGTCATTCATATAGATTAAAATATTGATGTCACCCCTTAACTTGCACAATGCAGCAACCCCACCATGATCCTTTGTTTATTAAGCACTTACTTTTGCCCACACATTTGACTAGGTCCTGAAGATTCAAAGATGATCAAAAATATTCATACATAGCCCCAATTAATTGTGAAGATTAAAATCTAATTGTGGAGTGTGATACTAGTCACGTAATTACACAAAGAAATAGATGACAAATGCAATGAAGGAGATGTCCACAGTTCAGAAGTGTGCTATCCAATATGGTAGCCATTAGCTATATAAGATTGATTAAATTTATATAATATATAAAAATGTGATTTATTAAATGTATATTATATAAGTAAATGATATAAGAATGGTTAAACTTGAATTTAATAAAACTGAATAAAGTTAAAAATTTAATTCTTCAGTCACACTAGCCACATTTCAAATCCTCAATAGCTACATGTGTAAAATTGATACTCACATATGTTGTAATATTGAAGAAGTTATTGCTTTCTACATGTGACTACTGGCTACCATATTGGATTGCAAAATATGGAACATTTCTATCATTGAAGAAAGTTATCTTGGATAGCACTGATATAGAATAATAATATAAAATGAGATCAGAGAAAGCTTCCAGTAGGAAGTGGCAATTAAGAACCAAAAGATGAGCAAGAATTAACCAGGTGAAGAGAAGTTCTGGGAAAAATAAGGAACGTACTTTTTTTCTCATGAAACATTACGAACTTCTAGTTTATTAGATATGTCATTGAGATAACAAAAAATAAATAAATGATTACTTGGAAAATGTGCAATTTTATTTCAGAGATGAAAAATTTGTGAATGTGGTAAAAATAACACTTATATAGCAGTTAGATTAGATTTAAGATACCAGCTGGTTTAATATTTACAGATAAAAAGACTGGAGACCTAAGATACTTTACGATGTGCTCTAGTTGTAATAGGTTAAGTTCAAACAGTGCCAGAGTTAAAAAATACAATGTAGGCATTCTGATTACTAACTCAATATTGATTCCTCTCCTTAGAATAGTCTTAAATTAGTTGGACAACTCTAAACATTTAAAAATGTATAGTTTTGACATTTATTTATGAATATACATGTGTACATATATGACCCCCCTTTTATTATTGTTCTATTAAATGAATGCCAAAAATATTATTCAATTTTAAGTTTGTGTGAATTAAGACATGAATGTTAATGGTTGAAAAAGCAAACAAATGTAATATCTTACATGTTTATTTACAGTTTAAAGTATGGTTTAATTTTCCTTGTAGAGAGATCGTGAATAATTGCACTATTCTTATTTTTGCTTCATCTATTTGCTGAGCTAAGTATGAATGTGATTATCACAGCAGTTCAATCTGTGCTGCTTAAGGTAAGACATTGCTTTCAGTATTTACAGTTTAAATTTGGATTGCTTCAAGTTTACAAAATTGGATATAGTGATTTCACAGACACTGTCAGTTTACAATCATATTTTAAAATTAATTTGGTTAAAAGTGTACAATTGATACATCTGTTGTAGTATTGAGGAAGTTATTGCTTTCTCCTATAAACCAATGACCCTTATTTTTACTTCATCTGAAGTGTACTATATAATTTATTATATTAATGTATAAAAATAACACAGTAAATTAAATTGACTCCACTGTGTTTTCATACCAAGATTCAATGAAAAGTAAATCAATTTAAACACACTATTACAAAAGAAAGAGCCTAAGTAAATTACTGCTTCAAATTGAGGGATTGAACCACATTCATTTAAATAATATTTATTTAGGACATACTTTGTGACACACTGTGATAGATATGCTAATAGCAATAATGAAAAGAAACATAAAGTCTTTAGTATCTATCAATTTCCTATTCTCATGGAACTTCAATCTATTGAGAGAAAAGAGACAATATAGAAAATAAATAAGTAAAACATCATCTGTTGTTAAATGGTGGTAAGTTTGTCAAAGAAACATAAACCAAGAAAGAGGAATGAGTATCAAGGAAGATTTGATGGTTTTAAAAAGGGTGGGGAAGAAAGGCCTTATTTAGAGAGTGACATTTAAATAAAATGAAAAGTAGCTGAGGGAATGAGGCATGTGTGTATCTGAAGAAAATCAATACAGGAAGTGGCAACAACAGATGCAAAGGTCCTGAGGTGAGATAGTGTTTACAGAGTTCAAGCCTTGGTGGCTTCCATGTGGTGTTGGGCCTGCGGGTGCACAGAAGTCAAGAATTAAGGTTGGGAATCTCCACTTAGATTTCAGAGGATGTATGGAAATGCCTGGATATCCAGGAAGAAGTCCGCTGCAGGGGCAGAGCCCTCATGGAGAACCTCTGCTAGGTCAATGTGGAAGGGAAATGTGGGGTTGGAGCCCCCACACATAGTCCCCACTGGGGCACTGCCTAGTGAATCTGTGAGAAGAGGGCTACCATCCTCCAGACCCCAGAATGGTGGATCCTCTGACAGCTTGCACCGTGTGCCTTGAAAAGCTACAGACACTCAACAGCAGCCTGTGAAAGCAGCCAGGAGAGGGGCTGAACCCTGGAAAGCCACAGTGGCAGAGCTGCTCAAGGTCTTGGGAACCCATCTTTTGCATCACTGTGCTGCAGATGTGAGACATGGGGCAAAAGAAATCATTTTGGAGCTTTAAGAATTAATGACTGCCCTGCTGGATTTTGGACTTGCATGAGGCTGGTAGCCCCTTCATTTTGGCCAATTTCTCCCATTTGGAAAAGTCATATTTTACCCAACGCCTGTACCCCCATTGTATCTTGGAAAAACGGAACTTTTTCATTTTACTTGCTCATAGACAGAAGGGACTTGCCTTGTTTCAGATGATACTTTGGACTGTGGACTTTTGAGTTGATGCTGAAATGAGTTAAGAGTTTGGGGGAGTGTTTGGAAGCCATGATTGTTTTGAAATGTAAAAAGGATGAGATCTGGGAGGGACCAGGGGTGAAATTATATGGTTTGGCTCTGTGTCCCCACCCAAATCTCATCTCAAATTGCAATCTCCACATGTCAAGGGAGGGACCTGGTGGGAGGTGACTGGATCATGGGAGTGGTTTCCCCCATACTGTTCTCATTATACTGAGTGAGTTATCACGAGATCTGATGGTTTCATAAGTGGCATTTCCCCCTGCTCTTCTCTCTCTTTCCACCTTGTGAAGAAGGAGCCTGCTTCCCCTTCCTCCATGACTGTAAATTTCCTGAGGCCTCCCCAGCCATGCTTAACTGTGATCAATTAAACCTCTTTCCTTTATAAATTACCCAGTCTCAGGGAAGTTCGTTATAGCAGTGTGAAAACAGACTAATATACTCACAATTGTGACAAAGAACTAGACAAAATTAATAAACACAAAAAGATGCAGAAATAGTATTAATAGAAAGAGGCATTTAAAAAGCTAATATATTTACTTTTAATAATTTAAAGAAAAATTGTGAACATAAGAATCTCATGGATAAATGGAAATTATGAAAAATTATGAGTGATGTAGAAAATTCTGTCCTTGCACATGTAGATCTTTTTATTCAGTCAAAGATTTAAGCAGACCCCTGAGGAGATTTTTGGAGTTCATTCTCTTTGCAAAGTCTTATTATCTGATACCCTGCTCCACATATTCCAGTTACTTCAGTAGCCCTTAACAACAATCTCTGTCTCCCCAGCTCAGCAAAGGATCTTTATGCTCTGTTTGGGCTCCAGCCCTATGCTACAATCTGGAAAAATCCCATCACTTTGTTGGTTTGCCTTTTCTCAGTTAAGTCAGTCCTGCCTTGCCTATTATCCCATGTCTGTAAACAGAAGTTTTAGATATTTTGTTAAATCTTATAGTTTTTTTTTTTATGTTAAGAGGGCTATTCCATTACCAGTCACTCCACCATGGCTGGATGCAGAAACTTGGTTACCTTTCATTCCATTTTAAAATCAGTTCATTATCTCCCTGAACAGATATTTATAACGGTAAACACTGGAGACACACAGATAAATGAGAAACTTTCCCTGCCTTTAGGGAACTTTCAGTCTACTGGAGTAGAGATGGACTAAATAAAAGTAATATCAATGCAATGTGACATTTATAGAAAAGGAAGACTTAAAAGTAAGCGCTATAGGATAGAACCAAAAGGAAAATTTTTATTATAAATTTTATCCAGGCCAAAGTGAAGTTTTGTGGTACTCTCTAAGATCATGAATCTCAACTATGGCTGCATCATTGGAAACCCCTGGGGAGCTCTAAAAGGTACTGATGCCTAGGCCCTATCTGAAATTTCCTGATTTAGTTGATCTGGGCTGTGGCCTGGGCTTTGGAATTTTTAAAATCTCCTATTAATAATTACTTTGAAGCCAAAGGTGAGGATGTTTATCTATGGTAAATTTTATCAGATAGGCCTTATAAATATATGTGTAGATTTGTAAAAGCTATATTGTTCTATTAATAAAAATTTTTATTGAATCTATATTTTTTGTTGCCAACGTCTCAAAACAGTTGTTTCACATATTTTTTCCAGTATTATAGTTTCACTTTGTATTGATAAAATTATATTGAATTGACTAAATAAATTGCCAATGCATTCGTTCATCTAAGAAATACTTATTAAGTGACTATGGTTTACATTTACTGTGCTCAGAGCTGTAGATTTAACATTGTGGTAAGTTGACCACAGCAAAGCGTAATATATATTAACGTGACAATAAAGTCTCCTCATAATCCTGATGTTTTGGAAGTATGCTGGTCCTTATACATACAACAATATTTATGACCAGATTTCAAATTCTGAAAAGGAATAACTCTTTTCTAGTTTCTGGGGACATCCCTTACAGAGGAAAAACAGCACAAACATAACTAATTCATACATTGTAAAGGTCATCGGAGAAAGACTTTGAGAAAGTTGTAAACAAAGCAACCTAAACCTATATCAACTTAACATTTTTAAAGAGCTATGCTGATAACATCATGGAAATAACACAACATTTGGAAAAAGTAATCCATACATTTATATTAATATTATAAATAATATAAGCATCCTTTCTTGTTTATAAGTGAGGGATATATGTGTGGCAGTATCAAATTTGATAGCTAAGTGTATGTTTTTTCCATACTAACAGAAAATACATAAACTAATTAAATTTGGAACTCTCCCAATATCTAAAACAATGATGACTCTCTTTCCATCTAAAAAGGAACAAACCCATAGAACATAAAAGAACACAAATAATATGCAAATTGGAAATGTTAAATATCTTATCTCATTCAGCTACTTGGTCACTTATACATTGTCCAGGCAGCAGAAAACCTGCCTCTGAACACAATCTTGTTTAGCAAGAAGAAAAGATCACATCTAATTTGAATTGTCACACAAATTTAGAGATTTTTCAGTCTGTTTAGTTTTGCTGCAGCAAGTTTAAAACTTTTGCATCTTCCTTGTTATTTTCATGGCATAGCTATCCACCAACAGCAACCTCTTTGCTATCTTGACATTAATTATTTACATTGAAGTGTCTATAGAGGTTGAGCATCCCCTATTTGAAAATTAAAAATCCACAATGCTCCAAAATCCAAAACTTTTTGAGCACCAACTTGATGCTGTAAGTGGAAAATGCTGCACCTGACCTCATGTGACAGGTCTCAGTCAAACCTCAGACACAACATAACACACAGTTTACTCAGTGCACTCAAGGGGAAATAATGCCTCCTAGGCCCTGCTGCAATATAACTTTTCCATGAACACTCAGATTCCCTGACTCAAGTATGACTATGAAGGGCAATAAAATGGCAAATGTGTAGGTAGTTGTGCCAATAGCAGGTTCCCCATGATGCTGCACACAGACCCAAGACCTACATGCATTATTCACTGTGTTTTCTGGCATATTCTCTGTTTTCTGTGGATATATTGTTTCACTGGTGTAAAGATATTGCTAAAAGTATGAAGAGGCCTGCAGATAACCCTCTGAGTAATAGTAATAAGTAAAATAAGAAGTGTTTATGTTTATTTATGTCATAAAGAGTCAAGCTATTGAAGAATCTGGACAGCAGTGTAGGTGTAAAATGTCTTATAGAAGGGTATTGTGATGAAATGGTCACCATATGTGACCCAAAGAAATTGAAAGATAAACTACTGAAGTTCTGTTCTGATAGTGACAAATAGAGGGTAATAAAATATAGAAAAACACTGCATAAAGCTAAAAATGAAGATCTTGATTGTGTATTGAAAGAATGGATCCATCAGTGTTGAAGTGAACACATGCCATTTAATCGTATGCTGATCTTGAAACAAGCAAAGATCTATCACAAGGAACTTAAAATGGAAGGGAACTGTGAATATACAACAGCCTGGTGGTAGAAATTTAAAAGACAAGGCATAACATTTTTAAAGATTTGTGTGTATAAGGCGTTTGCTGATCATGAAGAAATTCATTGATGAGTTTGCCAAAGTAATTGCTGATGAAAATCTGACATCAAAGCAAGTCTATAATGTTGGTGAAACATAACTATTTTGGTGTTATTGTCCCAGAAAGACACTGGCTACAGCTGATAAGCCAGCACCTACAGAAATCAAGGGTGCCAAGGATGAACTAAACTGTGCTGGGATGTGCTGATACAGCAGACACACATAAGTGCAAACTTGCTGTGATAGGTAAACTCTTGCATCCTTGATGTTTTCAAGGAACAAATTTTGTTTACCAGTGCATTATTATGCTAACAAAAGGGCATGGGTCACCAGGAACATCTTTTCTGATTGGTTTCACAAACATTTTGTACCAGTGGCTCATGCTCACTGCAAGAAGGATGAACTGGATAATAACTACAAAAATTTTTTATTATTTCACAGCTCTTACGCTCATCCTCCAGCTGAAATTCTCATCAAAAATAATGTTTATGTCATGCAGTTTCCCACAAATGTGATTTCATTAATTCAGCCATGTAAACAGGGAATCCTTAGATCAATGAAGAGTAAATATAAAAATACTTTGCAGAACAGCATTCTAGCAGTAGTGAACAGAGGCACGGGTGTGGAAGGTTTTCAGAAGGAGTTTAGCATGACGAATGCCACGTATTTTGTTGCCATTGCTTAGAAGACCATGACTAAAGACACAGTTGTGCATGCCTGGCACAACCTCTGGCCTGGGATTACGTTCAATGTTAATAATGAACAAGGTGGTAACTTTGAAGGATTTCATGTGTCAAGTGAGAAAAAAAGGATGTCTGATCTCCTTACATATGCAAAAACTATACCTTCAGAGTCCTTCAGTAAACTGAAAGAATTAGATTAGATATTGAAGAAGTATTTAACATTGATAATGAGGCTCCAGTTGTTCATTCATCGACTGATGGTGAAGAAGCCAAAATGGTTCTAAATAAAATGATCACGATAATAGTAATGATAAAGATGACATTGTTAATACTGCAGAAAAGTGCCTGAAGACAACATAGTGAAAATGTGTAATAGGCTTATTGAAGGACTAAAGTACAGTATCATGCATTCGTAACAGAATAAGGCATGGTCAGTTTATAAAATCAAAGAGACTTCTAAGACAAAAACCATTGTAAATGAGGCAGATAATCTTGGAGGAAACATCTTTAAAAAACCGTTCAGCAGAATGCCCCTAGAGGACCCACTTCCTGGTCCCTGAACTGCTTCGAATATTTCTTCTCACCTAAAAAGAATACATTGTATAATATCCTTTTACTCAAAACACAGCATTTTAGGTGGTTACTGAAGACATGCATGCCATTGTTTGTTGTTGCTTTTGTCTAACAGCTGATGCAGGTATTCTGATGATGTTACTGTGCTGCTTAGTTACCTTAAACATATAATTTTTTCATTGTATTAATGGCATTTCACATTTTTTATTGTTACATACTTATTTGTAAATAAGTGTAAGAAAATAATTGCTTATCAGTAGCATGTAAATTCAGAGTCAGAAATGATGGTGATGCCAAACAATCACAGATTGTCCACATGGGTGGCTGAGATAGTGACACTTTTGCTTTCTGTTTGTTCAATATACACACACATTGTTTTATGCACAAATATTATTGAAAATATTGTCTAAAATTACCTGCAGACTGTGTATAAGGTGTATATGAAACATGAATAAATTTCATGTTCAGGCTTGCATCCAATCCCCAAGACATCTCATTATGTATATGCAAATATTTTAAAATCCAAAGAATAATATGAAATCCAGAACTCTTCTGGTCCCAAACACCTATATATATATATAAGGGATACTCAACTTGTATAACATTTGGTGCCTTGAGATGGAAATTCTTAACTGTATATTTCCAATAATTTCTCAGCATGTCACACTTCTACAGCAAATTCTAACTCTCAACATGTGTTATCCATAGGCCACTGAGCTTTTCAGCTTGTCAGTGGCAATCTTTCTGATCTTGAGCCTCTTAGACTGTTGGGTGTAGCAATGAATGGAGAAAATACGTGAAATACGTTGGTTCTCTAGTCCTCTACAGGCCTAAAATTACTTCCTCAAGAATACTTATAGACAGTTATTTAAGCCCCTAGATATAAAAATACACTAGTAAGCAAAGCAGACATATACTTTGTCAACATGAAGCTCAGAGTCTAGTTGGAGAGACAAGATCTTTCTTAGGGTAAAACAATGTTATGTTTTTCTATGAAACATACTACCTGACATATTACACTCTAATCAGAGAGAGTAAGACAAATAAGACAGCAAAACACCAATTAGCTCTGTCTTTCTCCCTCTGCCTAATACTCATCTTCTGACAGATGTTTAAGTAATTTAAATTGAAAACATTATTTTTCTTGAGTTTAATACTTAAATTATCTCACAAGCTTTTATTCATCTTTAGTAAAAATATAGTAAATAGTAATACTGAAAAGGCTTAAGTTTTATACCAATCCGAATCCAAAGTCTGTGCTTCGACAATGTTACATGCATTATATTGAGAACAATTGAAAATCAATGCATGTTTTCTATTGCATATGCAGAGAGACATACTTTCTCAAGTAACACTTTAATACCATCAAAGCAACTAAAATCGAGTACTTTTTTTTATAGCTTTTGAATATAAAACTGGGGGGGGCACAGTTGGCAGTTGGAAGAAGACATAGGACTGGAACAAAGAATGTGTCATTTCACATGGATTCTATGGAAAGATAACACATAGGTGACCTCATTAGAAAAAGACATTACTCAGGGTCACTGGCAATTAGTAGGTTTCAGAGGACAATATTCATGGCAACATCTTCAAGGTTGTCTTACTCTCTCTAATTAGAGTGTAATATGTCAGGTAGTAGGTTTCATAGAAAAACATAACATTGTTTTACCCCAGGAATGATCTTGTCTCTCCAACTAGACTCTAAGCTTCATGATGACAAAGTATATGTCTGCTTTGCTTTCTAGTGTATCCTTATATCTTGGGGCTGAAATAACTGGATTTGTATAAACTGTAAGGTGTGCAAGAAAGGTTTCTTACTGGAGAGCCAAAGTACTCCATTGCCCAACCCTAGAGCAATTCATTAACATCACTGGACCTCGGATATGAGAAGAAAATGAGAGATCAGATGCTTGTTAAAGTTCCCTTCAGCTTTAAAATCTATTATAACCTTAAACTGGTGAATGCTTCAAAATCCTAACGTATAAATACTAAGATTTATTTGAAAACTGCTGAAGATAATATAGTGTAATGGAAATAGCAGGGCATTTGGAGTCACTTACCCTTAGCAGTGCGGCCTTAGGGACAGCATTGACCTTCTCTGTCCTGCAGTTTCCCTGCAAATGCAATACAACTAGGGACATGAGGATCCTCAGAAAATAAATCCCCAAAACAATCTCAAGTATATGCTTTATTCTTATATTTACCTTCCTTCTTTAGGCTTTGATATGGTTTGGATCTTACGGTCCCCACCCAAAACTCATTTATTAGTCAAGGTTCTCTAGAGGGACAGAATTAATAGGATATATGTATACATGAAAGAGAGTTTATTAGGGAAAATTGGCTCACATAATTACAAGCCAAAGTCCCACGACAGGCTGTCTGTAAGCTAGGGAAGAGAGAAGCCAGTGCTCAGTCCAAGACTGAAAGCCTCAAAACCAAGGAAGCTGACGGTGCAGCCTTCAGTCTGTGGCCAAAGGCCCAAGAGCCCCTGGCAAGCCACTGGTGCAAGTCCCAAGTCCAGAGGCCAAAGAACCTTGAATCTGATGTCAAAGGGCAGGAGGAGCAGAAGGAAGCATCCAGCACTGGGGAAAAAGAAGGAAACCAGAAGACTCAGTGAGCAAGGGTATGCCACCTTCTTCCGCCTGCTTTATTCTAGCTGCGCTGGCAGCCAGTTGGATGGTGCCCGCCCACATTGATGGTGGGTTTTCATCTCCCAGTCCACTGATTCAAATGTCAATCTCCTCTGGCAACACCCTCACAGAAACACCCAGAAACAATACTTTACCAGCCATCTAGGCATCCTTCCATCCGATCAAGTTGACACCTAATATTAAATATCACAAGCCTCTAACTTGTTATAATTAATGATACTATCAACAGCAGCATAGTAGTTACTCAATAAAGAGCAGCTATTATAACTTAAAAATTTTTTATAAATAATAATATAGGCTTCACGGAGGCTGGAGCCATATTCATCCTATCTCCCACATATTCCTAATGCTTGGCCCAGTGCCTTATGTATAATGGCCATTAATTAAATATATGCTGAAATAAAATTAATCCTGCTATTAATGATAGAAAATTAGAACTGCAACTCAAAATTTTTATTTTGGTAAATAATTCCCTATTATAATTCCCTAGCAATCTAGCTTACAATCAGCATTTTACCCAGCTATTAATACTTTCTCTATAGTATACATAGTTTGAAATCATTGTGTTGAAATTGTTTTACCTGGATTAGTTTTCTCTTCTTCCACTCTTTCTCTCACCTGAATGAAGATGTCTAGCTTTCTTTCTGTGGTATCATTGTGGCTTCTCTTTCTCTCTATCCTGGTATTCCTGTAGAACATTTAATCAATCAACATCTGACTCCTAGTCTAGACAGCAGTCACCTGTAGAATGAGAACTTCTTCCTTTGCATTTTTGAGTCCCCAGTACCTATTTCTGCCACATAGTAAATGTTCAATATATATATTTTTATCCAAGTGAATGAAGGGAGCAGAAAAAATAAGATGAAAATACTAATTAAATTTTCAGATACAAGGATATGGACAAAAAATACAACTATTTGTTATCTTGTGTTTATAAATAGAAACAATAGAGTAAATCAATTGTTGGAAATATATTTGTCATGTAACAAAATAGACTGCAAAATGTCTTTTTTGTCACACTAGGCCTGCTCACTCCCATAGGTCTTTTTGCAGAGGGCGCACATTGCTTATTATTATGTTATCTGAAAGAAAATCAAAAGAATATTTTTATGATTTTTCTGGTTAATTAAACATAATAATAGAGGAGGGGAGTTGGCCAAGTAGATGTTGGTTAGGTTTAGAGGATAAGAATAGAGTTAATATCTTTATCAAACAATGGGTTCACATTTAAATTATCCAGAGACCTTGACTTAAATTTTGTATCAAACGATTTAATTATGTTTTCTTTGGCACTGGTTTTTGAATTCACTATTAGTTGTTCCAGTTTCTCACAAATGCAACATGATGTGAAGGACACAAAAGTAGAAACATCTTTCTATTTTTCACATTCATTTTGCTTCCAATGCTGTAGAAAAGACAGCAAATACTAATTATCTTGTTTACAATCATCTAATTATTGGCAGAAGAAGGATTTAGAACTTCCCCCTAGCAATATCTCTCTAGATGCAAAATAAACACCACAATTAAGAAAAAAAGGCAGCAACTAGGAAAAAAAAAAGGTTTTCCTAATTTGACCATCCCAGATGCTTGAAATTGTCTTCCAAAATGAGCTAATACTTTAATTAATAGTTCAAACCAAATAAGAAAATTTACCAAGAATTCCAGCTAATTCCTAATGCCCAGAGGGAACAGATAATGCAAGCTCTCCTGTCATTTAGTAAACCTTATGTTTTAAAAAAAATGCTGCTAGTAGAGGCTGTTTAACAATTTTAGTCTTTTTTCCTTGTGCAACAAATAGTTCATATAACATAAGTACATGTGGAGAAGAAGCCTTTTAGACTTGCAACAATGAAATCATGTTATAAAGAGGTGTCAATAATAATAGCCCACAGATATTGCACATTTGCTTTATGTCCAAGAGTTTAGTGTGTTTTACATACATTATCCCAGTTAATTCTTGGAGATACAAAACAAAACATGAGAGGAATGCAACTTTTCCCTCTTTTATAGATAACACTAACTAAGGTTGAGGCTTTCTGAGTGTGTGAACCTTGACCAGTGCCACACAACATCTACTTCAACACATGCCCACACAATATAACTCCACAACCCGTGCATGCTTTTCATCATTGACCTCACCTCTATGGACACTGGGGGAGTTGGAAAATACTATCACAAGAAGACATGGTGAGAGAAGGCAAAAGATGCTACCATTTATTTGAAATAAGAAGTAAAATTATGTTTTTATTTTTTAAAAAATTCTGGTGTGAAGGTAATTAAGCTAAATAAGATAATTAAGTGCCTCAATTTTATTGCCTGATAGAAATTATACACATGTAACTGTTTGATTTTCTCACTCCAAGTGCTGCCTCAATTGGCTGATTTAGTCTCCTGAAAATGTGGTTTTTATTTTCCCAACTAGTAGAGTCAATACACTGTGTGAATTAATACCACACAGATTTCTCCTTAAACCTGACTCTTCCTCCCTAATGAAAATGTTAAAAAGATTTGCTTGTTTTGTTTTGGATTGTTTTGGGTTTGTTCATTTTGTTTTATTTTCCATTGGAGAAAACAGATTTTGTACTATTTGACATACGAAACATAGATACACACATATACAACATATTAACACTTTGGGGACCCCTGTATACTATTTTAGCATAATGTATGTCATAAAGGAGTATTCAATGTAGAGCACTATTAGGAACTAATCTAGAGGGGCTCAAGAGAAGACCAGCAATAATGATTACCTCTTAATGTCATGGATGATTTCCTTGACTGCATTCTACAAACATGCCACAAAAGCTTTGCTTTAAGAATGATATGCTGGAAAGAAGAGCATTTGAGTTGTGTACAGAGAAAGTAAATCTGTTCTGTTCTACATATAGCAGTGAAAAAAAAATGGGATCAAATAGAATAGTAACCAAAGTGCTAAAATCCAAAACAAAAAAAAAAATTCCCTTATCCAGAATAAGAATGAAAACAATGTATTTTCAAGTATCTTTTGGCCCTAATTGCCTTACCCTTAATAAATCTACTTGGAATATGTTTGCACTGTCCATAATCGGAATATCTTATATTTTAAAGGTAGAATTGAATAGATGTATATTACAATAATAGTCAGAAACAATTGATTCCAGCATAAAGCACAGTATAGATTGGATCTCTTTACTAACCATATCCTATTCTCATTGGTACACAAATGTAGGGAATTTTGATGAACAGTTAAAGGCAAAATTAAGATAAGTAAGACTATTCTACACACAGCAATCCCTAGCAGGTTTAACAGTGACAGTACCATTATATAACATGCTGTCCCATAATTCTTTTGACGCCTGAGTCAATATTGGTCTCCCTCATGGGTTAAAGATAACTCTTGGTCTATGTGACAAACAAGAATTCAATGGGAAAAACAGAAGAATATATGAAGTATGCAATTGAAAACTTTTTAAATTTATTTTTTAAGTAAACTGAAACTGAATTAGACATTAAGCCAACATTAAAAGAAGCTGATAAAAATTTAACTATTATATATATTATTTAAAAAAGGAATGACTTTTACATGTATTCATTCAAGTGAAAAATATATAAATACTGAACAATGTATGCACACCATTTTTTAAGAGTCAGTGATGTATATATACTCTAATTCAAAAAATATATTGGGACCAGTTAAATATCAATTTTGAAAATTTTACCTAAGTTCCAATGCTCATCTGAATAATATCTTTAAAAATGTTTACAAATAAAAAGTGTGCCTAAGAGTACGAAATGTATCTCATCTATGCAAAATTAATTTTCCAAATACATTTTAAAATAGTAGAATACTATTTGTCAAAATTAGCAGTTCTTTCTCCACATGGGACAAAAATATAAATATATTATCATCCAAATTTTGCAGATGTTCTCAATTCTAAGTAATTTATTTACAGCTCTCAGTTCCTGTTTTGTCCCTTTTTTAAACTTGAGCCTACAAAAAGAAGCCCAGAATACAGAATCTGGATATAATATCAACTACTTTATTTTCTGATGAACAACAATAAAAAGCAAATCCTGGTGCCGGGTGAAGAGAAAATAAAAGGTTTTTTAAAACAAATCTTGGGTTTTATTTTTCCCCCAGATGTCAGACCCATGATACAAACTCATAGATTGGAATCTGATACTTGAAAGAAACAGTTGGCTGTGGAGAGTGCCAAAGATGCAATTTTATAACCAGAAAAGGTTTGAACTATTCATAAGGAAAGGCTTAACAATTTTAAAGATAGATCAGCTACCAAACTGCTGAAATGAATTAAAATAAACTCATCAACAAAAATTGGACAGTAAAGATTGTCAAGAATGAGCATAGGTAATGTACCCCTAGGCTCAGCTCTTTGTTAGAGCAGCAAGGGAAGAGAATATAGAATCTTGTATAAAATCCTTATTTTAAAAGAAGATACGAATATTTGGGTTTTACTTTTCTTTTTAACAGTATTACTTGTGCATATTAGCTTGTTAAATGCGTGCTCCCTAAATGTTGCCAAGTGAGATTTTCCATTTCTAAAACAAATACTAAAAAATGCAGTCTTCAGTGGATGAGCCCATTCATGTTTTGAATGCAGCAATATTTCAAATTCTTTGGATATGTTGGCAAAGCCCTACGTACTTGTCTATGAAGGTTAGAAGAAATATAATAAATATTTATGATTCCCTGACAGCTTGGCTTTGGAACATTTTGATAGAGTTTCTGATAATTGAGGAGATATTTTAGTCTATTTTCACAAGTCTTTTAATGCCTAAACCAGAGCAAGCAGATATAAACTGTAAATACAAAATAATCCTCAAAAATTCATTGGTATAATTCTTTATATAAGAGACTTTAAAACTTCTCAAAATATGTAAGTATATATGTAGGTATACACACATTTGTACACACACATTTTGGGTAACAATTCATACCAACATCTCCTTTCTCTTATATCTCTAAAGCACAGAAGCATAAAAACTTATTGTTGTTTGCAAATAAATAGTGGAAATACTTTACCTGCTTCATTGCTCCTCTATGAATATTTATGTTAATTTTAAATATTCTCAACTAAAGCTGAATTTTTAACTAAATCTGCACTGAGAACAGAGAATCAGTAATCTTAGTCTGGAAAGAGCAAGGCCAGTAAAGAGAACAAATATTGATGAGGATGATAGAATAGATGTTTGAGGAAGGCAATCTAGATTGAAGATTGCAGCTTTGGCAGCAATATCTAGAATAACTAAATGTCAAAGAGAATAAAGTGTCATCAATTTTGCTGTCAAATAAAGCCATAAAGAAAGAGAACTTTTGGAGTTGTGCATTTGTGTGAGTCTATCTCAAACTGATAATCACAAGGTGGTAAAGATTGTGTGATTGGTCAATACAAACCAGTGAAATGTAATTCTAGTTTTTGGAACATTAAACTGAGCTAGGAGTTTAAAGGTCCCAGGGTATTGTCAGTGCCTCCATCAATTAGCAGGATTTAAGGAACTCTAAAATAATCTATTTTAATATAATAATTATTGTTTTTAACATAGGGTTCTTTCTAGAAAGTAACTTAACCCTTTTGATAAAAGTAAACAAGTAAGAATGGTTGATATGACCATTCTCCATTAGAGTAATTCCCAAGAGGATAGGTGAGTGTCTAGGTTAAGTCTTTTGGATATGATCCTGGATACCTGAAGGATGGGAGGAAGTGACACCTGTAAGTAGGGCTCTCCTTTATCCTCTTGGAAAACTGAACAAGACCTGAAGCCAACCTACGATGGTATTTTTTGTCCCAATCTTTTGCATATAACTTAGGGGGACTCTTGCTCAGGACCTTTAAAGTGTACACAGAAGAGACAGCAGGCTGAACCAGCTAGGTGCAAATTAATTCAGTGAATGGCCAATGATTAGAGGAATTCTATGCAATATTAATTCCACCACAACCCCAGCACAGCTTTGCTGTACATTGAGGTAGAATATAGGTCTTTTGGCTTTTATTTGATTCAGGGCAAACTTTCCAAGGTGCCTCTACAAAAAACAGTTGAAGGATACTAAAGTCAGATTTTTAGCATTTCCTCTTGACAGTGTCTGAATTTAGATGTCAAGAGAACTTGGCTCAACCATACATTCATTTCTGTAATATATATAATCACAGAGGTCAAAGTACATACACCAACCAGATTTCTAAAACAGCTAATTCATAATTCTTAGGTAAATACACTGTAATTAAGAGATAAATAGGCTTAAATAAGAAAGAGCTGGCTCCTAGTCAGTTAAATATTTGGATATAGCCATCCAAAAAAGTCTATCCAGTCTCTGGTTGTAGATGTTTTTAGAGATATTACCATAACCTAATTCTGGATTGGATCTTTTAGAAATTATAGGCTTGTGGTTTTGCCTGGCACATAGCAGGGACACAAGTATTTTTTCATGTCTAAACCAATTTAAATGAAAATCCTCTCACCCAACATTAGAACATGCATTTGCCCTTTTAAAGTATGCCTCTTGGTGAATATTTAGTCATTTAAACATTTGCCATACAATCCCTAAGCCATTGATTATAAAGCAACCAAGTTAGGTTTAAGTAATTGTCTGCTCACCCCCTAATTCCATTAATTCATCAAATACTTATTAGGTATCAGTCATGTACCAGGCACTGTTGTGGGCATTTGTAATGCATAAATGAACAAAAGAGAGCCATTTTCCTCACCATATTTTATATATTCTTCAAGTAGTCTGAAAGCAAATAGCTAATTAGCAAATGGCTCCAATTTACATTTTTACAACTGATCCTGTTTTTAACCATGTTTTAGCCATCTCACATTCTGTACTTCATGACAGCTGTTATGGTTTGGACATTTTTCCCCTCCAAAACTCATGTTAAAATTTAATTGCCACTGTAACAGTATTAAAAGGTGGGGCCCTTACCAGGTGTTTAGGCCATGAGGGCTCCACTGTCATGGGTGGGTTTAGTGCCTTATATTATAAAAAGGGCTTCCAGAAGGAGGCTTTTGCTCTTCCCATCTCATGGCCTTCTGCCATGGGATGGCACAGCAAGAGGGCCCTTGAAAGATACTGGCCCCTTGATCTTGGACTTTCCAGCCTCCAGAACTGTGAGCAAATACATTTCTGTTCATTATAGATTATTCAATCTCAGGCATTCTGTTACAGCAGCAAAAATGGACTAAGACAGAAAATTGGTAATGAGACGTGGGGCTGTTGCTATAACAAATACCTAAAAATGTGGAAGCAGCTTTGAAACTGGGTAATGTGTAGAGACTGGAAGAGTTTGGACAAGCAGGGTAGAAAAAGCCTAGACTGCCAAAAATAGAGCATTAAAGACAATTCTGGTGAGGGATCAGAAAAACAACTGATGGAAATGTCTGAAACTTCTTAGAGATTACTTCAGTGTTCACGATCAGAATGTTAGTAGAAATATGGGTAGTAAAGTCAATTCTGATGAGGTCTCATACAGAAATGAGGAAAAAGGTATTGGAAACTAGAGTAAAAAACCATCCTTTTTATAAAGTGGCAAGAAAATTGGTGGAATCGTGTCCATGCCCATGGGCTTTTGTGGAAGGCAGAATTTAAGAGAAATGAACTAGGATATTGGCAGAAGAAATATCTAAGCAGAAAAACCTTCAGTATGCTGCATGGCTTCTTTCAACTGCCTGTAGTAAAATGTGAGAAGGAAGAAATAATTTAAAGAGAATATGTAATTAAAAGAGAAACAGAACTTGGGAATTTGAAGGATTCTTAGCCTGACCCTGTGGTAGAGAATGAAAGAGCATTTTCAAAAGAGAAAACCAAGGCTGTGGCCAAGGAACTCTTGGATAAGGAGATTAGTATGAGTAGAATAAAGCCACAGGCTATTCATCAGGCTATTCACCAATGAAAGAATAATCCTGAAGGCATTTGAGAATACCAGTGCTGCCCCTCCCATCACAGGCCAAGAGTACCAAGGCTTGGGGGTACAGAAATGTGCCAAAAGAGAGGCCTAGAGTGTCCATGAGACGTATTTATTCCCCTGTGCAGCCTTAAGTGTCTGCTTCCTGCACTCTAGTGCAGCACTCCTTGGCTGCTCCAGCCATGGCACAAGCAAACCCCGGTGTGGCTTGACCTGCCACTCTGGAAGGTACAAGCCATAAAGCTTGGTGGCATCCATGTGGTGCTAATTCTGCAGGTGTACAGAGTGCAAGAGCTATGGATGCATGGCTTTCTCCACCTAGATTTCAAATGATGTCATGGACTGCTTGAAGGGTCCAGGCAGAAACTTTTCACTGATATGGAGCCACTGCAGCCAGTCCCCACTAGGGCAATGTGGAACAAAGCTATGGGAGTGAGGCCACTGCACAGTGTCTCCACTAGGGCAATGCCTAGTGCAGCCATGGGAGTGGGGTCATGCCTGAAACCCCACAACTGTAAAGCTACCAGTATACAACACTAGCCAGGGAGAGGCACAGTCATGACACACCAACCTGTGAGAGCTGCTGCATGGGTTGAGCCTTACAAAGCCATAGGAGTGAGGCTGTCTGAGGCCTTGGGTGCCCAGCCCCCACCCCAGTGTGTATAGAAGGTGGGACCTGGAGTCAAAGAAGATTATTCTCAAGGCTTAGGATTTAGTATTATTGCCTTTTGGGGTTTTAGACTTGCTTGGGATTTGTTACTCCTTTCTTCCTTCCTATTTCTCCCTTTGGAATGGAAATGTCTATCTTATACCTGTCTCACCATTGTATTTTATAAGCATGTAACTTGTTTAATTTCATAGACTCACAGCTGGAGGGGAATTTTTCTCAGGATGAATAATGCCTTGAGTCACAACTATATGTGATTTAGATGATACTCTGGACTATGGACCTTTCAGTTGATACTGGAATGAGTTAAGACTTTTGGGGCTACTGAGATGAAATGAATGCATTTCGTATGTGAGAAAAACATAAGTTTGGGGGGGTCGGGGGCAGAATAATATGGGTTGAATGTTTGTCCCCTCCAAAACTCAAGTTGAAATTTAATTGGCATTGTAACAGTATTAAGAGGTGGGGGCTTTAAGAGGCAATTAGACCATGAGGGCTCCACTATTTTAAAAAATGGCTTCTGAGAATGGGTCCCTCTCTTCCCCTCTCTTGCCCTTCTGCCTTATTCCATGGAATGACACAGGAAGAAGACCATTACCGGATGCTGGCTCTTCCTTCTTGGACTTCTCAGTCTCCATGACTGTGAGCCAATTAATTTCTGTTTATATTAGTCCATTCTCATGCTGCTATGAAGAAATTCTTGAGACTGGTTAATTGATAAAGAAAACAGGTTTAATTGACTCACAGTTCCATATGACTGGGGAGGCCTCAGGAAACATACAATCATGGCAGAAGGTGCCTATTCACAGGGCAGCAGGAGATAGAATGAGAGTTGAGCGAAGGGGAAAACCCCTCATAAAACCATCAGATCTCCCGATAACTCACTCACTATCACGAGAATAGTATGGGAGAACCGCCCCCATGATTCAATTATCTCCCCCGGTCCCACCCTTGACACATGGGAATTATTACAATTCAAGGTGAGATTTGGGTGCGGACACAGAGCCAAACCATATCACTGTTCAATATAAATTACCGAGTCTCCAGTATTCTCTTACAGCAGCAAAAATGAACTGAGATCACAGCTAAGTTTCCTCGAGTTTTTCTATATGAGTAACCAAAGTGGAACTATAGATAACTACATAATGAATTTGTATTCAGTAGGTTACTCTAAAGTTTACAGCCAGAGGTTGACTTTTGACAAGTTATAAGCATCCTGAATAGCCCCAAGTCCAGAAAAATAATTAAATGAAGCACAGTTGTTACACTGATGCTATTTCAACTTTCTATTTTGTAAGTGCTCTGAATACAGATTAGGAAGTGTTACAGTAACAGGTGCATTTTATTTGCTCAATGTTTATTGTTCTGCTTGATTTAATGAAGAAACTAAATTGTTAAATATATTAATATGTGAAAGCAATGTGAAAATAATTGTATTTTTGGGTGCTGTAAGTTCTGCTACGTAATTTTTCCTTAACCCTGAAAATAGCTAATTTAGAATTGTTTAATGATTTTTAAAAATATTTTCCACACCTTTCTTTTCATGTGATTTAGAAACATAACATTGCTTTTAGATATGCAAACTTTATAGCAATAGCTTTCATTAATCCTGGATTTTCACCCACATATTTTGAAAAATTGAATAATGAATTGATCTCTGGCTGTGTTTTGCAGATAAAAATTAGCATGTAAACACATATAACAAGAAATCTGAAATAAATGGCATTTACAGAAGGTAATATTTTTCTATTTCAATTCTTTATTGACTAGAATTTATTTAGTGTTCTGAGAGCTCATAAGACATGTCTACTAATGTTTCAGCATTTTGAAAAAAATTGTTTGTACTATGATATGTACAAAATCATTCCACCCCTAAACCTCTCTTTTTTCTAGTTATATGAACTTGTATTGCTTCCATCTGCTGAAAACCAGTAAATATTCTTTGCCTACATGAAAAACCACTTTCATTCATATACTTTAGTTCACATATTTATGAAAAGCAGTGTGTTAATGAGTAAGTTAAACTTCTAAGTTGTTTGGGGTCTTTAAATGAGAGATTGTGAATGTTTTCGTATCTTGACTGAAACAGATGAAAGTTTTCAGTTAATCTAAGATATATACTTGGCAGCTGACTAAAATAATCTTAATTTAATCTGGAAACAACTTTTGTTCTAATCAACTTCTTTTTTCACATTAGTGTAATTGTCCATTTTTAAATATTTTCCTTTCACAAGTTAACTTTTCTTAATAAGTTTTGCTGTTCATAATTGTTGACAATTTTTTCATGTCAAGTACATTAGAGAAGATTAAGTATTTTAAATCATTAAAATGCAATAAAAGAAAGAGATTCAAATTCTGGGTAACATTCCCTTTTCAAGCTTACAAATTGACTACCAAGAATTAGCTGTGAAACTTCACAAAAAACTCTGCCCAAATCAAAACATCTAAGTTCCTAAGGGATAATCAAATATAATAAACTAATGAGAACTTCCAAACCACGGCAATATATAAAAGAAACAAATGAAATTGTAATATGATCATAAATTTATATATAATCTTGTTCAATGAAAATTTGTTAGAACCCAAAGGTTAATGAGGCCAACATCAAGGTCTTTGTTCAGCATATTCTTAAACACATAGAAAATTATTCTCATTCTCATGTGGAGATATGTATTATTGAAACTGAAGGGTTAGTTCAAGTATGCAGGTAGCATGTCCCAACAGGAATTTAGGGGGATATTACTTCAGTAAAACTTTTTATGAGAAACAATTTATTTAAAATTTCAACTATTCAGCAATTATTTATTGATACTTATTAAGTGTTAGGCATGACCTTAAAGTATTTTACAGTTTAATGGTGGGAGGTTTATGGTGTTAACAAACACAAGCAAATTACTTTAAATATGGTAATTACTGTTTTAGGGAATATACTGAGGGTATAACAATAGCTTAAAGGACATATGCCTGGGGAAATCCAGAAAGGTTGTGGAATAAAGATACTTTGGACAAGAAATATTCAGGAAGAATAAGCTCATGTGTATATTCCAAAGAGAAAAAATAACATATTCAAAAGGATGATGTTGGAATATTGTGTGTGCATGTTTGTGTGTGTGTGTGTGTGTGTGTGTGTATGCCTGTGTGTGTGGAATATAAATTGTATGGAGATAAGAAAGAACAAATATACAAAAGGAGATCCTTAAAGACCTCATAATTACTAAAAGTTTTGACTTTAATTTGGTAGGCAAATAGGGCTTATTGAAGATTTTCACAGAGGCAACATGACTGAATTTGTTTTCCGATTTAGTCTGTTGGTTTAGTGGTCCCAAGAGAGACATTGCATAACAAATCACCCCCAAACACAATAGCTTGAAAAACCAATAATGGTTTATTATCACTTACGGTTTCTGTAGGTCAGGAATTCCAAAGCAGCTTGACTCAGTGGACCTGACTCAGGGTCCTCACGTGGTTGCATTCAGAATGTTGATTGGTGCTGAACTCATCTGAAGGCTTTACTTAGACTAGAAAAGACACATTCAGGTGACACTCTCACATGATTGGCAAATTCTTTCTGGCTGTTGGCCAGAGACCTCAGTTTCTCCTTAAGTAATTCTCCTTAAGTAGTTTTTCCTTAAGTAGTTCTTAAGTCTCCGTAAGACTGTGTGCATCCTCACAACATTATGGCTATAGGCCAACAGACCAAGGCAGAAGCTATAATGTCTTTTATAACTCAGCCTAGGAAGTCACACACTATAACTTCCACCATATTCTATTGGTAAACAACAAGTCTGATTCTGTATAGGAGTAGCCTTCACAAAAGGATGCATAAGAGAGATGACAATCATCAGGAACCATCCTGGCTGCCAGTTACCAGAGAAAAGGTCCAAGTCTCAAGGCAACCACACCAGATATAAAGTATTTGTGAAAATCAAGATAAGAAATCATGACTTTCTGACTCACAATCTTACTCACATGAAATGGGGGTGAAGAAAAGGGGCCCTATTTAGAAAAGGGTATAATGATTGATTGACAAACATTTACCTGAGGAAATCCAGAAAGGCTGTGGAGTAAAGATAATACTTTTGTTGAGAAGTATTCAGGTAAAATAAGCTCATGTGGATATTCCAAAAAGGAAAAAGAGCATATTAAAAAGAAAGAAGATGGAATACTGTGTGTGTGTGTGTGTGTGTGTGTGTGTGTGAATCGTAGAATTCACAAATATCATGACTGATCAGATATGGAGGATATGGGTGCAGAAAGAGCCCCAAACGACTCTCAGGTTTTAGGTTTGAGTGATGAAGAAAAGAGTGAGGCCAGAAATAATGATAAAGGAGAAGGAGCAAGGTTAAGAGGGAAAGGTGATACATTTTTTTTTCTAAGATGGCATTAAATTTCTCGTGGGACATCCATGTGGCTATAATAATCATAATCACAGATGGCATTTATTGAGTAATTTTTATGGGAAGGTACTCTCTTAAGTTCTTTAAATAGTCAAGTTCTTTAAATGAGTCATTACCTCATTTAATTTTCACAACAAATGTTTGTGGTAGGAAATGCCATTCTCATATTACAAATGAAGCAAAGAGAGATTAATTAGTCTAAAATTCCATGAGAAGTATGTTTATTCACATTAGAGCTATGGTTCAAACCCACCTTTAGTTCTGCCTCACTCTCCAAATTTTTATGACCCTTCATCCTCATGCTAACCATTTCCTATCTCTGAACAATTTGATAAAATCACTCTTATTCAGTTATTTGTGCCTTAGTATGCTGTATTTATGAAAAATCCAGTAATCTGAGTTAGAGAGAAAAGCTTAATTCCAATAACTCAGTCTCCTTGGTGAAATTTCAGTTACTGGGGAGAAAATGCATTGGGCTGAATATGTTACAGGGTATTATATCAAATTATTTTATCATATATCTGGTTTGCCTATACCTAAGGTTAGGTTATGAAAATGGTTTAAGAAAAAGTAATTGTAAATTTCTAAATAGAAATTTTGTTAGTGCTTCTATTGGCACATCTTATGATATAATTATATTATACAAGGTATTTTGATGTTTGGAAAGGCCATTCAATTTCATAAGCAAATGGAAGTGTGTTTGAGTTTCCAAAGCACATAAATGTCAAGCATGTCACATATCAGAGCTGGAAAAACATTATCAATAATTCAAGCAACGAATAAGATTCACTTATACTGATAAATGCTTACCCTTTTCATAATGATTTGAAAGTTCTTAGTATATTTGTGCAACAATTACTTTTTCTTTGTGAGCTTCATTACAATACCTATAATTTAATCTTTATCTTCATTATATCCACTTTCGATCCTCCCTCAAACAGCTGTAAAATCAAAATTATGATTCCTGTTTTACGAATAAAGAATTTATTGCTTGACAAAAACAAGCAACTTGCCCAAAGTTACATAATCATAAGGGTAGAACTAAAATTTGAAAGCATGTCTACTGGAACCTGCAATTCCGTGATGCTTCTCTGAACTAATGTGAGATGACTACTTTTGTTATACAGTCATGGGGCCTCCAGAATGGAAGAAGCAAGAAAAATCAAAACATTTTGGGGCCGAGTGCTGTGGCTCACGCCTGTAATACCAGCACTTTGGGAGGCCAAGGTGGGCAGATTGCTTGAGCCCAGGAGTTTGAGACCAGTCTGGGCAACATGTCAGAACTCCGTCTTTACAAAAAAATTAGCCAGGTGTGGTGGTGCGCATCTGTGGTCCCAGCTAATCAGGAGGCTGAAGTGGGAGAATCACCTGAGCCTGGGGAGGTTGAGGCTGCAGTGAGCCGTGACTGCACCACTGCATTCCAGCCTGGGTAACAGAGTAAGACTCCATCTCTCAAAAAAAATAATTTATTTGGCTTTGTTGAAGAAATAAACATTGTAATGTTATATAAAAGATAAAATAATTTAATTTTATCTGGCTTGAGTATTTCAAAATGGAGAGTAAAGAGTGTATACATTCATTGAACATGTTATGTGTAACAAAATTCCAAGGAAAAGCTCAGAAGGTATCTTGATAACCAGCGTCAACTATGGGCAATAATTTAAGATAACAATCTCTCTCTGCTAATCATCTATATTATAGTTCTACTTTTTTCAGCCCATAAATATGAAGCTCAGTTCTTCCCCCTCAGATTCACTCTTTTCTTTACTTCACTTATTTTTTTTGCTGTATTTGATTTTTTGGGAGCATGTCAATATTCTTAGTTATAACTCCTTCTCTAGCATTTATTCTTTTAACTATAATCTGACTTCAAATTACTCTCCATAGCTGCTTAGTGGAAAGGACTTGAGCATACTTTTTCTCTTGAGAGGACTATGCAATAGTTACGGAACTGAAAAGAAAGACGGAAGACATAGCTTTAATATTTAGTGGGCCCAAGCCTTCATAGATAATGACTAATGGTTGTTGCTAGATAGAAAATAAAGATGTCATTTACTTAATATTTTATATTCTGCTAATGGGATACTTGTTATGTGAGAGAGTTTATTTACAAACATAAATGAGAGGTTAAAAAATAGGTAATGGAATAATAAAGAATCCAGGGCTGCCATAAACAATTGTGCAAAAATGACAAAAAGGGTTTGTCATTGGAGCAAGTGAGGCTGAAATGCACTTTGATTTAGGCTTTAGAGTCCATGCTTCCACCTGGAAAGATGGGCATTTTTCTAAATCTCTCTAAGATACCATAAGGGTATATCCTGGTTTGTAGGAGGCAGATTGTTGTGTTTATTTTTTTTTCCAGAGCAATAAATGCACTAAAACATTTTAACTATCCTCTCAATTATTTAGGATGGTATTTTCCCCATTTATCTCTCTTGTCTTCTTCTCTTCCACTTTTAATCCCCTTGACTCATAACTTCCTCTGAGTTACTGAGAGTTCTAAAGTAATGAGCTACTACTATACTGGTCAGCAAAAAATGTTGTGGGCCTAAGTCTGGCACGCGTTTTTGTTTTTTGCTTTTGTATGCTCTGGAAGCTAAAAATAAGAAAAAGGTTTTTACATTTTAAATGGTTGAAACAAATTAAGTAATACCATTTTGACATGTGGAAATTACATGGAATTCAAATTTCAGTGTCTGTAAATAGAGTTTTGCTGGAACACAGTCATGTCCACTCATGTACATATTGGCTATGGATATGTGTGCTACAATCACAGAGTTGAGTAGTTGTGATGAAGACTGAATTGGCCTGATAAGCAGAAAATATGCAGTATCTGGACCTTTACAAGAAAAGTTGACCAACACAAGAACTAAGACGTTTACACTAATTCACAGGTGTCATATCATTTTATTGTGTATATACTTCCACTGAGATCTTAACTTGGAAGGACAAAAATCTGAACTCATCATGTGAGTAATCAGAACTCTTCAGAATCTGTTTCCAGTCACTCCCATCTAAAGCCAGTCCTAAGGTCACCCTTCGCAGACCCCACACTCCAATCTCTCTTAACATCTTAATCTTCCTGACCATCTTATATTCTTTCACACCTCAGAGGATTTGTAGGAGCTCTGGGTTTAGGCCAGGGCTCAAGTCTCTACTCTGCCACTTCAAAATTGAGTAAATTTAGGTAATTAGTTATCCATGTAGTTTTATGTTAATTTTTAAAAGAGGATTGCTAATACTTTCCCCAAGGAGTTATTGTGATTAAACGAATTACAGAATATGAATCGCCTCGAAAATTACCTGATATACAATTACTCCTACTTTTTCTTTACTTTCCTTTAACTTGCTTATTTTTCAGAAATTCAATTCAAATTTGGAGGCAATTCAGATATTATCTTTGGGTAACCACCTTAGATTGTCTCAGGCCGAGCCAGGTACTTTTTCAACAAAGCAGGTTGCTGCCATGTGCTCCTATTGCTCTCTTAAGTGGGAATTTTGAACATTCCAATGCAAATAATATCTGAGTTTTGAGGTTGTTATAAAGGCTAAATGATTTTAGTTATGAAAATGTCTTGTCAAAGAATAAGCTCACAAGAAATGTTTGCTGTTGATCATTAATCCTTATTTCTGCTCCTGCTACTCAGCTAGCACCTAGCAGATAGTAAAAACTCAGAAATATGTGATGGATGAATGAATAAACAACCTAATGACTGGGCTAGGGCAGTGGTTCTCAAATTTCAGTTTGCATCTGAATGACCCAGAGGGTTTGTGAAAATGTGGGTTGCTGAGTCCCATCACCAGAGTTTTAATTTAGTAGGTCTGGGATGTGGCTCAATAATTTGCATTTCTAATAAGCTTTAAATCATAGTGATAACGCTGGTCTGGAGGTTGGAATTTGAGAACTGATAGGTTAGATAATATGCCCAAGCAGTTTTCGGTACAAACTAGTCGCTTACCTGATCATCCAGCTTTCTCTGTTCTGTTTTGCATATTGCCCCATATCTGAAGCCTGTCTTCTGAGCCCCAGAATATTTCACATTCTTATATATCTATACTTTTACTGATATGATAGATTGAAGTCAGAGTCAAGCTAACTTGGTTAAATTAGAAAATACTTTATGAAATGTGCATTCCAATCTTACTCATAAATAGTACTTTCCACTTAAAGGGGGAAAAAGACACTAGCAAGAAGTGAAATCAAATTCAAAATGCCATGTCATTAGTTTGATTTAATACATAAAATTTTTTGAAAATAGAAAATGTTAAGTACATAAGAGATATAAAACTATACAATTAAAAAAACATTGTTAAAAGTGATTTAAAAAAAAAAGAGTATCAGGCGTGGTGACTCACGCCTGTAATCCCAGCACTCTGGGAGGCCGAGGTGGGCAGATCACCTGAGGTCAGGAGTTTGAGACCACCCTGGCCAACATGGCGAAACCCCATCTCTATTACAAATACAAAAATTAGCCACGTGTGGTGGCAGGTGCCTGTAATCCCAGCTACTTGGGAGGCTGAGGCAGGAGAATTGCTGAACCTGGGAGGCAGAGGGTTGTGGTGAGCTGAGATTGCACCACTGCACTCTAGCCTGGATGACAGAGTGAGACTCCATCTCAAAAAATAAATGAATAAAATAGAATAAAAATTAAAAAGAGTATCATATGTTACAATGTACATTATTCAGGCGATGTATATCCTAAAAACCCTACTTTAGCCCTACACAATCTATTCATGTAGGAAAATTACACTTGTACCTCATACAAATTTTAAAAAATATCATTATAAGTTAAAAGGTAGGATTCTATTGGCACTAGTACATTGGTTTACTTCATATGTTTTTATTGGTGAATGACTTTTGCAAAAATATCGACCAGTAAAAGCAATTTTTAAATTTATTTAGAAACACATAAGGCCTTAGAGTATAAAGCATACATTACGCATTTCCATTGGAGATTGACACCTCATGATGATAGACTAATTTAGATCTCAAGTGGCTGTGATTTAACTTGCTACATAAATATGATGGTTGTGGAAGAAATTAAAATGGATTTTTTTCCATGTCATTTTTCCTTCTAACCTTTGCACGATAGAGGTTGTGGATGAAAACTCATGTCATGGGCTGATTTAACTATATAATCAAAAGGAAAAGGAAGCATCTAAAACCACTTTGCTATTTTCATAAAGAAGAAACTGAATAAACCAAGCACATCAAAATAGTCCATGCACAGTGATGTGGACAATTCTCTATAAGTGATTCTGAGTTCCACCTTCAACCCTTTAGAGTGAACAGATGATAAGAAAGTCATCATATCTTATGAATGTTTGGTTCCTTTAAATCTCAAAATTCTGTATGTTTTATTTTCTTCTGAAATGTCTAGCAGTCTTTTATGCTATTCTTGACTAGTCTATGTTTATTTTTGGCATAAGAATATTTAGAATAAAAGGACAAACATGAAAATGTTGGTTTCCTTTTAATTCCTGAACTGTACATGTTTGTGTATTTCTAACCTCATTTGGCCTTTACAAAGCTGTTCCTGTTATCAGTGAGAACCAGCCATCAGGGCAGTTAGTTATGTAATCTCCCTGGGCAGCCTTAGAGGAACGAAACTGGAAAAAAGAAAAAAAGAAAAAAGAAAAAAAAAAACGTTGTTTATGGTCTGCGTGTCATGTCTCTTCCACGAGATTTTTGTTTTGCACTCATGTCAATTGCAGCCTGCAAATATGAGTAGGACGCATGGCAGAGAAACAGATGGGTACTCACATAGCTCTAGTTCATCAAAAGTAACGCCTGTTTATTTCTCCTGGAGAGATGCTCTTGTGGATGGGTTGAATAATATATCCTATGTGAGATGAAGGAGAGAAGAGTGGTCACTGATTCTCGCAAGATGAACAAACAGGCCATGTATAGTCTGAATCAAAATGATCCGCCCTTAAATCTCAGCTCTAGTCATTTTAGCATATGACTAAAAGAGCATATTAGTCATATACTTTTCTGTAAGCTTCTCAAACTTTTTGAAACTTTGTATTGTAATCTGCTTACTGGACCTAACATCATATATGTATACCTTTTAGGTTTTTTGTTTGTTTGTTTTAAACTAGAGCTAATGTGTAATTTTCACAATATAGTGTTAAATATGTTAATATTTTATTAACTTACTTATACCCAAATATAACAATAATAATTCCATAGTTACTTGTCAGAAGGTCATTAATTCAACAAAAATTAATTGTAGGATTAGTATCATTACTATTTGGGTATAGATTAATGAATATAACTTACTGAAATGGGAAAAAGGCAATCAGCTATTAAATTTGGATGTAAATGTAAAACAATTAATTATTTTAAATTCTATACAAATGTAGTGATAGGAAATAAGGGTGGGCATTATTTAGACAAGCTGGTTAGAATACTCTTAACTGAGATAGTTGAGCTGAGACAGAATCTCAGAAACAAAGTCAGCCATGTGACAAGGGAGGGGAACAATGTTCAAGAAAGAAGAAACAGTGTGAAGAAAGGCACAGATGGGGAAGATGGCATTAGATAGTTTATTATTAGCAATATTATTAGGATAAACTGGGAAGATTTCACCACACATGCTTCTACACCACTATTTACATATATACTTTAGAAGAAAAAAAGTAGAAGCTTAATAATTTTGATTTATTTCAGAAAACACTAGGGTAGTTTAAAATATTTATACACACTGGCTATTTATTTAATACTGTTAAAAATTATTCCAACACTTGTTAAAATGGTAATAAAGGCTTTACTCAGGATTATTGTGATAGGTATAAACACTACAGCAATAAGGAAGAGAGATTGAGCTCAACTCCGAATACAGGAAAGCCAGACAGGAATTTAGAGTTAAAAAGCAGAGTTGGCATGGGTTTCACTGAACAGAAAATGACTAAGAGAAGATATCAAGGGAGGAGTATTCTTGCTAAACTGACTTAGCAGGTTTCTTGCTAAAGGCAGGCCACAGTGATCACACATCAAGGGTGGGAGGATTCACATTAAACTGACTTAGCAGGATTCTTGCTACAACTAGACTAGGCAGGCCAAAAACAGGGCCCAAGGACAAGGCCTAGTTACAAAGAAAACTTGGAGAAGCCTGTCTAAAGCCTGGTCAAGAAAAGTCTTTATCAGCACAGTGACCCTCTCACTAATTCCTGTTTTAGTCTTAGCAGATTTGTCATACTTGAATAGTCTTCCCATTTAAAACTTTTTGGATTTGCAAATCCAATAAAAGAGCACACAGTACTGCCAATCACAAATTTTCATTGCTATAAATCCACTGACATCTTATTTCCTTTTGATGCTAATATAGAGAAAAAAGATGATGAATCATGAAAATGATGCTATTTTCCTGCTTTACGAAGCAACCGCTAAATAAAGGCAGAGAGAAAGAAACCTTTTTCCAGCTGTCTTATTGCCTTTTTAAGCTCTTATTATAAGCATCTACAAAATGAGGCAAAGAGAGAGAAGACCATAGAATACTAAACCGTTGTCGCTCCTTCGAGTTAAATGTTAGATTTTCATCAGATTCAGGGGATGTGGGACCTGGAGATATGGAAGGTTGTAGAGGGACTCAGCAGGAATAATTGGAGGAAATTAGGACCATAATTACCCAGAAAAGAGCCTATAGCTAATACCAAGGAAATTTGCTTTATCATGATTTTTTCAGACTAGATCATGCTTTCTAAGGTCATGTAAACTCACTTGGGAGTTTATATGCACTCTCTCAAGGGGAGGCACTTGCAGTTACTGCATACACTGTTCTGGCATATAATTAAATTTCCAGAACTTAAGAGGCCGTCATACTGCAAGTTTCTTAAGGGAACACATACATCATGCCTTATTCTCTGAAATTCTTGGCGTTACAGGTGTTGTCTTTCATTAATGCATATTTGTTCACTTAACATTATTGAAAACAAACAATTTCAGGCTTTGGGTAATGGATACAGACATGAAGTACACAAATCTTTGTCTGCAAGGAATTCACAGGCTACTTGGAGAGACAGACAGACAATAGAATATCTACAATACAAAGCAATAAAGTATTATGTTAAAGATACATAAATTAATGGAAAACAAGCAAGGACTACATAGACATAAAGAAAGAGAGAGAAAGGTATTCGAAGAGGTCACCTTATTTGACAGTAGAAATTAACTAGAAAATAAAGTATATCAGAAATTTCTACTCAAGGGTAGAGACTCATTTTTAAAAGGAGGTCAGAATGCGCACAGTCATAGACTATATAACCTGGTGAAGTCGAGAAACAGAAAGTATCTTGGCATGGATGAACCATATATTGCATGTGAGATGAAGGGAAGAAAAGTGACCACTGATTCTGGGAAGATGAGCAAACCAGGCATGGAGACAGAGTTTAAATATTAGTCTGAAGCTCATAGAGAAACTTTAAATGATTTTAAGCAGGGTGAAACTGAAAGCAGGGTGATGAGTTAAGAGATTCCTTCAGTAACCCATATGAATAATTATGATGAGAGCTTAAACTAGAATATTGGCAGAAAAAGAAAACAGAGAGGAAGGGAAAGGCATAAAAAGTATTTTGAAATAAGATTTATATGGATGAACATCATTTAATGCGGGGACTGAAGGAGAGGAAGACAGATACAATGAAGACCAGGTCAATTTACTTTGTCAATTTACATGTTTGCCAATGCTTATCACATAGTAGGTGCCAAAGAGATATTTCTTTAAAATAAGCATAAATAAATTACCAGATACTGCTGATTCACTAAGACATTTCTCCTAGAACCTCCTTTGAGTTCAACTACAGCCACAGTAGCCAGCTTCTGGACACACTGTATGATTTTCACCCACAGTATTTGTCTCTTTTTTTCACCCTGAGGCTTTTTTGGGGGGGGGGGGCAGGTAGCTCTTGACCAGCCCCTACCAAAGGCAGCTAAGAAATGCCAGGTATTAAACATCTCTACGAATATCCCTCAACTGGTGATGAACAGGAGTAATAAATAAGTGTGCCAGCTTCCTTATTCTTCAATGGGACAATTCTGAGCCCTGAATAGGCTCAGCATCTGAGAGTTTCCCCAGTGGGACTGAGCTCCAGTTACCCCCAACAGGAATCTCTTCTTAATATAGTCTTGATTTTCTCCCTTTTCCATCTCAGTTTCCCACTTCTTTACTTGTGCTTTCGGGATTCACCTCTCAAATAATCCACCTTGTCCTTGTCAGAGTTCTTCTGGGGAATCAAAACTAATCCGGCGGGGGAGGTAATTAAGTACATTTTTAAAGAATAAATTAGAATCATCCTTTTATAAGAAAAACATATTAAAAATAAAACATATGCCAACAATTATTTAAAATGATGGGATTGTACTTTTTCAGAAAGGCTAAGGCAAAAGAGAATAAATCTGAGAGTTTCCACATGGGATACAATAATTCTTCTCAAATGCTAAAGAGAGAACATAAATTACACACTGAACACAGAGTATAAAAATAATTTCACTCTCCTAATCCTTTACCCTGAACTATCTCAGGTTTGTCTCTTTCATCTGAGTGGCCTGCTGGCAGCCTTGTTCCAGGTGGAGAGCTTAAGCCTAAAGCCAGTATGCAGAGTCGATGAAATCCAGGGTCTGTTGCGTTTGCTTAGCTGCTCAGAGATTTTCCATCCTAGTCCAGTTTTCATCTTTCTGAAGAGCAAGTGAATTTTGCTTTTGACTAGTTGGTATCCAGACATTAAATTTGATGACTTCAATAAATTCTTAAGTATTTTTGACAAGAATCATACTCACAGATCTCCTGCAAAGTCAAAGAAACCAGGCCCTCACAAGACTAATAACAATGATTAAACACATTTTATATTCCTCAAATGTTGCACTTGGTTCTTTGTTAGAAAACATAGGGAGCAATAGATAAAGAAGATGCTAAAGAGAGTTGTTTTTTTTTTTTTTTTTTTTCCCAAAAGAAGACCTGGTCCCAATCAAGACTTATCACTTATATGGAATCTCTGAGACATTCTTTTCTAATTTTTTTCACACACAAACCAAAGTTGGTATAAAAATAAATGATTAAAATACACAGAAGATCTTTATAAACTGCACATCAACATAAAGATAAAAAAGAGTATGATTTGAAACTTCATAAATTCTAAGCTTAGGTACTTGGATTAATTCTCTCACAGTGAAGTCCTAGTAAAATGTTTAAATATGGTAGAAATGCTACTAAATTAACATTCTTTAGGAAAATAAATCATATAGCAGGTATATTAGTCCATTCTCACTCTGCTATAAAGAATTCCCTGAAACTGGGTAATTTATAAAGAAAAGAGGTTTAACTGACTCACAGTTCTGCATGGCTGGGGAGGCCTTACAATCATGGTGGAAGGTGAAGGGGGAGCAAGCGCTTTCTTCACAAGGTGGCAGGAGAGAGAGAGCGAGCCCAGGGGAAATTGCCACTTTTAAACCATCAGATCTCCTGAGAACTCCCTCACAATCACAAGAACAGCATGGGGGAAACCACCCCCATGATCCAATCACCTCTCAACAGGTCCCTCCCTCAACACATAGGGATTACACTTTGAGATGAGATTTGGGTGGAAACACAGAGCCAAATCATATCAGCAGGGGACCATAAAATGAACAGCTCTTCAAACAGAGAGATTAGAGACGACAGACATTTGTGTTTTGCAGTTTCTCATGTGTTAGGTAAGAAATCATTTGACTAAGAGCCTAGCAATGGGCATGAAAAAGAAGAGAAAGATCTACATTTTATTTTTTAATAAAAAGGAAATAATAATTTCAGAATTATTTAGCTAGAGAAGATGGAGGAAAAGGGAAATTGAAATCAGTGTTTGGTGAGTGGCTGAATAATGCTGTCTGTGATAGGAATAAGGATTTGGGATGGGACAGATTTTGTACAAGAAATTATTAATTAATCTTTACAAATCCTGACTTATTTGAATTAAAGGGCCACATTCAAATATGATGCCCTGTAAGAATTTGGACTCAAAGAAAAGTAGGTGTGAAGATTTCAATTTATAGTAAGCCATTAAAAGAGTAAGAGGATCAACACATTTTTTGAAGGAAAATGTAAGGGGAAAAGTTTACAGAAATTTTAAAAAGAAAAGTCATTATATCTGAATAACAACCTTAGTCAAGAAATGGAAGAAAGAAGAGGAATGAGAAGATCTAATTACAGAAATAGAGACACCCATATCAGAGAAGGAAGAGAACAAAGTAAAAGAAGAGAGATCTTCAAGATCTGCAGAAATATCAGAAAATATTTACAATATTTACAAATAATTTTTACAATCTTCTACAAAATGAGAAATTGAGGCAGAGGACCAATGTTTAATCTTCAAATGAAACTGTTCTTTTTTTGTTGGTTTTAACTAAATATTCAAACAAATACTAATTTCACTGCATATGAACTCAATCATGATTCCAAATACTACAGTATGTTAGCTGCAATGCAACCAGGGATTTAGTCTGACCTCATTTTAGACTTTGTCTTCCATTTACGTCACTTTTAATATAAGCTACTAGATTCTTTTCTGTATTTTGAAATTTTGGTATATTTATCCATTATTTTTTGAGTAACATAATTGTTGAGTAACAATATTGAAAGTTATTAACAAATATGAAATAAATATTATTGCTTATTCCAAAAGAGGAACTACTGTGGTCAGTTGTTGAACTCTACCTTGTAGGTTTCCAATGTACAGAAATTTCAACTTAAAAATGTTTTACTCAAAGGCCTTTTCTGCATCTATTGAGATAATCATGTGGTTTTTTTCATTGGTTCTGTTCATGTGATGGATTATGTTTATTGATTTGTGTATATTGAACCAGCCTTACAGCCCATGGATGAAGCTGACTTGATCGTGGTGGATAAGCTTTTTGATGTGCTCCTGGATTCGGATTGCCAGTATTTTATTGAAGATTTTCACATCGATGTTCATCAGGGATATTGGCCTGAAATTTTCTTTTTGTGCTGTGTCTCTGCCAGGTTTTGGTATCAGGATGATGCTGGCCTCATAAAATGAGTTAGGGAGGATTCTCCCTTTTTCTGTTGATTGGAATAGTTTCAGAAGGAATGGTATCAGCTACTCTTTTTACCTCTGGTAGAATTTGGCTGTGAATCCACCTGGTCCGGGGCTTTTTTTGGTTGGTAGGCTGGTAATTACTGCCTAAATTTCAGAACTTGTTATTAGTCTATTCAGTGTTTCAACTTCTTCCTGGTTTAGTCTTGGGAGGGTGTATACGTCCAGGAATTTATCCATTTCTTCTAGATTTTCTAGTTTATTTGTGTAGAGGTGTTTATAGCATTCTCTGACGGTAGTTTGTATTTCTGTGGGATCAGTGGTGATATCCCTTTTATCATTTTTTATTGTGTCTATTTGATTCTTCTCTCATTTCTTCTTTATTAGTCTGGCTAGGGGTCTATCTATTTTGTTGATCTTTCAAAAAACCAGCTCCTGGATTCATTGATTTTTGGAAGTTTTTTGTGTCTCTGTCTCCTTCAGTTCTGCTCTGATCTTAGTTATTTCTTGTCTCTGCTAGCTTTTGATTTTGTTTGTTCTTGTTTCTCTAGTTCTTTTAATTGTGATATTAGGGTGTTGATTTTAGATCTTTCCTGCTTTCTCCTATGGGCATTTAGTGCTATAAATTTCCCTCTAAACCCTGCTTTAGCTGTGTCCCAGAGATCCTGGTACGTTGTGTCTTTGTTCTCATGGTTTTAAAAAATTTCTTTATTTCTGCCTTCATTTCATTATGTACCCAGTAGTCATTCAGGAGCAGGTTATACAGTTTCCATGTAGTTGTGCAGTTTTGAGTGAGTTTCTTAATCCTGAGTTCTAATTTGATTGCACAGTGGTCTGGGAGAATGTTATGATTTACATTCTTTTGTATTTTCTGAGGAGTGTTTTACTTCCAATTATGTGGTCTATTTTAGAAAAAGTGCGACGTGGTGCTGAGATAAATGTATATTCTGTTGATTTGGGGTTGAGAGTTCTGTAGATGTCTGTTAGGTCGGCTTGGTGCAGAGCTGAGTTCAAGTCCTGGATATCCTTCTTAATTTTCTGTCTCGTTGATCTGTCTAATATTGACAGTATTAAAGTCTCCCATTATTATTGTGTGAGAGTCTAAGTCTCTTTGTAGGTCTCTAAGAACTTGCTTTATGAATCTGGGTGCTCCTGTATTGGGTGCATATATATTTTGAATAGCTAGCTCTTCCTTTTGAATTCATCCCTTTACCATTATGTAATGCCCTTCTTTGTCTTTTTTGATTTTTGTTGGTTTAAAGTCAATTGTGTCAGAGACTATGATTGCAACACCTGCTTTTTTTTGCTTTCCATTTGCTTGGTAAATATTCCTCCATTCCTTTATTTTGAGCCTATGTATGTCTTTGCACATGAGTTGAGTCTCCTGAATACAGCACGCAGTTGAGTCTTGACTCTTTATCCAATTTCCCAGTCTGTGTCTTTTAATTGGGGCATTTAGCCCATTTACATTTAAGGTTAATATTGTTATGTGTGAATTTGGTCCTGTCATTATGATGCTAGCTGGTTCTTTTGCCCGTTTGTTGATGCAGTTTTTTCATAGTGTCGATGGTCTTTACAATTTGGTATGTTTTTGCAGTAGCTGATACAGGTTTTTCCTTTTCATATTTAGTGCTTCCTTCAGGAGCTCTTGTAAGGCAGGCCTGGTGGTGACAAAATCTCTCAGCATTTGCTTATCTGTAAAGGATTTTCTTTCTCCTTCACTTGTGAAGCTTAGTCTGGCTGGATATGAAATTCTGGGTTGAAAATTCTTTTCTTTAAGAATGTTGAATATTGGCACCCACTCTCTCTGGCTTTTAGGGTTTCTGCAGAGAGATGTGCTGTTAGTCTGATGGGCTTCCCTTTGTGGGTAACCTGACCTTTCTCTCTGGCTGCCCTTAACATTTTTTCCTTCATTTCAACCTTGGTGAGTCTGATGATTATGTATCTTGGGGTTGCTCTTCTCGAGGAGTATCTTTGTTGTGTTCTCTATATTTCCTGAATTTGAATGTTGACCTGTCTTGCTAGGTTGGGGAAGTTCTCCTGGATAATATCCTGAAGAGCATTTTCCAACTTGGTTCTATTCTCCTCATCACTTTCAGGTACACCAATTAAATGTAGGTTTGGTCTTTTCACATAGCCCCATTTTTCTTGGAGGCTTTGTTCATTTCTTTTCATTCTTTTTTTCTCTAATATTGTCTTACACTTTATTTCATCAAGTTGATCTTCAATCTCTGATATCTCTTCTTCTGCTTGATCAGTTCAGCTATTGATACTTGTGTATGGTTCACGAAGTTCTCGTTCTGTGTTTTTCAGCTCCATCAGGTCATTTATGTTCTCTAAACTGGTTATTCCAGTTAGCAATTCATCTAACTTTTTTTCAAGGTTCTTAGCTTCCTTGCATTGGGTTAGAACATGCTCCTTTAGCTTGGAGGAGTTTGTTATTACCCACCTTCTGAAGCCTACTTTTGTCCATTCGTCAAACTCATTCTCCATCCAGTTTTGTTCCCTTGCTGACGAGGAGTTGTGATCCTTTGGAGGAGAAGAGGCATTCTGGTTTTGGGAATTTTTAGCCTTTTTCCCTGGTTTTTCCTCATCTTTGTGGATTTATCTACCTTTTGTCTTTTATGTTGGTGACCTTCGGATGGGATTATTGTGTGGATGTCCCTTTTGTTGATGTTGATGCTATTCCTTTCTGTTTGTTAGCTTTTATTCTAACAGTCAGGCCCCTCTGCCGCAGGTCTGGTGCAGTTTGCTGGAGGTCCACTACAGACCCTGTTTGCCTGGGTATCACCAGTGGAGACTGCAGAACAGCAAAGATTGCTGCCTGTTCTTTCCTCCGGAAGCTTTGTCCTAAAGGGGCACCCACAAGATGCTAGCTGGAGCTCTCCTGTATGAAGTTTCTATCAACCCCTGCTGGGAGGTATCTACCAGTCAGGAGGCACTAGGGTCAGGGACCCACTTGAGGAGGTGGTCTGTCCCTTAGCAGAGCTTGAGTGCTGTGCTGGGAGAGCTGCTGCTCTCTTCAGAGCTGGCAGGCAGGAATGTTTAAGTCCACTGAAGCTGCACCCACAGTCGCCCCTTCCCCCAGGTGCTCTGTCCCAGTGAGATGGGAGTTTTATCTATAAGCCCCTGACTAGGGCTGCTGCCTTTCTGTCAGAGATTCCCTGCCCAGAGAGGAGGAATCTAGAGAGGCAGTCTGACTACTGTGGCTTGGCCAAGCTGCGGTGGGCTCCACCCAGTTTGAACTTCCCAGCGGCTTTGTTTACACTGTGAGGTGAAAATCGCCTACTCAAGCCTCAGTAATGGCGGACGCCCCTACCCCCACCAAGCTCGAGCAACCCAGGTCGACTTCAGATTGCTATGCTGGCAGTAATAATTTCAATCCAGTGCATCTTAGCTTGCTGGTCTCCATGGGGGTGGGATCTGCTGAGCTAGACCACTTGGCTCCCTGGCTTCAGCCCCCTTTCCAGGGGAGTGAACAGTTCTGTCTCACTGTCATTCCAGGTGCCACTACAGTATGAAAAATAAACTCCTGCAGCTAGCTTGGTGTCTGCCCAAATGGCTGCCCAGTTTTCTGCTTGAAACCCAGGGCTCTGGCATTGTAGGCACCTGAAGGAATCTCCTTGTCTGCGGGTTGCGAAGACCATGGGAAAAGAGTAGTATCTGGGCCAGAATGCACTGTTCCTCATGGCACAGTCCCTCATGGCTTCCCTTGGCTAGGGGAGGGAGTTCCCTGACCCCCTGTGATTCCCAGGTGAGGCAACACCCCACCCTGCTTCTGCTCGCCCTCGGTGGGCTGCACCTGCTGTCTAACCAGTACCATTGAGATGAGCTGGGTACCTCAGTTGGAAATGCAGAAATCACCCACCTTCTGCGTTGATCTCGCTGAGAGCTGCACACTGGAGCTGTTCCTATTTGGCCATCTTGCCCTAGACCATAAAAACCATAGAAGAAACCCCAGGCAACATCATTCAGGACATGGGCATGGGCAAAGACTTCGTGACTAAAACAACAAAAGCAATGGTAACAAAAGCCAAAATTGACAAGTTGGATCTAATTAAACTAAAGAGCTTCTGCACAGCAAAAGAAACTATCATCAGAGTGAACAGGCAACCTACAGAATGGGAGAAAATTTCTGCAACCTACTCATCTGACAAAGGGCTAATATCCATAATCTACAAGGAACTTAAACAAATTTACAAGAAAAAAATCAAACAACCCCACTGAAAATGGGCGAAGGCTATGAACAGACACTTCTCAAAAGAAGACATTTATGCGGCCAACAAACACATGAAAAAAAGCTCATCATCACTGGTCATTAGAGAAATACAAACAAAACCACAATGAGATATCACCTCACTCCAGGTAGAATGGCGATCATTAAAAAGTCAGGAAACAACAGGTGCTGGAGAGGATGTGGAGAAATAGGAACACTTTTACACTGTTGGTGGGACTGTAAATTAGTTCAACCATTGTGGAAGACAGTGTGGCAATTCCTCAAGGATCTAGAACCAGAAATACCATTTGACCCAGCCATCCCATTACTGGGTATATACCCAAAGGATTATAAATCATGCTGCTATAAAGACACATGCACACATATGCTTATTGCAGCACTATTCACAATAGCAAAGACTTGGAACCAACCCAAATGCCCATCAATGATAGACTGGAAAAAGAAAATGTGGCACATATACACCATGGAATACTATGCAGCCATAAAAAAGAATGAGTTCATGTCCTTTGCAGGGACATGGATGAAGCTGGAAACCATCATTCTCAGCTAACTGACACAGGAATAGAAAACCAAACACTGCATGTTCTCACTCATAAGTGGGAGTCGAATAATGAGAACACATGGACCCAGGGAGGGGAACATCACACACCGGGGCTTTTTGGGGGGATGAGGGGCTAGGGGAGGGATAGCATTAGGAGAAATACTTCATGTAGATGACGGGTTGATGGGTGCAGCAAACCACCATGGAACGTGTATACCTATGCAACAAACCTGCACATTCTGCACATGTATCCCAGAATTTAAAGTATAATAATAAAAAAAAAATGCTAAAGTGAGTTCATCAAGCTAAAAGAGAATGATGCTAATGAATAACACAAAAACATCTGAAAGTATAAAACTTACTGGTAAAAGAAAGTACACAGTCAAATTTAGAATAATACTGTAATGGTGGTGTATAAAAAAAAAGTAGTTTTAAAAGAAGTATATAGAGTATAATTATAGAGCTAGATATTTTTACCACATATATTTTGCCAAAGAAAAAAAGATTAGGATGATTCAAAAATTCAAAAAAAAGATGGCATGACTGAGATTTTAGTTAATTTTTAATTTATTATATATTCTCATCTTTATTTGAGTGTATCTTTATTTTATTCATTTTTTATAATGAACATATATAACTTGAATAATAATTTAAAAACTTTAAAAACTAGCAAAGCAATGACATTTCTCTAACATTAGTATGGCAAAGTTTTATATTTAAAGATAGGCTTCAGAGAGGATTCATGTATCTCTTTTAAATTTTTTTCTTCCTGATAACATTTTTCTTTATTATTTCAAGTTTTTATCTTTGTTAGATAGAAAATGGCTGATCCTATAAAATTACATAATTTACAAATGATTTATTCAAGAAATCATATGAAAGAGATGTCAACATTTTGAATTGATTCTTTTTAATGGAATTGTGTTAATTTGGAAATTAAAACTAAAATGTTCAGTTAAATATGACTATTGTTATATTTTTAATATAAAACATCCAATTAATTGGAGGCAGCTATGTAAATTACTACATTTCTCAGTGATCATCATCCTGTTCAGCATTAAAAAGACAAATTACCTATCAGACTGTTTTGTTCAGGTCAAGGAGGGTTGTGTGGCATAATTTAAATAATTAGAAGATATGTAAGCATAAGTTTGATATGATTTCTTTTTTTAAATTTTATTATTATTATACTTTAAGTTTTAGGGTACATGTGCACAACGTGCAGATTTGTTACATATGTATACATGTGCCATGTTGGTGTGCTGCACCCATTAACTCGTCATTTAGCATTAGGTATATCTCCTAATGCTATCCCTCCCCCTTCCCCCCACCCCACAACAGTCCCCGGTGTGTGATGTTCCCCTTCCTGTGTCCATGTGTTCTCATTGTTCAATTCCCACCTATGAGTGAGAACATGCGGTGTTTGGTTTTTTGTCCTTGAGATAGTTTGCTGAGAATGATGGTTTCCAGTTTCATCCATGTCCCTACAAAGGACATGAACTCATCATTTTTTATGGCTGCATAGTATTCCATGGTGTATATGTGCCACATTTTCTTAATCCAGTCTATTGTTGTTGGACATTTAGGTTGGTTCCAAGTCTTTGCTATTGTGAATAGTGCCACTATAAACATACGTGTGCATGTGTCTTTATAGCAGCATGATTTATAATACTTTGGGTATATACCCAGTAATGGGATGGCTGGGTCAAATGGTATTTCTAGTTCTAGATCCCTGAGGAATCGCCACACTGACTTCCACAATGGTTGAACTAGTTTACAGTCCCACCAACAGTGTAAAAGTGTTCCTATTTCTCCACATCCTCTCCAGCATCTGTTGTTTCCTGACTTTTTAATGATCGCCATTCTAACTGGTGTGAGACGGTATCTCATTGTGGTTTCGATTTGCATTTCTCTGATGGCCAGTGATGATGAGCATTTTTTCATGTGTCTTTTGGCTGCATAAATGTCTTCTTTTGAGAAGTGTCTGTTCATGTCCTTTGCCCACTTTTTGATGGGGTTGTTTGTTTTTTTCTTGTAAATTTGTTTGAGTTCATTGTAGATTCTGGATATTAGCCCTTTGTCAGATGAGTAGGTTGCAAAAATTTTCTCCCATTCTGTAGGTTGCCTGTTCACTCTGATGGTAGTTTCTTTTGCTGTGCAGAAGCTCTTTAGTTTAATTAGATCCCATCTGTCAATTTTGGCTTTTGTTGCCATTGCTTTTGGTATTTTAGACATGAAATCCTTGCCCATGCCTATGTTCTGAATGGTATTGCCTAGGTTTTCTTCTAGGGTTTTTATGGTTTTAGGTCTAACATGTAAGTCTTTAATCCATCTTGAATTAATTTTTGTATAAGGTGTAAGGAAGGGATCCAGTTTCAGCTTTCTACATATGGCTAGCCAGTTTTCCCAGCACCATTTATTAAATAGGGAATCCTTTTCCCATTGCTTGTTTTTGTCAGGTTTGTCAAAGATCAGATAGTTGTAGATATGCGGCATTATTTCTGAGGGCTCCGTTCTGTTCCATTGGTCTGTATCTCTGTTTTGGTACCAGTACCATGCTGTTTTGGTTACTGTAGCCTTGTGATATGATTTCTTGAGAGTAGTGCATTCCTCCAGATAATGATTTTTACCAGCACCTTGATTCCAAATGATAATCTAGTAGTATACACCACTGTAACACATTACAAGGCAATCTTTCATAAGAAATTCTTAAGTGAATTCAATATGTTTCATATACTACCACAGTTGCTAGTCTGTCTCAATGATTTAAGCTTAGGCCGGGCATGATGGCTCATGCCTGTGATACCAACAGTTTGGGAGGCCAAGGCAGGTGGACCACTTGAGCTCAGGAGTTCGAGACCAGTCTTGCCAACGGTGGCGAAACCCCATCTCTACAAAAAATTATCCAGGTGTGGTGTTGTGCACTCGTGGTCCCAGCTACAAGGGAGGCTGAGGCGGGAGGGTTGCTTGAGTCTGGGAGTTCAAGGCTGGGTGAAAGAGTGAGATTCTTTCTCAAAAAATATTAATAATAATAACAGTTTAATGTTGTGTCAAAAGTATCTATTTACAAACTAACATTCTTCTCCTTGACCTATACCAACTGTAAATAACCTGAATGTTAAGCTTCAGTGCACTGTAGTAATGAGAGAAATAATAAGCTGTAGAAAAAATAGATTAATAATAAAAGAATCATGTAAAAATAAATTATCTCTATATTGATGTTGTTGCACGAGAGGAACGCAAGCAATGCTTGGAACTTAACTATGATAAATCAGAGAATATATTGAAAAATTAAGGCATATTGTTAAATTCTATGCAGTAATTTCAAACACAGCACGAAGAGTACATTTGTTTAGAAACCACTTCCTAGATCATGCTTTAGATTTTTTTAATGAAGTAGAGTTTTATTAAAATTATTTACTGATTAAATTATTTAGTGATGATGCAAATAAGCCAACAGTTAGTTCCACCTCAAAACTTAGCTCAAGTGGAATAAATCCAGTTTAAGAGTTGCCTTCAATTCTCAATTGAATAAATATATATGTTACTAAAAACAGAACTACCTTTACATTTTCAAAGTCATCCAAGATAGATGGTGTTGCATCTATTCAAAATTCAGCTTCTACTTTTAATTATCCATGGTTATTTTTGTCCTAGAATTAGCAAAGAGAGTATATTATCCAAAAATGGATGATAGATCTCAGATTACATTGAATTTAGTTTGTTTTATGCTTATAATTTGATATCCAAGCTATTTGTTATATTTAATAATTAAGGAATTTTTACTTCAATACAGGAAAATCAGTGGGGAATTTAATATTTGCTGTAGTCTGTTCTGAGGAATGAGTGTTATTCATTAGTCTTTCCATTAGCTAATTGCATATCTCGTCTTGTAATATTTTCTTCCTGTACATGTGAATTCATAAGAAATATTCCCCAGGTAATAATGCAACAATAAGTAAAAATACTTAACATAGGTTATAATAATAAAATCAGCTGTAGTGAGTTGAATAGTGTCCCCCCCAAAATTCATGTTCTCCCAGAACTTCAGAATGTGACCTTATTGAGGAAAAGGTTTTTGCAGATGTAATTAGTTAAGAATCTCAAGATCCAACCATCCTGTATTTAGGTGAGCAATGACTGATGATTTTATAAGAGACAGGACAGGGAGATTTGAACACAGAGAGACATGCAGATATAAAGAACACAGACCCAGAGAAAAGAAGTCCACACAAAGTTGTAAGCAGAGATTGGAGTTATGCTTTCACACGTGAAGAAATGCTTTCACACGTTGGAAGAGCAGAGGAAATATTATTTCATTGGAGCCTGATGTGGCTCTGTCGACATCATGATCAGACTTAAAGACTCTGGAACTGTAAAAGAATACATTTATGTTGTTTTAAGCCACTCAGTTTGTGGTGTTTTCTTATAGCAGCCCTAGGAAACTAATTTAGCAAGTGTAGCCGTACTTTCACAGTTATAAGCAATCTAGTTGTTACTGAATGGGATTAAAAAGCTAAATCATTTTCTTTCATATTGACTCTTGAATATATATTTTTAAAAATTCCTTTTGTTGTTAATAATAAAATGGCTGAGAATAGTTGCCAGGAAATTATGAGAATTAGAGTAAAAATATAAATTAGAGTAAAAATGTGAAGTGGGTAATACAGCATTACTGGTTCGGATAATCTTTGTTTAAGGGCCAGATTTTAAGATCAATTATTCTATCAATTTTCCAAAGCACATACAATCTTTTTCCTTTCCTTCAAAGCTCATAAAATAAGGATTATAAGCTCATAAAATTCAGGATTATAAATCCTGAATAATCAGACTTGAGAGACAGAGTGAATGAATTTATCTATGCCATGGTTAGATGTCTCTGCATTCTAAACTAATTCCTAGCAACACAGACATAGGCCAGATACAAATCGAAGAATATGATATCATTGAGGATTAAAGAAAATTTAATTACAGCTTATATCAATCATTAAAAAACAGGAGTTCCAAGATCTTTGTTTCTGGTTCTTTTATTAATTATTTTGTAGTCAATTCATTTAACTTGTTTGGGTCTTGTTTTGTTTCCAGGTTTCAATTTATCTCTACATCCTTTTCTAGCTTGAACAAGTCAAGTTCCTATAAAAAAGTAAAAGATATTTTAAAATCTGAAATTATCACAACTCTTGCTTAAATGGTAAGATAAATTTTAAGCCCAAAGAAGAAATATATATTATTACAGTATAAATAGATAATATTTTGAAGGAGTGGGGAATGGGAAGAGGTTGGTCAATGGGTATGAAATTTACTGTTAGGAGTATTAAGTTCTGGTTGTATTGCACAGTAGAGTGACTATAGTTAACAATAATATATGCTACATAGTCAACCGTCTATAACTTTGGTTCTGCATCTTTCGATTCAACCAACAGAACATCAAATATATTCAGAAAGTAATGGATGGTCATGTCTGTGCTGAACAAGTACAGATTTTTTCTTGTCATTATTCCCTTAAAAGTATAGTATAAAAACTATGTATATAGCATTTACATTGTATTAGGTGTTATAAGTAATCTAGGGATGTTTAAAAGTATACAGGAGAATGTGTGTAGATTATATGCAAATACTATCCCATTTTATATAAGAGACTTGAGCATCCATGGATTTTGGCATTCTCAGGGGCTACTGGAACCAGTCCCCCATGGATACCAAGTGATGACAGCATTTCAAAATAGCTAGGATAGAGGATTTGGAATGTTTCCATCACAAAGAAAAGATAAATGTCTGGGACAGGTGTGGTGGCTCACACCTGTAATTCCAGCAATTTGGGAGGCCAAGGCAGGCAGATCACCTTAGGTCGGGAGTTCGAGACCAGCCTGACCAACATGGAGAAACCCCATCTCTACTAAAAATACAAAATTAGCCGGGCGTGGTGGCACATGCCTGTAATCCCAGCTACTTAGGAGGCTGAGGCAGGAGAATTGCTTGAAACTGGGAGGCGGAGGTTGTGGTGAGCCGAGATTGTGCCATTGCACTCCGGCCTGGGCAACAAGAGCGAAACTCCATCTCAAAACAAAACAAAACAAAAAAGATAAATGTCTGAGTTGATAGATATGCTAATTACCTTAATTTTGATTATTACATACTGTACACGTATTTCAAAATATCACATTGTATACCATAAATATGTACAATTATTATGTGTCAGTTAAAAACAAAAATGAATTTTAAAAAACAAAGTCAACTGGCATACCTAATAGATTTCTGTCTTTAAGTACTAGGTTAATGGAAGTTTAATTATAATTTACCAAAATTCAACATAGCATATTGCTATTCATGTGTAAGGTGGGTCGCTGTACATTTTATTAGCAGATAAGCAAAGAATTGTATTTCCATGTAATTGAAAACCAATGGCAATTATTTAAAAATAAGAATGGCAAGAAATCTAATTTCATTCACCAAAACTAATGTAATGGTGCCAGCTAATATCCACTTTTGAACCTAAGAAATATTCAATTATTAGAAGAGAAGCTAATCCATTGTTTAATTTTTAGGAAATTCTTGATCTACATTATCTATCATATTTAAACAAGAAAGCCATTGGATCCCACTTTGTCTTATAGAATCAATATACTTAAAATTTAACATTCATTTTTTTCTTCCCATTTTTAAATTTTAAAAATGTAAGCACTGAAAAATCTTATTCACATGAAAAGGCAGAAGTTTAAGTAGATGATAGATAGATAGATAGATAGATAGATAGATAGATAGATAGACAGACAGATAGATCACGCAGTTCTTTTAACTCCTTATGAGTTATTGGTGAAAACTCCCACAGTAAATTGTCATTAAGGTTTACTTTCAAAGATATACCAACTATACACTTGATTCACACTCCCATCATTCCTTTTGTAAACAAAAAAATTGAAAATCAATTTAATATTGCAAAGGAAGATAAAAAGAGAGGAAGAATAGAACAAAAGAACTATAAAACAATCGGAAAGCAATTTACAAAACGCCTAACTTAACATTCTAACATAGGATTTAGACACCTTGAATAATTTCAATATCAAGAGTATTCTACATATGACTGAATAATGACAGCATGTTACAGTTTTAAAATAATTTAAATCTAAATATTTGTATGTGTATTAAAAGTTAAATTTTTAAATGCTTTCATTTTCTGGATCTACATCACAACAATCCTGTGAAGTTGAAAAGAGCTAATCCTACCATCATTTGCTAGCCCTGAAACTTACTATCTGTGAGCTGAGAGACTGAATCACCTGACCAAAATTTTTTAGCCAGCCACGGCTGAGTTAACAGTTAAGGCCAAATCCTCTCTTTCTTAATCCACAATGATTTTCACTGTACCATTTACTTCACAGAAAAAAAAAACTAAAACATCTATGAAAAAGATTATTCTAGATTATATAAAAAGGCCTAACAATACTTTTGAGGATAAATCAAGACTTTGATGGTATTTATGCGGGTTTACCAATACAAGTTTCAACTGAAAACAAGTTTTGTTATTTTAGCCTAGAAAACTTAAACAAAGAAAATAAAACAATAACAGCTTTCAAGAATCAAAATAAAACATGTTTTAAGTCACGTTTTACAAACTGCAATTAATGTTTTGATTTCCTTCCATGACCCTTAACTATTGATACAGAAAATGGGTATCAGTAATACCAAAAACAACTCATACTTACCAAGCACTCATATATTTTTAACACTAAGTCTTACCATAACTTTTTATAGGAGGCTCAGATATTTTCCTATTTTACAGATTAGGAAACTGAAGGAAGGAGAGATAGATTAAGCAACTTTCCTATGCTTACAGCTCATAAATGTCACCCCCTGAATACAAATACAGTGTGACTATAGAGGTCGCTCAGGCTTAACTGCTATATGAAACCTCAATGCTTTGATATAGGATATATATTTTATAGTGAAGAGAATGATGCAATTCTTTCATTCATTGATCCTATCATTTAATACTGGGGTGAAGAAGATGAAAAGGGGAAAGTTTTCACCACAAAGGAGTCTGTAAGCTTGAAATTATGACTTCCAATATTTATTTAATAGGACAGGTAATTTTCCCAGGTTTTTAAATTAAAAAAAAACCCTTTTAGATATTTCTCTTTGTTACTATTGTAGCAAGGCACTCTAGACACTATAATTAATTTTGATCCTGCCATTATTTTGAATATTACCTCATTAAAATAGGAATAAATGATGGAACTACCATTTGGCAAAAAATAAAAATGAAATAAAAGTCCGATTTTGAAAAGTACATATTGCTCTGGACTTTGAGGAGATACTTCACTCATATTTATGGAACCTTTCTAAGGGGCTGAGAACTTAAAAGTTGTTTGTCAAAGAGCTGTAAATGTCTGGAAAATAATACATACACACTTATAGGCAGAAATACAAGCATGGAATTTGTACATTGTTAGCATAAATATTTTTCACATAAACCTTAATAAAGCCTTCAGCCCATTCCTGGAAGCCTCTCCAATTTTCTAAAAGCTGTCTTTAAATATTCTTGGCTTCTCATGTTTGATTTAGGTCTGCAGGCTATGCTTCAAGTCAATAACTTCACATAATGGAGCTCAGTTTTGTATTTTGTAAACCAGGTGCATAATAAGTCTGTACATTGGCTCAACCACTTTGATCTTTCTCCACTGTCTTGTAAGAACGCTGCAAGACTCTGTGCGTCAACATCTGCCCATTAATCCACAAAATCTGTCCTGCCATTCAGTGAACCTTTTCATCTTCTTAGTGTTGTTTCTGCACTTAACTAAAACATTCTTGATTCCTACATACGTAAACACTGTCTTATTCTGAAAACCACCACCTTCCTCTCTACACCCAAATACAGTGATACACACATATATTGGAATAAAAAAAATTGAAGGTTTCTTTAAGCTAGAGGGCTAGTAATCTTCTGCTAGTGTGCTGTTGAAGAAAATTTTACAAAAGGAAAACTTCTTTAAAAGTATATCGTTTAAGGCCATCTAAAAACTAGCATCTGAAAGATAAGAAGCGCAGCCTCAGTTTTTTGTGAGTAACTGTTGTAGTTGCTTATGCTGATATGCATAAAAGATAATGTAAATATATCTTTATAAGAGCTGTTGTTTACTTAGAGAGGAATGGCTCTTTATTGTATTCAGAAGGAGAAAGCTGTTGCAGTTTAATTAAAATAAACAAGTCATGAGTTGGAGATAAATAACAGAGGTTCACTTAAAATGAACTAAAGGTATTATTAATTAAATAGATATCAAGCCAAAAGGTATTAAAATTTTCATGTCAATGACCATTGCATGCTACTAACACATTCAAAATATATACCTGAACAAACCTTTTTATTATTGTGCTGTATTTTGGTGGGAGCTGCATTTAGATTCAGGATAATAATGCCTTTTGTTAATTTATCAAAATGTATGAAATACACACTCTACATTATGGGTCCCTATTTTAATTGATGTGTTTGATATTCATAATCAAAATGTTTTAATGCCTTAACTTTATTTTTTGAATAGTCTATCTAATTTCAGACAGCTGGTAATGACCCCTCAATAAATACTGACTGACCAAAGAAGACATCCTATAAAAGATGTGCTCTCTGCTGACAGACTCACAACTACTATTATACACATACAATGATACAATTAAAAGTAAAAATAAAACAGCACATAAAACTCTAAAGCACATTTACAAGATCTTCAACAGTAAAAGCAAACTGTTTTTGCTTTCTTTAAATTGAAAATTGAAGCAATTTTCATTGGAACCATGGATGACATGATACTGTAAGGGGAAGATAGCAGGAAATAGTAAAACAAAACAGAAGAAAACAAACAAAAACTACAGAGCCAGGACTCGACTCAATTCATAAGGGCTTTATAAACTGAAGGCAATACCATGAATTGTTCCTGGACACAAATATACAGTCATAACCATTTTGGGAGTATGGATATCACATCCAACATATGGCAAATTTATTTCAGCATATGGTATACCAATCTATACTTGTGGAAACCTTCTCCCCTCCTCTGTATCTTCTTATGGGAGATCCTATGGAACAGAGTGTTTTGTCAGTGGGAATCTGACTATACAGAGATTAACGACTGTAGTCTAAAGACTAGAAGAGACTTTATCCAAACCAAACAAGCAAGTATAGACAGGGACAGAGGTCTAGGCCCCAAAGGAGAAACCAAGTGGCTATAGTGTTTGGAGGCTAGAGCATTATAGATTCAAGAATATTCTAATATTTTACCTTTAGTAAATAACATTTATTATGCTTCTATTGTATTATCAGGATCCTAGAAATAGCTTCCCTTTAAACCAGGGGTTAATCTGGTGTCCACAGAAGCACAAGGGCTCTGTGGATAGAATTTAGGGAATCCATGATATTGAATGGGGAAAAAAAAAACATTTTCACTAAAGTCTAAATAAAATGTATCTTTTTCTTTTATCACGAATTATTCTCATCAGTAGAAGCCAGCTAGATAGTATTATAATCATATTACAGTTGTAGACCCCTTAAAATGTACTTTATAACTATAATGACTTCAAAATTACTGTAGTTATTAAACTTGCCAATAAATATTGTTATGCAAAACATTAATGAAAACATATGCATCCTTATATCACAAATTTGATATTTTATAAATGTATTTAAATTTAAGTGGTTCCTTATAATCCTGTTATCTATGCATTCAATAATGTTATTCTGAGATAGCATATATATGCACCACCAGACTTCCAAAGATTTGCTGACTTTTAAAAGTTTCAGAACCCCTACTTTAAATCCCTTGAAAATTTTAAGAGTTTAAGAAAGACATAGGTTTGTGAGAAACGACGTCGAACAACAGACTAGATATGGCCCTTAATGCAAGATTTTGCTTAGTTTAAAATGCAACATTTAGGCAATGATTTGAAATAATAGTGTTAATAATATATCAGAAATCCAAACTTTAACTACTTTGTCTTCATTCATAAAATTTACACGTATCTAGGTATGTCAGAGGCTTGGCAAGTGGTCACTATGGAAAGCGACCACAATTACAGTATTGTAATTGTGTAAGGTACTGAAGAAAGGAATGAAGTTACAGGTTTTTCTCTTGAAATTATAATTAGGGACATTTTTTAAAAAAAGGTCAGCACACACCCAATGGACTTATGCATACTTACGAAAACATATACAAAACATATGCATATATACAAAAACATACACACATATTTATATCCAAGAATTTAATCCCACTACCATCCAAATGTGAATATCTGGCTACATTCACATGAATCATTTCTGAGGCAATATCTAAAGCCAGCTTCATCTGCATTTAATTTTCTCATATCCTTGAAAGTTCAAACTGGAAAATTGGCATTCAAATCTTAAACATCTACACATAAAATTCATACTTTAAGTTTTTTTTTTTTTTTTTTGAGATGGAGTTTTGCTCTTGTTGCCCAGGCTGGAGTGCAATGGCGCAATCTCAGATCACTGCAACCTCTGCCTCCTGGGTTCAAGAAATTCTCCCGCCTCAGCCTCCCAAGTAGCTGGGATTACAGGCACGTGCCACCATACCTGGCTAATTTTTGTATTTTTAGTAGAGATGGGGTTTCACCACGTTGGCCAGGCTGGTCTCGAACTCCTGACCTCAAGGGATCTGCCCACCTCAGCCTCCCAAAGTGCTGGGATTACAGGCGTGAGACACTGTGCCTGGCCTCATACTTTAATTTTAAAATTCTATATTTTAAAAATGATATTCTATTCTTCTTCACTGGAAATTTAAGTTATGAAAATACCAATTAGCTTTAAGTGTTATTTATTTATTTCTGTGCATATGACATTTGAGGGTTATTCTCACTGAAGGACTTTTGCTCAATTGTTTTTCAGTACAATTTTGCTTCAATTGTGACCATGGGTATGACAGCACTCAGGGGAAATGACATCAGTGCTTTGCCTGGCCATTAGCACTCAAAAAAATTTTCTAAAGTATCAGTACAAACCCCCAGAGAAGCTGGCTAAACATGATTGTAAGTCCCCTATCCTGTGTTTACTTGAAAACAGAGCCTGTGGTGAAAGATTATTAGGGAGTTTGAAAAGCAGGAGTCCAAGAAAAGTGAGATGGGGAAATGGGGAGAGCAAATACTGAGGGTACCCCAGGGCATATGCCAATGCTTAAGAAGGTAAAAACAGAGTGATTAAGCAGAAAATTGTGGCTCAAATATTTCAGGAGGCAATAAAACTGCACAAAAGAAAACTGGAGTTAAGACTATCAAAGATGGACACTGTCTTAACTGGACTGGCTAAAACAAAAAAGTCTAAGGTTTAGAGATGAGAAAACCTAGAAAAGTGAATACAATACAGCTTCAGCAAAATCTAAACCCAAAGCAAGACAGGTATAAAAAAAGGCTTTGAAAAGCACATTGTCATCTAATTGCTTAAAGTCAAATATAAAGAGGAAATATTAAAGAGGGCAAATGAAAAGATAAGTTACCTTCAAACTAAAAATAATTAGACCGAAAGTTGATTTTCAGCAGAATATATGATACCCAGGAAACAATGGAATGCTATTTTTTAATTTTAAATTTTGGTGGGTACATAGTAGGTGTATATATATATATATATATATATTTATAGGGTACATGAGATTGTTGTGGCTTTTGTAGTTTGGCAAGCAGGAGGGAGTGGCACCCAGAAGCCTTTTTGCTCCCATAATTTGGCAAGTGAGAAGGAGGGTTACAGCTCTTTTATTCCTACTGCCTGCAGCTCAGCAAACGGGAGGGTTACAGCTCTTTTCCTCTTGCCATTGGCAGCTTGGTGTGTTCAGGGTTCTTGTCCTGCGATCAAGAGGAATAAGGTACGCAGACATCATAAGGCAGAAAAGAATTTTATTGACCAACAGGAGGAAAGTTCTCAGCTGTGAGATAAGACCCTGAAAGCAGGTAGCTGTCTGTGAGGCTGAGTCTGGGGGTTTTACAACCAGTATTCAAAAGTTGCAACCTTTATGGCCTAGACTGCCTTTCACGTTTACTTAGAAACCCAGAGAATTTTAGCTCTTGGTGGTGAGGTTTGTAGGAACTCAAGTTCTGATCACTAGAATCACCAATTCCCCTCTGGCTCGGGCTGGTTTAAATGTTCCCTCCATGGGCAGGCATCAGGTGAGTTTGGTCTGGTTTTCCTTTCTGCTCTAACAGGACAACACTGAGTTCAATGGCTCACAATTGTTGTGCTCTTACTCCCCCAGCACCCAGAGATGCTCTCAGTGCACCCCACTGCTGCTATGGGTGGGGAAGAGGTGTCATCAGCAATTCAAGACTGTTCTCACTATCTTTTTAGTGCCCTTTTAGTGATACAAAGTTAAAATTAGGTAACTATGAGAGTTTACCTGATTTTTGGTTCCTATGAAAGTGTTTTTTGTGTGTAGATAGCTGTTAACTTGGTGTCTTTGTTGGGGGAGTGTTTTGCTGTGAACCAAAAAACCGTTTTTAAAAATAAACTCTATTTTTTTTAAGTAGCTCATAAACTATGTCCTTCACTGTCAATTATTCTATGTGTTCAGTGGCCTCAGGGCATCCTAAAATTTGTATTAATAGTTTGAGTTATTTTAGCAATAATTTCCAAACTCTTGCACATTTACACTAAGAATGGCATACTCAGAGATGCTGAAATTTCACGTAGCATTTCTTCATTTTCCATGCACTCTCCAACCTTCTTTCTCTTTTTCTCTGTGTTAGCTGAGGTTGGTTCGGTACTTTTCTAATTGCCAATTCCTTTTGCTATTCCTTTATAATTATGATCCTAAGGTCTGAAGATAAATAAGAAATAGCTGAAAACAGAAAAATTATAAGTGGGCCTTTCTCAGTACTGAGTTTGGATGAGGAATTTATCCAGTTTGGGCAAATGGAAGAAAGAGAGTTCAGGTATTAGACCTGCTGCCCACGAATGATATTATGCCTTAGTTTCCATTGTTTCCTGTGGCAACAAATTCAAGGATTCAAGACCCTAAACAGAGAACCTGGTCAAGTTGTTTCCGGTAATAGAGCCAACAGCTATGAAATAAGAGGCTTAAAAGTTGCTGCAGATATCAAAAGCCACAATTCCAATTGCTAAAATTCATGGATAAATAGCTCTCCCTCCATAATGGTGTATTGTCAAATGTGAAAGTTCATTAAGTTTAGCCATTAGGTATTTCAAAGTTAAAGCAAAGGTTGATGTGCTGCTGCACTACAAACCAGAATCTTCTTGAGCAGATTCTTGATAAGATTATTCCTTCAGACTTTGATTTAAGTGCTAGCAAGGGGATGATGCCTTTAAAAAAAAAAATAGCTAGAGCTTGAGCAGAAAGTCCACACACTGTAGTTGCAATCAATGCTAGTTGATGTCAGCTTCACTGCACCACTGAAGTCACTGAAGAAAAAAAGTTTGAGTTCAAAGTATTCCTAAATATAATTATTACTATGACAGTAAAACATTTTCAGAAATTATTTAATATCAAACATTCCTTGTGAAAGATTTTTGAGGTAAAGACATTCTACTTGTTTTTAATTTAAACCACAATAAAAATATCTGCATGTTACTGAGTGCTTGCTCCACGTCAGACACTTTTCTGAATATTCTATGTGCACTTCTTCATTTATTTTTAATAATCCACAGGAGATACTATTATTAGCATAATTTTTCAGGTGACAAAACTAATCACTGACAAAGTTAAGTAATTTGCGCAAACCTACAGAATTAGCAGTAAACCAGAAGTTGAACACCAGACTCCATACATAACCCACAAACAATACTTTTTCTATAACAGCAAACCACTTTGCCAAATACTTCTTCACCACCATATATTATCTATTTCATTTAATTACATGAATTTCAATTGACAGCAAGATGAAAATAGATGAGAAGCATTGAGATATACTATTTAAAATATTGAGAATAATTTATGAAACATGTCCTAATCCCTAACTATACATTTTGGCTTGTACTTTGTTTATGTGCCATTTTTTTGTTGGTTTTCTATTTTCTTCACAAATATGTAAGCCTTATGAAGAGAAATAACTCTATCTGCTTGCTCTCCAGAGTATCTTCATCACTTAGAACAGAGCCTAGAACGTGGTAAGTGTGAAATAAATATTATATAAATGAATGACTTCATATGATATAAAACATATTTCTGATTGTTTCCTTAATTTGTATTTTAATTAACACTGATATTTAATACTATCTCCCTCTTTCTACCACAGATATTAATATTCTATGAAAGTGTTTGAAAAAGGTACATGATGCTATAAAAATGCTCAAATTGCATATGTTCCTCAAAATTGTTCCCTTCATCTGTATCATCTGCCTTTACATGATCTTCAATGATCATATAATTGAAGATCATATTTATTTGATCTTTGCATTTATATGATCTTTGCAATTTTTAGAGTGAAAATTTGGAGATTAAGAAATTAATGACAGGCAAGAGAGAACAAAAGACACTTGAAAATTTGCCATGATACTGGTTTTTAAGAAACTGTTAAAAACAAGCAGTAAAACAAAAGAGTTGAATGCCTGTAGCAGGAGGTGTAGAAGTTTTTAGTGAGCGTCAAATTTACGCTGTCCAGGAAACTATAAACAGATTTTAAGGAGACCACCAGAAATTTTCACTCAAAACCAGTAACCCATGTCTGGCTACATATATTAGTCAGCTCAACTGGACAAATGTTACTATTGTAGCAGAAGAAGCCTATGGCTATCTCATACTCCACAGCTATTTTAAGAGAATGAGGATTCTTGCCTTGTGGCCTCTGAGGTTTTCCAGTGAGTATATTTCTCATCCTATTTTTGTTATCAAACAGCTAGGAGGTTGGAAGGGTAAACGAATGGCTTTCCCAGACATTTAGCTGAAAGTCATAAGGGAACTTTCCCCAGGCTGCCAGTCCCTGATAATACATATTTAAAGAATTAATTCTGATAATTTCTGGTGTCTGTGAAGCCTCCATTCTGGGAAAAAAAAAAAAAAACTTGTCAAGTGTCAGTAGTTAGAGAAAGCCATTCCTGCAGAGTTTGTGATGGCCATCTGGAGCTTTTCTGACCTTTCTCTTCAAGTTAAGGGTCGGCAGAGGCAGAGCCATTAGGCAGTTAAAAAACATATTTTCACCATACATTGTTGACCACACACCTGCAGTATTAGGCTGTTAAAAAATCATAAGGATTGCAAAATGTTCTCCTACCTTGCTTAGCAAGAACAGAAGTGTAAACTGAAATACCTGATAGTTTTCAAGGTGACATGCCGTTTTCCAATCTTGACGCCCTGTTTGTGCTTAGGTAGTGGCTAAAGCAATGTAATGGAAGTATCATTTTATCACTTCACCTTTTAGGATCCAATTTATCCAGTACACTTTTGAAATCAGTTGTTTGAAGCTCAAATCTTTTACAACTCTCAGATAGAACAGATGGCACAGCCATATTAGCAGTGACACTATATATACACACCAAGTGAACCGGGGCTATTATCTGGTTAAGTGGCTGTCAGCATTTCCATTACAAACCCAGCTTTCAAGGGTCTATAATTCAGATACTTTAAATAACATCTGGCTGAAACTTGGTGTATAGAAATGATGAGTGTTGAGTAAAAATTAGTATAATTTTGTGAATGTATGAATACTTCTGGAAGACTCAGCTTGATCAATCGGGTGCTTTTTTAGCGATGACTTCCACTAATTAGTATATTTTGAGGTTCTAAGCACATGCCATTCATTTATTCAGTCAGTCAGTTAGTCACTCATCAAATATTTATTTCACATTTACCATGTGCCAGGCCCTGTTCTAAATGGTGGAGATATTCTGGAGAACAAGCAGGCAGAGTTCCCTCTCCTTGTAGGGTTTATGTATTCATGAAGAAAATTTAAAAATCAGCAAATAAATAAATCTCAAACCAGTATGTACAGTTGAAGATTATGGTATGTTTCATAAAATATTCTCCATACTTTAAATAGTACACCTTGATCTTTCTAATCTTATTTTCATTGCACTGTCAAAAAGGTGGCAATATATACTTTAATATTTACATTATGTCAATCATAGTTAGAATAAATGCAAAGCTCACCTGATGTTATTTTAACTGCCATAGTAGGACAAAAATGTTCTCATTTGATATCACAAATTTTAAATGGACAAAAATATACAAAAAACATGGAAACTGAGCTTTCAAAATAAATCATGCAGGTATTAAGGTAACCACTGCTTTATTGCTAGTAGAGGAAGGGATACTTGGGTTTTGTAGGTCTTGAGTCTTGTACAATTTTGGGAGCCCTCCTTTAAGAAAATGTATCTTTAATAACAAAACAAACTTAAATATAAAAGTTAATATTTAAAATGAGAAAGAGAGTAACAAATTTAGAAAATCTCCCATATATTACAACATCAAGAATCCATCCCCTAGGGAAAAGTCCATGCAAGTGACAGTCTCTGAACCTTTATTTACCCTTCTGGCCTTCATGGTAAATTTATTTGCCTCTGTGTAGAGGAAACATGTTGAGCCAAAACAGTTAATTACCATTAATTGTAAAACCATAGAATCTCAAAGTTAGATACAAATTTGAAAGAAAGTAAAAGACCTGCCAAATACTGACTGAATTTTAATAAATTAGAAACAAACATTTGAGTAACATAATAGAGACCAGAAGAAATAATATTCTAAATTCTGTTTGGTATCTAAGATTTTTTTCCTTTAAAATTTCACATCGTTGTCTAAAACTTCTATATTTAAGTGTGTTTACTCTCTACTTGATAAATTAATTTCATGTAGCAAAAAACTCTCAGTTCCAGCAGAGGTGACTGACTGGCACACTCAAAAGAGGAACCTAAGGCCATATTTTGACTTGGTTAAAAAAAAGCATTGCATCAGGTGAAAGTCATGTGCGCATGAGCGATGAGTGAACATATTAGCCCACAAATTTTACTTGTTAAGGATCAGGATATAAAAGAAAGAGGAGAGACTTGAGAGAGTTCAAATCCATGTTTTCACGCTTATTAGATGAGGATCCTGAGGTAAGTTATAATCTCTCTTTAAATCTCAGTTGTTTTATCTACAAAATTTCAGCAATAATATTCCACTGTAAGGAGATTTTCAGGCTTAAATGAGATTTTCATATCTAGAAAACCTAGTACTTAGTAAACAGTCAATAAATACTAGCTTCATCCCTATCCACACTTGCAAGTAGTTGTGAACTTTGAACATCTGTGGTAAAGCAAACCATGTTGTATATAACCCACAAGCTTCTTTCTGGTAACACGCAAGCTTCTTTCTGATCACAATCTTCTTTCTGGTAGAGTCCAGCCACCAGAGTGAGGTCTGCTATGACACTTTCTCTCAGCACTGAATAATAACGTCCTCTATTATAAGAGCTAGTAGGCACTTACTCCATTCTCCTCTTCTAAAACAGGTACAGGCATCTTTGTGCATTAAAGAATTATTTATCATGCATAACATCCTGTAGGTATAATGATCACAGTTCCTTTGTTCAAAGATACCCCATTAGCCAGCCAATTATGTTGGTGATCTGTTAGCCTCCTTTACAGCCCAAATGCTCCCTGCTCTCTAATTCATATGAACTTTTAAGAATGCCATATGTTCAAATTGCTTCACTCCATACTTATTTCCTTTCCCACTATTATCCCCATCTGTGTAACTGCAGGCTTTGGGGAATGGATACTTAGCTTTTCATTGGTTTTAAATCCAAGTTACTGCCCGGTTTATTTACATGTGTTTTATTTAATTGCTTTCTTCGGGTATTTAATTTGTTTCATGTTTACTTGACTAAAAATCTTGGTTAAAAACAGTCTGTTCTGAGAGAATGTGAAAAGTTTCCATGTCATCCATCTTACTCTAAGTTTGCAATTCTAAGGATATGGCCATCTATATCTCAATGTGGTTGAAGAAAATCATCCTCCCTTTCTTGCTGCAGAAGAGTTCTCAGAGTCTTCATTTCCTACAACTCTATCGTCTTTCTTTTATTTGTGCCATTTAGCTTAGGTGAGGAACAGACTTAAAGCGCCCAAATAATGGCTATGTGACTGGTGATGGAGTGTTAGCAAAGTGATGTAATTCTTATTGTAACACTGAAAGGTTATAATAAACCTTAGGAATATCTGATTAACTTGATATTTTCATTAATATCAGCACTCTCAGTATTTGCTTTAAGATTGATTTTGACTGTCTCTTCCAATGCTGAAACATCCACATGATCTGTATATGCTCCTGAAGAACTGGCTGGTGTACATGGTGAAGATAGAATTATCTAAATGGTCACATTGCTTTGGACCAACATGATATTCTTGGTTAAGAGTTTTCTGAAAAGGTCTGTTAGGAGAACTTTTTGTCATTGTTTTTCCACAAAAGAGACAGTTTAATAGAATACTTTATCCCCTGCCCCTACTTTTTAAAAACGAGTAAATGATTCCATGAATGATATAGGATTATCCTTCTGCAGTACATAGCAAGTAATAAGAAACTGTGAATCATACTGTAAGCTATTTGGGTCAAGTTTCTTCCTATTTAGAGGCAAAAGCTTTACTATATATTTCAGAATATACAATTTCTAAGAGCAGAATATGGAGGACTTCAGAAAGGCATTCTAAAAGTTGATCACAGGCTTTAATCTACTTTATGAGTCCCCTTATTAGGGCATAGATGTGAGGTTTATAGAAGAATTATTTATTTTATTTTGGCTATCCTTCTCAAATTGGAGGTCTGAAGGTATATCTCAGGGAGTACCAAATGGATAAAAAGTTCAAGATAAGTATGACGCATCTTCTGTCAATTCCATTCTACTTAAAGCTATGAAGAGAAGAAAATCAAGTAACTTAATTGCAAATAATTTTATATTTATTTTAAATTAAAACATGTTATATATCAATGTATTATTGAATAAAAGTGTTTTTGATGAGACATGTGACTTCAAAATTATTCCACTCTGCTGGTGAGCTCCTATGTGTAATAACCCTTTGCTGCCAGGGGAACATGGCCATTCCCTTCTGTCACTAGTGTTACCTTTGTAGAAATGTTTCATACAGCATAACCTGGTATAATTTGAAGAGTTATTTTATTGTTTCTCACAGAAAAGCCCATTCAGAAGGGTTTTTGAGATATCAACATGTTTGACAATAAGAAATATTTGTTAATCCATATCCATACACACATACACATTTAAGAAGAAAAATTGGGTAAACCACCATAGAGATGACACACTTTCTCTTCATATCTTATTACTGCCATGAATGTTTGCAAATAATGGGCAGCCAATGATCATGACACAGGCTTATCAAGGCAAATTGACATTGATTCATGCATATTACATTTTTATACATACTGTATTCGAACCACATACTCAAACTGAGGTGAGACTAACTCATCATCTCTTTACTTCTTAAGATAATGAAAGAATAAGTAATTGGTATCTGAATTGAGGTAATTCTAAATAATATCATGCATGGGTATTCATAAAGTACTTAGGTTGGATTAAGAAGCTGAATACATAATTCAGGTTACCAGTATTATTTTATAAAATACTTTGATTTTCTGGTAATGTAAACTTACTGTGAGTACCACAGCATAATATTATTACAACAAAATCCCAATTCATTAGAACCTCAGTCATTGGAAATTAACGATATTTTGAATTATGCTGTACCAAATTGAGCTGGGCTTCTGCGCTATTTATCGAGATAGTAAAATCACCATGCAAGAGTTCAGAATAACTGACTTCTATAAAGGAAGAACCATATTATATTGGCATAATGTCAAATAAGAAACACATGCTAATTAGTCTGTTAATTGTGTCCAATAAGATAACTTGCCAGTAATATCAAAGTTTGTTTCTTAAATGTGTAAGCTGGGGATGTAATATTATATGTCTAACAGTAGTTATTTGTGTTAATTTAAACTTTCCTCTAATTCACAATTTCATTTTTTAGTTGATCTAAGATGTGTATGTCACATTTACCAAAATATTCTGACATCTAAATCCATTCATAAGAGATTTGTAGTCATTGGTATCTACCATTACTGAATAGCCTTTTGAACTGAACATATATGTACATGAAGTTATAGCTTGCCTGTTGTCAGTGCACACTTGCATATAATTTTGACTAACAAAAGAAAACTAGAAAGGCAAAAATTACATTTCACAGACACTACTTTTTATTTAGATTTCTCTTTTAGGGATGACAGATATGAATGTTTTTTCTTAAAAGCTTTGCCATTGGTGCACACACACTATTCATTCTCTTTTGCTATTTCTTTCTCCCTCCCTCCCTTCTTCTATTTTAAAAGGAAAATTAAAGATATATTGGTGAAAAACAAATCAACAGATAGCTGAATAAAATGATCACTTAAGATGCTTAGGAAAAAAAGAAAATCCCAACAACCTGCTTTGCTACTCTGGATCAGCACAGCAACATACAGTTCCAAGTCTCCTATAGAGGGAGCTGCTGCACTACTAAACATTGAAGACCTGGCCTTCAGTTAGATGTGGACAATTTTAAGTCTATTTTACATAAATATAAAAGAAATACTAAGGGCTTATTAACATGTCATTGCGGAACAAAATTTTGTTTTCTTTCTCCACAATGTCACAGATGTCAACTGAATGTGTCTAATGAAATTGATACTACAATCTGTTGGTAAAGCACAGTATTTTGTTTTGTTTTTGGAAGAACATAGGCCAGGTGTCAAGGCAGTGTATTAAATGTGGGTTGCCTCATACACAAAAATATAGATAACTTTACAAAAGAAGAAAATGATATAATTTCAAAGGAGTGAGGTACCAAGGAGTACCTAGCCCCACTCATTCTCCTGCACCAATAACACAGAAAATATTACAAAACAATACACATTTTAATAAATTTATGTCAAAATTAATGACTGATACTTGGTAATGAGGTTTTGTAACAAATTATTGAACCATCATGGAGGAGAAAGAGGAAGTAATTAAGATGATATTTGTCAACTTTTCTTTATATGCTGAGAAGCACCAAGATATAACTTGCTAAATTTAATTAAATTCTGATGGAAACCTCAATGTCTTTATTGCCTGACTGTTAGCTGAGGGTTATGAATACTAATTATTTGCAGTTGTTGTTTCAAGATAATCAAACATGATAAGTTGAAGTATAAATCAGTTATTGGGAAAGAAATAGTTTAAAATATTAAATAACAATAATAATGCTATTGATGAACTAAAATAAAATAATTTTAAGATTTAAGGCAAAGTTTCTAGTGTTAAAAAAGTATTAGTCAATGAGGATATTTAAAATCCAGCAAAGTTGTGCTTAAGCAACAAAATTATATCTTGTGTAAAAGTAAGCATTTAAATTGAAAATATAGTATCTTTTAATGGTGAAATTTATAGAAATTGCTGTGTTATTTGCTTTCTCAATTTACCCAAAAAATCATAAATATTTTAGTGGATTTTATATTTGAGTTCAAGCAATGTATTCAATTTTATGATTATGTTTTTAGATAACAGAGCCAGTTACATTATACAAGTTTAAATTTTTATAATGCTTTACACCTGGCTGATTTATACAGACCATGAACAGACCATTTACAATATTTCTCTGAAGCTTTATTTTCCCTTTATAGTCACTAAATTCAATGCTGAATCAAGCTCGTAAATTACATAAATTAATGGTTAGTACAGTTACTAGAGCTCTTTCCACATGCTAAAATCTTAATCATAACTTTTGTAATGTGTAAATTGACAGAGTGAAAGGCTAACAGTTTTTTTATCCCCAACCAATTTTTAATTATTCTGAAATTTACTATATTGATGATAAAGAACAATAAATTTGCAAGTTTATAGCAATGGCACAGAATGATTTCTGCTGAGGATCTGAAAGAATGTAATGTGTACACAAAACTGAGTTTGTAGCAAAAACATTTTCATAGAAATGAAACAAAAATGAATATCCTTTACAGGTTCAGACTTTTACTGATATCACAAAAATTTATTGATATTATTTCTCTGAAACTGGGATGTATCAAAAGAACTAGTGGAAATTTGTAGGATAAATGATTATTCTCATCTACAAGGCTGTTTTATACTACCTTTCATCTTAGGGCTTTTAGCATATGAATCGACTTACTGAATAAATAATGTTTCCATTATTAAGACATAATAAATAATAGTTTTTAGCATATGCATCAACTTACTGAATAGTTTTTAGCATATAAATCAACTTACTGAATAAATAATGTATGCACTCAACCAGATTTGAAACAAAAGAAGAAAGTGAAATCTGGGGTTAATAAATTAGTTAATTTGAAAAGTAACATTATTATTTAATTTAACAAGCAATCCTACAAAATTAGCTGGGTGTGGTGGCATGCACCTGTAATCCCAGCTACTGGGGAGGCTGAGGCAGGAGAATCACTTGAACCCAGGAGGCAGAGGTTGCAGTGAGCCGAGATTGCACCATTGCACTCCATCCTGGGCAACAAGAGTGAAACTCCGTCTCAAAATAAATAAATAAATAAATAAATAAATAAATAAATAAATAAATAAATAAATTTAACAAGCATTCCTTGAGCATTATGCCAGACATGGTAATAATCCTTGGGAATAAATAATCCAGTGAGACACTGTGCTTGCTCCCCAGTGGGTAGATCTAAATATGTATAAAACCTAAGGATTTGAATAGGTAGAGAAGAGATTTGCAAAACTCGGTGATCTTCATTCCTGTAGCCACATAAACTCAGGGAACCAGGTAAAGAGATAAGGAAAACGAGGACAGGAGTTAAGAGAGAGCTTCACAATGGTAGTGAATATTGAATTATACTTTAAGTACAAATATAAGTCAGTCCTCCATTATCTCAATGAGAAAAACACGCACACATGCATACATTCATGTATAAGTATTTCAGTCAATTTAAATGTAAAACCTTAAAGATAGAAAAGTCAAATATTTATATTTTAATTTTATTAAGTTGCATGTATTTAGGTATCATAAATAATTTTGAGATATTTCTGTATTCCACTCACATTTAATGACATACTTATCTTAAAATGCTTCAACTCTAACTCCAACATCAATGTCCTCTCATCTCCTTGATCCCTTTTCTGTATTCTCCAACACAATTTTCTAAAGCATATATTCACCATTTCAGTCTAAGTTATTTGAGACACAACACATTTTTGAATTTACTGAAAATAAACATCTTTATTGAAGGTGTTCTATTTGAATATTACAGAGAAAAAACATTTTTCATTGGTATACATTTGTGACTTGTACAAAATAACCTTCCAACAATTCTTTCTAAAATAATCTTGGAAAGACTTGTTTTCAGTGACATTTTCCAACTTAAATATTGATGCGTGAGAACTGGTTTCTAATGTTTTTTGTGGTGGAGAGGGGTGAGGGGACTGCTAAGTCAGCATTTTCTAAAGTTAAGGAGTACTGTAAAATGTTCATGGTCTAAAAGTTTTGCGTCATGTTAATTTAAGCTTTTTGGAAACTTTATTTGCTGATATGCAGTGTGAATGTTCAGGAAGAAGATATAATAAGTAATATTTCTTTTTTTAAAATTACATAACCTTTTTTTTGGTTCTCTTGTGGAGCAGTTTTTAAGAGTGAGGCTCTGTAGCACATGTTGCAAAAAAAGCAAGCTGCACTTTACCACTGGGAATACAAGTAAAGGACTGCAAGCACTGTAAAGTATAAAGTGTGCGGTGACAGGACATAAAACTGGAAAGGTCCTTGGGGCTTTGGTACACCATGTTAAGGATCTGCAACTGTGTAGAGATGGCATTTAGGTACAGGGGGCAGTGGGAGTAGGGCTGACAAGAGGTATGTGATATATTCTAGAAATGGTAGCCTGTAGTCACATTCAAATGCTATTTAGGAGTTAGATTAAATAGGATTAGGTTGAGTAATCCATCAGAAACATACACCTAAATCTATCAAGTTTGAATCCATTCAACATTTTATCAAAAAACGATTTATATATTTTGGCATGAACTAGCAGAATGCCTTACTTTTAAATATTCACACAAGGCAATTGCCATTCTGGAATCACAGATGAAGCCATTTGCTATACAGTGGCATTCTATGATTCTTTAAATAAGTATATATGCATTCTAATATTGATGCCTGACCTTTGAAAAACATTTTTTCCCTTGAATTTTGGGAGGACTTAAAGTGAATTTGAAAAGAGCTCTCCAGCTAAATTTGCTTAAGAAGATTAAGTAAATGCTCTGCTGATAAATGCAAAGTTTCAGTATGGAGTATTTAGTGCTTGAGAGGCATGAAAGCAAAAGTAAAGGCTAGTATTTCTATTTTGGGGAGAGTGGCTTCTCATCTGCTCAAGTTCTGAGAATGCATAAACTATTAGCAGTACCTTTCCCCATTTCTTTTACTCTTCTGTTTTCCTCTCACATATTTTTAAGTTCCTCTCTTTACTCATTTTCAAATCCGAAGTACAGGTGTGAGGGAAATAAGATGTCACAGTAATGAAAGACATTTCCACATTTCTAATCTAACTGCCCCAGAACTCAAATGGTTTTCTTTGTTCAGTTGTCAATATTACAGTCACTAATTTTGTCCCATTAATTCCATTCTGTCTTATAGCCTCATCACTCTATTGAAATTGCTCTTGTAAAGGTCAAGTTGACAAAATCAAATAGACACTTCTCTGATCTCAACATTGAAGCAGTATTAAGTTGTTTATATATGCTGGTTTCCATGACATCATGCAATCGTGCTTTTCCTTGAACCTGTCTGGCCAGTTCATCTCAATTTCTTTGGCTGTTTCCACCTTCTTCGAATATTATTCAAAATCTTTACAACTCCTAGTAGCTTTACCTTCCAAGATTTATACTTATGGATCTCTTTTGATGTATCTCTCTCTTTGATGGGTCCTTAACAATCACGAGCTGCAACTGAGGTTTGAGTCCTCTACCTGACTGACTTCCTGCCTACTGACATATCCCTATTTTGATGTTTAGTACAGGCATGCACAGTTTGTACATAATTTTGCATAAACTATTTTTGGTATGCACAGTTTATACATAATTTTGCATAAACTATTTTTGATAAGTGCAGTTTTGTACAGTTTGATGTCTAGTACAGTTCCTACATTTATGTTCCTAGGGGGAAAAAACCTCTCATTATTTGTTTTGGCCAATTTTGCCATGGTTTACAAATACAGACTGAAACAAACTTTGTCATGTAGTATGGCAAATATTAAGGATATAATTTGGGTGGGAAATAGTGAGAAACGGTTTGTAGAAAGGCATATTCCGGTTCCTTCTTCTTCATTTCCCTATGAGTTTCCCACATAATGGGCTGAGGGGCCTTTTTTTTTCGAAATTTATATATTCTGTGAGGGTCATTAGCTTCGCAAAGTGGTCTTGTGGCTTTGTCTTTAAGATACAAACAATAAATTAATGCGTCTGAAGTTCAAGAGTTTTTCCAGTTATCAATTGGCACATATTCGACCAATCCAGCACGTAGTTGCTTAAAACAACAACATTTAGTTTGCTCACAAATCCACAGTGTAGGTCGGGCTTGACAGGAACAACTTATTTCTGTTCCATGCAGCATCAGCTGCGGCAACTCAAAGGCTGGGAGCTAGAATCATCTGAAGGCTTATTCCCTCCATATATCTGGTGCCTGGCCTTAGAAAAATAGAATATTTAAGGGCTGAAACAGATGAAGCTCCTTTGGCTTCTTTATTCATGCCTACATGGCCTCTCCACAAGATCTCTCCAGCATGGTAGCCTCAGGGTAGCTAGATTTGTTACATGTCAGTTCAGGGTTCCCGAGACTTGTGTCCCAAGGGAAAGAGTGCCTGGCAGAAGCCATATCTGCTTTTATGACCTAGCTTTAGAAGTGACACAGCATTATTTCCATTTCATTCTATTCATGGAGGCAGACACAAAGCCTCTTTACCATGCACCAAGCTCAAGGGGAGGGAAATATACTTTGTCTCTTGATGGGGAAGGAGCAAGATTCTAGTCATTTTAGCAAAACGCGATCTGCCATATATTCATAGCTGAATAACTTTTTCCACTTGTTCCAAATAAAGTCATAACCACATGTATTCACGTATTCACTTGATACAGTAAGTGAATGCTTAGTGTGTTATAAATGAGTATTTTGCTTGGGAAAACTAAATAAATATTGCAATGTAATTTAGAATACAGGTATTTTCTAGGAACCCAAAATAAATATCTTGGAAGTAGAGTCATCTAAAGCAATTTAACAGAGATAAAATGGATATTAACAAAGTTTGAAAAGAAAATTGAAAAGGCTGCCTACCCTTTTAGCCCTCCAAATGGATATATTCTTTTTAGCAATTACAGAAGCAGACAGAACACTAACAGCTCTCTTCAAATATAAAGTACAAGATCTAGAAAATGTATCACTTTTATGTCATTTATATTTCATTTTTAATTTAAGCCTCAATCAGTCTTCCTTTCCTAATTCAATCCATCCACTTACCCCCTCTTCATTATAGTCCTCATTTAAAATACAATCCCTTTTTATAATAGATGGTTTTTCTAAGAGTAAAATAACTTCAATTATAAGACTGAAGAAGGGAAGGTTGAAGTTAAACACTTCAAATAATTCCATATTAAGTACCTAAGCACAAGAAATCAAGGGTGCTGGCATGGCAAAGCAAAGGAAAAAAATACCAAAGGAGAAGAATTTTCTTTAAAATTTACTAACCCCTGATGATTCCTGCATTAAGTTGTAACTTTTTGGCTGTGACTCAACACTATCAAAACAATCAACCAAAAAATGAGTTATTTTATCATGTGCATCATCTCAGGAGATTCATTTTTAAAAAGGTAGCAAAAGAGTTGCCTTGAATTACCTCCTTCAAATAATTGACCCATATGAAAGTTGCAGAAGCCCTTTTCCTCACATTTCACTGATCACACACTCATATGCACATATATTTCTCACTATTCGCTGGCTTACTTAACTCTACTACTCACATGGCTAAAACCATTTGGGCTTCTTTCTCTATAATGCCTATTTTAATCCTGAGAAAGCCCCTGTTGGTATCCACTAGAACATAGAATGGAATGCATATGGTATCTTAATCCCTTAAAATCATATTCTCTTAAAGGCTTATATCTGCTTGGAGCACAAAATGGAGAAATGTTTAAAAAGAGACATAAATATGAAACGACATATGTAGGGAAAATGATTACTGTCTTTTATAACTCAAACCATAAAATCAGACCACAGTCTGTGATATATTAGAAGGAACATTTTCCCATTCTCTGCATCCCAGACACTCACTTCTCCTGAAGGGGGGAGGATGACAAATAAGAAAGTTTGTCCTCTTTTGGATCCAATTAATGCATCAGGAGCCTCTATCTTTGAAGCTGTCTGCACTAACCAGAGTTGAACAGACATTGCTTCTCCAGGTAACAGGTTAGTTGTCTGCTCAGAAGACTAATCTCATCCTGTATGTGGGTTCCCAGGGGAATGGGTAGACTTTTAGGAGGAGAGGGTATGAAAAAGATTCTTTGACCTCAGAATTTTTGACAACTTAGTTCTAGTTGACATAAAATGATATTTTATGATATTTTAAGCTCTGTAATGCAATTGAGCACATTGTTTTTATTTTGTTTTTGTTAAAATACCTTTTTTATAGATCTCATAAATTACAGTTTATAATATCTTGTATAGATTTTATAGATTTAGCCATTTTCTAATACTGTGAATTTTACTTTTTTATATGAAGAGAAAAACAGAGAGACATATTGATTTTACTATTTTTGTTGATCAAAGTGTTATAAATATTGAATCCTCCATTTATCTTTTCACTTTACTTATGATATATTCTAAGAAACCTAAGTTCCTAATTCCAGCATATTAGATTTTATCTCTTCTGTTGTAGTGTTGTTTTAAGTATGGTTCAGAAAATTTTTCTTCAGCCTTGAATTATATAATTCTCCTATATTTTCCTCTAAATATTTTAAGTTTCACTTTAACATTTAAAAAAGTAATCCATCTAAATATTTTTGTGTATATTATAAGGTGGAAATTATTTTTGTTTCTCACATGGAGCATTTAATTGTCCCATTACTTTAAAAGGCTATTCTCCACAGATCTTTCTTGGTACCTGTGCTTCTCTGTCTCTCTCTCTCTCTTTCTCCCTGTGAGAGTCACACACACACACTTGGATACACACTTGCTAGTATCTTTGGCATCTACATTCTGCTTCACACAACAATTTGATGTAACTTTAAAATTACCACACTGTCTTTATTGCCAAAAGCATATACCAATGCCAATGAGTCTTTGTTTTCAATAATATGTTGCCAATTCTTTGGCCTTTGCTTCTGCTTATAAATTTGACAAGCTTCTTCATGAAATACATTAAAAGTATTTTGAGGAGTTCAAAATTTCAGTGGAGGAAGTCCCTGCAGATGTGGTAGAAAGAGCAAGAGAACTAGAATTAGAAGTGGAGCCTGAAGGCGTGACTGAACTGATAGAATCTCATGATAAAACTAGAATGGATAGGGAGTTATTTCTCATGGATTAGCAAAGAATATAGTTTCTTGAGATGGAATCTACTCTTGGTAAAGATGCTGTGAACATTGTTGAAATGAGAGCGAAGAATTTAGAATATGACGTAAACTTGGTTAATTAACCGTGGCAAGGTGTGAAAGGATTAACTCTAATTTTTAAAGAACTTCTACTGTGGGCAAAATGGTATCAAACAGCAGCACATGCCATTGCACTCCAGCCTGGGCGACAGAGCGAGACTCCGTCTCAAAAAAAAAAAAAAAAAAAGAAAGTTATGTTTAAACTATACTGTAGTCTATTTAATGTGCAATAGCATTATGTCTAAAAAAATCAGTATGAATACCTTAATTTAAAATACTTTATTGCTAAAAATGAGAATGATCATCTGAACCTTCAGTGAGTTACAATTTTTTGCTTATTGTAGAGTCTTACCTCAATGTGGATATCTGTTTCCTGACCAAGGTGGTGGTTGCTGAAGACTGGGGTGGCTGTGGCAATTTCTTAAAATAAGACAACAATGAAGTTTGCCTCATTGATTGCCTGTTCCTTTCGTGAAAGATTTCTCCTTCATGTGTGGTTGGTTTAATCTGCTATCCAGACCATTCAAACTTCCTTCATAGCAGTAATAAGGCTGTTTCACATTTTTATCATTTGTGTATTCACCAGAGTAGCACTTTTATTTCAAGAACTTTTCCTTTGCATTCACAACTTGGCTACCTATTTGGCACAAGAGGCCTAGCATTTGGCCACCGTCAGCTTTTGACATGCCATCCTCATTAAACTTAATAATTTCTAGCTTTCGATTTAAAGTGAGAGACTTGCAACTCTTCCTTTCATTTGAGTACTTAGAGGCCATTGTAGGATTAACTGGCCTAAGTTTAGTATTGTTGTGTCTCAGAGAATATCAAGGCCACAGGTAAGGGAAAGAGATGGGAGAACGGCTGGTCAGTGGAAAAGTCAGAACATACAAAACATTTATCGATTAATTCCACCATCTTATTATGGGCACAGTTCCAATAGTAACATCAAAGGTCACTGATCACAGATCAGCATAACAGATATAACAATAATAAAAATGTTTGAAATATTGCAAGACTTATCAAAATGGGACACAGAGATACAAAGTGAGCACATGCAGTTAACTCTTGTGTTACTGGTATTAACTCAAAATGAACACTGAGTATTTTTTAATAGATAACTAAATTGTATATATTTTTATTATCTTTATGCAATATAAGTCTTATAGAATCAGTGCATTAGTGGATCTTATTTGTTTATCTTCTATATAATTTATAGAAAACTGCAACTATCTTTTAATTGAAAGTTGAATAATTTGCCTATACATCTGAGATTGATGATTTCTTTAAGAAAAAAAACTATTTAATTTCCCTAATGACTATATTTGAATTATTTTATGTCTTCTTGAGCTGATAACTTAATGGTTTTTAAATTTAGAATAAGTTACATTTTATTATTATAAATATTTGACTGGTATTATTTGACATTCTCTCAGTGCTCATTCTTTTTTTAGTGCTTAATTTTTCAAATATTTAATACAAGCTATTTAAAGTTCTCCATTTGATCATCAAAAATTCTTCATTTGGTGATTGCAATATACTAAGTCCTTGGGGAGGTCTAAATCTGTTATGTATTGTTTCTGCTGATTCTATCTCATTACAGCTTTTTACTTGTGTTTTGGGTGATATTTGTGTATGAGATTATACACAGTGTTTGGAACAAAAGAAATATCAACGAACAAAATGTGGATTCAGAGGCCAAAACCAAACTGGGACATTTTCTCCTTTGAAGATGTTTCCCTACTATGGAGTCTCAGGTTCCACTCTTCCACTTTATGGAGGGCACAAAGATCCTACTTTCTTATTTTCAGCTCACAGCCCCCTCCCCTTTCACACTTTTCCCTGTTGGAAACCCCTTTACTTTTCTTCAAGTCAGTAATATGTTCAATAATATGTTCGCTGTAAAATGTTATAGACAACTGTAAAAAGGAAAAAATATATGAATACATGATAAATTCATTAATGACCATATTTCCCATTTTTGTATTAGAAGCAAATAATAGCAAAGGAGGAACATCTATAATATAGTATTATATATATTATACTATAATGTACATCTTTCATGGCTACTATAATATGCTGATTGCTGCTGATATCACCGGCACTCTAGTTTTCACCTCTTGACTGCTACAGATCTTTCTACCATTCAAATATTTGCAGTAGACTCACAGATACAACCAAATAGTGAAAATTAATAAAGGCCTTTCCCTTCTACTTCATCCTATCACCAATTTATCCTTTCCCTTCCCCTTACTTTCCTGATTAATTGATTAATTTAGTTCTGAAGCCATTGGGTGGCTTTTGAGAAAGCTAGGTTAGTAATGAGGGATATTCTGGCCTGAGGAGTCAGAACGCAAGCAAATTGATAAGGGTATCCATGTAGGGGGAAGTGGCACGGAGGACTATTTCCTGAGCAGACTGAGCATGCATCCATGCCTGTGAGCAGTCTGGAGTGGGGTATCAGAGCTTATGTGGGCTAAGAAGTGCTTCCATGTGCAGAAGTGGGCCAGTGTGGGGTAAAGAGGGCCTTCCTGAGTGGGAGCTGCCCAGCACAGGTGTCAGAATAGAAGTAGGGTGAGGAGGTAAGCCACATGGAAAACAGCACTGTGAGGAGTTTGAGAGCAAGAACAGGATGCGGAGGGTATCCACATGAAGGTAACGTTTGTTGTGTGTGTGTATACATGCATATATATACACATACACACACATCCCGCATATATATCATATATTATATGTGCATGTGGTGTATATATCTTACACAAACATGCACACACACACACACACACACACACACACACACACACACACACTTTGGAGCAACAACCCACCCAATAGCATCAAGCTATTGGCACCCACATAATGCCTTTTAAATACCAATCTCCACTGAAAGAAACCAAGTCTTTTGCAAAGTAGATTATTTGAGAGCTAAGGCAGAGAAAACACAAGAGGAACCTGGAATATCCTCTTGTGTCAGGAAGCAAGAAAGTGCTTAAAGCATGGTGGGGACATTTCAAAAGGAAACAAGTTGAAGAGGCGCCCATTGCCCAAATCTGGGCTATGTGGGGAGTATGAGTCCATACTAATATAAATGAATAAATAAATTTAACATTTAATGCTGAACAAGACATTTGCATAGTCTCTAAGTACCTACTCCACAAAATACTTATTAGCTAAAAAGGGGAAAGAGTAATTATCTAGTGCCTGGCAGATGACACTTTACTCAAGTGAAGTAAAGCAGCATCATCAGTAATGAGTCAAATCAAAACTGTGTACCTCCTGTTAGGAAGCATTGAGAATAACATTTGATAAATCCAATTGTAAGGAAACATCAAACAAACCCAAATTGAGGGAAATTCTACAAATTCAGTGGCCTGTAATTCTCAAAAATGTCAAGATCATGTAAGTCAATGATTAAGGAGCTACTTCAGACTAAAGAAGACTAAAGAGATATGATAAATTAGTACAATACCTGATTACCAACTGGATCCTTTTGTTATAAAGAACATGATTGAAACAATTATTTAAATAAGACCTGAAAATTATATAGTGACTATTAATAATGTTAATTCTGACTTAAATGCTACAAAAAAAGGCATTCCTCTATGTCATTTATGTAGAAATAGAAACATTTTGGGAGTGTTAAGGGAATCAATTTAATGACCTACTGTCTCATAGTTAAGAATTAAAAATTTAGTTGTAAATTTCCTGCAAGTTTAAGATTTAATTTTAAAATATTTATACAAAAAAGATCAATATGTCATTGGCAGATGTAGTATGTGCCTGAAATGCAGAATATAATCAAGAAATATTTATGAAGTGATTTGATGAATGAATTGAAAGAGAATGAAAAATAAAGTATTTCTTTTTTTTTTTTTTTTTTTAAGACGAAGTCTTCTGTCGCCCAGGCTGGACTGCAGTGGCGTGATCCTGGCTCACTGCAACCTCCACCTCCCAGGTTCAAGCAAATTCTTCTGCCTCAGCCTCCTGAGTAGCTGGGATTACAGGCATGTGCCACCACACCAGGCTAATTTTTGTATTTTTAGTAGAGATGGGGTTTCACCATGTTGGTCAGGCTGGTCTTGAACTTCTAACCTCATGATCCACCTGCCTCAGCCTCCCAAAGTGCTGAGATTACAGGCATGAACCACCATGCCCAGCCAAAATAAAGTATTTCTAATTAAAAATTAAAAAATAAAACATTTTATCCTTGGAAAACAAATAGCTATGTATTGCTTTTTTTTAAAAGAATGGAAATAATATATTCAATATATAAAAATTAGGTTTAGCACACTTTTTAAGAATGCACATATTGGGTATATTTAAGACTATGTAACCTTTTTTTAAGATTACAAAACCCTGAGAAGAAAAATATTATCAAAATAGCAGGCATGAATTAGTGTTTGTCAGCCTCTACCCCCGTCCATTTGTGAGAAATCCATAACATTGAAAAGTACTTCAAAATGGTTCCAAGAATACCTAGAGAGTGACATCTGTCTCTTTGACCAAAGGGTGGCAGCAATGATTATCTTACTATTAATTTTAATTCCCTATATTGAGGTTTCCTCTTTCTGTTGAAACTAATAGGCAGCAACAATTTTGTCATTTCCCCCAGAAGGTACTGCTTTTGTTCATGCCGGCCAAAGGCAATGTTGCAGTGATCAGTGTCTGCTGATGCTTCTATCATGTTGGCTAATGCCTGATATTGAGAGTGACTAACGTCTGAGATGAGAATGTCTTTTCCTGTCATTGGCAAAGCTACAGACATGCCAATATCATGTTTCAGAAACCACCACTTGCTTCATTTTTTCAGAAGAATAAAAAACTGCTGTAATAATGCATCTGATTTTTGTGTAAATTTGACTTTAGTATTTTATTTGTTCTCTGATTGCAGTTTGTTAAACTATGCTGGGACTTATCAAGTACCTAAGGGGTTGGAAAGGAACAAATCTAAACGGCATAGTAGCCCTGCCTTATTCTATCTCTCCTGGCCTTGAGCTCATTATGTATACCTCAGTTTTTCCTTCTTAATCTTTCCTAGGAGGATAATTGATAAGCCTACCTCCAGCTATTCTTTTTGGTGTTTGTTTATTTATTTAAAGATGGGGTCTCACTATGTTGACCAGGCTGGTCTTGAACTTCTGGCCTCAAGTGATCCCCCCATCTTGGCCTCCCAAAGTTCTGAGATTACAGATGTGAGCCACCATGCCCGGCCCTACCTATTCTTTAGGTATGCACAGATAAGAGTAAACCCAAAAGCCAGGAAAGCTTTGACTTGAGCATGACCCTATCTATATATGAATGCCCTCCTAGTTCATACACAGATGTGAGCACATGTGCAATATGATACACAGTTTTTCAGAAAGGTATATCAAACTCCACCAGATTATAATGCATTGTAAATTTATTTCCATTCATAATGTTAAAAGCATTAGTGTCTTCAAATAAAATCCCTACTAAATTATCTATAATGTAATAATACATGCACCGTTATTTCAAACTTTCTTCTAAAATCTCATTTCTGCTTTTAAAAATGGTCATGAACATATATACAGAAAACATCGTACCATGTGATATTATGCCATAGAACTATTATGTGTACCTGTATATATACAGCCAATAAAGTTGTAGTAAAAAATGAATTATATTAAAAACCAAGAATTATTGAGCATTCTAGTTGTTTTTAGTTAAAACAGTTTAATTGGTCTTTAAAATTATTTCATTTGTTGAGAAAAGTAAATTTAGATCCTTTATTTTAGTGAGAATAAGCATCAAATGTATACATAAAATAGTTTTAAATTGGGGTTTTAAAATACACAAATTTTAGTATTCTTCAACATATTGAGCTGATGTAGATTAGACAAATAAAGAGTGGTTTCTATTGCTGCAGTAAATAGCATGATCATGGAAGAAGATATATTTTTTAAGGAATCAAGTTAATAGTAATTAAAAATGTACATCAGATGAATAATACAGTTTCTTTTAAGAGAGGGACTTGCTTAGATGCCAATATATAATTTAAATTCCTTTGGGATTTTCAAATAAGACAGGATAAATAGTACAAACAACTATAACTCTCACCCTAAAACAAGATAAAATAAAAAAACTCATAAAGCTTCATGAAGGGAAACCATTTCAAAGCAGAAAATTAACATTAAACGTGGGGAAAGACAAATGATAATGTCAAGATTTCCAATAGAGAATATACAATAACAGCTGTTCCAAAAGATGACAAAGAATTAAAATAGTAATTATTTGTGTGATATCATTTTTTAAATAAAAATTTTTTGTTAATTTTAGTTTTTAAAAATGTGCTTTTAACCTTTGGTTTATATTCCTGTTAGTTTATTTTTGACCTTAATGTAGCAGATGGGTTATAAATAATAATCAGTATGCATACATGTTATTTCTTTAAAAATTAGTCATGTTTGTTTAATGGAGAAAAATCCAAAGATATTGAAAATATATTAAAATCAAGAGAATTAAGAGGTTTTTTTAATGAGCTTTTAAATTTTCTCTTGTATTATATGACACCAGACTATGGCCTGTTCCTTGGGATAGAGGGTAGATGAACATCCAATAAACTCTTATCTATTCCTTAGGCATTGCCTCTTTGTCCATTAAGGTATTTATGCCCTCACTCATTTCTTTTCCAAATTGGATTTATGGTCCATTGAGTTGTGTATTAATAGTCTTGCAGTTAGAAACTTCTCATGTATAGAGGTTTTTTTTCTCTCTACCTATAAAAGCTAGTATTTGAGTCAAACAGGTTTTGAATATTCAGGCATCTGCATATAAGTTATTATTTCTTCTTCTCATTCCCAGCTAATTGAGTGGCACCTTGTATTAAGATATGAGGAGATGTGCTAGGAACTCTGTGTGCATATTTGTGTAAGGTATATACACCACATGCATATATAATATATGATATACATGCGGGGTGTGTGTGTGTGTGTGTGTGTGTATACATGCACACACACACACAACAAACATTACCTTCATGTGGATACCCTCCCTACTTGTAAATAGAATAAAAGTTGGAAAGGCTATGCAGTGTATTTTTGATTACTAAAGCCTAGCATGGGACACCAGTTAATCTGATTATGGCCTATAAAGAATTGCAAAGAATGAGATAAATACATTGGACTAGTTATTATAATAAAGCTCTCAGGACAAAAGGTAAATGGTTGCAACACGGAAATAGTTTTTCCCTGTCATGTCTAACAAAATGCTTTATAAACCCCACCACACTTCTTGTGAATGGGAATATTTTGTTGAAAGGGAAAATGAATTGGTGGAAAAGAAAAGGTTAATTCCAGCTTTAAAAATCATTCTGAAGGCCGGGCATGGTGGCTCAAGCCTGTAATCCCAGCACTTTGGGAGGGTGAAGCGGGTGGATCACCTGAGATCAGGAGTTTGAGACCAGCCTGGCCAACATGGTGAAACCTCATCTTTACTGAAAATACAAAAATTAGCCGGGAGTGGTGGTGTGCACCTGTAATACCGGGAGTTACTCCGGAGGATGAGGCACAAGAATCACTTGAACCTGGGAGAAGGATGTTGCAGTGAGCTGAGATCAAGCCACTGCATTCCGGCCAGGACAACAGAGCAAGACGCTGTCTCAAAAAACAACAAAAAAAATTGGATAATAGTGTGTAACCATGGAATAAATAGAACAAGTAGAGCATACTCTCCCCAATTCCCCACAAACTGGGGTTCTAAGAACCAGAATCTCAGCAACTGTATTAAAACCCTTTTTCTTGTATGTAAAAACAAAGGGGTTGTATTTTAAATGTTAAATATTTTGTGTGAATATAAGAAATTAGTATGTTTTAGAAGATTTATTATATATATAAGATATTTTTAGAAAAATACAAAGCTTCGTTAAGCGTTATGGAAGTATGATTTATGAGAAGAAGGTATGATCATATTTTTGAGGAAATTAAGAAAACTGCTTCAGGATAAGTCCTCCACTTTAAAAACAAGGTAGGATGTAATTTTAAAATAGACATATAGCATTAATTGATATAAAGCCATTTTCTATCTTTAGAAATAAATTTACATACATATTCATTAACTACGAACATATATTCCAATTATAAGGTATTAATTTCTACTGTTAAATAATTTTACCTGGTATTTTAATCACTTCTTTATTCATGTATGCAGTAATATCTATACTGCTAAAAGTGAAATAAAGCCTACATTGATTAGACATCCTTTCTCAAATCTAACCTTACTCAAATTTTTCAAGTAATTAAAACAAATGTTAGTTTAGAAATAGTATGTTGCCATAAAATGCTGATCTCAATTGGATGCTGGTGACTGTTTCTCAAACTATCTTTTCCTGTGGTATAGAAAAATGAAGTGATTGATATTCTGTTTGTTTTGCTGTTTGATAACGATTTTAAAATAGGTGGGGAGCTAATGAAGTTCAGATGCTTTAAACTTGTCATTCTGAGCATTAACTGAGGGAGACTGCAAATCTTGCATCTGTAATGGCTAGTCTCTTGAAAAGTCTATACATAAACACTTAATTAGTTAAGAGCCACCAATTGACCTTTCTTTATACTACTTGAACTATAAGAATATTAATTATAAAAGCTTCTGGAAAGCATCTGTTTTGTATATTTCTTCTCTCACATCTCCAGAAACTATGATAATTGAGTCTGATAAAATATTTAGAAAAATAAATACATAACATTAGCAGGAGAATGGAAAGTAGATTGGTGAATCAGAACTGAGAGGCAAGGAGGAGTAAGTCACATCTTACGTGGATGGCGGCAGGCAAAGAGGGAGCATGTGCAGAGAAACTCCCGTTTTTAAAAACCATCAGATCTCGTAAGATTAATTCACTATAATGAGAACAGCACAGGAAAGACCCATTCCCATAATTCAGTCACCTCCCACCAGGTTCTTCCCAGGACATGTGGGAATTGTGGGAATTACAATTCTAGATGAGATTTAGGTGGGGACACAGCCAAACCAAATCAGCCAGTATTTGTCTGAGTTTGACCAAGAGAAAGCACTATTAGGAGATTGGATTGTGGGTGGAGAAGACATCCCTCCCACCATCCAATCTCCTAATAGTGGAGGACAGGGATATTCATGCTTTTCTTCCTCATTCTGTTTCTACTTCAGGCCATTGTTCTGTCAATATCTGCTCCCCTTCATCACTATAGATCCTCACTATTCTCTTCTGTCCAGCGTTTACTAAGCTCCATAAACACTCTTTCTTCTCATTGTCCTTATAATGGCTTGGTTTCTTTTGGTTGTTTGTCTCTTGGTACATCAAAATCTGGTGTTAGTTCCCTTAGGTTTCCCTAGATCTCTATAAATTGCCCCTTCATGACATCTCTTTAGTTGAACCATCTGAATGGAATTCTGTTTCATGGTAAGTCCCCTCACTAATTTGGCTATGGTATGGGGTCAGAACAGAGCTGTACGTAGATTCTAATTACCAGGATGACTAAGGATTCCTATCATGACTTCCAAGAAAAGGATCAATGATATAAAGAGATCATTGTTGACTTTCTCAAGTCAGAAGATATCTGATCTGTCAAGGGGAAAAAAAAAGTGGGAGATTCTTGCCAGGGGCCTGCAAAATTCTACATCTCTAACTTGATTCCTGCTGGTGGAGACACATGATCTTGTAGAGGATGGACTTAATACAAGCGTGTTGGTTTTAATTAACTTGTTTATCAACATTAAGAAGATGAAAAATTAAAATAGTATACAGCCTAAGACCATAAAAATAAAATGCATGAAAACAGAAGAAGATATTAAGCCATTGAATGAATAGACTTAAAGGGGCTTAGTGTACTATACACATATCAATGAGAACACATAATTTCAAATTTGAAGATAAATACAGAGCTTCACTGGAGAAAAAGTACATCTACGAGACATGTTTTGGTACAATAAGAACTTTCTAAATAGCTTTTCTAAACATTATTAAAGGTAAAATCCTTCTAATGATTGACTTATTTTTAAGTAATATTTGAAATGATAAAATTCTAAATGTAAATGTATTTAAAGATGAATTTAAAGCCTGTTATAGTAGTGTCTGAGTTAGAGATCAAGGACCATAAACATATGGTCCCCTTGTTTATGGTCAGGGGACCAAGGGTCCCCTGATCCCCTTGACAGATCAGATATCTTCTGACTTGAGAAAGTCAACAATGATCTCTTTATATCATTGATCCTTTTCTTGGAAGTCATGATAGGAATCCTTAGTCATCCTGGTAATTAGAATCTACGTACTGCTCTGTTCTGACCCCATACCATAGCAGTTTCAAATCCAAACTAGAGAAGATGAAGGTAGGGTTGTAGCTATTTCAACCCATGGGCTCAGAATATTTTATTCTTTGGGACCGATTCGAACTCTGGTCAGAAATTCTAATGTAACGAGACTAATTTCCACTTAAAACTTATAAAAATTTTGGGGCGCAGTGGCTCACACCTGTAATCCCAGCACTTTGGGAGGCCGAGGTGGGTGGATCACGAGGTCAAGAGATCAAGACCATCCTGGCCAACATGGTGAAACCCCGTCTCTACTAAAAATACAAAAAATTAGCTGGGCATGGTAGTGCATGCCTGTAGTCCTAGCTACTCGGGAGGCTGAGACAGGAGAATCATTTGAACCCAGGAGGCGGAGGTTGCAGTGAGCCGAGATCACACCACTGCACTCCAGCCTGGCAACAGAGAGAGACTCTGTCTCAAAAAAAAAAAAAAAAAAGGTATAAAAATTAATTTTTTTAATAGCCACAAAATCTAGTGTATTTCTCACAGCTGGTGTATAATGATTGTGACTCAAAACTGGTTTCTAGACTCTGCCTATTTATCCAGAGTTTCCATTTCTACCTTTGTTACAAGACAATGTGCCTGAAATCTAGCTCACTTGTCTCTTACTTTCTTATCCTAATGTCCCTATGTCCTGCTACTCTGTCTCTTAGATTTTAGATGTAATGACATTAGGCTATTTCTTCATGGCTCTAGTAATATTTTTTATTTGTCCAATGATCCTCCAACTGTACAGTACACCTGGGAAACACTATATCTGTCTCCTCTTTTCTCTTTCCACACATTTTAACACAACTCATTGCTTTGAGCTTTCGTGGTGAGCTCTTATTGTCTTACTTGTTTCCAAATAATAGTAAAAAAGAAAATTTTCTATGGTTTTCAGTGACATATTGATATCTCCCAATTGAGAACATATAGAATTTAGTTTTCCAAAATGAGGTTATTTAATCTAATAGGTTTAAATTGTTTGTGGATATATCAGTCACCACAAAGAACAAAGTAGAAATCCACGTGGATAACTGTTGCAGTGGAATAAGTTACAGGAAAAATGTCCCTGAACATGACATCAATTATTTGTATTACTGAAAAAAATCTTATTCCACTCTCTTGATATGCTTCTAGAAATATAACATGTGCTTGAGAAAAGAAGTACATGCCAGAGGATCATATTTTTATTTTTTAATTTTCATGGGTACATAGTAGGTGTATATATTTTGGGGGTACATGAAATGTTTTGATACAGACATGCAATGATGCATAATAATCACATCATGGAAGATGGAGTATCCATCCTCTCAAACACTTAGACAGGATCATTTTGAAAGATATTTCATATTGTGTCTCAAACTATACTTAGTAAGGTCTCACATAACTTTGATTGGAAATCGTATTGAGTTCCCTTGAAGTGGGCAATGAGTACAAGGGGAAAATGTAGTACTACAAAAAGAATAGATGAAGCTGATACAAGAAAAAAATCAGAATTTTTGGGGGGGAAAATCAATTTCCTAAGTTGAAAGCGAAAAAAAACCTCCCAAGTTAATTTTCTCCATTCATAACAATCTGAATTGAATTGAATCTATTGCTACCCTATGACTTTGATTCGTTCTTCCTTTCACTAATCTTTTTCTGCCTCATTTAAAATATTCCCCACCTGCTCCTTTCTATCTGATGATTTTTGCAGAACTAATGAAAAACAATCATTCTGAAAAACAAATTCAATATTTTTATATAGAGAAAATGGTGTGTATATAAATGCTCACATGCATATCTACTTGTAAATTTTCTTCAGCAGCCTTTCTGCTCACTTTCAAAAAGCCAAAATTTATCGATAAGTATACCCATCATTACTGACTAGCCTAGATCTCCTGCTGACCCTAAAGATATTCCCATTTACCATGTTTACTACACATAAATAGCTGTCCACCATATTCAGAATAGCACTCTGTCTTCTTTAGTCTTCATCATTCCATTGGTTTAATTATTTCCTGAGTTATTCATGAATTTTAATTATGGAATCTATAAGACTGCCTGCAACTCCATTGTACTTAAATATGTATTTATTCTTGTTTGATTTCAGGTGATATCCTGGCAGGATGGCTATTCCACTCAAAGCCCATCCCATAGAGAGTGAGAGAAGAAAAGCAACTCAAGTTAGATTAAGTAAGGAATGAATTTTTTATAGGAAACTCAATGCCTCACAGTATTTGGGGGAGGTTTGTAAAAACAGAATACAATCTGAGTGGAGTATATTGTTTTATTGCTGCCAACTCTTTGCTCCCTCCAAGTTATAGGATTGTATATCTAAGCTCTATGTCTGTGATATTGAAGTGTCTCCCAGTAGAACAGGCACATAATATGTCTCCAACTCTTTTACTTTGACCAAATGAAGGTGACACTATGCCAGTTTTGAATAGTTGCTTTAAGACGAATCTTGCATTTTGACTCATTCTCTTGTGTTCCTGCCATCCTTCAGGAGGAGAACATGCCCTAGGGTGTTGCTGCTGCTTCAGCCTGGATCTCAGAATGATAGCTCTGTGAAGCATAATTGAACCTGATATGCTGCCTGAAAAAGAGCTGCCACAACCAACTTGCAAACCCATGAGGAACAAAGTAAGCTACACAACTGAAATTTTGAGCAAAAGTTGACTAATAAGTTGCGGTTTTGAGAATGGATCTGAAAATCACATGACAGAACGGAGTCACCAACAGAAGGCTCCAAGAGTCTACCACATAGTGTTTTTACTAGACCTTGCTGATCAGAAATTAGTTACATATCTGTGATCAACTGCAAGAAACATGTTTTCTTTATTCTGAAAGGCTATTTGCCATGTTAATTTTATAATACTGTGAAAGAGGAAAATGATCCTTAACATCAGTTAATTTTAATTCAGCAAGAGTTTGTTTTTAAAATCAGTTAAAAAAAGATAAATGCATTATTATAGAAAGGCAAAGCATACAAATAGAAAATGTAAAAAAAGAACTATAGTCAACAAATTTTAAGTGATGAAAGAAATATAATGTAAATAACAGGATATCATTGGTTTGGACCAATGATATATATATATATATAAAATATAAGAAATACACATATATAAAATATAAAAATTGTATATCTATATATCTATATATCTATATCTATATCTATATATATCCCCAATATTGGGGATGATGGAATTATGAATATTCATCTGTATAAATATAGATCACCTTAATAGAGTTTAAAGTGACATTTGCAAAAAAATAATATAAAACATTGCCAGTGGAATAGTTTTTTTTAAAAAAAAATATTTACTTAGTACATTTTGGCTATATGCATTAAAAGCATAAGTTTCATAAATTCTTTCCATTCCTTGTTCTATTTCTCATGTGATGACCTTGTTACTAATCTATCTGAGAAAAATGAAAGGGATCAGAACAAAATCTTCTCATTCTTCTTCTATCAAACTGCTCACTATAATGGGCCTTAATATTGGTAGAAAGGATGGACTGTCTATAAATCTAATGCCAATCACTTCTCTTATTGTATTGAGTATACTCACTCTTCCTTATGAGAAAGTGTGCTGTAGTCATGGATTGGAAAATAACACATTATTATGGTGGTGATTCTCCCTACATTTATCTATAAATTCAATACAATCCTTATGCTAGAAGGCCTTTTTTTTTTTTTTTTTTTGCTAAAAATTGACAAGCAAGCTGACCCTTAAATGTATATGAACATTTAGAGATCTAGAATAGGCTAAAAAATCTTGAAAGAATAACAAAATTGGAAGACTTATGCTTCCCATTTTCAAACTTATTATAAAGCCACGGTGATTGAGGCAATGTGGTATTGGCATAGGGATGGGCATATAGCTTTGTGAAACAGAATTAAAAATTCAGAAACAAATCATTATACTTCATCATAAACAATTGACTATTGATCAAAGTGCCAAGGCAATTCAATTGAGAAAGGGCAATCTTTTCAGCAAATGATTATAAGATAATTTGATATCCACATGCAAATGATGAATTTAGACCCTTACTTTATATCGCATCAAAAATGAACTCAAAATGGATTATAAGTCTGGGTGCTATGGCTCATGCCTATAATCCCAGCACTTCAGGAGGCCAAGGTGGGCAGATCACTTGAGGCCAGGAATTCAAAACCAGCCTGGCCAACACGGCGAAACCCAAAGTCTACTAAAAATACAAAAATTAGCTGGGCGTGTTGGCATGCGCCTGTCATCGCAGGTACTGGGGAGGCTGAGGCAGGAGAATTGCTTGAACCCAGGAGGAGGAGGTTGCAGTGAGCTGAGATTGTACCACTACACTTCAGCCTGGGCAACAGAGCAAGATTCCATCTCAAAAAAAAAAAAAAAAGAAAGAAAGGATTGTTGATCTAAATATAAGAGCCAGAAATGAGACAGGCTCTTATATTTACGTTTATATAAATGTTTGTATGTTTATATGACGATTCATACTGAACCATGTTAGAAATAACAAAATAAAAAATAATAAAAATAATAACAGCTTATTATATGCTGGTGGGTGTGTGATTTAGTATAATATTAACATACTAAATCACACACCCACCAGCACCATGACAGTTCTAGGAACACTCATATTTGGTGCAAACATGGGTGGCACCACAGTTTTGAGAAATCTCCACCTTCTTCCAGGAATCTTCATGAATATTTTACCCCTTGGATAAAGCAACTCATAAAGGTAGCAGCCCCTAAACCCTTTGCACATGACTCTTTCAAGTATGCCCATGCTCCTTTCTTAAGTATGTAATTTCACTTTGCAATAAACCTCCGTATCATCACAATTTTATGACTCATCCTTGAATTCCTTCTGTGATGGTGTCAAGAGCCTGGATACCAGCTGGAGTCAATGTCCCACTGGCATTTTGGGACTTCCTCCATTATCAAAAGTATAAAATTTCTAGGTAAGAACATAGAAAATAAAATCCTTATGAACTTGAGCTAGCCCAAGATTTCTTAGACAAGACACCAGAAGCAAAATTCATAAAATAAAAAAAATGACGGCTGGGTGCAGTGGCTCATGCCTGTAATCCCAGCACTTTGGGAGGCGAAGGCGGATCCTCAGGATCACCTGAGGTCAGGAGTTTGAGACCAGCCTGTCCAATATGGTGAAAACCTATCTCTACTAATAATACAAAAATTAGCTCAGCATGGTAGTACATGCCTATAATCCCAGCTACTCGGGAGGCTGAGGCAGGAGAATCGCTGGAACCTGGAGGCAGAGGTTGCAGTGAGCCAAGATCACGCCATTGTACTCCAGCCTTGGTGACTGAGTGAGACTCTACTTCAAAAATATATAAATAAATAAATAAATGATAATTTAGAATATTTAAAACTTTTGGGCTTCAAATCACACTACTAAAAAAACTCAAAGTTTTGGCAAGGATTTGGAAAAACTATAACCCTAACGCATTGCTATTGGAATGTAAAATGGTGCAGATGTTAGAGTAGATAGTTAGACAGATATAAGCAGGGTAGGAAAGGGCCTCCAGAAATGGGAGGTGCTCTTCAGGTGATGGTCAAGCAGTCATAAAACTGTCCGTCTGAAATGATAAGTGGCCATGACTGGCGTCAATAGGACGGGGAGCTTCCCAACAGATAGTAGACATCTGGAGCCAGCAAACTGCAATTCCTGATAAGGTCTTCAGCATGTGAAGTAAGGGGCAAAATGGTGGAGTTTGACAAGTATATGACCTTCCTCTAGGGGCACTTGACACAAGTGAGCATGTGCACAACTTCAGCTAACCCACAGCACATGCATATGACCCCCCAGATACTGGCAATTATTGTGCATGCAGCGATTAAGCAACAGCCTGACCCAAGGGAGGGACCAGGGGAGGAGAAAAGAAAACCCCAGAAATAAGCCAATGTATAAAAATCTCAAGCCAATAACTGAGTGGGGTACTCGATCTCTCAAGTTGCCTTCTTGGCCCTCTTCCAAGTGTATTTTTGCTTCTTTCAATAAACCTTTACCTGTCCCTTAAAACCCACCTCTGCCTTCTTGGCTGAATTATTTCCTCTGGGGAGGCAACGACCAAAATTGCTGTGGATCCACCACAATTTTAAAACTAGCTTTATTTACCAAGCATTATCTCATATACATAACACATATAGACATACAAACAAAAGCAGGTCTTATAGTTTCCATAATGAATTCTCATTTGTCATCTTTCAAATAGTTTTTCTTTTCCACATTTAGTCTATCAGTCTTGCAACTACTTGTTTTATTACTGTAAGTACTTGTTAACTATGCAACAATCTGTCTTCTAAAGGGATGACTCTTAGGTGGAACAAGGTGGAAAATTTTTATCTCAAAAGCACAGAGTTGAGACTTTCGACCTAAATATTGTACCATCATGTGCTCAAACCCAGGAGAAAAATTGTACATAAAGGCTCATAAAGGCCCGATTAAGACAAGATGGCCACAGAAATTACCTTAAACAAAGGGAAGCCTTGTTATGTAAATTTAAAACAATAGTAAGGGTTTCTAGTTACCCAGTTCTCCCACTCAGACAACATTACAAATGGAAATTTCCTTTACAGATGTTAATTTATTTCACAAAAGTGTTTTAAGATAGCTAGTGAAGTACCAAAAAGGTATATTTAGTGGACTTCTAATAGGGGAACATTTTAAACTTAGCTACTGTTTCTTAGTTACAAATCATCTGATGGAGTATTCCTGCCTGCTGCACAGACAAAACCAATTCACTGAGGTCAAGCTATTGTAGTAAAGAGTTTAATTAATGGAAGGCAGCCATGTAGAAGATGGAGTTTATTACTAAAATTAGTCTCTGTGAGAACTCAGAGGCCAGGGTTTTTATAGTTAATTTGGTTGTCAAGGGGCTAGAGAATGGGTGCTACTGATGGTTTGGGGGTAAAATCAAAAAGGTGTGAAAAATGCTTCTCATGATCTGAGTCTACCTCTGGGTGGGGGGCCACAGGACTGGTTGAGTCATGAGTCATGAGTCGTGAGTTTGGGTGGGGTCAGCTGGTTGTGAGAATGCAAAAGTCTGAAAAACATCTCAAAAGACCAATCTTAGGTTCTAAAATAGCCATGTTATCTATAGGAGCAATTGGAGAAGTCACAAATCTTGTGATCTCTGGCCACATAACTGCCTCCTGAGCAGTAAGGGATTATAAGAAGCTATGTCTACACCTTAGCAGAATTTAGGTACCTCCCATAATCCTAATCTAATAGACTTTAATTAGTTTCAGCAGTTTGACATTTCTTAAATCGTTAAACTTACTATACAAATCAATAATTCTACTCCTACGTATCCACCAAAAAGAAAATAAAAATGTATATCCTCACAAAGTTTTCCACACAAATGGCCATAGCAACATTATTCATAACGTTACAGGAAAGGGGGCCAGATCCAGACCCCAAGAGAGGGTTCTTGGATCTCATGCAAGAAAGAATTCAGAGTAAGTCCAGAGAGTAAAGTCAAAGCAAGTTTATTAGGAAAGTAAAGGAATAAAAGAATGGCTACTCCATAGACAGAGCAGCCCCAAGGGCTGCTAGCTCCCCATTTTTATGGTTATTTCTTGATTACTTGCTAAACAAGGGGTGGATTATTCATGCTTCCCTTTTTTAGACCATATAGGGTAACTTCCTGACATGTCATGGCATTTGTAAACTGTTGTGGCGCTAATGAACGTGTAGCAGTGAGGATGACCAGAGGTCACTCTCGTCACCATCTTGGGTTTTGTGGGTTTTAGCTGGCTTCTTTACTACAATCTGTTTTATCAGCAAGGTCTTTATGACCTGTATTTTGTGCCAATCTCTTATCTCATCCTGTGACTTAGAATGTCTTAACCACCTGGGAATGCAGCCCAGTAGGTTTCAGCCTCATTCTACCTAGCTCCTATTCAAGATGGAATTGTTCTGGTTCACATACCTCTAACATTTCCCCCCTTTCTTTTATAAGAGAATCCTTAATCCTAAGGGTTGTGGAGGGATGAAGATCCATCTTCTGCAACTTCTTCAGGCTGAATAGGGCCAATGATATTCCCGCCTAACTATGAGGGTCTCTTGTATTCAGGGTAGAGAGAAGCTCAGTCAGAAAGCATCAGTATGGGGCCAGCATGGTGGCTCACACCTGTAATCCCAGCAATTTGGGAGGCCATGGTGGGTGGATCACGAGGTCAAGAGATCGAGACTATCCTGGCCAACATGGTGAAACCCTGTCTCTACTAAAAATACAAAAATTAGCCAGGCGTGGTGGCACACACCTGTAGTTCCAGCTACTTGGGAGGTTGAAGCAGGAGAATTGCTTGAACCCGGGAGGCGGAGGTTGCAGTGAGCCAAGATCACACCACTGCACTCCAGCAGCCTGGTGACAGAGCGAGGCTCCATGTCAGAAAAAAAAAAAAAAAGAAAGAAAGCATCAGTATGGTGAGGGCCATTCATAACAACAAGTTTCAACAAGAGGTGCTATCTGAAAGATTAATAAGTGTTCAATTTAAGAAAACATTCAGTAAGCTTATTCTGCCTTCCTATACAAAGAGCACAGCTGCAATATATTCTACAACAGCAAAGCAAAATAAGTAAAATTATCCCAAGTAAACTAAATTAGAAGGCTTTCCATGAACTAGGCAACTGTTGGAACCAAGCTGACATGGGGTTGCTAGCTGATTCTAATGTGCCCAGAACTAGAATATTGATTCAGATTTTTACATTACCCTTCCCTCTTGTTTCTTCTGAGTAGTAGCCAGAGATCACTGGTTGGTTCACAAGAATAAGCCAGTCTAAATTGCAGAAACAGACTTAAAAACAACCAAAGATACTAGAATCTAATAATAAGTGTACCATAGTTTTTGAAACATAATATTTCTCCCTCCAATTTCCCATTTTTACTAAAAACAAATCATGGTAAGACTGATTTGCTTTATTATATTTGGCCTGATTAGTTGTATAAAGTGCAGCAAGAATGATTATTTTTTACATGAACTCTTTGTAAATTGGCTTTGATGGAACTCTGTTCCATAGAAAGAATCTGAGATAAGACTTTTTTAGAGCCAAGCCCTGCCATGGGTTTGTACTCTCAAATACCTGTGAGTTGAGTAAATTCCTCTCCTTTTGAGGTCCCAAGATAACTTGCGACTCCTGGACCTGTGAGAAAGAAACATTCTTCACTCATTACAGGTCATAAACCCTATAAAGAGACTGGGTAGGCAAGGTATGAGGCCAGTTCCCCAAGCGGCTTTTATTGGCTCTATAAGTCAAGTTTAATTCCTTAAAGGAAAACACACCATTCCAGTCAAACCCTTGGTAAAATAACCAATTTCTCCAATTGTGTCCTGTTGTAAAATAAAACAGATTCTTATTGCACTTATGCAAATAACTGTATTGCCATAAATCAAAAATATTCACAAATAGTTTCCAAATTCTGGAGAAATCAGGTAGAAATAAACAAATATGCTCCAATTCTAAAGTCACATGAACTAAATAAAAGGCATTACACTTTTACTTTTCTGACAAAATATTTGATTTAGTCTCTTATTATTATTAAACCAATTAAAGCTCTTTCATATATAAACATCACACATAATACACATAAATACATAGACAGAAATAAAGGACTCATCCCCTAAGCAGGGAATTGAACCCTGAACCCGGGCTGCCATTGTGAAAAGAGAAAGCATGGCCACTTGATTCAAGGTTAAGCTCCCAAGGGCACACAAGACAAGAGGGAAACCTCATCCAGTTTTTCTCAGGGACCTGCAGCAAAGTTTGTAACTGACCAGTTTGCTGGGCAATCTTGAAAAGCAGAATTACAGGTGTCCTAGGCCTGTGTTCTATCCTAAGGTATACCTATTTTATGACAGAATAATACAGAAAGACACACAAAGCACACCAAATTTGCTACCGTTTAAGATTAACCTCACAAGTCCTTTTTTCCATTAATTAAACTCTTAAGGAGATAAACAGTGATTTTTACCATTCAAACAGTTTGCACAGAGAGAGAGAGAAAGAGAGGAAAGCATTGCCTGAGGCAGGGTGGGGAAGGCGAGGCACTCAGGGAGGCTAGAGAAAGACCCACCCATTGCAGTGACACTGAAAAGTTCAGGCAGCCGCTTGTCAGTTGTGAAGGGATCTTTTCCAGCTGTCCTCTCAGCTCTCAAGTTTCCCCTTTTAGGAAGGAAAAAGTTCCCTTTGTCCGATGATCTTGTACATGCCTAATCCTGTCACCCACAGCTGTCAGCAAAGAGTGCAAGGCAGATTAATCCAAGGAGAATAGCAGTTAACATCCCGTAGTGCCAAACCCATTCTTATCCAAGAGGGAATTTACTGAGACGGACTTTACTGAGAGGAGCCTCTAAAACCTCTAAATCCCTAACTCTTAGAAGGGACTCTAGCCCTCCTAAGTCAAGCCTATAACCCAAGTTCAGTCAAGCATCCTTGCCCTTTATTGAGAGGAGCCTTTAACCCTCTCTGTCTCAGGAGAGACTCTAACTCTCCTAAGTTGGGCCTCTAACCCAATCCTATTCTTTACTCAATTACCCCACCACTTACTCAAAGTCGTCCAATCAGTGCCGCAGTCTATTTCCTTTGGATGTGGGGGGGGTTCCTCAGTATCGTCCCTTCAGCATTCACCAGAAAGATGTTACCGGACCCCACCACTTACCCAAAGTTAGCCTTTGGGTCAGGAGTTTCTGCACTATGACTAGTCAGGTGGGTGACTAATCAGAGTCGAAATGTCCCCAGCTTCTTCTCTTAACAATGAGATATGATTTACATTTTACAAAATTCACTCATTGTAAGCATACAATTTAATGATTCTTAGTAAATTTATGGACTTGTGCAACACACAACCCAGTTTCGGAGCATTTGCATCACCCTCCAGAAAATCCCTCATGTTCATGTATAGTCAACTCCCATTTCAATCACTAGCTCCAGGTAATTAGTCACCTATCAAGAACCCCAGAGTAGCCAAGGGGAAAAAAGACACAGACAAGGAAGAAGGACAAATTCTAGGATTATGGCTAGATTCTGAGGCCAAAGGATAAAACATAGCCAGTGAAAAATTCCCCATACAAAAAGTAGCAAAGGAATTTTAAGAATGTTTAAGTGAGGTACAATTTTTAAGTTTGCTACTTTGTTATGAAAATATAGATAATGTAACATGAACTATTTTTTTTCTTATATCAATACATTATTTCTACAACTAGCCATTTCTTTCTTTTTTTCTCATGGATAATGAATATCTCACTTTTTCTTTGTAACTCAGCACTGGAAGTAATGTCACTATGACATACTCTTGTCAGGATGTGTGCTTCTAAAATTGATATGTTGAAAACGAATCTCCAGTGAGATAGTATTAAGAAGTGGGGCCTTTTGAGAACTGATTGATTTATGGGGATGGAGCCCTTATGAATGGGACTAATGCCTTTATAAAAGAGACCCTGGTATGATAACTAGCCCCTTTCACCATTGGAGGATGCAGGTAGAAGGCACTGTATGAAGAACAGGCCAGATGCCAAATCTGCTGGTGCCTTGATCTTGGACTTCTCAGCCTATAAAACTGTGAGAAATAAATTTTATTGAGAAACTACCCAGTCTATGGTATTTTGTTATAGCAGCACAAAGAGAAAAAGACAAATTCCTTGATAAAAAAAGTTGCACACCTTTAACCAAGTCTCTCTTCCTTAGAGGTAACAATTTGGTACTCTGGCTCTGTGAAATTCAGGTGATGGTTTTGATTTACCAGCTGAAGTTTCGAAGAACCTCCATCCTATGGCTTATTACCTTCTATGGGGAATTAGTCTCTGACTTTCCTGCCATGTTCCCGAATACAAGGAAACTAACACAAATGTGATGAACACCCTGAGAGGTCACATACTACTTTGGTAAGAGCAGTTATGAATTTTTTTTTCCTGGATCCATCACTGCTAGTCTGGTTTCTTTCCTTATTTGTCCCAATTCATGTTCTTAGAGATTACATCTACAGACTGGAGTGAAAGTACACCATGCTTTCCCAGGGTGATTCCTCCCAAAAAGATAAATTTCTTTTCTCATAAAATGACACAGACACAATGGTGTAGTATCATATACTTTAGGTTTATACAGACCTGTGTTTATATCTCAGCTCTATTACTGGTTTGTTGTATGTCTTTGGAAAAGTACCTTAATCTCGTTGAATCTCATTTTGTCCATATACAAAATGGGAATAATTACGTTTAATTTATAGGGAGCTATTATGAGTCTTAAAAGAATTTAAGATTCAATTAAATTAAAGATGAATTAAATTTAAGATTAAATTAAATTCAGTGCATTGCACAGAATGGACAAATGAATTTATAAAGATAATTTTATCTGTTATCATTCCATTCACCAATTTTCCCTGTTGGCATAGTCAACATTTGTGCTACATGTATGCTTTAAAATGTAGGGATTTTCTGTTCATCAGCCATTCATGAGTGCTCTTTCTCTCTCTCTCTTCCAATTAGCTAGCTAGCTAGCTAGTTCTATTAATTGACTCTAACTAAAATAATTTTAAAAGTTATTTTATTATATTTTAAATATAAACATTTCCACTGGATGTTCCAATGTACATAGAGATTTTCTTGTATAAAGTGTTACTATCAAGTAATAAGATAGATTTTAAATAATAAAACAGATTTTCCCATGTAGTTGGAGAATCGATCTTATCATTTTAGGGACATAGTTTGTATAACATGGAGAGATAATTCTTCTACTCTAAGTCCTACTGGGGAACTACAAAGTAATTCTAATGTATTTTTTATAGTCTAAATATGCAAAGTTCTACTTTCATAAATGCCTCAATTTTGAAATCTCTCATTTAACCAGCTCAGGGAGTTGTGTGATAAAATTATATCAAGCTATATTTCATAAACCAAAGCATTATAGGTTTGGAATTTATTTTTAAAATTATCTATTCCAAACTGAGGAATCTTTAGGGAATGAATTTGTCTAAAAGTTATACACATTGAGAAAGTAAGCTGACATTTATTTGCTGCCTGAAGACTCATTGGTAGGCTGTATTTTGCAAGCAGTGAACTATTCATATGCTCTTTTCCCAGGTCTCTCTATCGCAAGATCCTCTGTTCTGGGCTATCCAGAAAACACTGATTACTAGACAATAGCCCACTCTTCTGTATTAGGCAGCATATTACAGAAGCAGATCCTGAGGCAAGGACTCATGTAAAAGTTATTTGCTATAAGCTATACCTGGGAAAAAATGTTAGGAGAGTGGGAAAGAGGGACCAGTATGAGGAGGGGCTTAAGCAAGTGTGCAATATCAAGCAAAGGCCCATGGAGGGTGACTTTGGCTTTAACAATAATGTTGATCACACTTGAGAGCTGTCTCCATCATGGCACAAGGGGGCTAGAATATTCATACTCCCCATACCAGTCAGTTATTGATGAAACCTCTCCTGGCACGGTATAGAGAAGGAAACAGTAAATTCTCAGGCACTTCTGGCTATTCATGCATATGAGCAAAGCAGGTTCTGCCAGTTTGAGGACAGTTCTCAAAACAAAAAGACACAGGTACTGGTGATTGGGCATGAAAGCACATAAGCATGTGGTATACATTAAAATGATAAAGGACACAAAAATAATAAAATAATCCTGGGGGATATGCCCAAAGCACTGACAATTCTGTGACTACATCGTGATTCTTTCCTTAAAAATTCTAAGTTGGTGGGGGCATGAGGTGGCAATATGTCTAACTCCAGTTAATCAGGGGCTAGATCACAATTGGTCTATTATATTTACAAGAATACTATTTCCTTTGCCTTTGATTGATCTTAATTTGAGCATGATATCTTCATCTTGTATGGTAAATAGAAAATCTACTTGAGGCCTCTGGGAATGATTTTTCTCCCTAAAAAGGTGGAATCCTTCTTTCCTTATTCTCTGCTTTTGTTTGTCACCACTTAAGACTATGTGCTTGGAACTACCTTAGCCATCAAAATACCATTAGTGAAGGGTGGAAGGAGTGTGGGTACCAGAAGACACAGTAAAACCACATAACCAACCCAGAAACTCCTAATCTTAGGACTTCTGGTCAAATAAACAATCAATGTCATTTTGACTTAAGTCAGAAGTCTTCAATATAGAATATGTGTAACCTTGGCTCTAGCAAAGACTTCCTACAATAGAAATAAATGCATTGCACAAAATCTTGATTTCTAGATCTTAAATTTCCATAGCTTTTCTGAAAATGGATCTACCTATGAAGGGCACACATCTGATGGAGGTGCTGGTCCTTCTTTCCCTCCTTTCCTTTCACAACTCCCTTCGACCCATGTAAAAGGAAGAATAACTCCACTCTGTTTCAAAACATAGCCCCAGGTGGAAAAAACCTCCAGGATATGGAACAAAGGGACAATTTCCTATAATTATGTTGGTTTGGAGAAAGTTAATGACTCTAATTATTGGATAACAAATCGTCTTGTGAGGCAAGTGGTTTCCACTTCATTGCTTTCCAAGAAGTTTAAGGTGAATCTAATGAAGTTGTCAGTTAATATATCATTAAAATAATATATAATGTTGGATCATTAGTTTATTTTTGTATACAACTTATGATGAATTAAATACTTGAATGGCTAAAATATTTCTTTACATATTTATGTGAACATGGTTGTCAACACTAGTATAAAATGTTATTTAATTAAATTAATTAATTTATTTTGTGAGACTGGGTCTCGCTCTGTCACCCAGGCTGTAGTGCAGTGGCTCAATCTCCGCTCACTGCAGCCTCGACTTCCCAGGCTCAGTTCATTGAGGGTATATGGTATACATACACAATGGAATACTATTAGACCTTAGAAAATAAGAAAATTCTGTCATTTGTGATAACATGAATAAACCTAGAGGACATTATGTTAATTCAAATAAGCCAGGCACAGAAAGACAAATACTGCATGATCTCACCTACATGTGGAATCTATAAAAGCTGATTTCAATGGAAACAGAGAGTAAAATGTAGTTAAACCAGTGGCTGGGGATCACGTTGGGGAGATGTTTGTCAAGAGACTCAAAATTTTAGATAGACAGTAGAAATAAGTTCAAGAGATTTATTGTACAACATGATGACTATAATTAATAACAATGTATTGTGTTACTGGAAACTAGTAAAATAGTAGATTTTAAGGGTTCTCATAAAAAAATAAGTATGTAAGGAAATGCATATGTTAATTAGCTTGATCTAGCCATTCCACAATGTATACATATTTCAAAATTACATGTTGTATAGGATGAATATATATGATTTTGTCAATTAAATAAATATAAGAGCTAAAATGTCTAATAAAAAGACTGTGTATATGTGTAAAAGTCCAAAGCAATTTTATTATTAAGAAAAATCATCAGTGTATTAAAGACTTAAATGTAAAACTCCAAACTGTAAAACTCTGGAAGATAACTGACGCAATAGCATGCTGGACATAGGAATGGGCAACGATTTCATGGCAAAAGCAATTGCAAGAAAAGCAAAAACTCACAAATGGGATCTAGTTAAACAAAAGAGCTTCTGCACACAAAACAAACTGTCAACAAGTGAACAGACGATGTACAGAATGGGGGAAATATTTGCAAACTATGCATCTGACAAAGGTCTAATATCTAGCATCTGTAAGGAGCTTAAACAAATTTACAAGAAAAAAAACTACCCAATTAAAAAGTGGGCAAAGGACATGAACAGACACTTTTGATAAGAAGACATACATCAGCCAACAAGCATATGAAAAAAAGCTCGATATCACTGATCATTAGAGAAATGCAAATCAAATCTACAATGAGACTATCTCATACCAGTCAGAATGGCTATTATTAAAAAGCCAAAAAATAACAGTTGCTGGCAAGGTTGCGGAGAAAAGGGAACACTTATATACTGCTGGTGAGAGTGTAAATTAGTTCAACCATTGTGGAAGCAGTGTGGTAATTCCTCAAAGAGCTAAAAACAGAACTACCACTCAACCCAGCAATCCCATTACTGGGTATATGCCCAAAGGAATATAAATAGTTCTATCATAAAGACATGCATGCGTATGTTCATTGCAGCAGTATTTACAATAGCAAAGACATAGAATCAACCTAAATGCCCATCAATGCAAGACTGGATAAAGAAAATGTGATACATAGACACCATGGATCACTATGTAGCCACAAAAAGGAACGAGATCATGCCTTTTGCAGGAACATGGATGGAGCTGGAGGCCATTATCCTTAGCAAACTAATGCAAGAACAGACAATCAAATACCACATGTTCTCACTTGTAAGTCGGAGCTAAATGATGAGAAGACATGGACAGAAAGAGGGAGACAATAGACACTGGGGCCTACCTGAGGGTGAAGGGTGGGAGGAGGGAGAGGATCAGAAAAAAATAACTAATGGGTACTAGGCTTAGTACCTGGGTCTTGAAATAATCTGTACAACAAACTCCCATGACACAAGTTTACCTATATAACAAACTTGCACATGTACCTCTGAACCTAAAATAACACTTTTTTTTTAAGTAAATGCTCGAAAAAAAAAAGAAAAATCATCAGTACTTAAATTAAGGTGCATGATAACTTTTTATTTGATTCAGTCAATAGGCACTCTTGATGACTTAAATATATGAAAATAAGAAATAGATGCTGTGAAGATCCAAAAACTAATTATGCATCTCTGTGCTCAAGGGAACTTGTTCTTTAATAGAATTATATCCTAAATATGTCCAATTCATCTACTCTTTCCTACAACGTATAGGAAAGCAGGAAATACAGACCAGGTCACTATCAGAATGAATGCATTCTTACTGATAGAAAGTCACAGTTGGATTTCAATATCAAACAACTTTTGACATTCTCACTCCAAATGAGCTTTACTGTTTTTCCACATCAGTGACTCCCTTCAAAGGTTATGACACTGAAAAAAATGCTGCATTTAGAAAGCACTGAGTGATACTGATCATTTCCATATCTCTCAGATCATCAGACATAAACACTCAAATACTTCTCTGGAGGAAGCAAGTCGTTCAACACTAACTCTAGAGGCAGCATCATATTCTTATATAGAGAAATGCTTCTGGGCCAAGACTCTGACCTTCCTTCATTTTTTCTAGACCCATCAAAAGTTACCTCTGAAAAAAAAAGGTCAAAATAAATTTTAAGGAATTCACCAAAAACTAGTAAAATTTATAAATGAGTTCAGCGATGTTGTGAGATTCATGTAAAATAAAAATTGTATTTTTGTATACTAGCAATTAATCCCAAACTGAAATTAAAGAAACACTTTTATATAACATTAAAGAGAATTGAATGCTTAGAAAAGATTTTAAAAGGTAGTGCAAGACTGGTACACTTAGAACTTAAAAAAAAGTTGTTGAAAGAAATTAAAGATCTAAACAAATTGAAAAAATTTCATGCACATGGATCATAAGAGGTAAATTTTTTAAATATGAAAATGTTTCCCAAATTGATCTATGGTTTCAACACAATCTCCATCAAAATCTCAGCAGGCTTTTTTGTAAACACTGAAGACTTGATTATAAAATTCATGTGGAAATGCCAAGGTCCCTAAATACCCAAAACAATCAGGCAAAAGAAGTTGGAGGACTCACACTCCTCAATTTCAAAACCTACTGCAGAGATACAGTAATCAAAGCAATGTAGTATTGGCATAAGGACAGACAAACAGATAAGTGGAATAGAATTGAGGTCAGAAATAAACTCATACATATATGGCCAACTCATTTTCTACAAGAGTGTCAAGACCATTCACTAGAGAAAGAATAATCTGTTCAACAAATGGTGCAAAGACAACTAGATATCAACGAATGAAGTTGGGTTCTTACTTCAGACCATACACAAAAATTAACTCAAAATGGATTATAGGTATAAATGTAATAAAATCCTTAGAAAATATGTGAGAAAACTTTGTAACCTTGGTTTAAGCAATTGTTTCTTAGTTATGACACCAAAAGCACCAGCAATGAAAAAGGAATAGATAAATTGGAGTTCATCAAAATTTTAAAACTTTTGTGCTTCAAAGGATAATGCCAAGAAAGTAAAAAGATAACCCAAAGTATGAGAGAAAATATTTGCAAAAGTTATCTGTGATAAGAATCTGTATCCAGAATATATAAAGAATGCTCACAACTCAATAATAAATGGACAAAAAATATTAAAAAGGGCAAAATATTTGAATAGATGTTTTTGCAAACAATATATGCAGAATGGCCAATAAGAACATGAAAAGATAGTAAATGCCATTGGTCATTAGGGAAATGCACATCAAACGAAAATGAGATACCACTTCACAACCATTAGGATGGCCATAACCAAAAAGACTGACAATGTTATGTGGTAGAGAGGATGTAGAGCCTTGTACATGGCTGGTGGGAATGTAAAGTGGTACAGCATCTTTGGAAAACAGTCTGGCAGTTCCTCAAAGGGTTAAACAAAACAAGCAAACTGTACTTCATATATATGAAGTTATATATGTATATGAAGTATAGTTCTCAAGGGTTGGGGGATTTGGAGTTAAGGGGAATGGAATGAAGAGTGATTGCTTATACATAGAATTTCTTTTGTGAGTGATAAAAATACTCTAAACTTATGGTGATATTTGTGTAACTCTAAATTTACCAAAAGCCATCAAATTATGCATGTTAATTGGTGAATTTTATGAGACATTAATGAATTATTTCTCAATAAAGACGTTACAAAAGGAAAAATTTCCATTTGTCTATTACCTTCCAAAAGGACCAAAATGAAGTACTTATAGTATATGCTTACGGAAAATACTGAGTTCAAGAACTATCAAACCAATTACTTTTTATTAATCATGAATTCAAAAGTCTGACATGAATAGATCACCTAGATTCTGGCTATTCAAAATGTGGTCCATGGAACAGGAGCATCACCTGGGAGCTTGCTAGAATTGCAAATACTTCTGACCAATCCCCAATCTAGTGAATCGGAATCTGCATTTTAGCTTGATCCCCATGTAATTCCTATGCTCATTAAGTCTGAAAAGAACTGGCATAATGTACAGCCTTTGTCTGTAATTCCTTATTCCTCTAGTTTTCTCACAGTTTAATCTCACTGTACCTACCTTTTATTCTCTGTTGTATGTCTAGTCTATTAACTCATTACATTAATCTATCACCCAACTTCTGGCTTCGTATCATTCTTTTGCAGGTTCAGATTCCATGGTGAATGATAAACCACATCTTACTAGCATCATCAACACCATTATCTCTTTGTCTATCACCTATATATACCTTGCAAACACTAATTTTAGATAAATTCAGAATCCTGCTTTCTGTTACTACTCTTGGATTCCTCAGCTTTACTGAAGAATAGCAATTTGTGTGTCCTGGTGCCTCTAAGAAATTTGCAATCTCTAATGTCAAGTGATGTTTCAGAGCCATTCAGAAATACATTGTATGCTTTTTGCTATTATAATTTCCAAAAATGCTAATTCTACACCTCACTTATGCCTCTGTCTTTATCAGATAATTCACCTTTGTACCTTATGCAGAAACCTGAGTTTTTCAGACTTGAATTTACTAGTCATTTCTCCACCCAAACTACCTGCATTTGCAACCATTGTAAAGTGTATCCTAGCCATTTAAGAGAAGGGGATTTTCTTCTCCCTGCTTAAGGTATTGCTACTAATCAATAGCTATACTCTTGCTCTCACCTCTTCAAATAATCTCAAAGTAACCATCTCCACATTTCTTCAACCTGATCCTCTTCCTGGCTTTTTTCCTGAGGTCTCAGGAAAGGTATTGTGCTCAAAACTTCCCTGTCTTAAAACCAACCAAACCCAACAGAACCCTAAGAAGAACAAATATAATTGCTCTCTTGAGCAGATCTATTTACCTTTCCCAAACATTTTCTTATTTGTTTCATAATACAGACTTATTTCTTGAAACTGCAATATATTCTACCTTAATTCACATTCAACTCTTCATACCCTGCGATCTGACTTTATTCTTGCTCTACTTTTATTGATCTTGCTATAGTAGCCAAAGGCCTCCCAATTTTTAGCTTCCTTGAAGCCTTTTCTGTCTTTACCTTTCTTGACTTTTCAACAGATATTGACATTGCTGACCAGATATTTTTTGAAATCTTTAGTCTCCTCTTTGTTCTTTGATCACTTTTACCCCTCTATACCTTCCAAGGATCATGCTTTTCTTTCAACTTCTTAAAAGTTGTTTCTTATGGTTTCATCTTTCAGCCTTATTCTAGTCTCTCAGTACTTACACGTTACATAAAATTTCAACTGCATACATGGTCTCATCATGATGATGACTTCCAATTTCGTGTCTCCATCTCTGACTTCTATCATGTTTGAGGGGAGAATGTGACCACAAAATTAAAACTCATAAAAGTTTTATAATCTCAGATAGGAAAAAGATCAGAAAACATAATACCATCATAAATTTCTCTTGAGAAAAACAAAAACATTTCTAAGAGATAAGTCAGTATAAAAACAATAAAAAAGAAAATTAATTTTAAAAGAAAATTTGGCTGGTTTTAAAACCATTCATAAATAGAACTAAGTTTAGATATATGTTGAAAATGTGTTCACTAAATATGATAAAAAATGTAATTTCTCAGGGAAAATGTTCATAATGTACAAGAATAAAATTCAATACTAACAAATTGAATTAAGCCATCATATACTTTGAAGAAAAACAGTGTGAAAGAAGTAACCAAATAATACTTTGGAAAATTAGGAAAAATGTAAAATGTTAGACTCCTTGGTAAGTAAAGACAATGACACTGTTACATGTCTGAAGTAATGTCACAGAGCTACATGTATAATAAACTTTAAATAATACTTAATGTATCTAAATGTTTTCATTACTGAACAGTAAAATGGCAATAATTTAATAATGCATTTAACTCTAAAAATTAATAAAAATTATTTCAGATATACAAAAGAATCTCAGAAATCAAATTAACAAAGACAAAAGCAGGAAACTATAAGATGAATTTTGAATTAGTAGTAGAATGCATTCTTTGCCAGTCTAGGATAAAATGAGAGAAACCAAAGATGTGCAAAAGTATAAAATATATATTTATAAATAAGAAGAACCTTTTTTATTGCAAGAGACTTTCTATTTAAGATGGTGGACAAGTGCATGAACTTGCTTCACCTCCTTGTCAAAACAAACAAACAATAAAAAAAAACAAAGTATACAACCTGGTACAGTAGAAGTTACAAAAAATGATGGAAAATACATATAGATAGAAGATATACATAAGTTGTAGATTCTGAAATTTTCTTGTTCTCTCTTGTGGTATGTGCATGTGTGTGTGATATGATTTAGCCATTTGTCCCTACCCAAATTTCATGCTGAATTGTAATAATCCCCATGTGTCATGGGAGGGACCCAGTGGGAGGTAATTGAATCATGGGGGTAGTTTTTTCCTGTGATGTTCTTGTGATAGTGAATCAGTCTCATGAAATCTGATGGTTTTATAAAGGGGAGTGTCGTGCACATGTTCTTGCCTGCCACCATGTAAGATGTGCCTTTGCTCCTCCTGAACTTTCCACCATGATTGTGAGGCCTCCCTAGCCATGTGAAACTGTGAGTCCATTAAACCTCTTTTTCTTTATAAATTACCCAGCTTTGGTATGTCTTTAATAGTGGCATGAGAACAGACTAATACAGTAAATTGGTACCAGGTAGTGGGTTGCTGCTATAAATGTGGAAGTGACTTTGGAACTGGGTAACAGGCAGAGGTTGAAACAGTTTGGAGAACTCAAAAGAAGATAGGAAAATGTGAGAAACTTTGGGACTTCCTAGAGACTTTGAGGGCTCAGAAGAAGACAGGAAGATGTGGGAAAGTTTGGAACTTCTTAGAGACTTGTTGAATGGCTTTGACCAAAATGCTGACAGTGATATGGACAATAAGTTCCAGGCTGAGTTGGTCTCAGATGGAGATGAGGAACTTGTTGGAAACTGGAGTAAAGGTCGCTCTTGCTATGCAGAGACTGGTGGCATTTTGCCCCTATCCCAGAGATCTGTGGAACTTTGAACTTGAGAGATATGATTTAGGGTATCTGGGGGAAAAATTTTCTAAGTGGCAAAGCATTCAAGAGAAAGCAGAGCATAAGAAAATTGGGAACCTAAGGATGCAATAGAAAAGAAAAACCCATTTTCTGGAAAGAAATTCAAGCCAACTACAGAAATTTGCATAAGTAGCAAGGAGTCAAATGCTAATTATGATGACAATGGGAAAAATGTCTCAAGGGCATGTCAGAGACCTTTGCAGCAGCCCCTTCTTTCACAGGGCCAGAGGCCTAGGAGGAAAAAATTGGTTTCCTGGGCCGGTTCCAGGACTTCCTTGTTGTGTGCAGCCTAGGGGCTTGGTGCCCTGCATCCCAGCAGCTCCAGCCATGGCTAAATGGGGCCATGGTACAGCTTGGGCTGTAGCTTCAGAGGGTGCAAGCCCCAAGCCTTGGCAACTTCCACATGGTGTTGACTCTGTAGGTGCACAGAAGTCAAGAATTGAGGTTTGGGAACCTCTGCCTAGATTTCAGGAGATGATTAGAAATGCCTGGATGTTCAGGCTGAAGATTGCTACCAGGGCAGGGCCCTCATGGAGAACCTTTGCTAGGGCAGTACAGAAGGGAAATGTGGGGTTGGAGCCCCCACACAGAGCCCCCACTGGGACACTGCCTAGTGGAGCTGTGGGAAGAGGGCCACCATCCTCCAGAACCCAGAATGGTAGATCCATGGGCAGCTTGCACCATGCACCTGGAAAAGCCACAGCCACTCAATGCCAGCCCATGAAAGCAGCCAGGAGGGAGGCTGTACCCTGCAAAGCCACAGGGGCAGAGCTTCCCAAGGCCATGGGAGCCCACCTCTTGCATCAGTATGACTTGGATATAAGACATGGAGTTAAAGGAGATCATTTTGTAAATTTAAGGTTTAATGACTGCCCTATTGGATTTTGTACTTGCATGGGCCCTGTAGTGCCTTCATTTTGGCCATTTTCTCCCATTTGTCACTGGTGTATTTACCCAATACCTGTACTCCCATTGTATCTAGGAAATAACTAACTTGCTTTTGACTTTACAGGTTCATAGGCAGAAGGGACATGCCTTATCTCAGATGAAACTTTGGATTGTGGACTTTTGAGTTAATGCTGAAATGAGTTAAGACTTTGGGGGACTGTTGGGAAGGTATGTCTGGTTTTGAAATGTGACGACATGAGATTTGGGAGAGGCCAGGGGTGGAATAATATGGTTTGGCTGTGTGTCCCCACCCAAATCTCACCTTGAATTGTAATAATCCCTATGTGTCATGGGAGGGACCCGGTGGGAGGTAATTGAATCATGGGGGTGGGTTTTTCCCATGCTGTTCTCATGATAGTGAATAAGTCTCATGAGATCTGATGGTTTTATAAAGGGGAGTTCCCTGCAGATGCGCTTGCCTGCTGCCATCTAAGATGTGTCTTTGCTCCTCCTTCGCTTTCTGCCATGATTGTGAGGCCTCCCCAGCCATGTGAAACTGTGAGTCTATTACATTTCTTTTTCTTTATAAATCACCCAGTCTCGGGTATGTCTTTATTAGCAGCATGAGGTGTGTGTGTGTGTGTGTGTGTAAGAATACAACATAAAATCTGTCCTCTTAACATATTTTAGTGCATTTTTTATATAAAATATACTTCAAAAAAGCTAAAAATTGTTATAGATTTATAAAAGTGACAAATGGGAAGGAAAGCAGGGATGTCATAAATTTCTGGAAGGGAGGAAGCATATGGGATCATATTAATTAATAAGCATTTCTGGGGAGCACAAAGGTTCAGAGTACACAGAAATTGCCAATAGTGGAAGGGGATTCATACAGCAGGGCTTGGATGAAGGGTACAAATTGAGTGATAGGAAAAATTGTCTGCAAAAGATAAACAGGTCAGCCTTCCCTGACCTTGTATCAAGCAGAGGTTCCTACCCCCTTATACCATAGCAGGGATGCCTCCATCCCATTTGAAGGCAAAATGTACTCTACACATAAATGTATAGTCTAGACAGCTTCTAGAAGAGAATCTGGTATTCTAAATCTGGATCCTTTTTATTTTAGCTTGGAGGTAGGAATGGGATATTGGCACTTAAAAATCCCTCAGCAAAGACTAATTAAAGTGTATGGGACCCCCTGTGGAGATGAATCACTGGATTAGAGAGGACCTAGAATGATTTTATTGCCTGCTTTTTTTGTTTCTCAGAAGAGAGCTGCCATCCCTCCCTCCCCAGGAGCCAGATTAAGCACTGCATTCTGGAGACTGCAAACCAGTGGGAAAGACAAAGAATATACAAATTAATAAACACATAATAGCCAAGTGCTATTGAGATCCTAAAGATAAAGCATGGGAAAGAAATTGAGGGGAAGTGCAATAGAAATGAGAAGGCCAAGGCTGGGCACAGTGGCTCACGCCTGTAATCCCAGCACTCTGAGGGGCCGAGGTGGGTGGATCACGAGGTCAGGAGATCGAGACCATCCTGGCTAACACGGTGAAACCCCATCTCTATTAAAAATACAAAAGAAATTAGCCGGGCTTGGTAGCAGGCACCTGTAGTCCCAGCTTCTCGGGAGGCTGAGGCAGGAAAATGGCATGAACCCAGGAGATGGAGCTTGCAGTGAGCCGAGATCATGCCACTGCATTCCAGCCTGGGTGACAAAAAAAAAAAAAAAAAAAAGAAAAGAAAAGAAAAAAGAAATGAGAAGGCCAGGAAAAGCCACTTTCTGAAAGATACATGTGAGCAGCAACCGGAGTGAAAAATAAAAGTTAATCATGGATTCTATAGAATTAGATCATCTAGATTTAATAAAAGAGAGCAAATAAAAAACATCTATTTACTTTAAAATTTTTTAAAATGGTGTGTTAAAAGTTTTTAATTGTTATTATTTTATCAAATATTAAGGTCTGACTATTCATTTTATTAAGGCATCTGGGCAAGCTATCAAGTTCTTCCTAATTCCCAGACCTCATTCTTTAACCGAGGGTCTCAGTAAGGATATTTTGGGTGAAAGGAACATGAAAGAAAGCAAAACAGTATGATAATACTGTTATTCTTTTGTTTATCTATATGCTTATTGTTATTTCTGCCATATTTCTTATTTATTTATAATAAAGAACATATTCTTATTTTTCCTCTATTTTTGGCCTTCCATTGTATCATTTTAGTTTTCTACATTCCTTACTTTTATTAGACTTTTTTCATTGCTTTACTCATATTGAATTTAGTCATTCCATTTCTAGTCTTTCCATAAGTTATGTATAACTTTTGCAAATGAATACTTTTAAATATATCAAGAAGATATAATAGATACTATTATATATTATAGAATGTACTTGTAAATAATTATATATAAACATGTAAAGAAGATATGTGTGTATTTGTGTTTGTGTACTGTATGTATACTATACAAACACAATTTGTGTAATATATAGTATAATTGTATACTATACTTGTGTAGTATACTTGTAGTAGAATATATTTGTTTTGTGTAGTGTATAGTGTGTGTTTGTATGTGTGTGTGTATTCAGAGGAAAAAAAATTTCCTTCTGAAAGTTTCAGATTTGTATTTCTTTCATAGATCCATTCTGTAGAGATGAGAACAACTGAGTATCAGGAGGTACAAGACATCAGGGTTTTTGTGCACAGGCTGGAAGACATCAGGCTCTTCTTACCCAGTGTCTCAGGTACCAGCCTTTAGGCCAGGGGCTAAATAGGGGCATTTTGAGTAAAACAAACATGAAAGGAAGCAAAACAGTGAGTATCATTAGTCAATATGTAATATTAGGATTCCTAGTATTGTTAGAAAAATGGAACAAAATTTTAAGTCTGGTTTGGCATGTATACTTAAGTTCTCATGTTTGCTTGTATATGAAACACACACATTCAGTTAACAACCAAAATCTACAAACATCTGATTTTTCTACTTGACACCAAGAAGTCATTTTATTACATTTTCTGCCATTTTTCATAGTTTTCTGTGTGTTTGCATTTCTGCGTATATCTGTGTGTGTGATATTATTTCTTTGGTGGGATATGATATTTAGTAAATACTTTTAATAAAACAAGTATGGGAACCAGCTGGCTCCTTTGCCATTTTACCTTCTGCCATGATTGTAAATTTCCTGAGGCCTCCCCAGCCATGAAGAACTGTGAGTCAATTAAACCTCTTTTGTTTATAAATTACCCAGTCTCAGATATTCTTTATAGCAGCTTGAAAATGGACTAATACAGTAAATTAGTTCAGCCCCTGTGGAAAATGGTTTGGAGAGTTCTCAAGGAACTAAAAATAGAACTACCATTCAACCCAGCAATCCAATTACTAGGTATATACCCAAAGGAAAATAAATCATTCTACCAAAAAGACACCTGCACTTGTATGTTTATTGCAACACTATTCACAATACCAAAGACATGGAATCAACTTAAGTGCCCATCAGTGGTGGATTGGATAAAGAAAATGTGACACATATACATCATAGAATACTACACAGCCACAAAAAAATAATGAATTATGTCCTTTGCAGCACTATGAATAGAGCTGCAGGCCATTATCCTAGGTGAATTAACACAGGAACAGAAGACCAACTAGTGTATGTTCTCACTTATAAGTGGGAGCTAAGGCTGGGCACGGCAGCTCACACCTGTAATCCCAGCACTTTGAGAGGTTGAGGCGGGTGGATCACCCGAGGTCGGGAGTTCAAGACCACCCTGACCAACATGGAGAAACCCTGTCTCTACTAAAAATACAAAATTAGCTGAGTGTGGTGGCACATGCCTGTAATCCCAGCTACTCGGGAGGCTGAGGCAGGATAATCACTTGAACCCGGGACGCAGAGGTTGCAGTGAGCCGGAGATCGTGCCATTGCACTCCAGCCTGGGCAATAAGAGCAAAACTCCATCTCAAAAAAAAAAAAACAAAAAAAAACTGGGAGCTAAACACCACAAACACAAATATGGGAACAATAAACATGGGATTTCAAAAGGAGGGAGGGAGAGATGGAGACAAGGGTTGAAAAACTACTTATTGGGTACTATGTTCACTACTTCAGTGATAGGATCATAGGTACCCCATGAATCTGAAATGTTTAAAAAATAAACCTCCCCTTTTTGCAAAAGCAAAAATATTAATTTTGGTGAGACTTTTCCATAATAATCTTGGTATCTTTAATTGAAGTTACATTAAAATCATAGATGATTTTAGAGACAATGTACATCTATATAAAATTTATAAATTTTCTTACTTATAAATTTCAAAACTATCAACATGAATAGAAAAGATACAACCAACAGATTAGATAAGTCTTTCACATTTTTCTCAGTTATATACATTGCTAATTTCTACCTCCTGTCATGGCCATTGAAGCTGAAAGCAACAAGGATGATTTAGGATAAGCTTATGTTGGAACTGACCTTATTACAGCTTAAGTAACAAAACAAAACAAAACAAAACCAGGAAATCCATAGGAACATTCCTGAAAGTAAAATTACATAAGCTGTTGAAGCTGTTGACTTTAGCCAGGGAAGCTTCATGCCGGAGTCAAATAAAATTTTATAGGACCTTCTAAACTATCTACTTTGAATAAGCATTCTTGACATTTGAATGCAGCCCTAATATGTCAGTGATTTTAAGTCCTTCTATTTTGATCCTCTTTAACTCCCATTTCCCAAAGCTCCCTTTTTCTCTCTGCCAAATACAAGATATTTTTTCTCACATATTTTCAGTAAACTTTTTATTTTGAGACAATTTTACAGTCACATGTAGTTGTAAGAAAAAATACAGAAAGAGCCTGTGCATCCTTCACCCAGTTTCCCCCAACGGTAAGTAACGTCTTGCAAGCAATCACAGAATATCACAACCAGAAAACTGGCAGTAATACAATACAAGGATCTTCAGTTTTCCCCAGTTTTACTTGCACTCATACATATGCGAGCATATGTATGTGTCTATCCTCTCCATCTTCTTTTTTCTACTTAAGATTTAATTAAATACTGTACATCAAGCAGATGAGTATCTTATCTGAATTATAGAATCACAATTTGTTTAACAGTTTTGATGTGGATGTGATGTACTCTAGAGCCTAGCATGGTTTGTAACAGAGTTTAAATGCATTTAATACATATTAATAATATTAATGTATTATGGAAATTAAGTGCTAGACTGTGGATTTGTGATATGTGAACTCAGTTGAACCAAGAAAGATATTTTTATTTGTGAGAAAGGGGTGAGTTTCTCATCTGTTGGTTTAAATTTATTAGTATGCAGTCTAGGTGATCAGCTTTCCAAATGAGTTTCTGCTTTCACATTATTCCAGCAAGACATTTATAATTAATGCTACAGGAAAATTACACTTGGGCAATATTTAGTCAATCTTTGTCAATAGGAAACAAAAGCATAAATCTAGCTCTAGATGGAAAAAAACAGAACACAAGATTGCTTTAGAATAAATAAGGTAAATGTTGATTAATTTAGCTACAGCTACATTTTTCCTCGATGAAACTCTATTTGGGTGGTGTGCCCATCTTTGTTTAAACTCACTGTTTCATCTTGTCATAACTATTATTTATTTATACACTGCCATTTGTGCTTAAAAATAAAGTCATTGCTTAAAATGACAAGCTCTAATTTCTCTTTATTTTGAAGTCATTATGTGGGTTTTACTTTTTCTAATTATGCTTGGTTCATCATGTTAAGAAAAGATGTTATCCCCAAAATGTACAAATAGAACTCAAAGATAGTTTTCTTCAAGAACAAATAGAAATGTGAAGAATGAAAACATTATAACTAGGGAAAACATGTTCTGCCTTCACTTTAGTATTTTTTATTGTTTTTTTTCTTCTTTTTTTATTTTATTATTATTATACTTTAAGTTTTAGGGTACATGTGCACAATGTGCAGGTTAGTTACATATGTATACATGTGCCATGCTGGTGTGCTGCACCCATTAACTCGTCATTTAGCATTAGGTATATCCCCTAAAGCTATCCCTCCCCCCTGCCCCCACCCCACAACAGTCCCCAGAGTGTGATGTTCCCCTTGCTGTGTCCATGTGTTCTCATTGTTCAATTCCCACCTATGAGTGAGAAATCATCATTTTTTATGGCTGCATAGTATTCCATGGTGTATATGTGCCACATTTTCTTAATCCAGTCTATCATTGTTGGACATTTGGGTTGGTTCCAAGTCTTTGCTATTGTGAATAGTGCTGCAATAAACAAATGTGTGCATGTGTCTTTACAGCAGCATGATTTATAGTCCTTTGGGTATATACCCAGTAATGGGATGGCTGGGTCAAATGGTATTTCTAGTTCTAGATCCCTGAGGAATCGCCACACTGACTTCCACAAGGGTTAAACTAGTTTACAGTCCCACCAACAGTGTAAAAGTGTTCCTATTTCTCCACATCCTCTCCAGCACCTGTTGTTTCCTGACTTTTTAATGATTGCCATTCTAACTGGTGTGAGATGGTATCTCATTGTAGTTTTGATTTGCATTTCTCTGATGGCCAGTGATGGTGAGCATTTTTTCATGTGTTTTTTGGTTGCATAAATGTCTTCTTTTGAGAAGTGTCTGTTCATGTCCTTTGCCCACTTTTTGATGCGGTTGTTTGTTTTTCTCTTGTAAATTTGTTTGAGTTCATTGTAGATTCTGGATATTAGCTCTTTGTCAGATGAGTAGGTTGTGAAAATTTTCTCCCATTTTGTAGGTTGCCTGTTCAATCTGATGGTAGTTTCTTTTGCTGTGCAGAAGCTCTTTAGTTTAATTAGATCCCATTTTTCAATTTTGGCTTTGGTTGCCATTGCTTTTGGTGTTTTAGTCATGAAGTCCTTTCCCATGCCTATGTCCTGAATGGTAATGCCTAGGTTTTCTTCTAGGGTTTTTATGGTTTTAGGTCTAATGTTTAAGTCTTTAATCCATCTTGAACTAATTTTTGTATAAGGTGTAAGGAAGGGATCCAGTTTCAGCTTTCTACGTATGGCTAGCCAGTTTTCCCAGCACCATTTATTAAATAGGGAATCCTTTCCCCATTTCTTGTTTTTCTCAGGTTTGTCAAAGATCAGATAGTTGTAGATATGCGGCGTTATTTCTGAGGGCTCTGTTCTGTTCCATTGATCTATATCTCTGTTTTGGTACCAGTACCGTGCTGTTTTGGTTACATACACCCTCCCAAGACTAAACCAGGAAGAAGTTGACTCTCTGAATAGATGAATAACAGGCTTTGAAATTGTGGCAATAATCAATAGCTTACCAACCAAAAAGAGTCCAGGACCAGATGGATTCACAGCCGAATTCTACCAGAGGTACAAGGAGGAACCCGTACCATTCCTTCTGAAACTATTCCAATCAATAGAAAAAGAGGGAATCCTCCCTAACTCATTTTATGAGGCCAGCATCATCCTGATACCAAAGCCAGGCAGAGACACAACCAAAAAAGAGAATTTTAGACCAATATCCTTGATGAACATTGATGCAAAACTCCTCAATAAAATAGTGGCAAACCAAATCCAGCAGCACATCAAAAAGCTTATCCACCATGATCAAGTGGGCTTCATCCCTGGGATGCAAGGCTGGTTCAATATACACAAATCAATAAATGTAATCCAGCATATAAACAGAACCAAAGACAAAAACCACATGGTTATCTCAATAGATGCAGAAAAGGCCTTTGACAAAATTCAACAACCTTCATGCTAAAAACTCTCAATAAATTAGGTATTGATGGGACGTATCTCAAAATAATAAGAGCTATCTATGTCAAACCCACAGCCAATATCATACTGAATGGGCAAAAACTGGAAGCATTCCCTTTGAAAACTGGCACAAGACAGGGATGCCCTCTCTCACCACTCCTATTCAACTAGTGTTGGAAATTCCGGCCAGGGCAATTAGGCAGGAGAAGGAAATAAAGGGTATTCAATTAGGAAAAGAGGAAGTCATATTGTCCCTGTTTGCAGATGACATGATTGTGTATCTAGAAAACCTCATCATCTCAGCCCAAAATCTCAAGCTGATAAGCAACTTTAGCAAAGTCTCAGGATACAAAATCAATGTACAAAAATCACAAGTATTCTTATACACCAATAACAGACAAACAGAGAGCCAAATCATGAGTGTACTCCCACTCACAATTGCTTCAAAGAGAATAAAATACCTAGGAATCCAACTTACAAGGGATGTGAAGGACCTCTTCAAGGAGAACTACAAACCACCGCTCAATGAAATAAAAGAGGATACAAACAAATGGAAGAACATTCCATGCTCATGGGTAGGAAGACTCAATATCGTGAAAATGGCCATACTGCCCAAGGTAATTTATAGATTCAATGCCATCCCCATCAAGCTACCAAATGACTTTCTTTACAGAATTGGAAAAAACTACTTTAAAGTTCATATGGAACCAAAAAAGAGCCCACATTGCCAAGTCAATCCTAAGCCAAAAGAACAAAGCTGGAGGCATCACGCTCCCTGACTTCAAACTATACTACAAGGCTACAGTAACCAAAACAGCATTTTTTATTGTTTGTCATTGTTGTTGTTAGTATCATTACTATTGTCATTATCTTGCATGGTTGTCAATTTGCTTTTATTTGGATTTTTTCCCCAGGAGTTCTGGACTACGTGAAATTCTTGGGCATGCTTGAGTTGTGGCGCATTCCTGGGCACAATTTATTCTGATTTTTGTTAGCTATTTGACAGATAAAACAGGACAATGGACAAAGAGCAGAGAATAATATAGGTAGGTGGGTTAGCTGGTTGATAAGCTAAAGGCAAAACAGAGGATTCCAGACAGGCTACATAGGGCTCAGAGTATGACTTCTGGAATGAGCTTTTCTAAGCCCCAAGAGCTGATAATTTTTCCTATTGTTAAATAGGAGAGATAATCACCAGTGTCCTCATCATTCTTTTAATGTTCACCACAAAATCTGACGTAGAGCAAAGTTAAGCGAAAGAGGGATCCATAAATAAATTATAATTCACATTTCCTTGACCATAGCTTCTCTATCCAGAAATATGTTTAAGTCAAACATTTTATTTTATGCCAGTGTAGACTTAGTGCCAATTGCTATTAAATTGGTAAATTAAATCAAATTAAACTTTATTAACTTTTGTTTTCATATCTATACATGAGACGATACCATATACTTTATATAAGCTGAAGATATTAAGATGATTTTACTAGATGGAGAAAGAGACAGAGAAAAGAATTCCAGGTAGACGGAACATTATTAGCAAATGCACGTAAGCATAAATATGCATATTAAGCATGATTCAATGTATAGCCAGAACAATGAGTACATTACTGAAAAATTATCATCATAATTTGATTTTAAGATAATGAAGGGCTTTGGATGTTGAAATTATTTATAATAGTAACATCATCAAGGACATTATGAAGATTTTCTTTTCCTATTTAGTACTCTTTCTTGTGCCTTTACTTTTTCCTTTTGCTAGATTATGAAATGCAATCTTGTGCTCACTTTTCACTTCAGGTTCCCTTCTATCAAAAGCCCTAACACTCGTGTTTAGATCCATTTCTTTGGAATTCTTATATTAGGAATTTTTACAAAGGCACAGGTAGTTATTTATGAAACTCAAGTTGGGTAAATACATAACTAGGTGTAATCCTAAGTGAGGCAGTGTTGGAAATCAGAAGAGCTTGATTAATTTATTGGAGAAAATCCAGAGTTTAAAGTCTAGAAGCATTTTCATCTCTTACTTTGGAGGATGGAACTTCTAAAGGGGGTTTTCTCTCTTTTACAATTTGAATTATCTTTCTCTGTGGTTCACATCTTAGAGCCATATCTACTATTGCTGACTAAATTGCTAGGATGAATTACCTGCTAGTTAGAAATAACAGGACTATAGAAGATATCCAATTATGAATAGGTTGAGGGCTGTAATAATGGAAATAAACTGAATTCTATACAAATCTTTCAGCAGGATACTCAGCAGAAAAAAATGTTTCTTCAATTGGCCTATAAAAATGACTTGCATTTCACATGGAGTAAGCCATCTCTTGATCCAAGCAAATGTTGAGTGCTGCAAAGTGGAAATCCAACGCTCTTTCCTCTCCCACATATACACAGAAGAGCAAAATAACAATGAAGAATAATAGAGAAGGGAAGCCAAAACTGGTATATTTCAGTTCATTTAAAAAATTGAAGTTTGAGGTTAAGAATATAGAGCAAGAGGTAAGATGCTCAGAATAAAGACAGAGAATTCAGTTACCATGGCAAATATCTCACTTTACCCCCAATTCATCATTCATCCCCATAAGGATGCCCCAAATAAATCTTTGTTGCCTTTTTCCGCGAGGAGAATGTTGTACTCTGCTTCAGGTAAATGGATGGAGTAAAGAACAGGACAGAGTCCATATGCTTTTTAGCCCATAAATCAGGTAAATAGCAGTATTTCATTCAACAATAACCATCTACTTCACACCAGGCTAAATTTCCTGGGGTTAGTGACACAATCGTATACAAGACAAAGTTCTTGCCTTCATGGAACCTGTATTCTAATGGAAGATGAGACCAATCATTAAATTATCAAATGAATGTACATTGTTTATAATTAATCATTCAGGTAATGATGAGTGCTATGAAATAATTTCAGTCAATAAGATACAATAGCTATGAGTGGATATTGCTCCTAAATTAAATTGGAACCTTATCAAGAAACCACTCGTAGGATTACAGGTAAGGAAGAAACATGATGTGAGCTCCTAATTTTTTTTTTTTTTTTTTAACAAGAACAAGTCAGCAACCTAGATTGACAGCAGCAACAGTAGCATAAGCTTTCTTTTCTCCTTCCCTACAGGAGCATCTGGGATAATGTCTGGATAATTATGGCCTTACTGAGGTTGAGAAAAGGCCTAATTCTGTCAAAGTGCTTTTTAATATTTTTATATAAAGGGTTTCCTCATTGTTTTGGAAGAACTTACTCTGATAATCCAAGTGATTATGTCCAGGAGAACGACTATAAACTCTAAGCTTTCTGGATTTCTACACCAAATTCAGACTCAGCAGGGATACATCTTCAGCCAAAGGAAGAAAACCAAATCAGGACAGCAGTGTTCATGAAAAATATCTCTGGCTTCAGAACTTCAGTATTTTGTAAATGCTGTTTCACCACAGCGAACCCCTAATTTTGAATTGGTATACTTAATATGTATGACTATGGTACTCTTTAAGTTAGATGCTCACAATAGAGTTATTTCTCACTTAGCCTTTACCTTGACTCCTTCCCTTTTACCTTGAATGAAAGTCTTGTATGGCTTTTCTACATCTCCCACCACATCTGTTTGATTACCTATTTTAGCTTACCTAGGGTAAGGTTTTGCAACAAAGGAATGAAGGATTGAGGCTTGGCTACCAGTAAAGGTCAGCCAAGAACATAAGGTACATCTTTATTAGACACTATCACACACTGTTCCATCTTCTTCCCTTTCTTAAATTCTTCATCTGTTTCCTTATACAAATATTTACTGAATATCTATTAGTGCTACATATGGAGCTGGAACTAAGAAAATCATGTGTTTCCTTGTGAAAGTCATACTCAGATGACAAAATAATTTTATGTAGCTAAGACCAAGGGGTAAACATTAATTTTAAATAATTATACAAAATACCAGGAAACAAACACTCAAAAAGACTAGCATTTACGCTCAACACAGAAATGGTGAAATAGCTAACTTCAGTAGTCACAGAAAATCAAAGATTAAATATACACTACTGCATGCAGTAGCAATTTTAAATAAGCTTTCTGCCTGATAGATGCTGTGTCCTGTTTCTCAGCTATGAATGATATGGCCAACTAAAAAATAATAATAATATACTGTACATCAAGGATAACAAATTGTTAAGACTTCACTGAGTATTGCTTTATCAGCAACTATGTAGAATGATAAATCATTGTTACCCATCACACACCATCCAAGAACATTAGTAACCTTCCTGAGAGCTCCGTGAAAATTTTCCTCTTTATAATTAACTCTCATTAGAAAGTTGCAGTTTTTTTCAGAATGACCACCAATGACACAGATGCAGCTGAGAACAGCTGAGACACAGGTGTTTGATGTTTGGTTTGTTGTTAATAGTTCATCATGCATGAAGTGACTAAATCATTTTTTTACACTACTCATTTTGTTGAATTAAATGGAGAAAGATGATTACATTTATTATTTCTAAGTTTTCATTGGCAATATCAAAGGAACAGACTTTTTTCTGCTGGAATAATAAAATCTGTTATAATGTTTCAATAAATAATGTTTTACATTAACATTTAAAATACTCATATTAGGACACACCAAAGGGGGACAAGAGTTGCCTTGACAGAGCTCCCACTGGTCAAATTGGGACAAATTGAACATCAGAAAGAATAATAATGGTAATGGTTTATATTATATTGAATATAAAAAAGAATTCCTGAGGATCCTCAGCCAGTGTCTTCTTATTATGCCTCTCTTGCCTTTTTTTTAAGGTAAATAAATAATTTTTTAAAAAAGGTCCTTAAGTTCAGACCTATGCTAGAGTTATATTTCTGAGGAGCATCTGAGAAAAATGTGAATTTTTATCCCTTTTCTGAGTGACTCTTTTTTTTTTTGGCTGGCCAGCAATCTTCACTTCATGTGGGTTGGTGCCTTTGCCTGCCTCTTTGTCTCTTCATTCTCTGTCCCCTCCCCATCACCATGATTGGGACTGTGAATGTCAGTCACGGACATTTCTGAGTCAAAATGGTGGCATGTCGGGTTACTAACTGCTTCCTTCAAGAACCATCTGCAATTACATTCAAAGGGTTTACCTTTTGGATCTAAATTTAAATCCAAAATTGGTTTACCAATTAAATCCAAAAGGGAGCTAAGTGAGGTGGTGCGTGCCAGAAGCTCTAGCTACTTGGGAGGCTGAGGCAGGAAGATGGCTTGAGCCCATGAGTTTGAGGGCAAACACTGTTGGAGAAGCTATTCAGCAGCAGGAGAAGGGGCCTCCAGAAGAAGCAGAGAAGTTTTGCTCAGGGATCATTGCCATGGCTCTTCTCCTTTCTTTTAGTGATTGCTTCAGGGAACCATGTAATCAGAATGTCCAGATGAGTGCAGCTTCGTTTGATGTTTTGAACAAAACTTTGTACAGAAGCTTATATCAATATACAAAGATCATGGATGCTTGTAGATACAATGAACCACAAATGAAAATTTGAGGTCAGCCATCCATCAGACATAGTCAACAAATAATGTGGATGGAAACTGGTTAGTCTCTTCTGTACACAGAAGTAAAATGATTATTGATGAAACAAGACATCAGCCTGAGAGGTGCAGCCAGCTGGATTTCTGGGTTGGGTGGGGACTCGAAGAACTTTTCTGTCTTACAAGAGGATTGTAAAATGCACCAATCAGCACTCTGTAGCTAGGATTGTAAAACACACCAATCAGCGCTCTGTGGCTATCTAGAGGTTTGTAAAATGCGCCAATCAGTGCTCTGTGAAAACGCACCAATCAGCGCTCTGTGGCTAGCTAGAAGTTTGTAAAATGGACCAATCAGCACACTGTAAAATGGACCAATCAGTGCTCTGTAAAATAGACCAATCAGCACTCTGTAAAATGGACTGATCAGCAGGACATGGGCAGGGATAAATAATGGAATAAAAGCTGGCCAACCCAGCCAGCAGTGGCAACCTGCTCCGGTACCCTTCCACACTGTTGAAGCTTTGTTCTTTCGCTCTTCACAATAAATCTTGCTGTTGCTCACTCTTTGGGTCTGTGCCACCTTTAAGAGCTGTAACACTCACCACAAAAGTCCGCGGCTCCACTACTGAAGTTAGCAAGACCAAGAATCCACCAGAAGGAACCAAATCCGGACACATCTTGGCGACCAGGAAGGGACTATCACCAAGCAGCGATTACCACTGGACCCCTTTTGCTTACCTTTCTGTCCTATTTTTCCGTAGAATTCGGGGGCTAAACATGGGGCACCTGTCGGCCAGTTAAAAGTGACTAGCATGGCCGCCAGACTAAAGACACGGGTGTCAGGCTTTCTGGGAAAGGGCTCTCTAACAACCTCCAACTCTTCAGGGTTTGGAGTGTTGGTTTGCCTGGAACCAGTTTCCACTTTTCCTGTACTTCTGGGCTGAGCCGAGGATCGACAGAGAAGAAAGCCATTCAGCTCCGGGGTCCCAACAAAAAGCTGGTTGACCCTGCAGCCATGAGCGGAACTGTCAAAGTCATGTCACTCAAGCGAGACTCACCCATCTATCCTATCTATCCTGACCCTTGCCTCCTGGGTCCTAATGCCTATCAGACAAACTTCCTCTCGCCTCTCTTCTCCAAGGCCAGTCCTGCTTCTAAAAACCACTACCTGTCTCTGGTGCTTTTCTAGTTTCTCCTGTAAGAATGATTTCTAGTATAAACTTCAGGACTCTGTTCCCTTCTTTAGGCACCTGGGCTCACCAATCAGACAGACGTAATTGTTGCCCAAAGCCCCACTGGTGGGGAGACTATCTGGAATTTTAGGATCCCTCCTCAGAAAAGCAGGCCTAACAAAGGCTATTCCCAAAGCTAGGGTATGGGGAGCCTGAGAAATGATATCCTTCCTATCCACATGATGAGAAGTGAGGACAAAAGGCGTCACTCTTCCAACCCTAGAAATCCCTTCCCTCCCTCAGGGTATGGCCCTCCACTCAATTTTTGGAGCATATCACCTTTGGAGGACAAGGGTAAGGTCGCAATACTAACAGGAAAAAAAGGCTTAGGACTCTAACAGGTTTTCGAGAATGTGTCGGTAAGGGCCACTAAATCCAATTTTTCTCGGTCCTCTTTGTGGTCTAAGTGGAAAGGTGAGGGTGCAGGTTTTTGAGAATGCATTGGTAAGGGCCACTAAATTCGACCTTCCTCAGTCCTCTTTGTGGTCTAAGAGGAAAACTAGAGTTTCTGCTGCTGCTTCGGTGAGCACAACTATTCTGATCAGCAGGGTCCAGGGACCATTGAGGGTTCTTGGGCAAGAGGGGGATCTGCTGCTGTGTCAGTGAGTGCAACTATTCCAATCAGAAGGGTCCAGGGACCTTTGTGGGTTCTTGGGCAAGAGGGGGATCTGCTGCTGTGTCAGTGAGTGCAACTATTCCAATCAGAAGGGTCCAGGGACTGTTGCAGGTTCTTGGGCAGGGGGTGGGGGGACAAACCAAAACCATGGGCAGTTTTTTCTTTCACATGGGAAACACTCAGGCAGCAACAGGCTCACCCTTGAGATACATCCTAAGCCACTGGGACAAATTTGACCCACAAACCCTGAAAAAGAAGTGGCTTATTTTTTTCTGCACTATGGCCTGTCCCCAATATTCTCTCTCTGATGGGGAAAAATGGCCACTTGAGGGAAGTATAAATTACAATACTATCTTGCAGCTTGACCTTTTCTGTAAGAGGGAAGGCAAATGGAGTGAAATATCTTATGTCCAAGCTTTCTTTTCATTGAAGGAGAATCCACAACTATGCAAAGCTTGCAAACTACATCCCACAAGAGGACCTCTCAGCTTACCTCCATATCCTAGCCTTCCTATAGCTCCCCTTCCTATTAATAATAAGCCTCCTCTAATCTCCCCTGCCCAGAAGGAAACAAGCAAAGAAATCTCCAAAGGACCACAAAAACCCCCTGGCTATCGGTTAGTGTTCCCCTTCAAGCTTTAGGGGGAGGGGAATTTGGCCCAACCCAGGTACATGTCCCATTCTCCCTCTCTGATTTAAAGCAGATCAAGGTAGACCTGGGAAAGTTTTCAGATGATCCTGATAGGTAACAGATGTCCTACAGGGTCTACGGCAAACCTTCAACCTCACTTGGAGAGATGTCATGCTATTGTTAGATCAAACCCTGGCCTTTAATGAAAAGAATGCAGCTTTAGCTGCAGCCCGAGAGTTTGGAGATGCCTGGTATCTTAGTCAAGTATATGACTGAATGACAGCTGAAGAAAGGGACAAATTCCCTACTGGTCAGCTAGCTGTTCCCAGTATGAATCCCGACTGGTATCTCGACTCAGATCATGGGAACTGGAGTCATGAACATCTGTTGAACTGTGTTCTAGAAGGGCTAAGGAGAATTAAGGAAAAAGCCCATGAATTATTCACTGATGTCCACCATAACTCAGGGAAAGGAAGAAAATCCTTCTGCCTTCCTCGAGTGGCTACGGGAGGCCTTAACAAAATATACTCCCCTGTTGCCCAACTCCCTCGAGGGTCAATTGATCCTAAAAGATAAGTTTATTACCCAATCAGCCACAGATATCAGGAGAAAGCTCCAAAAATGAGCCCTGGGCCCTGAACAAAATCTGGAGGCATTATTAAACCTGGCAACCTCGGTGTTCTATAATAGGGACCAAGAGGAACAAGCCAAAAAGGAAAAGTGAGATCAGGGAAAGTTGCAGCCTTAGTCCTCGCCCTCAGACAAACAAACCTTGGTGGTTCAGAGAGGATAGAAAATGGAACAGGCCAATCACCCAGTAGGGCTTGTTATCTGTGTGGTTTGCAAGGACACTTTAAAAAAGATCGTCCAATGAGAAACAAGCTGCCCCCTCACCCATGTCCACTATGCTGAGGCAATCACTGGAAGGTGCACTGCCCCAGAGGACAAAGGTTCTCTGGGCAGAAGCCCCCAACCAGATGATCCAACAACAGGACTGAGGGTGCCTGGGGCAAGTGCCAGCTCATGCCATCACCCTCACTGAGCTCCAGGTATGTTTAACCATTGAGGGCCAGGAAATTGACTTCCTCCTGGACACTGGCATGGCTTTCTCAGTGTTAATCTCCTGTCCCAGACAGCTGTCCTCAAGGTCCATTATGATCTGAGGAATCCTGGGACAGCCTGTAACCAGGTATTTCTCCCACCTCCTTAGTTGTAATTGGGAAACTTTGCTCTTTTCAAATACCTTCCTTGTTACGCCTGAAAGTCCCACACCCTTATTAGAGAGGGACATATTAGCCAAACTGGAGCTATTATCTATATGAATATGGGGAACAAGTTACCCATTTGTTTTTCCCTACTTGAGGAGGGAATCAACCCTGAAGTCTGGGCACTGGAAGGACAATTTGGAAGGGCAAAAAAAGCCTGCCCAGTCCAAATCAAGCTAAAAGACCCCACCACTTTTCCTTATCAAAGGTAATATCCCTTAATGCCTGAAGCTCATAAAGGATTACAGGATATTGTTAGACATTTAAAAGCTCAAGGCTTAGTAAGAAAATGCAGCAGTCCCTGCAACACCCCAATTCTAGGAGTACAAAAACCAAATGGTCAGTGGAGACTAGTGCAAGATCTTAGACTCATCAACGAGGTAGTAATTCCTTTATATCCAGTTGTACCCAACCCCTATACCCTGCTCTCTCAAATACTAGAAGAAGCAAAATGGCTCACTGTTCTGGACCTCAAGGATGCCTTCTTCTGTATTCCCCTGCACTCTGACTCCCAGTTTCTCTTTGCCTTCAAGAATCCCACAGACCACATGTCCTAACTTAATGGACAATCTTGCCCCAAGGGTTCAAGGATAGCCCTCATCTGTTTGGTCAGGCACTGGCCCAAGATCTAGGCCACTTCTCAAATCCAGGCACTCTAGTCCTTCAGTATATGAAGTTACTTTTGGCTACCAGTGCAGAAGCCTCATGCCAGCAGGCTACTCTAGATCTCTTAAACTTTCTAGCTAATCAAGGGTACAAGGCATCTAAATCAAAGGCCCAGCTCTGCCTACAACAAGTCAAATATCTAGGCCTAATCTTAGCCAGAGGAACCAGGGCCCTCAGCAAGGAGCGAATACAGCCTATACTGGCTTATCCTCGCCCTAAGACATTAAAACAGTTGCAGGGGTTCCTTGGAATCAACAGCTTTTGCCAACTATGGATCCCCAGATACAGCGAGATAGCCAGGCCCCTCTATACTCTAATCAAGGGGACCCAGAGGGCAAATACTCATCTAGTGGAATGGGAAACAGAGGCAGAAACAGCCTCCAAAACTTTAAAGCAGGCCCCAGTATAAGCTCCAGCCTTAAGCCTTCCCACAGGACAAAACTTCTCTTTATACCTCGCAGAGAGAGCAGGAATAGCTCTTGGAGTCCTTACTCAGACTCGTGGGACAACCCCACAACCAGTGGCATACCTAAGTAAGGAAATTGACACAGTAGAAAAAGGCTGGCTTCACTGTTTATGGGTAGTTGCGGCAGTGGCCATCTTAGTTTCAGAGGCTATCAAAATAATACAAGGAAAGGATCTCACTGTCTGGACTACTCATGATGTAAATGGCATACTAGGTGCCAAAGGAAGTTTATGGCTATCAGGCAACTGCCTGCTTAGATACCAGGTGCTACTCCTTGAGCGACCAGTGCTTCAAATATGCATGTGTGCGTCCCTCAACCCTGCCACTTTTCTCCCAGAGGATGGGGAACCAATCGAGCATGACTGCCAACACATTATAGTCCAGACTTATGCCGCCTGAGAGGATCTCTTAGAAGTCCCCTTAGCTAACCCTGACCTTAACCTATATACCGATGGAAGTTCATTTGTGGAGAATAGTATATGACGGGCAGGTTATGCCATAGTTAGTGATGCAACAGTACTTGAAAGTAAGCCTCTTACCCCAGAGACCAGCGCCCAGTTAGCAGAACTAGTGGCACTGACCTGAGCCTTAGAACTGGGAAAGGGAAAAAGAATAAATGTGTATACAGATAGCAAGTATGCTTATCTAATCCTAAATCCCCATGCTGCAATATGGAAAGAAAGGGAGTTCCTTACCTCTGGGGGAACCCCCATTAAATACCATAAGGAAATCATAGAGTTATTGCACGCAGTGCAAAAACCCAAGGAGGTGGCAGTCTTACACTGCCAAAGCCAAAGCCAAAGGGGAAGGAGAAGGGAGAACAGCAGCATAAGTGGCTGGCAGAGGCAGGGAAAGACCAGCAGAAAGTCAAAGAAAAGAGAGAGAGGGGAAAGACAGAAAGTGAAAGAGAGAAGGAAAGAGAGAGGAAGAGACAGAGAGACAAAGAGGGAGTCAGAGAGAAAGAGACAAAGTCAAAGAGAAAGAAAGAGAGAGACAGAAAGTCAAAGAAAGAGAGAGAGAAGTAGTAAAGAAAAAAGTGTACCCTATTCCTTTAAAAGCCAGGGTAAATTTAAAACCTATAATTGATAATTGAAGGTCTTCTCTGTGACCTAGAACACGCCAATGCCACCTTATTGTTAGTGTAAACAAGGGGGTAGCCCGAAAGCACTGAGGCCACTGACAACCCATAGCCTTCCTATCAAAAATCCTTAACCCAGCAGGATTCCTAACAGGGGATCTAAATCTTAATTAATTACCATACAAAGGTCCAACCAGACCTAGGAGGAACTCCCTTCAGGACAGGATGATAGATGGTTCCTCCCAGGAGATTAAGGGAAAAAGACACAATGGGTATTCAGTAAGTGACAAGGAAACTCTTGTAGAAGCAGAGTTAGGAAAATTGCCTAATAATTGGTCTGCTCAAACGTGAGAGCTGTTTGCACTCACCCAAACCTTAAAGTACTTACAGAATCAGGAAAGAGCCATCTATACCATTTTTAAGTTAATATGGACTGAACTAGGTCTTATTAATAGCAAAGAATAATTGAAATCCCAAACTTACAAGATTTTCAATAAAAGTAAAGTTTGCTAAAAGTTAACAGTGTAATATGTATTATCCTAACTTCTAATCTTGTGGAAATCAGACCCTATCAGTGCCCCTCAAAGCTCAAGCTGCAAGAAATAACAAAATCTATCCTTAGTCTACAATTCCAAATAGACTCTTTGGCAGCAGTGACTGTCCAAAACCGCCAAGGCCTAGACCTCCTCACTACTGAGAAAGGAGAACTCTGCACCTTCTTAGAGAAAGAGTGTTGTTTTTACACTAACCAGTCAGGCATAGTAAGAGATGCTGCCCAGCGTTTACAGGAAAAGGCTTCTGAAATCAGACAATGCCATTCAAACTCTTATACCAACCTCTGGAGTTGGGCGACATGGCTTCTCCCCTTTCTAGGTCCTGTGACAGCCATCTTGCTATTACTTGCCTTGGGGCTCTTTTAACCTCCTTGTCAAATTTGTCTCCTCCAGGATCGATGCCATCGAGCTACAGATGGTCTTACAAATGGAACCCCAAATGAGCTCAACTAACAACTTCTACCAAGGACTCCGGGACCGACCCACTGACCCTTTGGCTGGCCAAGAGAGTTCCCCTCTGGAGGACACTACCACTGCAGGGCCCCTTCTTCGCCCCTATCCATTTTTTAGAGGCAAAATCGATACAGGCTTCCTGGACAGAATAGGTCGGGTTACTGACACTGCCTCCTGGGGATGCACTGCTGGGGGGTCCTCCATGCCCCCCCTGGGGCTGAAAGTGGACCTCAGACAAAATTTTGTTCAGAGATTTCATTGACTGTGTCTCCAAAGCAAGTATCAGTCCAGCTCGACAGCCATCAGCCCACGCAGAGCATCTCACAGCCTCCACCACCCCCATCCCTTCTGTGGTCTGATGGTCAAGGACAGCCTGGGTCACAGCTGCCCCATACTTCTCTCTCTACTGAGTTTCACACCAGCCACGAACACTCTGTTTTCTCTACTTTGAAAACAGCTGTAACAACCCATCCCCACCACCTCTGCCTTGCACAGAGTCTTCCAGCTCCATGCCTGGCCTGCGCATAGTGCCTCCCCCACCTCCCCTTCTCCCTGGCATGACAGTGCTTACTCTGCCCAGTACAGCCATTCCCCTACCTCCTCCTCTGCTAGGTACAGAAATGCTGCCATCCCCTCCCCCTCCTCTACCCAGAGTGGGAATACCTCCTCTGCCCCCTCTACCCAGAGTGGGAATACCTCCCCGCCCCCACTCCCCAGAGTGGGCATACCGCCTCCTCCCCTTCTTCCCGGAGCTGGAATACCCTCTCTGCCCCCTGTACCCGGAGTGGGAATACCCCTTCCACCCCCTCTACCTGAAGCAGGAATACCTCCTCCACCCCAACTTCCTGGAGCAGGAATACCTCCTCCGCCCCCTCTACCCAGAGTGGGAATACATCCTCCACCCACTCTACCCCCTCTACCTGGAGTGGGAATACCCCCTCCACCCCCTCTACCTGAAGTGGGAATACCTCCTCTGCCCCCTCTACCTGGTGCTGGGATTCCCCCACCTCTTCCCTTGCCAGGTATGGGGATTCCACCTGCTCCAGCTCCCCCTCCCATTTCACCTGAGAGAGGAATCCCCCCACCCACTCTGCTTCTTCCATCAGGCCCTCCACTCCTCCCACAAGTTGGGAGGAGCATTTTACTAACACCACAGGTGTGTGGGTTTCTTCCTCCTCCATTGACAAATGGCTTGTTTGGATTAGGGATGAATCAGGACAAAGGGAGTAGGAAGCAGCCCATAGAGCCTTGTCGACCAGTGAAGCCTCTTTACTAGACAAGAATTCAACTACATAGTAAAAGAGACTCCAGTGCTTCACTTATTTGGGAAAAAAAATTGAAGAGCCATCTATAGATTGTCATGAATTTGAGGAATTGTTTTCTAAAACTGCTGTAAAGGAGAGAAAGAAACCTATCTCTGATACCATCTCAAAGTTGACAGCTAAACAATGCTAAAAGCACCAGCGGGCCAGGGGCGGTGGCTCATGCCTGTAATTCCCAACACTTTGGGAGGCCGAGGCGGGTGGATCGCTAGGTCAGGAGATCGAGACCATCCTGGATAACACGGTGAAACCCCGTCTCTACTGAAAATACAAAAAAATTAGCCAGGCATGGTGGCATGCACCTGTAGTCCCAGCTACTCAGGAGGCTGAGGCAGGAGAATCACTTGAACCCAGGAGGCGGAGGTTGCAGTGAGCCAAGATTGCACCACTGCACTTCAGCCTGGGCTACAGAGCAAGACTCTGTCTCAAAAAAAAAAAAAAAAAAAAAAAAAAAACCACCAGCATACTCTGTGGATGGAGCCAGAAATCAAACCTTGTCTCTATGACAGGGCCAGAAAGAAACATCTTGCCATTGACCAGAGAGCAGGGAGCAAAGCAAAATGCCTAGATGAATACCGAACGACCATTTACTGAATTATTAAAAGTTTATTACGTGATTCTATTCAATAAACATGTGCTAGGTGATTGAAAATTAAGAAAAAAAAATGGATTCCTAAGTCCACAGTAATACTCAAAACAAAATAAGAAAAAGGAAAGTTCTTCATTGCAGAAACATGCCATCTAATCAACTTAGATGTAACAATACAATTGGAAAATCACCAATGTCCTTTGCAACCACTAATACAATTATTGATTTAGGCAAGAATCATCAACAGATGCTAAAACCATTAGGTGAAGTGTAGTAGGAGGCCAAGATAGTAATATATTCTCATAGTATGAAGGCACAAGTTGCTTATTAATTACAATGAGAAAATTATCTCTAATAAAGAGAGCTAGAAAACACCATCTTAATCCAGTCTTCAAACTTAGCATAACAATAATGAGACAAACTGGCATTACATGCTTTCTGATACACTATAATGAAAAGTACGCACATTATATTTGTAGGATTCTTATAAAATGATCTTTAACATGAATATAATCACAAGGAAACATTTAGATAAATAAGAATGTGAGCTATTCTACAAGACAATTGACCTGGACTCTTTAACATATCCCCATGATGAAAGACTAAAAGAGAGATGGGATTTTTTTAGATTAATGGAAGCTAAGGAGATATGATCATCAAATGCAATAAGTGATCCTCAATTGGATATTGGGGTAGAAACAAAGATTTGTAAAAGAGCATTTGAGGAAATTTGAATATGGACTCTGTGTTGACTACAATTGTATCATTGTTAAAATTCTTGGGTGTGATAGTACTCTGGGGTTATGTAGTAGGATGTCCTTAATTTTAGGAGATACAGGATAAATTATTTATGATCTGTCATCATATCTACAATTTAATTTCAAGTGCTTCAGCAAAGATGATGCCACAGATATAGGCATAGGTCCAGTAAATGTTTTTAAATGTTTTAAAATAGCCATCTTCTGATGAAAGTTTTTATTATTATGTTGTGGCACTCTCAGATTTTCTCAGCTGCTTGGTTACAAAATGCAGTCTTAAAATGGATCAGCCCTTTTCCATACCACAGGTAGATTATAAAGTTATAAAGTCTTATTTTATCTTTATATGTTAACAAAAATGTGGACCATGCCCATCATTCCATACTAATAAAAGAATAGAAAGGGTTTGGAGAAAGGAAAGGAAAGATAATATAAGCAGAGTTTTGGAAGCAAAAGCAATACTATCTGGAGAAAAAGAAAGGAAAGATTTTGCAGTTTTTCCTTGTGTTTTTATGTTACATGAAAGTAAGCATTTTTGTATGTATTATTCACTAGTCTGTTCTAACTGCCTAGAATAGTGCTGCTACAAAATAGATAATAAATGGATATTTGAAAGAATGTGAGGTTATACTAAGTGCCTTTATACAAACTATCTCATTTAAATTTTATGTAGAGAGACAGAAAGTCTAACACCCAGAATGTTTATACAGATGGAATAGAGAGTCAATTACTTGCTGGGATGTACTGAGGCAACAGCTTGAGTCTAGTTCTATTCATTCCCACAGCCCATGTATCAGATACACTGCCCTTCTAAACATCATTAGTTCTTTCCCTTCAATTTATAGGAAAGGAAGCACAGAGGCAGGAATAGGTCTTTATTAAGGTAGTATAAATAGTTTATTGCAAAACAAAACTGATGCCCTATGTTCTTTACCCTAGTCTACATAGAACGTAAAATCGGCTAGTCTTTGCTAATAAGGAAAATTATATGTTATAGAGGAAACTGCTCTGGATGTAGTGTTAGATGTCCCTGTGTTCAAATCTTAGTTCTGTTCCTACTGCCACAGAGTTGTCAATAAATATTTGTTAAATGAATGGCTATTTTATACATATCTCATCAGCTCTTCTTTTATTTAGATGGACATACCGACTTGATAGCTCTGTTGTGAGGAACAAGATTCATGACTGTCACATCACTTCTCTTTTCCAAAATGAATATTTATTTCAAAATCAAATCTATTAGTATTGGAGGAATCATTGCTTGTCTACTCTTACTCTTGAAAATATCTGAATAAAGGCACTTTAGCAAGTTAATAACTACAGAATCTTCTTACTCTGAAGTAATATTCCTCTGGATTTTCCACTTAAACCTTCTTTAAATTAATATCAGATGGCCCTTGTGGCATATATTGCAAATGATTGCTGGAATCTGGACATTTCTCTTCTGAGCCCCATGTAAAAATTATTCTTCCCAACTTTTTAAAGACAAATATAACTATATGAGTAGCTCTGGTTAATGAGAGTGGGCCATGATGATGTTTGTCAGTATGAGACACATGAGCTCAGCTCATCCCCTGCCTTGGTGATCACTAAAACACTTCAGAAGGATCTCTCTTTAACTTGGGCCCTTGAGTAACAACAATGAGAAAAGCTTTCCTGCTAATCTTTATTAGAAATTAAACAAATAAATCCATCTTGATTTATCCAGTATGGTTTTGGGGAATGGATATTTGAATACAGCTCCTAAACTTGCCTTTTAGCTGTCAACACCACAATTGGAGCAGGGCAATTTAGGTTGCCTGTATTAGTTTACAACTTTCCTTCTCCCTTTTGAGCCTCCCTATATCCTCTCTGCTGCTCAATTTCAGTTAAAGATTTTGTTTATCTCACTGAAAAATAAAAAAAAAGTCAGAAAACAATTTCACAGTGGCCCAGTACCACTAAATTGGTCATTCTTTTCTCCACATTTTGACTATGATTGAACTGTCTGTGGTACTTCTATCTAAGCCAATTTCTCTATTTGCACACTAGATTCCATCTCCTTTCTTATTCCATGGTATTTTTCTGAAGATGTTTCCTTCTCTTATGCTTCATTGCTTTTCCCTTTTCTAATGGATCAACTTCCATCATCATACTATCCTCTGGTTACCTCTCCTATCTAAAATAAATCAAAATCCTGCCAGGAAGGGGAAAAATATTTTCCACCTTCCTCATCAGTCACTGAGTTTTTTCAATTTATATTTTGATCATAAAACCTGTTAATATAATACCATGCCTGTCATATTTGCAAAATATGCACCTGAGCTATGATCACCACCTTTTTAAGTACAACAAAATTTCCCAAATGTAATCCATTCTAAACAAGGTAAGAATAATCACACAATTATTAATATGTTCCATCCACACTAACTACATGAAATATTCATACTCAATAATAATATAATTGTGTTTAGAATAATTTTAGATTTACAAAAATGTTGTAAGGACATCCAGAGAGTTCTCATGTACTCCATACTAAGTTTCATCTATTATTAACTTACATTAGTGTGATATATTTGTTAGCATTAGTATTGATACACTGTTATTAACCAAAGTCCATACTTTATTCAGATTACCTTGGTTTTTAGCTGATGTTCTTTTTAGGTCCCAGGTTCCCATTCAAGCTATCATTACATTTAGTCATCATGTAGTCCTTAGGCTCCTCTACCCTGTGATAGTTTCTCAGACTTCCCATGCTTTTGCTGAACTTTGACAGTTTTGAGGAGTATTGATCAGGTATTTTGTAAAATTTCTCTCAATTTGGTTTTGTCTGATGTGTTTCTCCTAATTAGACTGGAGTTAGGGGTTTTGGGAGGAAGACCACAGAGGTAAAGTATCATTCTCATCATACTATGTCAAGAGTTCAAGGTATTATCATCATGCCTTATCACTGCTGATGTTAACCTTGATTACCGAGTTCAGGTAGTATTTGTCAGGTGTCTCCACTGTTCAGTAACTCTTTTTCCCCCTATCCACACTGTATTTTTGGAAGGAAGTCACTATGCACAGCCCATACTTAAGAGGTTGGAAGTTACGTGCCATCTTATTATTATTTTAGAGACACAATCTCACTCTGTTGCCCAGGCTGGAGTGCAGTGGTACGATCATAGTGCTCTGTAACCTCAAACTGCTGGGCTCAGGTAATCCTCTTGTCTTGGCCTCCCAAAGAGCTGGAATTACAAGCGTGAGCCACCACGCCTCGCAATGCCACCTTCTTGAGAGGAGGAAAGCCTATAGAATTTATTTGGAACTTTTCTACACAGAAATTTTGTCTATTCTCTTCCATCTACTTATTCATTCAATCATTTATTTCGGTATAGTGTCTTTGATACTACATTGTGTATTTTGTTGTTCAAATTGTTCTGGCTTTGGCCATTGGAAGCTCTTTCAGTAAGCTCCTGTATCACTTTGACATAACCGTATTGTGGATGTTTTCTTAGCACTACCTTATTTTTTGGCACCATAAAATGTGCCAGGTTCATCTTGTATTTTCCCAGCCTCAATTCTATAATCAGCTATTTCTCTAAGTAGCCCTGGTTCCTTTTCTTGGGAATGAAATTGGAAACCAAGATCTGGGCCCTGGATGTGCTCATTGCTACATGGGTGTTATTATTTTCAGGCCCTTTTAGCTAACAGAGCAAGGAAATATATGCATATGTACTAACCTTTGTATATATATACATATCTATAAATATTTCTGTGTGTATTCATTTGTATGTACAGTAATGAAACACAATTTATACTAATGTCTCAAACTTTAATCCAATACCACATTGATTATTCTAGCTTTTCCCTCTTGCTTATCTGTATCCTCTCCCTCCAATAGTGAAAAACCTCTGTCCCACCATCTGACACCCATGTCCTTAATTTTTCAATTCCACTATATATGTATGGTAATTTCAGAATTGGTAACCCATACCCCAGGAGAAATAATTTTATTACTTGTGCTAGAGTACAGTTGCTTTTGTCTTTAGTCTTAAATTGTCTACCCATTTTCAAAGTTACTTGAGTCAGCACCTTCCACTCCCAACCGCACTCCCTTCAATAAGGATATTTCATACATGCAGACTCTGTAACAGTATGCATTTCATCCTGGGATTTCCCTAATCATTTAAATATTTTTAAAATTTACAAACATTAAGGCTCATTCTTTGTGCTGTAAAATTCTATGGAATTTGTCAAATGCACAGGGTCATGAACCCACCACCACAGTGTCATACACAATAGCTTTACCACCCTAAAATATCCCTTATGTCTCACCTACTCAACATTCCTCCATTCCCACATTCTTGGTAGCAAGTGCTGATACGTTTGTCATCTTTACCGCTTTTCCTTTTCAGGAATGTAATATAAATTGAATTATGGCATATGTAGTCTTTTCAACTCTTTTTTCCTACTTAGCAATATGCATTTAAGATTCATATATGTCTTTGCTTATATTGGTAACTCATCCTTTTGTATCACTGAATAGTATTCCACCGTATGGTTGTAATACATTTTATTTATCTATTTTTTTTGACGGACTTCTATGCTGCTTCAAATTTTTGGTGATTACAAATAAAGCTGCTATAAACATTCATGTACAGGTGTTCATGTGGACATTAGTTTTCAAATCAGTTAGGTAGATACCTAGAAGTCTGACTGCTAGGTCATTTTGTAAGACTATTTTTTGCTTTGTAAGAAATTGCTAAATTGCATTTCGAAAGAGGCTATATCCACATTACATTTTATTAAAAAGAAAAAAACTATTTTGGATGTTTAGTCTTCGCAGGTGGATTTCATAATAATGGAAATGGATTCATTAATAACAGTGAATTGAATAAGACATATCTCAAGCTTGCCCCATGGGACATTTATCACAGAACGGTGCTAACATACTCAGCCTTAATGCGTCCACCCAGCCATCAGCTTTTGATATTGAGGCAATTTGGCTCACAGCCAGATGGTGTGAAATAGCTTTGTGCATTAGTACAGAAAAAATTTCTAGAGCCCCAGTGCTCATAATTTGCCAGATTCTGTGGAGATAGAGCAGTGTATTGTTAGGGAGAGCTTTGAACTTCCCCATTCTGCATCTCAGCAGTGAAAAAGAAGACAGCAGTGTTTTTTGTTTGTTTTTAATAGAATCTGCTCTGTCCACACTCAGCTCACTAAGGGAAAAAATGAAAATTAAGTATTTCACAGGTGTGAATCTGAAATATAAGGAACATTAAGCCTGTCAAAGCTTGGACTATAATAATCCAAAGCATAGCACCTTAGCATGCTGAGTACTTTGAGCTGAAAGAAATTGGGCAGGCCCCAGAAGGAGGAAGTTGTCGCTGACTTCCCCTTCTCCCTTCCTACTTTCTCCCCCTGAAGTGGGTTATAAAACTAGTATTTCCCTTTCCAAAAGCAAGCCATAAAACATAAGAAGGTCACTTTCTGACCTCCTCTTTCCCCTTAAAGATGCTCAGGTGACAGATGTATCGACAGCTGACCTGTGTCCATACATGGGGAGATGAAATGTCATACAGAGACACAGGAAAGAATCTGAACAAACAGGCCTGGATGACGTTTCCCCCAGTTTTATTTTCAGGCTTGGCCAGGAACCCTAGGAAAGTTGAGGATTCGGACCTCTACTCTAATTATAAAATCTCAAGTTGATATAGGAGTTAATAAGAAATTATTTAGGCAGTTAGTAAAGGTAAAAGAGTTATTGGTGGAATTTCCTTTTAATAAAAAGCAGCCCCCAAATCATTTCTTTTCTAACAAAAAGCAGCCTGAAAAATCAAGCTGCAAGCCTAGATAAGCAAGCTGGAAGCTTGCATAGATGAATGCCAGCAGCTGTGCCAATAGAAAAAGGATACCTGGAAGTCAGGTATATTTAACATGGAGGTTTTCTCTTCCCTTTTCTTTGTCACCATGTGTGCAGGTGTCATGGCGCCGGTGAGGTAGAGGCCCCATCTGCATAATAAAGGATTAGGGTAGGATGGCCAGCCGCCTCGCATGCTGTGTAAATGGTACACCTATTCCAACCAATCCACTATGCCCTATATAAATTAGACACCACCTCGCCCAAACCCAGAAGCCCACTCTGGCCCCCTTCCTCTGCACAAGGAAGATCTCTTCTTTCTTTCACCTATTAAACTTCTGCTCTTAAACCTACTTGTGTGTGTCCACGTCTTTGATTTCCTTAGCACGAGACAACAAACCTTGGGTATTTTCCCAAAGAAACAATGCTGCTTCAAAATCACTTAGAAAGAAAAGTTAGATTCATGTCTTCATTGCCCCTTTTCCTGCCGTTTGCCCATAATTTGTATCCTTATGGATTAAAGCTGCACTACTGAAACTTTAGCCAGCATCACAATCACCTAGAAGGCCTATTAAAGCACAGACTGCTAAGATCCCACCTTGAACTTTCTCATTCAGTAAGTCCAAGGTGGAGTCTGAGAATTTTCTTTTCTAACATGTTCCCAGGTCATGCTGATGCGGCTGGTCTAGGGTCCACATATTGAACAACACTAGATTAAGGTACTGCATTCCTATGATTTAAAAGCCTTTCGAGAGTTTAATTAAATGACTTGTATTTATGTAGTTTGAAATGTCACATTTTAAAATTTATAAATGAAATGCAATTTTACATAAGCAAACCCAGTAGCCATTTTTTTAGTAGACAAGTAACAAAGAAAGTATCTGAATGCCCTGGATTTAAATTACATGAAGGTAGGTAAACATATGAAAAATACATAAATTATCTCATCATTAATTTCTCACACAACCAACATTGTAGAAACAATCCTGAGTTATCTGACTGTGTTTATTAGAGTGAATTAGCTACTAGTTGCAGCTACACTATTTACTATAATTTCTGATGATCTTCCAGTTTATGAGAACAATGCCACAGCACAGGTATTAGATTAAATTAGAGAAACAGGAAGTTGATTGTAAATGTCTACCCTTCTTCTTTCTAAGTTCCTCTCTCCTGGCATTAATAGGCATCTCCATCCTGTGCATTCCCCCCAGAGTTGTGGTCTCTTCTTTGTACCTGTACAAACATATGAACTCAGATTTTTTTCATATTATCTTTTGTAAATTCAATGTTATTCTTCCTTTCTGTGAATGCATACTTGTTTTCTTTCTTCAGCCCCTTTCTAAGATTTCTACTTCATCCATTGTGTAGGAAGCCAGATATTTCTTCTTTCCTTGAAATTTTATCTTAACTATTTTCTCTTTTTTGTATATATTTAAAGTGCACAACATCATGTTTTAACATTCTGATTATTTTTCTCAAGGCTAAACATGTATTTTACAAAACTGAGATCACACTATTTAAATATTTTTGACTAGATTTTTAAAAATTTCACTGACATTTCTCGAAAATCTTTACACATGAGTAAAATTTTATAGATTTTATTTTATTGGATGCATATAATTTTATGTTCTTTATAGAAAAGTTAAACATGTTCAAATAAGTAATTTTATCAGTTCACAATTATGCAATATAAAAAATTAAAGTTATCAGAGAGTGTCATAAGCAAGGTGGCTGAATAGAAGATTCCAGCCTTTATACCCCACAGAAACATCAATTTTTGACAACAATCCACAGATGGGAATACCTGTGTGGGAACCTGGAGTCTAGTGGAGAGAAGATTCCAGGACCCCATTAAAGCAAAAAGTCTGGGAAAGGGTTCATTGAAGAGGATAAGAAGAACAGTTTCTCTTTACCTACATCACCCCTCCCCAAGGTGGCCCTGCACAGTGCCAAGAGAGGTCCCTTTGTCCTATGATTTCTCTGACAAGTGGGCAAAATAAAAGACAGGAGAGTACCTAGCTTCCTCAGCACTGTAGGATATTGCTCAAGAAACCCATTTCTGCCTTGCCCTACCTGGATCACTGAGGAACTGGGAACAACTAAAAAGTATGGGGGAGGTAGGAGCATGGGAAAGGGGTGGAAGCTCATAGCAACCACACCACAGTTCTTGAACAGCCAAAGATCCTACTAACTGGCTGGCCCTTCACCAAGAGGCCCATCCATAAACTCAATGGGATGCCTCACCTATTATCTCCCTCCCACTTGGCTGATACCCTTTTCCCAGCACTCCACACACACACCTTTCAACCAAGAATATTTTAATGGCAAACTGTCCTTCAGAAATGAAGGAGACATGAAGATTTTCCCAAGCAAACAAAAGCTGAGCAAATTCATCACAATTAGATTTGCCCTACAAAAATGCAGAAGGAGATCTTGAAGTTGAAACAAAAGAACACTAAATAGTAGCATGGAAATATATGAAAATATAAAACTTACTGGTAAAGGTAAGAAAGTATAAATATTCAAATTCAGAATGCTCTAATAGTATAATGGTGGTACATAAATCACTTTAACATTAGTATAAAAGTCAAAAGAAAACAGTGTAAAAATATCTATAGATACAAAAATTTGTTAATGGATACTGATATAGTTTGGATCTGTGTTCCCACCCAAACCTCATTCTGAATTGTAATCCCTAATGTTGGAGGTAGGGCCTGGTGGGAGGTGATTGGATCACGGGAGCAGATTTGCAAGAATGGTTTAGCACCATCCCTTTGGTGCTATTCTCATGATAGTGAGTGAGTTATTGTGATATCTGGTTGTTTAAAAGTATGTAGCAACTCCCCAATCTCTTTCTCTTGCTGCTTCAGCCATGTGACCTGCCTGCTCCCTCTTTGCTTTCCACCATGATTGTAAGTTTACTGAGGCCTCCTCAGAAGTGAGCAAATGCCAGCATCATGCTTCCTGTACAGCCTGTGGAACTGTGAACTAATTAAACCTCTTTTATTTATAGATTACCCAGTCTCAGGTATTTCTCTATAGCAATTAGCAAACAGCGTAATACAGATACACATTATAAAAAGATGTAAATAATAACATCAATAAAGTATGTGTATGGGAAAGTAAAAGTATAGAGATTTTGTGCATAATTGAAGTTGAGTTGTAACTAACTTATTATAGATTGTTATAAGGTGTTTTATGTAAGCTTCATGGTAATCACAAAGAAAAAATCTGTTAATAGATATACAAAAGGAAAAGAGAAAGGAATCAAAACATAACATTACCAAAAACAAAGAAATCAAATCACAAAGGAAGACATCAAGAGAGGAAGAAACTGCAAAACAGTCAGAAAATGATTAAAATGACAATAGTGCTTACCTATCAATAATTACTACAAATGTAAATGTTGATGGAGATAAGTGGCTTCTAAACCAGTGCCAGATAATGAGGAAGAAGATGTAGAAGAAGCAGTGCCAGAAAACACATTGACATCGGACTATCTGGCAGAAGCGTTCTGATTATTCATGACTTTTTTGACTTCTTTTATAACGTAGATCCTTCTATGATACAGGCACTAAAACTAAAGCAAATAGTGGAAGAAGGATTGGTATCATATAGAAACATTTTAGAGAAATGAAAAGGCAAAAAGTTCAGACAGAAATTGCAATGTATTTCCATAAGGTTACACCAAGTGTGCCTGCCCCTCCTGCCTCCCCTTCCACCTTCTCTACCTCTTCTGCCTCTATCACTCCTGAAACAGTAAGACCACCTTCTCCTCTTCCTTCTCCTTTTCAGCCTACTCAACGTGAAGATTATAAGAATGAAGATCTTCATGATGATCCACTTCCATTTAATAAATAGAAAATATATTTTTTCTTTTTTATGATTTTCTTAATAACTTTCTTTTCTCTAGCTTACTTTATTGTAAGAATACAGTATATAATACATATAACTTACAAAACATGTGTTAATCAACTATTTATGTTATTGGTAAAGCTTCCAGTCAACAGTAGGCTATTAGTAGTTACGTTTTGGGGGAGTCAAAAGTTGTATGCAAATTTTTGACTGTGTAGGGAGCTGGCACCCTTAACCCCTGCATTGTTAAAGAGTCAACTGTATATGCTGCCTACAAAGAGACTCATTTCAGCTTTAAAGTCATACATAGGCTGCAAGTGAAGGGATGGAAAAAGATGTTCCATGCAAATGGTAAACAAAAGACAGTAGGTGTGGCTATACTTAGACAAAATAGACTTTTAGTCAAAAACTGTAAAAAGAGACCAAAAGGTCATTATATAATGATTAATGGGTCAATTCATCAAGAGGATATAACAATTGTAATTATATATGGACCCAACATTAGAGCACCTAAATACATATAGCAAATATTAGCAGAGCTGAAGGTATTAATAAATAGCAAAACAATAATAATAGGGGACTTCAGCATGACACTTTCAACATTAGATAGATTATCTAATAGAAAATCAATAAAGAAAAAGAATAGAACACTATAGACTAAATGAACCTAGCAGACATATTCAAATTCAGAACATTCCATCCAACCACGCCAGAATACACATTCTTCTCATGTACACATGGAACATTATCCAGAAGAGATCATAGGGCTCAAAACAAACCCCAACAATATATATTACAAATAAATAGTAATCAAAACAGTATGATACTGTAAAAAAACAGACAAAAGACCAATGGAATAGAATAGAGAGCCCAGAAACAAGGCCACCAACAAAAAGTAAACAACCAACAAAATGAAAATGTAACCTATAGAATGGGGGAAGATATTTGCAAACCACGTATGTGGTGAGAGGTTTGTATCCAAAATATATCAGGAACTCATACAACTCGACAGCAAAGAAATAAATATCCCAATTTAAAAATGGGCAAAGGACCTCAATAGATATTTTTTTCCAAAGAAGATACAAAACAACTTGATGGCTTAATATACATATACATTGTGAAATAATTACCACAATCAAACTAATTAACGTATCCATCACCTCACAGAGTAATCGTGTGTGTGTGTGTGTGTGTGTGTGTGTGCACTTGTGTTGAGTATACTTAGAATCTACACTCTTAGCAAATTTCAAGTATCAGGTACAGTATTTTTACCTACAAGCACTAAGTGCCAGTTCATTCAGGCTGCTGTAACAAAAATACCATAGATATGGTGACATAAAAAACAGAAATGTATTTCTTAACATTCTTGAGGCTAAGAAATTCAAATCACCAGCAAATTCAGTGTCTAGTGAGGACCCAATTATGGGACTACAGACAACTGTGTATTCCCTGTCTCCTTACATGGCAGAAGGGCCTAAAGAGCTCTAAGGAATCTTATTTTTGAGGGCTCTACCCGCATGACCTAAGTACCTCCCAAAGGCCCCATTCTCTAATACTATCATATTAGATATTAGGTTTCAAAATATGAATTTGGGAGGGGTACATAATAGCACCACGCTATACATTATATAAAGACCACATTTTCTTTTTCCATTTATCCATTGATGAATACTGAGGTTGTTTCCACATCTTGGGTATTGTGAATAATGTTTCAATGAACATAAGACTGCAAATATCTCTTAGGGGATACTGACTTTAATTCTCTTGGATAAATACCCAGAAGTGAAATTCATGGGTCAAATGGTAATTATATTTTTAATTTTTTGAGGAATCTTCATATCATTTTCCATAGTGGCTGTTCTCATTTATATTCCCACCAACAATGTACAAGGGCCTCCTTTTCTCTAGCTCCTCAACAGCACTTTATTTTAAATTTAACAATAGACATGTTAACAGGTATGGGGTGATGTTTCATTATGTTTTTTATTTGTGTTTCTCTAATGGTTAGTGATGTTTACCACTATTTCATACAACTATCAGCCATTTTTATGTCTTCTTTAGGAAAATACTCACATCATTTGACCATTTAAAACTTTATTTCAATTGAATTTTAAAGGTTCTTATATATTTTAGATGTTAGCCCCTTATCAGATATACAGTTTATACATACTTCCTCTTATACTGTAGGCTGCATTTTTATTTTATTGGTTGTTTTCTTTCCTGTGAAGAAGCTTTTTAGTTTAATGTTGCCCCATTTTAAAATTTTTGCTTTTTTTTAATCCAAAAGAATTTTAGGCTTAAGGGAAAAGTGGTAGGTGTAATAATGGCCCCACTAAGGATGTCCAGATTATTCCTGGAACTTGTAGACACGTTAGGTTACATGCCAAAAGGCGAATTAAGGTTGCAGGCAGAAATGAGATTGCCAGTCATTTGACCTTAAAGTAGGGAAAATTTTCTAGATTACTCAGTTTGGTCCAGTATAATCACAAAGGTCCTTATAAGTGGCAGAGGAAGGCTGAAGAGGAAGTTAGAGGAAGAAGTAACTAAGGAAGAAAGGTATGGAGAGATTCAATGCTTCTGTCTTGGAAGGTGGAGGAAAAGTCCAGGAACCAAGAAATGCGACTGACATCTAGAAGATGAAAATCATGGAAATGGTTCTCTCCAACAACCCCCAGAAAGGAATGTAGCCCTGCTGACAACTTGATTTTAGCTTCTTAACTACAGAATTGTAAAACAATAAATTTGTGCTGTTTTAAACAACTACGTTTATAGTAATTTGTTACAGCAGCAATAAAATCTAATACTGAGAATGAAACACATTGCTAATTTAAGCACATAGGGAATAAAACACATTGTCAGTTTCTAACATTAAAAATGTTACCAAACATAATAAAGCAAAATTACGATGTGTAATTGGATTAGTATATTTATTATAATCAGCATTATTAATAAATAACTTAAATTGTCATTGTACTTATTACTCTGCGCGTGTCATCAGGGAAAGTGTATGGTGTTAGAAGACTATTTGTCTGTCTCTCCAGAATTTTAATTAAACAGATTTAAACATAAAAATAAAGACAGCAATAATAAAAACAAAAGACAGAGGCTGAATTTTCTCCAAGAAAATTTAAAACAATGAAGCTGTGAGGAATAGATTCCTGAAAACCCCTGTGTAAGTAAGAGCATGATTTAAAATTCCAGATTTAATGGGGATATGAAGAAGTAGTGTGTGTTGGAATGGATAATGGAGCTTGAGTATGAATCTATGCTATCCATAAATAACATATTAGTATTCATTAAAATGAATTACTAAAGAAAATACAGTAAATAATCAATGATATTTTACACATTGAACTGGAGGCAGTAGGATACAATTAATTTTCAAGTATTCATTCTTAATTGCAAGAAACTTGTTTGTATATTCTTCCCTCACATTTGAGAAAAGGTGCTTGAAAATATAATTTTTATTATTGATTCATATCCTTAAGAGACTTTTTTTTTCTCATTCAATATCTCAATCTTCATTACTCTTCTGATTTTATTACTTAGAACCCTTGATCTGAGTAATGGAGTATCTTTCCATGTATTTGTCTTTAATTTCTTCAATGTGTACAAATGGGCCACTGGTACATGAAAAGGTGCTCAGTGTCACTAATCGTCACTGAAATGCAAATCAAAATCACAATGAGATCTCACCTCACATCTGTTAGGATAGCTATTATAAAAAAGACAGGAGCTAACAAGTGTTAGCAAGGGTGTGGAGAAAAAGGAACCCTTGTTCATACACTGTTGGAGAGATGCTTCTAGAGGTCATTCACATTTCTTGATTTCTAGACTTCAACCTCACCTTCCAAGCCAGCCACATTGCATCTCTCTGTGCCTTTTGTCCATAGTCACTTCTTCCTCTAACTCTTGATCTTTAACTCATAGTTCCCTGAATAGTCCCAGAAATGAAGAGCAACTTTAATGCTTGGAATGAATAAATCTTTGATAATCGGTACTCAACGTTCCTTAAGATTCCTTCTCAAAATGCATAATTAAATAGAAGTTAGGGTAACCGCCCAAAGAGTTCACCTTGCCCACTGCCTAGACAGAGCCAATTCATCAAGACAGGGTAATTGCAACAGAGAAAGAGTAATTCACACAGAGCTGGCTCTGGAGTTTTATTATTACTCAAATCAGTCTCCTCGAGCATTCAGGGAGCAGAGTTTTTTTTTTTTTCTTTTTTTTTTTCTTTTTGAGACAGAGTCTCACTCTGTCGCCCAGGCTGGAGTGCAGTGGCACGATCTCAGCTCACTGCAAGCTCAGCCTCCTGGGTGCATGCCATTCTCCTGCCTCAGCCTCCTGAGTAGCTGGGACTACAAGCACCCACCACCATGCCCAGATAATTTTGTGTATTTTTAGTAGAGACGGGGTTTCACCATGTTAGCCAGGATGGTCTCAAACTCCTGACCTTGTGATCCACCCGCCTCGGCCTCCCAAAGTGCTGGGATTACAGGCATGAGCCACCACACCCAGCCCAGGGAGAAGAGTTTTTAAGGATAACTTGGTGGGTTGGGGAAGTCAGTGAGTCAGGAGTGTTGATTGGTCAGAGATGAAATCATAGGGAGTCGAAGTTGTCTTCTTGTGCTCAGTCATTTCCTGGGTGGGGGGACCTCAAGATTAGATGAGCCACTTTATCGATCTGGGTGGTGACAGCTGATCCGTCAAGTTCAGGGTCTGCAAAATATCTCAAGCACTGATCTCAGGAGTAGTTTAGGGAGGGTCAGAATCTTGCGGCCTCCAGCTGCATGACTCCTAAACCATAATTTCGAATCTTGTGGCTAATGTTAGTCCTAAAAAGGCAATCTAGTCCCCAGGCAAGGAGGTGTGCTTTGGAAAAGGGCTGTTACTTTCTTTGTTTAAACTATAAACTATAAACTAAGTTTCTCCCAAAGTTAGTTCAGCCTAAGCCCAGGAATGAACAAGGACAGTTTGTAGGTTAGAAGCAAGATGGAGTCAGTTAAGTAAGATCAACTGTCTCAGTCATAATTTTGCAAAGGCTGTTTCATTAGTGCAAATGTTCATTATAATCTTGTATTAGAAGAAGACTGGAAACCAGATGATGTAAGGTTGGTTTAGCTCAATTATGATTTCAAAAATCCAGTCCCTAGTAATCTCTTGGACTACCTTTCTTAACATGTTGGCTATGCACTTCTGTTTTATCTTCACATGTCTATAATATGGCCACCACAGCTGCATTTGTCACAAAGGGAGTTTCTCCTCATAAATTATCTTTTAGTGAGGGATTTTTTTCTTTCAAGAATGCCATCAGCAACGTTCCACTCAGGTCTTTTTCCTCAGTATTGGTGGGCATGTCAATATATAACTTCAAGAAAGACGGAGATATTGTCAGCCTCTATTTTTGGATGTGGAATACAGTATGTCACTAGGAAAGGATTGTGATGGGGACTGGAATGCATGTACAGTTAGGCAACAGGTCTGCCATGTTGGTGAAACAGAAGTACCTTAGTCTATTCACTGATAATTTATATCAATTTTCTTTGACATTTTCCATTTTGCCATCTTTTATTAATATTATTTTTAATTGACAAATCATAATTGTATATACTTCTGAGGTACAATGTGATGTTCTGATATATGTATACAATGTGGAATGATTAAAACAAGCTAATTAAAGTATTAATCACTTTATTTGATTATAATTTTTGGTAATGAGACATTTGAAATTTACTCTCTTAGTTATTTTCCCCATATTTTCTGAATGTTCTCTTGCTCTCATCAAGGACCTCAGGCCTTCAATTACTTTTGTGAATCAAAGAAAATGACCTAGGCAAGTCTCAATCATTTCAGGTTTATATGCCAAGGTTAAAGACATGCCTAAGAAAGAATACACAACCACAGGAAAAATTGTGGTCCATGCTTTTTCCAGAGTGTCTGGGGACCTTAATATTTAAAGGGAAAAGGACAGGTATCCAGGAAAGAGGAAGAAATTTTTTTCAAAAGGGTGTGGGTAGATTGGAGGCCAGCAGTTGCATTTTTTCTGGTCTTTGATCAGCAGTTTACTGAAAACACAATTTACATGTGAGAGGAAGGTAGAGGAATAGTCACTTATGCATTCGTCTAGGTCAGTGAATCTGCATTTTTACATATGATAACATAAACATAGGGCAGAGGAAGAAGCAATCAGATACGCATTTGTCTCAGGTGAGCAGAGGCTCTTTGAATTCTGTCCTTTGTCCTCTACCTGTGAAGATAAGCTATCAATTTACATTCCCAGGGTGAAATTCAACAGAAGTGTTTTAGGGTAAAGCTCTTGGAGTCCACAAGGAATTACCTTGTGGGCAAATTGTGAGAGAGGTATGTAGTTTGTTTTGTTTTGTTTTGTTTTTAAATCTTCATACATATCTTATTTAGGAACAAAACGGGAGGCAGGTTTGCTTGACCCAGTTCCCAGCTTGACTTTTCCCTTTGGCTTAGTGAATTTGGGGTCCCAAGATTTATTTCCCTCTCATATTTTCTAATACTTTTTTTTTCAATGTGTTCTCTATTGGCCTACCGTCCATGATCAGCCATTATGATAGTTTCATCTTCTGCACTGAAAATCTTGCTCATTCTTGGAGTTTCAAGAGCTGCCTGAGGGTGGAGGTAATTAAGTTTATATGAACTCCAAGAATGAATCTAATTTTATATCTTTAAGAGAACATTAATTACAAGTAACTAAAATGTTGGTCATTTTAGGATGAGGCATTAAGCTAATTATTCTCTTAATATTTCAGAGTTGTTCCATAACATTTTAATTGAAACATTAAAGACAGTATTTATATTATTAAAAAGATGTATCAGGGGTATCCAACTGTAATAAATTACAACATATGCACACAAGACCAAAATTAAAAGATGAGGCCATGAGTTGATAATTTATGTAACATTCTGAAGTTCACACTTGTTAAAAAGTTAAAATATTAAGGCTAATGGGTAAAAATAATTTGGAAATGAAAATAGTACTTATTTTTAATTTCACAAATAAGTTTTGGTTGGGTGGAGGGGTCAGTTAAAATCCTAATATTTTACTCATAATTTATTTTATTAATAATACTTCAAAACTAGTTTCTTGGTACCTTTACCATTTTTCTATTAGTGAGTAGAATATTAGGTATAAACCCAAATATGAAGATTTTATGACAGACAAATACAAGCATTTAATATACACATTATAATTAGAACTTATTTGGAATTTGCAGGATTTTAGAAGTGTGTGTGCTGTGTTCCTGAAATTATCACCTTGTTCTCTCTTTCAATTGAAATTGTATGTACAAAATATGCTAAGGTTTATACAATGAATATATCAGTTGTTTGCATGCAAATCTGTCTGATGTTTATTTTAGACTTAAGCTTAATTATGTTTAAATTTATATATTAAAAATTATGTGCCAGGCATGGTGGCTAATGCCTGTAATCTCAGCAGTTTGGGAGGCTGAGGCGGGCAGATCACTTGAGGTCAAGAGTTCGAGACCAGCCTGGCCAACATGGTGAAACACCATCTCTACTAAAGACACAAAAATTAGACAGGTGTGGTGGCGGGCACCTGTAATCCAAGCTACTCCAGAGGCTAAGGCAGGAGAATCACTTGTACCCAGGAGGTGGAGGTTGCAGTGAGCCAAGATTGCACCACTGCACTCCAGCCTGGGCAACAGAGTGAGACCTTGCCTCAAAAAAAAAAAAAAAAAAAAAAAGTAAAATAAATAAATAAATTATGGTGCAAATGGGCTACAAAATCTAGAAATGTATTTAAGCCACAAGGTATAGATTATGATCCTGCCCTCTAAATGAAGTGGTAATAGATTGTATTGAACACCTTTAATTACATGCTACTTTCTGACTTGCTGCTCTTTCTTCTGATCCAATCAATTTCTTAAGCTGGGGCTTCAAAATAATGGAATTATGATCAAGTAATGTTATTGCCACTCTCATACAGAAAGTCTTCATAATTTAACTATATTGTAAACATTTTTTATTTTTCATAAAATATGAGCTTTGTTAATCTTAGAATTAGAGCATATTTTATTCAAAATGTCTAGGGTGAGCTCAATGCACTAACACAAATATACAGGCAAACCTCATTTTATTGAACTTTGCTTTATTGCAATTTGCAGGTACTGTGTTTTTACAAATTGAAGATTGTGGCAACCTTGCTTCAAGCAAGTCTGTTGGCGCCATTTTTCTAACAAGTGCTCACTTCCTGTCTCTCTGTGACATTTGGATAAATTTCACAATATTTCAAATGTTTTCATTATTATTTTATCTGTTATGGTCATCTATGATCAGTGATCTTTGATGTTTCTATTGTAATTGTTTTGGGGCATGTATTAGTCTTTTCTCACCCTGCTAATAAAGACATACACAAGAATAGGTAATTTATAAAGGTAAAGGTTTAATGGATTTACAGTTCCACACGGCTGGGGAGGCCTCACAATCATGGCAGAAGGCAAAGGGGAAGCAATACACGTCTTACATGGCAGCAGGCAAGAGAGCATGTGCAGGGGAACTCCCCTTTGTAAAACTATCAGATCTCATGAGACTTATTCACTATCATGAGAACAGCACAGAAAAGACCTGCCCCAATGATTCAATTACCTCCCACTGGGTTCAATTCAAACTGAGATTTGGGTGGGGACACAGCCAAACCATATCAGGGCATCACGAACCATACTTACATAAGATGGTAAACCTAATCAAATAATGTGTGTGTTCTGACTGCTACACTAACCAGCTATTCCTCTGTCTCTCTCCCTCTCCTTAGGCATCCCTGTTTCCTGACACACAATAGCATTGAAATTAGGGCAATTAATAATCCTGCAATGGCCTCTAAGTGTTCAAGTGGAAGAAAGAGTCAGACGTCTCTCACTTTCAATCCAAAGCTAGAAATGATGAAGCTTAGTGAGGAAAGCATGTCAAAAGCTGACACAGTGAAGGGGGCCTGCCCCTCCACACCTGTGAGTATTTCTCACAAGGTGGAGATGAGAGACTGAGAAAAGAAATAAGACACAGAGACAAAGTATAGAGGAAGAAAAGTGGGCCCAGGGCACTGGCGCTCAGCAAGTGAGGACCTGCACCGGCACTGGCCTCTGAGTTTCCTCAGTATTTATTGATCACTATCTCTACCATCTCGGCGGAGGGGATGTGGCAGGACTATAGGGTAATGGTGGGGAGAGGGTCAGCAGGAAAACATGTGAGCAAAGGACTCTGTGTCATAAATAAGTTTAAGGAAAGGTGCTGTGCACATAGGCCAGATTTATGTTTGACTTTACACAAACATCTCTGTGCAGTAAAGAGCAGTATTACTGCCAGCATGTCTCACCTCCAGCCATAAGGCGGTTTTCTCCTAGCTCAGTAAATAGAACGGGTTTTACACTGAGACATTCCATTCCCAGGGACGACGAGCAGGAGACAGATGCCTTCCTCTTATCTCAACTGCAAAGAGGACTTCCTCTTTCACTAATCCTCCTCAGCACAGACCCTTTACAGGTGTCGGGCTGGGGGACGGTCAGGTCTTTCCCTTCCCAGGAGGTCGTATCTCAGGCTGTCTCAGTGGGGGGAAACCTTGGACAATACCCAGGCTTTCTTGGGCAGAGGTACCTGTGGCCTTCCGCAGTGCACTGTGTCCCTGGGTACTCGAGACTGGAGAACGGCAATGACTTTTACCAAGTATACTGCCTGCAAACACATTTTTAACAAAGCACATCCTGCATAGCCCTAAATCCATTAAACCTTGAGTCAACACAGCACGTTTCTGCGAGCACAGGGTTGGGGCTAGGGTTACAGATTAACAGCATCTCAAGGCAGAAGATTTTTTCTTAGTACAGATCAAAATGGAGTTTCTTATGTCTTCCTTTTTCTACATAGACACAGTAACAGTCTGATCTCTCTTTATTTCCCCCACACATAGGCCAAAATCTAGATTTCTTGCATCAAGTTAGCCAAGTTGTGAATGCAAAGGAGAAGGTCTTAAAGGAAACTGAAAATGCTACTCCAGTGAACACATGAATGATAAGAAAGTGAAACAGCCTTATTGCTGATATGAAGAAAGTTTTAGTGGTCTGAATACAAGATCAAACCAGCCACAACATTCCCTTAAGCCAAAACATAATCTGGACCATGTCCCTAACTCTCTTCAATTCTATAAATGCTGAGAAAGGTGAGGAAGCTGCAGAAGAAAAGTTTGAGGCTAGCAGAGGTTGGTTCATGGAGTTTAAAGAAAGAAGCCATCTCCAAAACTTAAAACTGCAAAGTGAGGCAGCAGATGCTGATGTAGAAGGTGCAGCAAGTTATCCAAAAGATCCAGCTAAGACCATTGATGAAGGTGGATACACTAAACAACAGATTTTCAAGGTTTCAATGTAGATTAAACAGTCTTTTATTGGACAAATATGTCATCTAAGACTTTCATAGACAGCTGTCATCTCTGGCTTCAAAGCTTAAAAGGAGAGACTGATGCTCTTGTTAGGAGCAAACATAGCTAATGACTTTATGTCAAAGCTAATGCTCACATGCCATTCTGAAAATCCTAGGGCCCTTAAAACTATGCCATATGCCACTCTGCTATTGCTCTATAAATGAAACTATATCTCCTGGATAACAACACATCTGTTTGGAGGATGGTTTACTGAATCTTTTAAGCCCATTGTTGAGACCTAGTGCTCAGACAAAAACAATTCCTTTAAAATTATGGCTGCTAATTAACAATGCATCTAGTCCTCCAAGAGCTCTGATGAAGATACACAATGAGATTAAGGTTGTTTTCTTTATTAAAAAATTTTGTCTAGCCTAGATTTTTTTTTTTAATTTAACTTTTAAGTTCAGTGGTATAGGTGCAGGTTTGTTACATAGGTAAACTTGCATCATGGGAGATTATCATACAGAGTATTTTGTTACCCAGGAATTAAGTCTAGTAACCATTAGTTATTTTTCCTGATTCTCTCACTTCTCTGACCCTCCACCCTCCAATAGGCCCCAGTGTGTGTTGTTCCTTTCTATGTGTCCATGTGTTCTAATCATTTAGCTCCCACTTACATGTGAGAACATGTGGTATTTGGTTTTCTGTTTTGCGTTAGTTTGCTAAGGATAATGGCCTCCAGCTTCATCCTTTTTGTGGCAAAGGACATGATCTCATTCTTTTTTATGGCTGCATAGTATTCCATGGTGTATATATACCATATTTTTGTTATCCAGTCTACAATTTATGGGTATTTAGGTTAATTCCATGTCTTTGCTATTGTGAATAGTGTTGCAATGAACATACGCATGCATACGTCTCTATAATATAACAATTTATATTCCTTTGGGTATATACCCAGTAATGGGAGTGCTAGGTCAAATGGTATTACTTTTTTTAGGGTTTGAGGGATCACCACACTCTCTTCTCCAATCGTTGAACTAATTTACACCCCCCACCAACAGTGTATAAGCTTTCCTTTTTTTCCACAACCTCGCCACCATCTGTTATTTTTTGACTTTAATAATAGCCATTCTGACTGGTGTGAGATGGTATCTCATTGTGGTTTTGATTTGCCTTTCTCTAATGATCAATGATGTTGAACTTTTTTTCACATGATTATTGGCCTCACGTACGTCTCCTTTTGAAAAGTGTCTGTTTATATCCTCTGCCCACTTTTTAATGGGGTTGTTTGGTTTTTTCCTTGTAAATTTGTTTAAGTTCTTTATAGATGATGAATATTAGACCTTAGTCAGATTCATAGTTTGCAAAACTTTTCTCCCATTCTGTAGGTTGTCTGTTTACTCATTGATAGTTTTCCTTTGCTGTGCAGAAGCTCTTTAGTTTAATTAGATCCCAATTGTCAATTTTTGCTTTTCTTACAATTGCTTTTGGCATCTTTGTCATGAAATCCATGCACATTCTTATGTCCAGAATGGTATTGCCTAGGTTGTCTTCCAGGGTTTTTATAGTTTTGGCTTTTACATGTAAGTCTTTAATTCATCTTGAGTTAATTTCTGTATGTGGTGTAAGGAAGGTGTAGCCAGTTATCCTAGCACCATTTACTGACTAGGGAGTCCTTTCCTCATTGCTTGTTTTTGTCATCTTTGTCGAAGATCAGCTGGAAGCATTCCCCTTGAAAACTGGCAGAAGACAAGGATGCCCTCTTCCACCACTCCTATTCAACATAGTATTGGAAGTCCTGATCAGGGCAATCAGGCAAAAGAAAGAAATAAGTGTCGTCCAAATACAAAGAGAGGAAATCAAACTAACCCTGTTTGCAGATGACATGATCCTATATCTAGAAAGCTCATAGTCTTGGCCCAAAGCTCCTTACGCTGATAAACAAGTTCAGCAAAGTCTCAGGATACAAAATCAATGTTCAAAAATCACTGGCATTCTTATACACCAACAGTCAAGCCAAGAGCCAAATCAGGAATGTAATCCCCTTCACAATTGCCACACACACAAAAAAATAAAATAAGAATACAGCTAACCAGGGAGGTGAAAAATCTCTCCAAGGAGAACTATAAAATACTGCTTAAGGAAATCAGAGATGACACAAACAAATGGTAAAACATTCCATGTTTATAGATAGGAAGAATCAATATTGTTAAAATGGCCAAGCTGCCCAAAGCAATTTATAGATTCAATGATATTCCTATTAAACTACCAATAACATTCTTCACAGAACTAGAAAAAAACTATTTTAAATTCATATGGAACAAAAAAAAAATTCCCCAAATAGCCAAGGCAATTCTAAGCAAAAAGAACAAAGCTGGAGGCATCAAGTTGCCCAACTTCAAACTATACTATAGGGCTACAGTAATCAAATAGTATGGTACTGGTACAAAAACAGGCACATAGATCAATGGAACAGGATAGAGAATCCAGAAATATGGCTGCACACCTACAATGTTCTTTCTGCAGTCCATGGATGAAGGAGTCATTTTTATTTTCAAGTCTTGTTATTTAAGAAATAAATTTCATAAGATCATAACTGCCATACATAGTGATTCTACTGATGGATCTGGGCAAAGCAAATTGAAAACCTTCTGGAAAGGATTCACCATTCTAGATGCCATTAAGAACAGTTATGATTCATGGGAGGAGGTCAAAAATGTCAACATTAATAGGAATTTGGAAGAGGTTGATTCCAACCCTCATGGGTGACTTTAAGAGATTCAAGACTTCAGTGGAGGAGGTCATACATATGTGGTGGAAACAGCAAGAGAACTAGAATTAGGAGTGAGGTTAGATCTGACTGAATTGATGGAATCTCATGATCAAACTTAAATACATGAGGAGTTGTTATTCATAGATTCGCAAAGAATGTGGTTTCTTGAGATGAATTCTACTCCCAGTGAAGATGTTGTGAACAGTGTTAAAATTAAAACAAAGAATTTAGAATATTACATGATCTTATTTGATAAAGAAGTGGCAGATTTTGACTCCACTTTGAATGAAGTTCTACTGTGGATAAAATACTATCACATAGTATTGCATGCTAAAGAGAGGTCTTTCTTAAAAGGAAGTGTCACTTGATGTGGCAAACTTAATTGCTGTCTTATTTTAAGAAATTGTCTCAGCCACGCCAACCTTCAGCAACCACCACCCTGATCAGTCAGCAGCCATTCACATTGAGGCAAGATCCACCACCAGCAAGAAGATTATGATTCACTGAAGTCTCAAATAATCATTAGCATTTTTTAGCAATACAGTACTTACAGGTATTTATATATACTTATATATAATACTATTGCACACTTAGTAGAATACAGCATAGTGTAGACATAACTTTTATATGCACCAGAAATATAACAAATTCATGTGACTTGCTTTATTGTAGTATTCACTTTATTGCAGTGGTCTGGAATTGAATCACAATGTCTGTTAGTTATCCCTGTAATAAAAATAATAATCTGCCAGATGTGGTGGCTCACGCCTATAATCCCAGCACCTTGGGAAGCCAAGGTGGGCGGATCACCTGAGGTCAGGAGTTTGAGACCAGCCTGGCCAACATGGTGAAATCCTGTCTCTACTAAAAATACAAAAATTAGCAGGGCGTGGTGGCATGCACCTGTAACCCCAGCTACCCAGGAGGCTGATGCAGGAGATTTGCTTGAATCCAGGAGGCGGAGGTTGCAGCAAGCCAAGATCGCACCACTACACTCCAGCCTGGGCAACAGAGTGAGACCTTGTCTCAAAATATATATATATATATTAAATAAATAAAAATAAAAACAATATTCCAATTGAATAAGCAGATTACCTTTTATGGTTTTGTTTACTCTCAAATATACTCAAGACGTTTTTTTACATGTAGCTAAACACTATTTTTATTCTTTGAGTAATTTTTAAATTTTGCAGTTCATTATCATGCTATCACAACTAACTATATAGTGATTATTGTGGAGTTTAAAAGCACACTTTTAATCAGTATTGTGTTCAATAAGCATTTACTGAGCAATTGTTATGTTTAGAGTGTTACACATCATATTCTTCATTAAGGAATCACAATCTAGTTGGATAACACCAGACTTATAACTAGAGAAAAAAAATAAAATGTAATACAGGGGAGCAAGTGCCAAAAGTCAAATGAATACATCAGGCCACATTTTCTAAAGAAACTTAGAAAGAAGGGAGATCACAGAGCTTCATAGAGGAAGAATGGGGCTTTATATTTTGTCTTTAAATATAGTTAACTTTACTAGTGCTTTCTATGTAATAGACATTGTACACAGTTCTTCACCATGTCTTATCTTGAAAGAAAGATAAAATGCAGAAAAATATAGACAGTGTGTGACTCTTACAGCCAAACATGCTATTATACTAGCAACCTAGAAAACTAGTGTATCTAGAGCAGTGTTTTCAAATAATAGATCAATGAAAGTGAAGATCAAAGGGAGCTGTGTTGCAGAAAGCTCACTGTGGCAGAAAAACACTGACCTGGTTGTTAGGGAGCTCAGGATTCGATTTTAATGTCCATTGTTCAGTTATACCACATAGACAATCTATTGCACCTTATGTTTCCCATTGCTGTCATGTGTAAGATATGATTAGTGGACTTGATGGACTTAATGATGCTTTTAGCTCTAAAATACCACGGTTCAACGGGGAGTCATTGAAGATTTTGATGAGGAAGAGTGATGTGCAAAACAATGACAAACATATCATCTATATGTTGGAGGAGAGTGAATTTGGAGGCAAAGAGAACAATTAATAGAACATTGTAATGTATCATGCCTGAAGAACTGTTCTTTCAGCTTATTAATATAATGATGGTGTGCTTTATTTAACATGCTATTAATGTATGTTTTCTTCAATGGATGTTTTCTTTTTTGATGCTATTCATGATTTTAGAAACATAAAGTTGATATTTTAGTTTGCCTCTTCACTTTTACAACTTTATATTCCTAAACAAGTTGGACTTAATTTTAATTATGAAATATCTTTGCCCTCCTTTTTAGTACTCTAGCCTACTTTCCATTCAATTGATATTTCTATTTTAATTTTAGACAATTGTTATTTTACTATTTTTCCCATGTCTTTGAAGCCATCTATACTTTTAAATACATTTTTAATTGTGAAATATCTTTGCTCTCCTTCTTAGTACCCTAGCCTACTTTCCATTCAATTGATATTTCTATTTTAATTTTAGACAATTGTTATTTTACTATTTTCCCCATGTCTTTGAAGCCATCTATACTTTTAAATACAATCTCATTTTCTTACTTTCTAATTTCCCTAATGAATTTTATTTCTTTGAACTGATTTGTTTTGTTAAAATTATTCATTCTAGATAATAAAATACCATCTGTTATTATTATTATTACAGATGTTTTCTATTCAAACTTACCCATCTTTCACTGTTTATCATAATTCTGTGCAGAAAAAAAAAAGTTTATTTCAGTTATCACCTAGAAGAAGTTTGAACATTTTGTGAGTGTATAACCCAGCATAGATATAGAAATTTAAGTCTCACATAAGTTTAATATCTGATGTTTAGGCTGTTTTGTTAAGTTGATAAATTATGTATCCTCTATTTCTATAGCAGGGGTAAGCATTGTGGGTTTTTTTTCCGTATGGGATTAGATAGCAAATACTTTAGGCTTTGTGGCCCATATGATCTTTGTTGTGATTATGCGACTTTGCCACTGTAGCACAAAAGCAGCATAGACAATAGATAGAATGAATGTGGCTGTATTCCAATAAAACTATTTGCAAAAAAGGGGCAAGCTAGATTTTGCCTATAGGTCATGGCTTGCAGACCCATATTCTACTAAATCAAATACTTGATAAACTTCTATGTAAACATTATTTCTTATTTTCAAATAAAGTGAAAAAATATTTACTCATTAGATTATTTTCATATTATAAACCTAAAAATTATATTATTGGTACCCATAATGTAGCACGCTCATAGATTAGGCACTTATAAGACATAGTCATTACATTATATGAAGAATATTTATTTATAGTTAAACTTTTGTAGGATAATTTTACTCTCTAAATGATCAAAAGGATAAATATCACTTCCTAGTTTTAGGACTCACAGGAAAAAATAAATTTATTTGGGAGTTGTATGGCTAAAATTCCATCATTAGTTTTTATTGCTTTTTTCATCTAGCATAAATGGGTCTGATGAAGCTTCTCAATCAGTTATACATGTGTCTCACAAACCTGAGCATAGTGATGGAAACAGAAATAGTGTCTTTATTAATTAGACATTATTTTGAGGAAAAAGCAGAAGTCCACTGAGTTCAAGTGAACAAAGAATTTATTATAAAATATTGAAGAACCTCACAGAACTCAATTGCAGAATATATTACTGAGCCTCCTGAAGAATAGGAAGTTATCAAAGATGTATTCTCTCAAATTTTCTCTTCCACTTTATTACCAAAGAGTTTTCTCTCTGTGTGTCTTTATGACATCTGTTCCATTGTCCTCTCCGAAGGCCACCCATGTTGGAAAAGTTTTGATGTTTGTTCTTTCATAATTTTGGCATGCACAAAGTTTTTGGCTTGCCATAGTACTGATTCTGGATCTTACTTTACCAGATATCTCAGTTCCAGTGCTCAATGTCTTCCAGATACAGTGATTACCCCCTTAATTCAGAATCTGGACAGGTATTCTGATTGCCTGCTGGCTGTCAATGGATTGCTTGGCTTGAGTCAGTTCCGTTTCATTTGAAAAAAGAAAAAGTTATGGTCAGTAAGGGTAGGGTCATATGACCTGATGCCAAAATTTAAGACACTTTAGGCTGAAATACGTTTTCTGAGAGGAGCTAAGGGGAATGAAGGAAAATAGACTGATATGCTTGCTACAACATGAGAAGTAGGATTTTCACAATTTGGGGAATTATTATTCTTAAAATTAAAAACAAAAGCTCTTTTTGTATTAGGGTTTATAGGAAGTAAGATCCTTGACATTAGTCAATAGCTGAGAGGCCAGTGTGCTGTGGATAAGCACAAAGTCCTTAAACTTTCTGAGAATAATCACAGACTTAGGGGACAAAAGGGAGGCTGTGATTCAGGATCAAAGCCTTCATGTGAGAGGATGGTGAGGTGGCTAGTAGGTATCAACAAGGAACAGGATTTGTTCTGAGAGGATGGAATAATAATGGTGGGGAAGTGACACTGAGAAGAGAGAGTGTTACGGACTGTGAAGAAATAATAAGCAGCCTATACTTTAGAGTTTTAAGATGAAGAGATGCCTTGGAGGCGATCTATTATAATTATGTCCTAACACTCCTCTAGCCATAATAAACTGGTTTTAGTGTTCTACAACCCCTTTCTCTTTCTTGCCTTTGTACCTTTGCACAAACTCTCATTTCTTGCAAATGCTTTTTCCAACTCACTTATCTTCAAGCTATAGTGAAATTACTAATCCACTCTAAGACCTTCCACATTTATCAGGCAAAGTTAGTTTCTCACTTTTCCACATTCTCAAGCCACACTGCTCACAAAGACTGTTATTACATAATTCTTTAATCGCATATTCAAATGTATAAATTTGACAGTAGACTGCAAACTTGAAGATAAAGACTATTTTATTCATCTTCAAAATGCAACAATCTTTCAGGCACACAGTAGGCACTCAGAAATAACTACAAAAGCCCCATAAATTTAACTGGAGTGGATCAATTTTCACCTGGCTAAAGGGATAGCTAGATTTCATGAAAAACAGCTATTGGTGTCAGTGGCTTTGATGGTGCTGAAGACAGCTTCCAGGTCTAGAGTAGAATTCAGGAGGTACAATGATCCACATGGCCAGTAGAGACTTATATTCTTAAAGGATGGTCAAAGAATACTTTGACAGGTGGTGGAAGGATGGTGGCCATATGTGGGTTCCACAGAGAAAGAATCAGAGCCTTAGCAACAGCAGATGGAAACAAACAAACAAACAAACAAAAACACAGCTAAGGTTGAATGATAGAGTGGCAAAGTAGAGTTTCTGGGTTACCTCTACCAGGAGCAGCATTAACATTGTGGCTCTTAGGGGTTTTTAGGATGGAATCTAGGCTGTGTGCTAGAGATATAAATATAAGTAAGATGAAACCCTTCTAAGGTAACTCTAAGGCACCTTCCCAGAAAAATATAAGGCTATTGTGTTACCTAGGGAGGGTATGGTTGGTGTTTGACCTAGACCTATTGGATCCCTTTGTCCATTCTTGTGCCTCCTTCTTCTGTGTGCTTTCACTTCCACCAGTTAGCAACTGTGGTTCTTTGTGAGAAGACATCCCCTAGTCTCTTGGAGCCACTTGACCCTCACAAACCAGAAATGCCTGGTACTTCACATTCTCCTGGGGCATCCAGTGGTCAGAGGAACACTGAGGTATAACTTACATACCAGAATCCTCCCATGGAATAAGGCTGAAGGAGGCCTCTGTAGGATGTCACCTGAGATTGTACTCTTGCTTTGCTTCCTCCTGTTCCTTGTCCTGCTTTCCCTTCTCACTTACTGTTTGCCTCTCAGAACTCATTCTTAATAAATTATTTGGACACAAATCCTCATCTCAAGGACTGTTTCTGAATTAACCCAATCTAAGGCAACTGCCTGGGAAAAAATAAGGCTATTGTGATAGCTAGAGAGGACAGTCCTGGAAAAAGGACAGCCAGCAACAATTCAAATCTGAACATAAAAGGACATTGGATATTATAGATAATTTATATAAATTAAAGAAATAACCAAACTGTTTGGTGAGTCACAAGAATAAAATAATGTGGAATTGTTGCATACTTTACCTCAGGATCAAGTCATAGATTTGTTATTAGAAACTACATTTTGAAATTCTTGCTACAATCATAGCAATTGAGAGGAAGACAAACTGATTGAAGTTGACAGAAGGTGAAAGCTACAACTAATGCTGAATTTAAAAAAATTTTAATGTTGATACAAATCCTCAGAATCAGAATAAGGTCAACAGTGGAGTGCTAATTTTCAAATCCAAAGACCATCCATGTCTTACTTTTACATGATGTATCTTTTACCATAAGAAAATGCTCAGTTTCCTTTATTCTTGACATATTCTCCCACTAATGTCATCAACCACCATCTTCAAAGTCACCTAATATTTCTGACTTAGTTAAAGGGGTTCCTCTACCTCTCTGTTCCCTTTAAGTTCTTATGTTCTCCAGATCTCATGGTTTGCGTCTCTTTCTCTCCATGCTTCTTTTCTGAGGCAATATCATCCATGCTTATGATTTACTTTCTCTTCCATAGGCTAATAACCTAAGTATTTCTAGACACAATCTTTGTTCTAAATGTTAGAAATGTGTAGATTGTTTATTTGCCACCTCCACCTGTTAGAAATCCAAATCCTATACTCAACATATTCACCACTAAATTCATTTCTTTAGCTTCTACTCTCCTTTTTGAGTTCTATATCCTGCTGACTGAACTCACTTGTTCGACAACTCATTGTCCCTTGTAAATCAAGTCAGAAGTCTCAGAGCAATTCTAGACGTCTCCATCTATCTCAATGTTACATAAATCCTTGTCGGTCTCCACTCCTTTAGTAGTTGTCAAACCTTCTCTCTATCTTTATGCCATAGTTATAATGTAGGCCATCACTTATGTAACACTTAGTTACCTATTGCAATATTATGTGAGCCACATTGATAATTTTAAAATTTCTGGTAGCCACATTGAACAAATTAAAAGAAAACATGCAAAGTTACTTTTACTAGTGTATTTTGTTTAACCAAATATATCAAAAATGATATTATTTTTATAATATACTTAGTATTGAATATTATTAATGAGACACTTTACATTATTTTTTTGTTGGTACCCAGTGGGTATTTTCCACTGATAGCATATGTGAATTCTGACTACCATGTTTAAGTACAAAGTAGCCACACACAACTAGTGGCTACCATATGGGTAGCACTTATCTAAACTATTAGCATAGTCTTTCTCTCCCGCAATCCCATTCTCTACTACTACTTGAGTGACATTTCTAACATTCAAATCTGGTCATGGTACTTCACTGTTTTATATATTTATCCATGGCTTACAGGATAAAGTCAAACTCCTTTTCATGTCTCCTATAATCCTTTATGTGCTCTTAACTTCCTATCCCTTCTTCATCTCTTTTGAAGCCCTGGCTCATGTCACCATTGAATTTAGTGATCTTTATTATGTCTCTGTGCAGTTATTTAAATAATCTTGCTGTTCCCTATCCCTAGGAAGTATTTTTCCCCTCCTTTCTTTTGTCTTCTTAAATAACTTCTACTTAATCTACTCATTTAAAAAAATTGTATACTGTGAATCCTTCCATGAACTCCACCTGTATCCCCATACCAAACAACTGATTGCTCTGTTTCTCTGTAGTACTTGGATTATTATTTAAAAAGACCACCGTAACACTATACAAAAATGTGTTTTGCATTGTCTCTTGATTAGGCTTTGAAATCCTTGAGGGCAGAGACAGTACCTTGTTTATCTTTGCACTCCCAGGCACAATAGAAGGTCAAAAAATTTCTGCAGTATAACGAACAGAAAAAATAAGCACCTTTTATAGAGCAAAACCTTACCAATTATAATCACAGGTTTCACAGGTAGCCTGCTATACAACAGTCTCTCCATTTGTGCATTGCACAGGGCTTCTACATTTACAGGGCACAATTCACATTGCAGACTTAATTAAGTTAAATGAGAATGGGTGCGTGGAGTCCCATAGTTTCCTACCTGGAGCGGCAGAGAGATCCTACTTCTATTTAAACTCTCATCTCCACAGGGTACTATACACACTGAAGAAAGCACAAAAACAGAGTCACCAACTAACATACACATTTACAGAGGGCTACATTCTATCCAGACCCTGCTCTGGATATTCCCTGGCATGACTTCTCTTGCCTGCCAGTATCTGTTGAAGACATAATGCCTACCACCTCCTATCTGGGAATTTGACATAACCATCTTAACTGGGGTGGGTGAGTGCAGAGTATGGATGCCACTTGTGACATGTATAAATCACTTTCCAGGGATGTGTGAGCAGGCAGGAGTAAAGATGCCAGTATGATATTGACCCAGCCAGGTCTACACATTTTTAAAGTAATTGTACAAAGTCTCTGTAAAGACTAGTCACCTTGATTACAGATGGAGATTCCAGGATGCAAGAAGTCTTCTGAACATGATTCCCATTATTTCCACGAAAGTCTATCTATTGCCACAATAATATTGCATAACATACAACCAAACATTTTAGTATCAAGCAAAAATTATCATTAGTTTAGCTGATGTCTGCAGAGATAAATTGATCTGGACTGTACTCAACCAATTTTGACTGAACTTGTTCATCTGTCTGTGGTAAGCTGTGAGTTAGCTAGGTAGCTCTTGATTAGGATCACCAGGCATTTTTAGAGATTGGCTGGCTGTTGACTCATCTTAGGATAGCCTCAGCTGGAATAATTGGGGAGAAATCTCAGTTTTGTTCCATATGTCGCATCCTGCAGCAAGCTGGCCCAAGCAGAACTTTCTCACAGTGATGACAGAAGACAAACACAGCAAGCAGAAGAATACAGATGTTTCTTGAACATCTTCTTGCATCATATTTGCTAACATTCTTGCAATCAGTGCAAACCACATGATCAAGCCTAATGTCACAGTTGAAGAGCACTACGGAGTATGGGTATGGACAGAAGGAGGAGTGAATAAACGAAGTCTTTAATGCAATAACTCCAATTCACAGGTCTTTAATGCAATAATTCCAACTCACAGGTCAACTGGTTAGAAGACAGCTTATCACAATTGTACCTCAATTGTTCATTTATTTTTCATGGAATATATTATATATATTTTAAATTTGAATGCTTAAGCCTGAAAAAGTGTTGGTGCTTTAACACTTTTCTGTTCTGTTTTGAGTTATATCAACAATACCCAGTCAGAGTGAACGGTCTTATAAATCTTGGAATACAGGGAAAGTTTAGGCCCAGGACCAACATGGAGAAACCATGGGAGAGGTAAGTTGATGCAGCCTTACTTTTGAGTTTATGTGAACTGACCCTCAATTATGAAATCCATCATGGGATGTCCTGCTAAATTCCTGATATCTACTTTTATGCCTCTCAGTTATTTCCTATTAAGTTCTAGAATCTCTCTTTTTTTCTGCCCTGAAAAACCCTGGCCATTCTGAAATGAGGAAACATTCATATTCCCTGAATTTGGATGTGACAAGAAATATGCATCTACTGAATGAAAACAAACCCAAATAACATTTTTGTAGTTTTTAGAGTAGCAGATCTTGAGAAAACACATTCAGACTCTGTAGAAATTCATCCTGAACTTGACTTTGCGTATTTTACTTTGTAACAGTGCATATTCTCTGACTGAATATTGAGCTGTTTCACTGATAGGAGTCTATCTGGAAATGAAAAAGAAATGAGTTTGTGGGTTTTTTTTTTTTATCTTCTCATGGTTATCAGCAGGCAGACAGTCTTATGGTCTCATTGACTGCTATATTGGTAGAGATGCTAATGATCTAAATCCAACAGATGCTTGGAAGCACAGCACCAGTTAACATATGCAACCAACAGAAATAAAAAACATGGGCTGTTTGACATACACATAGAGAATGCTTCCTATAATTAGAGATAATTACCAATGTTAGGAGAGCAAAAGCATCTTTTTTGGTCCTTGAAAAGCTAAATATAAACTCCAAACAGACACCAGCAGGTACACTAAATTTACAAGATGCAGAATTTCTTGTGAGAAGGGGCTAAGCCATTTTTTATAGCTATTTGCCTTCTTAGCATTTTATGTACGCTTTTAAAGTATACCTTAAATAAATCATTTGTTACATGTAGTTTCCAGCAGCATAATTTATTTTTCTTGGGTAGACACTCATTCCTTGTAGTCAAAAAAAGAAAAGAACCATGGTGTACTTCTACAAAATAAAAACAAGTTTTATCTGTAAATGTATTCCCATTGGATTGCTTTACGTGAGAGACTGGCTTTAAAACAAAATTTACATTTCAGAATTATAGTAGAAACATTTAAATACCAAATAGAGACATAGTACAATCTCGCTCACTCCTGCTTAAGCTTCATCCTAATTTAACTAAATTATTTAATTTCCACAGATATTTTAACTGTTTTTAACTTCACTTCCCAATTTTGTATCTAGTACATAGCACTCATTTCTTCCTTATGCTGATGATATGGTTAGGCTTTGTGTCCCCACCCAAATCTCATCTTGAATTGTAATCCCTATAATCCCCATGTGTCAAGTGCAGGACCAGGTGGAGATAATTGAATCATGGGGGTGATTTCTCCCATGCTGTTCTCGTGATAGTTGGTGAGTTCTCACAATATCTGATGGTTTTATAAGCATCTGGCATTTCCCCTGCTTGCACTCACTCCATCCTGCTGCCCTGTGAAGAAGGTACCTGCTTCTCCTTTGACTTCGGCCATGATTGTAAGTGTCCTGAGGCCTCCCCAGCAATGTGGAACTTTGAGTCAATTAAGCCTCTTTCCTTTATAAATTACCCAGTGTTGAGTATTTTCTTATAGCAGTGTGAGAACGGACTAATACAACTGACAAACATTTTAATAACTTTGGCTTGAGGCTTTAGGTGTAATAGGAACTATCTGCAACGGAAATCTTTGCACACTAAGGGTATATTTTTATTATCCCTACTCATAGATAAGACAGCATTCTTTTTAATTTTTTATTTTTCTATACCCATAGCAAGGCAGATGGATTATTCTTAAAACAGCCATACTCACTCCTGAAACTGGTCCTCAAAGTGCATGATCTGGTGTTTTGTTGTTTTCCTTGTACGGATCTTTCACCTCCCTGGTCAGCTGTATTCCTAAGTATTTTGTTCTTTTCGTGGCAATTGTGAATGGGATTGCATTCCTGATTTGGCTCTTGACTTGACTGTTGTTGGTACATATGAAAGCTGGTGATTTTTGTACGTTGATTTTGTATCTTGAGACTTGCTGAAGTTGTTTATCAGCTTAAGAAGCTTTGGGACCAAGACTACGGGGTTTTCTAGATATAAGATCATATCATTTGCAAACAGGGGATAGTTTGATTTCCTCTCTTCTTATTTGGATGTCCTTTTTTTTTTTTTATCTTGCCGGATTGATCTGGCCAGGACTTCCAATACTATTTTGAATAGGAATGGTGAGAGAGGGCATCCTTGTCTTGTGCTAGTTTTCAAGGGGAATGTTTTCAGCTTATGCCCATTCAGTGTGATGTTGACCGTGGGTTTGTCATAGATGGCTCTGATTTTGAGGTATGTTCCTTCAATACCTAGTTTGTTGAGAGTTTTTAACATGAAGAGATGTTGAATTTTTTCAAAAGTCTTTTCTGCATCTATTGAGAAAATCATGTGGTTTTTGTCTTTAGTTCTGTTTATGTGATGAATCACATTTATTGATTTGTGCATGTTGAACCAAATTTGCATCTCAGGAATAAAGCCTACTTGTTCGTGGTGGATTTCTCAAGATCTACTTGATATACTGCTGGATTTTGTTTGCCAGTATTTTGTGGAGGATTTTTGCATCGATGTTCATCAAGGATAAGGCCTGAAGTTTTTTGTTGTCATTGCGTCTCTGCCAGGTTTTGGTATCAGGATGATGCTGGCCTCATAAAATGAGTTGGGGAGAAGTCCCTTCTCCTCAATTTTTTGGAATAGTTTTAGTCAGAATGCTACCAGCTCTTCTTTGTACATCTGGTAGAATTTGGCTGTAAATTCTTCTGGTCCTGGACTTCTTTTGGTTGGTAGGCTATTTATTACTGATTCAATTTCAGAGCTCATTATTGGTCTGTTCAGGGATTCAATTTCTTTGTGGCTCAGTCTTGGGAGTGTGTATGTGTCTAGGAATGTATTCATTTCTTCTAAATTTTCTAGTTTAGGTGCATAGAGGTGTTCATACCATTCTCTGCTGGTTATTTGTATTTCTGTGGTGTCTATTGTAATATCTCCATTGTCATTTCTGATTGTTTATTTGGATGTTCTCTCTTGTTAGTTTAGCCAGTGGTTTAACTATTACATTAATTTTTTCAAAAAACCAACTCCTGGATTCATTGATGGTTTGAATGCTTTTGCATGTCTCAATTTCCTTCAGTTCAGCTCTGATTGCGGTTATTTCTTGACTTCTGATAGCTTTGGGGTTGGTTTTCTCTTGGTTTTTTAGTTCTTTTGGTTGTGATGTTAGGTTGTCAAATTGTGATCTTTCTAACTTTATGATATGGACATTTAGTGCTATAAATTTCCCTCTTAACACTGCCTTAGCTGTATCCCAGAGATTCTGATATGTTGTATCTTTGTTCTCACTCATTTCAAAGAACTTCTTGATTTCTGCCTTAATTTCATTATTTAACCAAAAGTCACTCAGGAGCAGTTTATTTAATTCCCATAATATTGCATGGTTTTGAGTGAATTTCTCATTCTTGATTTCTAATTTGATAGTGCTGTGGTCAAAAAGACTGTTACGATTTTATTATTTTGTATTTGCTGAGGAGTATTTTATATCTGATTATGTGGTCTATTTTAGAGTATGTGCCATGTGGCCATAAGCAGAATATATATTCTGTTGTTTTAGGTGGTAAGTTCTGTAGATGTCTATCAGGTCCATTTGATACAGGTTCTGAATATCCTTGTTAATTTTCTGCCTCAATTATCTAGTACAGATGACACAAACAAAAGGAAAAGCATTCCATGCTCATGTATAGGAAGAATCGGTGTCATGAAAATGGCCACACTTCCCAAAGCAATTTATAGATTTAATGCTCTTCTTCTTAAACTACCAATTACATTCTTCTCATAATGAGAAAAAAAAACTATTTTAAAATTCATAGGGAACCAAAAAACAGCCCAAATAGTCAAGGAAATCCTAAGCAAAACCAAAACAAGGCTGGAGGCATTATATTGCCCAACTTCAAACTATACTACAGGGCTACAGTAACCAAACCAGCATGGTACTCGTGCAAAAACAAACCCATAGACAAATGAAACAGAAAAGAGAGCCCAGAAATAAGGCCATACACTTACAACCCTCTGATCTTCAAGAAAGCTGACAAAAACAAGCAATGAGGAAAGAACTCCCTATTCAATAAATTGTGTTGGGATAACTGGCTAGCCATATGCAGAAGATTGAAACTGAACCTCTTCCTTACACCATATACAAAAATTAACACAGGATGGATTAAAGACTAAGGTCTCATATTCAGCTTCTATAAAGAAGTTAAACAAATTTACAAGAAAGAAAGAAACACATTAAAAATGGGCAAAGCACATGAACACTCTTCAAAAGAAGACATACATGAGGCCAACAATTATATGAAAAAAAACTCAACATCATTGATCATTAGGGAAAGGCAAATCAAAACCACAATGAGATACCATCTCACACCAGTTAGCTGGTGAGGTTGTGGAGAAAAAAGAACGCTTATACACTGTTGGTGGGAGTGTAAATTAGTTCAACCATTCTGGAAAACAGTGTGGCAATTCCTCAAATGCCTAAAAACAGAACTAACATTTGAATATCCCATTGCTGAGTATACGCAGCCATAAAAGTATATGCAGCCAAGTACTATGCAGTCATAAAAAGAATGATATCATGTCTTTTGCAGGTACATGAATGAACCTGGAGGCCATAATCCTTAGCAAACTAATACAGGAATAGAAAACCAAATACTCTTATGTTCTCACTTACAAGTGGGAACTAAATAGTCAGAATGCATGGACATGTAGAAGGGAAAAAACAGACTATTGGAGCGTGGGGATTGGGAGGATGGAGAGGATCAGGAAAAATAACTAATGGGTACTGGTTTAATACCTGGGTAATGAAATAATCTGTATAACAGACCCCTGTGACATGTGTTTACCTTATTACAAACTTGCAACCTGCACATGTACCACTGAACCTAAGATAAAAGTAAAAAAGGAAAAGATTATATCACCCTACAATATTTGGAGAATTCTTAGAGGGCCAACTCATATATGAACTATTTGGGGAAATCCTACTTGGTTGCTGCAGGTGCATTTAAGGACAGCCTTATCTGCCTTATCAGAGAACTTTAAATAGAACCTTATTATATAAATATTTTCCTACCTTTGTATTTGTATTCCAGTATCTATATATTCATTCTTCCCACTAGATATTAAGATGTTAATCTTACTTCCAACTCATCCAGGCTCTAACACAGGATCTCACACTGTTAAAGCAAAACTAAATAATGGCCTGAGAAGGACTCTGTACTTCTATATTTGAGTCCTTGTGGATGAACTGTAACCTAGCTTAATAGTCAGACAAAATTGAAAACCTAACTTAGGAGTATGCGCCTGTAACAATAACTGAGTCTTAGCCAATCCCCGTGGCCATACTTCAACTACTCATAGACTGCTAAGTGTACAAACTGTGTTCAAATAAGGCAAATGCCAACCTGTAACCAACCCAGCTGTTTCTGTGGCTCACTGCCAATTTCTGTATGTCATTTCCCTTTTTTTGTCTATAAATCTTCTTCCACCACATGGGTGCACTTGAGTCTCTCTGAATCTGCTGTGATTCTGGGGGCTGCCCGATTCACGAATCGTTCATTGCTCAATTAAACTCCTTTAAATTTAATTCAGCTGAAGTTTATCTTTTATCACTACACATCCTGTACACAAGTGTTCAGAAAATGTCCCATAATTGCATGATGATATTGAGAATTTAAATGCTGGTTTAAAGAAGGAGTCAACAAACTGTGGCCTAAAGGAAGACTACCTGTTTCTCTAGATAAAGTTTTGGAGAACACGACCATACTCATTCATTTATGTAGTTTTGTTTTGACAGAAACTATATGGTCAGCAAGCTTAAAATATTTACTACCTGACAGTTACTGGAAAAGTTTGCTGACCCCTAGTTTAGCACAATCTAGACAGTATAATTATGGAAATAAATAATATCTACTTGGGGGTACAATGCATCAACTTTGTCTAAGCACTAGTTATTGTACCAAGTAGTAACTTAATAAACAGTGCACTATGAAGGTCAGTTTTATGTATAAACTTGACTAGGATATAAGTCCCTAGTTATTCAATCAATCCAATATTAATGTAGGTTCTGCTGTAAAGGTATTTTGTAGAGGTAAAGTCCATAATCTGCTGATGATAAGTAAAGAAGGTCATCCTAGATAATCTAGGTAGGCATGAAACTGAGGATTACAAGAATAATAAATTTCCCGCCTGCCTTTCCTGATGGCCTGCCCTGCAGATTTCAGACGTGCCTCACCAGCCCTCATAATTGCATATGCCAATTGCTTGCAATAAATCCCTTTATATACATATATTTAATACAGCACTTTAAAGGAGGGGTTCAAAATATAAGTTCCATGGACTGGGATCCTACTTGTTCAGTTATTTTGGTTAAATTCTGACAGATTCATGTATCTTTGTGACCTGAAGAAGTTAAAGCTCACTCCAATAAAGGAGTTTATTTTCCATACCAGAAAGGATGTATTAAAACATGTCAAAATCTTTTTATAGGAGGCTTGAGAAGTAGTATTATTACCATAATTTTGCCCTGACCTAATAAAAGACCTGATAAAAAATGGCATTAAGATTTTTAATAGATCAGCTATTTCAATCCATTATGCAATTCTCATTTCTTTGATTTGAATATTGTCAAAGCTAACTTACTATTAACAAAAAATTATTTCCTTCTTAAAATCCCATGTAGTTCCTCTAACTCTATGACATTCAGAAGATATACTAACTTTCCTCAGTGACAAAGGTTACTTCCTAATTTATTAGTTCTGCCTGATGTTCAGTTAGGGGGAAAAAGTCAAACCAAATCAAAAGACGAAAACAAACAAAGCTTATTTTCGGTTTGTGTAATCTTTTGTTTGAATGTATCAGCATTGTATTTCATTTTATGTGAAAGGAAAGAATGCCCTTTGACTTTGCTTATCAAATAACCTTCCTTTATCATTGAGGGCAAAGACCTGAAATACTGTTTTTTCCAGCCTTCTGCTTTGCAAATAAGTTCCCCTCATCCTCTGACCCACCACTAAATTCAGTATTCACAGTCTTCATACCTCATTGTTTTCATTTGCCAGAATGCAAAATATAACACTGAAGGGACATTGGTCCATAGTATTAGGCCAAAGGTCTATTTGACAATTGGAGTGACTTACTCTGAACAGAAAAGTTATTATTTATTTTTAATTAGCAAAAAAAATTGAATCTATGGTTATATTTTAAAAAGGTATAGACAGTGAATTTAAAACTAATTTCATCATTCTTAATCTTATATAAAAGATTATTGTATTAGATGTTGTATTTCCTGGGATCTCAGCTTGATTTTTTAAATTATTACTTGTATGATTGACCAATTACTTAATGTCCCTGAGACTCCAATCTCCTCTGTGTAAATAAGAATAATTATAATTTTTTGTTTACACAGTGTTATTTTCAATATCAGGGCAAAGTTGTTTTGAGAACTCTGGGGCCAAAGGTAATATTATTTTCAGGGGCAGTGATATGGTTTGGCTCTGTGTCCCCACTCAAATTACATCTCAAATTGTAATTCCCATGTGGTGAGGAAGAGACCTATAAACTCCATGTGTCAAGGCATATAAGTGATTGGATTATGGCAGCAGTTTCTCCCATGCTGTTCTTGTGATAGTGAGTTCTCATGAGATCTTACAGCTTTATAAGCGGAAGTTTTTCCTTTTTTGCTCTCTTCTCTCTCCTGCCGCCTTGTGAGAAGGTGCCTGCTTTGCCTTCTGCCATGCTTGTAAGTTTCCTGAGCCCTTCCTAGCAATATGGAACTGTGTGTCAATTAAATCTTTCTTTATAAATTACCCAGCCTCAGGCAGTTCTTTAAAGCACTGTGAGAATGAACTAATACAGGCAGTGTCACAGACTCTTTTGCGAATATAATAATGACCACAGGTGTTTTCCTTAGAGACACCAACATATTACCAATGATGTGAATTTTTTGCTCATGAGCACAGTATGTTCACAGTCCACTGGAACACTATCTTTGAGCTGGTCCATGGGACTTAAATTTTGAACTCCTCCTTTAAAGTGCTATGTTAACATAGTACTATTTTATGTAAATGTACATTATAAGCAATCTGAAATCAATAAAATAAGTGTTGCATGCTTATGTTTTCCCCATTATTTTAAATACATATATTCACATGCATTTATTCATATATTTCTCACAGCAAGCTTCCAAAGTAAGTACTATAATTATCCCAGTTCTATAGTCAGAGGAGACTAAGGCACAGAGATGTTAGGTAGCAGGACTGGAAATTGGTGGGGAAGCCTGAGTCCAGGGTTTGGAACCTGCCATGCTATGTTCTGTCCTGTATTTAACACAAGGGCCACACAAGAGCTTGCGCCTAGAGGAGGGCTTGATTCCTTTGATTGTGTGTGTGAGCACCAGCCAGGGTGTCAGAAATCTGCACTGTAACCATGCCTTTTTTAATTTTTAATTTTTGTGGGTACATAGTAGGTATATATATTTATGGGTTCAGATATTTTGATATAGACACGCAATGCATAATAATCACATCAGGGTAAATTGGGTATCCATGGCCTCAAGCATTTATCCTTTGTGTTACAAACAATTCAATTATACTTTTTAAGTTTTAAAATGTACAATTAAATTATTTTTTACTGTAGTCACCCTATTGTGCTAGTGTATATTAGATCTTATCCATTCATTCTAACTATTTTTTGAATCATTAACCATCCTGACTACCACCCTACAACCTCTACTACCCTTCCCAGCCTCTGGTAACTATCCTTTTACTCTCTATTTCCATGAGCTCAATTGTTTTAATTTTTAGCTCCCACAAATAAGTGAGAACATGCAGATTGTCTTTCTGTGCCTGGCTTATTTCACTTAATATAATGGCCTCCAGTTACACCCATGTTGTTGCAAGTGACTGGATCTTATTCTTTTTTAAGGCTGACTAGTACTCCATTGTGTATATTGAATAGTGTGAATAGTGCTGCAATAAACATGGGAGTGGAGATATCTTTATGATATCCCAATTTCCTCTTTTTTGGACATATACCTAGCAGTGGGATTGCTGGATCATATGGTAGCTCTATTTTAGTTTTTTGAGGAACCTTCATAGTGATTATACTAATTTACATTTCCACCAACACTATATGAGGATTCCCTTCTATCCACATCCTTACAACTCCAAAAGCTTGCTTGGTACTCTACCCACTGTGGCCATGCTGGTGTCTAAGGTGCAAGACAAAGTCCCCTTTCTTTTTCCCTCTACTTTCCTGAAGCGGAAGGTGTTTCTCCCCATAGCTACCAAATCTGGGAATGTGCTGAATCTCACCTGAAGCCAGCAAGTCTCAGAATCTCACCCAAGGCCCACAGCATACTACATAAGTATTGATGCTGGTTATTCAAGGCCCAAAGGCTTGTTAGTCAACAGGTGATGGATCCTTCCAGGACTTCATCATTCCCTTCAAGGCAGCAGGTTCCCTTCTGGTCCCGAGTGTGTCTAGAAATGTTGTCTGGGAGCTAGTGCCTGGCCAAGGTGGCCTGATGACTCTGACTTGCAACACTAAAACTGAGAGGATTTCCATTTAGACACTCAATCCTGTAGTCAACATACACAGACACACAAACTTACATACATACATACACACGTACAACTCAGCTAAAATACTTAAGGAAAGGCATTGAAAAGGGGAAAAATGTGATCAAATATATCCAATCATTTTAAGATATTTTGTGATTAACATTACTCACTGGCTAAGTTTTGCACTTCTAATTATAGTGATAGTCTTTTCAAGATCATTTGTTCTTTTGACCAGGAGTAGTAAATTGTTCTTATTACTCATTCCTAATACACCACAAAAAATTTTAAATTCTCTAAAAGCATAGCCCAACTTATTATCATCTTTATCACTATTATTATTACCATTTATTATTTTCTCCAACTTGTTTTCTCATTTTTATAAGCTAGAATGGAAAAACAAAATAAGAAGAAAATATTAGAATATTTTTTAATTTGTAAATTATGGTTTAGAAAACACAAGACAATTGTTCAGTTTTATTTTATTACACTTCACCTTAGAAGTGGCCTACATTTTATTGTTCTTTAAATAAAAATGGATAATTTGATATGGTGGTAGGTTTACACTACCAAGAAATAGATCCAATATTCTAAGAGCTACTGATGTCACTGTGTGACAAACCTGCACATGTACCCCCTTAATCTAAAATACAAAGTGAAATTATTTAAAAAAATAAAATAAAAGATGCTGATAAAGGTGAGGGAAAAGCAATTTAGATGATGGTATTGAGATACTAATGCTAATTCTTAGATAATATAACTAACTTAATCTAATTTCCCCAACCCCATTTGGACACTTTTGAGAAAAGTACAGATAGTTCCCAGCAACGAAGTTCCCAAGTCTGTACAGAGTGCCATGCATGGGGACACAATTTCTGATTATTCTTCTCTAGGTCTATAGAAAGCAAAAAGGCAAGGTATAATGTTGAGAAATAAAATATATATATTTTTTTCTGATTATACAGCTTTTTTCTTAAACTTCTCAGTTCTATAGTGACTGATTATTACTTCTCAAAATTGCTTGGGTTTTTTTTTTTTTCTCCAGAATGCATAGTATAGCAGCAGAAGGCACAGTTAACTTTCCCAATAGGGATGGTTGAAATGTCACACCAAATGTATAGGGTTCATGTTTAAATTTTGATGTTGCTGTATTAACAAACATAGAAGCAGTGACATTTCTATACTCCAACATGAAGCAGATGTCAACCATCTTCAGTGTGTTCTAAGAAGATTTAGAGATGCATTACCAAAGTTGAAGTCATTTAAAAATTCCTTTAAGAATATGACCTGAATATTGGAAGTATTAATAAAAATTTTCCCAGTTAAGCATTATAAAAGCCTTATTATGATATAAATTACTCTAATTTTGTTTCTTAAAATAAATACGTGTAATTATCATTTAGCCACAATTTCCTCAAATCATAGTTGAAATTTTAATAGCTATTCTCTATAGGTATCTTTGTTAATTGATTCAATTTTTCTGTATTCTTCACTTAAAAAGAGACAACTTTTTCTTGGCCTCCATGTTTTTTAAGCAACTTAACAATAGCATGATTGTTAGTACCATCTATAAATATAAAGGCCATATGTAATAAAGAGCTGATTGATATAGTTTCATGTAATTCAAACAAAATGACTGAATATTTTTACTTGACTGCTCCCACAGCCTAATAGAAATAATTCTCCCTTATGATCATTCTGTAGATGTTGCCTTTAAATGTGAGGTCAAAATTCTCTTTATTTTTTAAAATTTTGTTTTAGGTTCAGGGGTAAATGTGAAGGTTTGTTACACGGGTGAACTCATGCACGGGGGTTTGTTGTACAGATGATTTCATCATCCAGGTATTAAACCCAGTACCCAATAGTTATTTTTCCTGATCCTCTCCCTCCTCCCAGACTCTTCCCTCAAGTAGACCCCAGTGTCTGTTGTTCTCTTCTTTGTGTTCATGAGTTCTCATCATGTAGCTCCCACTTATAAGTGAGAACATGCAGTATTCGGTTTTCTGTTCCTCTGTTAGTTTGCCAATAATAACAGCCACCACACTGCACTGTAGCCTGAGCAACAGAGCGAAAACCTGTCTCAAGAAAAAGAGTAATAGCCTCTAGCTCAATCCATGTTCCTGCAAAAGACATGATCTTGTTCCTTTTTATGGCTGCATAGTATCCCATTGTGTATATGTACCACATTTTCTTTATCCAATTTGTCATTGATGGGCATTTAGGTTGATTCCATGTCCCTGCTATTGTGAATAATGTTGCAGTGAACATTCACGTGCGTGTTAACACAATCAACAAGCATATGAAAAAAGCACAATATGACTGATTATTAGAGAAATGCAAATCAAAACTACAATAATATACCATCTCACACTAGTCAGAATGGCTATTATTAAGAAGTCAAAAACAAACAAACAAACACAGATACTGGTGAGATTACAGAGAAAAGGGAACACTTATACACTGTTGGTGGGAGTATAAATTAGTTCAACCATTATGGAAAGCAGTATGGTAATTTCTCAAAGAGTTAAAAGCAGAATTACAATTCCACCAAGCAATCCCATTACTGGGTATATAACCAGAGGAAAATAAATCATTCTACCAAAATTTTCTTTAAATAGTTTGCAAATAATGCAAATATATAAACATAATGACTTCACACTCTAGACTACACTATTTTTCTCATTAAAACATACTCTTTCCACAAAATGAGCACAATACCACCCACATACTAAGATTCAGGTAGCACTTCTACCCCCAAAATATCTCATTTACCAGTCCCCTATTTCTGAAATTTCATTATTAGAACTGTATATTGCTGATTTCTCTTCCTGCTTGAAACACAGTTAATTCATACATATGATGGCCTTATATGTAGAATGATTTAGTATGGAGATATTTTGTTACAGCAGCTTTTGTTACAGGTAAAATAGAACATTATGGCTCTAGAAATCAGAAAAATGAGGAAATAGCTTCAAAAGAGGAAATAAGTCATTGAAAAACATGCTTCACCAGGTTCACAAGGTTATCAGCAGCTAGTTAGTTTTGCTAAAAAAAAAAAAAACTATATTGATTTTGAGTGGTCTAGATTAAAGGGGATTAAGCTAAGGATGTTGGAAACCATTCGTCAAACAATAACAGCAAAATAAAGGTTGGTTGAATGTTTTATGTAGATTTTAGAAGAAAAATATTTTTAATTAAATATTAATGATGAAGAGAAAGAATTAGGGCATCAATAGAGAAGCAGTATTTTTTATGGCCCATAACCTTTTTGCAGCAATTGATTGCAGTAGCCAAGGATTCATATATATTTAATTCTCATAAAATGTAGTTAATTTGCTAATTCAGTTGGACATATATGTCTTACAAATAAAGGTTACCCACAATTTAGCTATTTGTCAACACTATTCTTAAACAGACTCTTCAATTTTCCATAACTACAACTGAGTTAAGTGAGTAAAGAGAAATGCTAAAATCAGTTCAGAGAAGAAATACTGACCTTGATGCTTGTTTTTCTTAAAAATATGTTGATTTATATAAAAACTTAAAAGTAGATGCAATATAAGATTTATTAATTATATACTTCAGAAAGTTTTCCAGTTTTTGTGTCTTGCTTGTCTTTAATTTATAACATGCTTTTCATTAACAATATTTATTTTTTCTTCAATGGAGTCATGTACTTTAATAAAGACATCATTGCCTCTGCATACTCTCCAACTCCCACAGAGACTGAAAATGTATAATTTAAAATACATCCTATGGTTGTAAAACAAGTAGCTTAATTGAAGAATATTTATTTTGGTCTGCCTTCACAAGTAAAAGTTATTTCAGTTAACTGACGAACAAAAGTCTGGAGGTCTTAAACCTAATACTACTCTGATAAACTCAACATTAGGTTCTTATTTCTCTAGCATAAATCAACTTAATGCAATGAGGATACACAGTAAATATTATTTGCTGTTTATTATGAAGTGTTAAATCCATCATCACAGCATGTGGTTCAGGACCTATGAGTTTAATCTATACTCAAGTAACATAACATGGATGTATAAATATGTGCTGCCTCAGAATCTAAAGTGTATTTCATTTGTTTAAACCAGTAATTTTTAAGTACTTTCTAACTGGCACTCTGTAAACAGAATTATTAAGATTTAATTACAATTTTCTGTCTTTTTAAAAAGGGTATTTTGTTGTGTCTTGGTACCTGAGCTGAAAGGTTAAATTAATATCCATCATCAGCAAAAATGATAAGAAACTTTATAAAATGCATTTACATTTGAAATTTTATTTATTCTCACTGTGTTAGTCTGTTTTCACACTGCTGATAAAGACATACCTGAGACTGGGCAATTTACAAAAGAAAGAAGTTTAATGGACTTACAGTTCCAACTGGCTGGGGAAGCCTCACAATCATGGCAGAAGGCAAGGAAGAGCAAGTCACATCTTACATGGATGGCAGCAGGCAAAGAGAGAGCTTGTGCAGGGAAACTACCCTTTTTAAAACCATCCAATCTCATGAGACTTACTCACTCTCACAAGAACAGCCCGGGAAAGACCTGTCCCCATGATTCAATTACCACCTACTGGGTCTTTCCCACAACACATGGGAATTCAAGATGAGATTTGGGTGGGATCACAGCCAAACCATATCACTCACTCTTTATATCTGTCAACCTATAAAAATCTTGCATATTTTTGTTTCAACTTAAAAAATATAAATTTATAAATTTCAAACAGATTTGTTCAATTATTGAAATCAATAATATACAAACTGATATTTTGAAAAAACTTTAAAATAATAAATATTACTGAAATAACATTCAAATAATAATAGCTTTCAAATATTGTTATTTATGAATTGGCAGTTATATTTGTCTTATGTTTGTGAGTGTATATTGAGCGAGTATGTGTATGTTTGTGGATGGCTAGATAGACAGACGATAGGTAATTTGGAACAAACATGTTTTAGATATTCCAACAAACGTAAAATAGTAGAACCAAACATATAGTGTGTATCCTTTTTCCTCCCACTAACTGTCCATGAAAATAGATAATATTTGAAATGAATTTATATATATGTACATGTATATATCAGATTCAAAATTGCTTTTATCTTAGTGTATGTTGACTACAGAGATTGTATTTCATTTCTCCGTTTCTTTTTTTTTTTTTTTTTTGAGACGGAGTTTTGCTCTTGTTGCCCAGGCTGGAGTGCAATGGCGCAATTTCGGCTCACTGCAACCTCTGCCTCTCAGGATCCAGTGATTCTCCTGCCTCTACCTCCTGAGTAGCTGGGATTACAGGCATGCACCACTACTCCCAGCAATTTTTTTTTTTTTTTGTATTTTTAGTAGAGATGGGGTTTCTCCATGTTGGTCAGGCTGGTCTCTAACTCTCAACCTCAGGTGATCTACCCGCCTCAGCCTCCCAAAGTGCTGGGATTACAGGTGTGAGCCACTGTACCTGGCCCCATTTCTCCTTTTCTTATGTCATTGAAATTAGCCATGTTTTAATGAAAGGTCTGAAAAAAATGTCTTTTTGTATCTATAGATGGAAGGAAAGGAAAAGGTAGTAATAAGAGAAGATTAGAATCACATTTTTGTTATCCCTCGACTAAAGTTAGAAGATATTCATGATCTAGACATTCTTGGAGTTGTTACACTTTATGTCATTCTGATGTTTTTGGTTTAAGGACTTGGCTGCATCTATGGCCCCATTATTGACTGATTATGCTAATCTTATGGAGAGTGTCATTAGATATTGAACAAAGTTGCAACTCCTCATGTGAATACTAAGGATGTTCTCAAACACATTTTCAAAACCCAAGAGGGAAATAAACCTTCTCTTGCATCCCCTATCTTTTCTCACCATGGCCTGTGAGCAAAATTGATTTTTTCTCCCCCAATTCTGTTATATCGGAGGTGGTGGCTCTCTCTCATTAGTTAATCCCATCTTCCTCCACCCAAAGCATAACCATATTCTATAGGATAATTCTGAAAAAGAGCTGACCTCCTGCTTTGCCTTAATCTGCCTCAATTAAGATGAGATAATCAGAAACATAACTTTAAAATATTTCTATAAATGACCAAGACCATTAAATGCAATTAGAATTATAATAATTTAAAGCATATTTGAACCCAAGGGCTTGTGTAATTTAACATCACTATTTTCCATACAAACAAAATGAAGCTCTGAGAGTCTAAATGACATGCCAGGCTTGTGCTCATTCAAGACATCCCATTACCTCCCACCAATATTATGCCATTTTAATCATGAATTTAGTTACTATTAGTTGGCAATTCTGTAATATGTGGCCAAAACCAAGGCAATAGATAAAACCACTATTTGATATAGGGCTTGCCAGAGCTACATTGAATATTGAGACAACTGTCTTGTCAAAACTTAACCAAAATATCTAAATATTGAAGATTATTTTAATTTTAGTTCCCATATTATCATTAGGAACTTATACGTTTATGTGAAAGCTGTTCTACCAAACTTAAATCATTGATTTCTATTTATCTTATAGCTAATGTATGATGTACAGGTACATAGAAACTGGTATTTCTTGCAATATAAAGCATCATTTATAAGCAATATTATCTTCATTTGCATAAATATTCTTAAGTTTTATGAAATATTAAAGTGTTATAGAATGCAATATAGTTAATAATGTGTGTTTCATTTATTGACACTTTGGAATCAGTGCTGGCAGCACAGGAAGTATAAGTTAAAAATTAGTGATATAATTAATCACATCATAAAAATATTAAAAATAAATATTTGAGAAAGAACCAGATATTCTTGCTGAAGGAGATTTAGCAACTGTTCTAAATTTTTAGGAAGCTAAATTAGCTGGGTCCTTTAGACTTCCTTGGAAGTCTCTTTTCTGTTCCATTTGTCTGTGTGTCAGAAAGCAAAAACTGACAAATTGGATCTAATTAAACTAAAGAGCTTCTGCACAGCAAAAGAAACTCTCATCAGAGTAAGCAGGCAACCTACAGAGTGGGAGAAAATTTTTGGAATCTATTCATCTGACAAAGGTCTTATATCCAGAATCTACAAAGAACTTAAATTTACAAGAAAAAAACAAACAACCCCATTAAAAAGTGGGCAAAGGACACGAACAGACACTTCTCAAAAGAAGACATTAATGTGGCCAACAAACATACGAAAAAAAGCTCAACATCACTGATCATTAGAGAAATGCAAATCAACACCACAATGAGATACCATCTCACACCAGTCAGAATGACGATTATCAAAATGTCAAGAAACAACAGATGCTGGTGAGCTTGTAGAGAAATAGGAATGTTTTTATACTGTTGGTGGGTATGTAAATTAGTTCAACCATTGTGGAAGATGGTGTGATGATTCCGCAAAGATCTAGAACCAGAAATGCCATTTGACCCAGCAATCCCATTATGGGGTATATACTCAAAGGAATATAAATCATTCTATTACAAAGATACACACACATGTATGTTCATTGCAGCCTTATTCACAATAGCAAAGACATGGAATCAACCCAAATGCCCATAAATCACAGACTGGATAAAGAAAATGTTGTACACATACACCGTGGAATACTATGCAGCCATAAAAAAGGAACGATATCATGTCCTTTGCCGTTATCCTCAGCAAACTAATGCAGGAACAGGAAACCAAACACCGCATGTTCTCACTTATAAGTGGGAGCTGAACAATGTGAACACGTGGACACAGGGAGAGGAACAACACACACTGGGGCCTGTCTGGAAGTGGGGTGGGGGGAGGAAGAGCATTAGGAAAAATAGCTAATGTATGCTGGGCTTAATACCTAGGTTATGAGTGCAGCAAACCATCATGGCACACGCTTACCTATGTAACAAACCTGCACATCCTGCACATGTATCCCCTGGAACTTAAAATGAAAATAAATAAAAGAAGTCTTATAAAATCATTTTCGTAAATGTAACTAAATTCCAAAAATTAAAGATTTATTCTATTTATAAATTGGGCAGGATTGTATTTATCACTCATATTTGTAATTACTTATTTAAAAATAAGTTGATTTTATTAAAGAATGTCAACAATAATATATTTTATTTGCTTTTTGGACCTCAGGTGCAGAGAGCTCAATTACTCCTATTTCTCATATTAGCAGCCTATGCAAGGCTCCATTCTTTTTTATTTAATTTTTAAAATACTATTTTATGTTTGCTCATTTGTCTCAATGTCCACACTCACTTCCTCCCCACCATATATTACCACCATGGTACTTACTATTTTGTGTTATATCCTAATACATGTTTGTATCCTTGACAAATATATTATTTGTTTTAATATTAACGAATAATATTCTGCTATAGTTCTTGTGTTTCTTCACTTTTTTTTTTCAATAACACCCCCCCTTTTTTTTGAGACAGGGTCTTGCTCTGTCACCCAGACTGAAGTGCAGTGGCATGATCTCGGCTCATTGCAACCTCCACCTCCTGGGTTCAAGCAATCCTCCTACCTTAGCCTCTAGAGTAGCTGGGACCAAAGGCATGTGCCACCATGCATGGCTTTTTTTTTGTATTTTTTGTGCAGACAGGGTTTTTGCCATGTTGCCCAGACTGGTCTTGAACTCCTGGATTCAAGTGATTCTCCCGCCTTGGCCTCCCAAAATGCTGGGATGACAGGGGTGAGCAATCGTGCCCAGCCTAATAAGGCCTTTTTAAAATGTATTCTTAGACTCTATATGCAACTAATTAATTGTTTCTTAGTGCTGCATAGTATTCATAGTTTATTCAACTTTAAAAAGAATCCACTTTCACTCATCTTACTTTTCTAGAATGTCTACTATTTTCCTATTTATCAAAACACACCTATTTTTAATGGAATATTTTTTGGCTTTTGCCAGTCATTTTGAAAAAGGCTTCATAAGAGAATCATTAGGAAATAAAAACCAGCAAGTGATATATTGAAAACAGTCTAGGCGGTGATTCTTCAATATTTCTTTTCACACTCTCTGGAGTTAGCAGTGGGTGTTAGCAAGCGTGGATTCAATCCCCAAACTGTTCTCACAGTAGCTCTGATCTTTCATTAGTCACTTAATGCACCTGGCCAGCCCCGCCCGGCCTTCCCTAAGGCCCAGCTGACCGCCATGCGTCTCGCCTCCTCCCCACCTCGCGGCCGGCAGCAGCCCTCCAGGTTTGGCTCCATGGATTGATTCTCTCAGAGCAGCTGCTCGGGGCCGACCTACACCAGGCCTGCCGACGTCTCCCCTGGGAGCCTCCCTGGCCCGGGCCAGACATCCGGCACCCGGAGCCCCGTCAGGCGGTCAGCATCAAGGAGGCTAGGTCCTCAAATCGGCCTGCGCCGGAGAGGACAGTGGCTGCCTTCACCATGGGGCAGGTCGACGCCTTGGAGGGCGTCTTCCGGCACCACCAGTACCTGGGCCCTCTGGAGCCGGCAAATGCAGGACTCCCAGCTGCACAGCCCCTTCTCGGGGTCTCTCCACGCGCCCCCGGCTTTTCACTCACCGTCTTCTGGCCTTGCCAATGGCCTGCAGCTGCTATGCCCTTGGACACCCCTGCCCAGGCCCCAGGCTCTGATGCTGCCCCCTGGCTCCTTCTGGGGTCTCTGCCAAGTGGAACAAGAGGCCCTAGCCTCTGCGTGGGCTTCCTGCTACGGGCATCCTCCGCCGCCGGCGTACCACTCCCCAAGCCCAGGAAGTGGCGTGCATACGCTGGGACCAGCCCTCTCCAGGGGGCCGTGGGGCTTGTGTGTTCTTCTGGAGACCGGGGGGATGCATTTTGAGGAAGCGCCTCTGACTCCATGCCTCCCACACACGCGGTCTGTGCAGCTAACACCAGGCGCCTACCCGGAGGACTCAGCTGTTCTGTTTACATCGTGGCGGCACCTCTCACCCTGACCCACGCAAAGGTTCTGGAGATTTCTGGAGAATATATTTATTAAAGCCACCTCTTCACTGAAAGTTACCAAAAGGGTCAGTTTAGGAAGTAAATGAAGGGTCAGTGAACAGAGTCAAACGCAGAAGTGGGCTTGTTATGGGTAGGGCTTTCAGCATATGATAAAAGGATATTTGTTTTTTAAAGTGTTGGAAAAACTGGTTTTCTACTTGGAAAAAGTAAAGGTTGTAAGCTTTGTGTGTAAAAAAGAAAACCATGAAGGATTGGAAGGGAATGCAGGTGTCGTGTTTATAACCTTGTGGTTCGAGTCCCTCTTAACAAGGACTCCAAAGCTGGAAAGCAGGAGGGAACAAAGGTGAAAATTAAGGCGGGGATGCTCGGGCCCTGCAGTGCGCTCTAGGCTGTGCTTGAGCCGGGACTGTGCCCGCAGCCTGCTAAGGGCTGCTTTCTCGGGCCAGGGAAAGCGGGGCAGCGGGGGACCTGCGGCTGTGCCTGGACTGAAGCCGTCCCGCATGTCCCCACCCTCCAGCATGTGTTCACCTGTCCCCCTCCTCGCAGCAGCCTCAGGACAAAACAGAATGACTCAAGGACAGCACTTCCTGCAGAAAGTCTAGAAGTGCCCAGAATGGGAGGCACGGAAGCCCCTCCCAGGGAGGACTCTCCCTCATTGACGGACCATTCTTGGTGCAGATTCCTGACTGCACGCACCGAACCGTAGACAAGCGGGCATCCATCCATGTTGCCCCAGAGTGCCCAGGAGGCAGGCAGCGCGGGGCGCCCAGACAGACGGGTTCAGCCTGCAGGACTGCGAGGCGACCTGTGAAACCGACCCAGGCATCCCAACAAGAACAAAAGCGTGGTCCTGTGGCCGTGTCCACAGCAAGTTCCACTTTCACCTTGCTCATTTCTGCATTGTTGGAAGTGTTTACAACCAGCATGTGCTTTCATAATACAACCTCAGGTAAGAAAGGAAAAAAATTATAGTTGTATCATACCTCAAATACGTTTTTAAGTTCTACAATTTAAGCTACTCTAGAATAGTTAGAATAGTTAGAAAATGGAAATTTTGCTTAATGGTGTTTCTAATATGAAGGGTACAAGAATTGTGGTAGGCTCTAACTGTTGGCATTAATGGCATTTTTCTTCATAGAAACATGCAAAAAACAACCAGTGTTAGATTTCTAGAATGATCAGACCTATGCATATGTACTTAATTGTATTAACCTTGTTGATAATGTTAAATGGTAACATAGAGTTAACCTTAGAACATTTCCTAACAATTGATGTCTTTGAAACAATTATTTCTGAGGACAATACAGGTAATCTGCAGTAGCTGAAAGCAAATTTTGGAGTAAGGTAAATTTAAGTTTAAATCCTCATGTTGTCACTTAAAAATTATTTGACTGTTGACAGGTTATTAAATCTCTGTGTATTTTGTCACATGTGAAGTAAGGATAATGGAATCATTTTGTATAAGTAAAAGAAAATGTCGTGTAGTTATTCGTTGCTCAAAAACATACCATGAATCATTGGAAGGCAGGGACTGTGACCTACTTTCCTTTTCATCCTTTCATCTTAGAATAATGTCTGCTAAGGTACTTAATGTATGCTCTCTGAAAAATGAGTGAATTAATGAATCTTAATGTGTCTTTTTCATGCCCTCATAAATATGCATGTTTAAATGCAATGAATCTTACTACATAAGCATTGTTTGGTAGCTAGGCACTCAATACACATTATTTCTACTTTCTCAAGGCATGTAGAACTGAATCGTAATCAATGATCAAACCATAAGTATTCTGTATCTTTAGTAAAGGCTGTGAATAAAGAGTAGCATTACTTGTTCATTCATTTGAACCTTTATTGCATGAACACTTTGCATCAGATAATATACCAGCAAATGTACTAGTGTTGTTGTTGTTTTGGACATTTGGAAATTTCTGTTTGTCTTCATGCAGATAAAGTATCTTGGTAGTAATTATTTTTTTCACATGAACATTTGAAAACCTGTAGAAAAGGCCGATACCTTTTGCTCAGAGATACCTAAAATATATTACAGGGTAATAAAATAAATCAACTAGATCAATAAGTTTGGTATTGTTAATTTTAAAGTAACTTTATTTTATAATTGACATGTGTAGTTTGACAAATTAAATGCAATACCAAGCTTAAAATAAAAATACAGTGATACTGTCCCATCATTCCCCAGTCTTACTTTTCTATCCTGGGGGCAAACACTTTTGAATCTTTCAGTTGCTTAATTTGGCATTTATATATCTCCATAGTTTTATATAATATGTAAATATAGCTATTTTGATTTATAAATGTTAATTATTATCAAACTTCAAGTTTTAGCAGAAGTGTGGTGATGAATCAGTTTTAAATCCATCTCTCCTAAAAACTGTAGATAAATATACACACATACTTGTGTGCATGCACACATAACACATGAAGAGTGCTTACAGTTACTACACTGATTGACTTCATCTTCTGGTAAGTTATAGATGAACTCTTTCATGATGCCAGTTCTATGTTTTTCCTCTTTCCAATGCCTGCTATTGTTATGAAAATTTTGGTTAAATCGATATTGAATAAACATCATGCATTCATCTGGACTAGTGCTATTTATGCCTGCTGCACACTTGTTACCTGGTACCCTCTCATAATCACGATCTTGTAAGTTTTCTTTAAAATTTTCCTATATAATGTTGCTATTTCTTCTTCTTTCCTCACTTATTGGCTTATGTTATTAGAGGGTATCCTTTGGTTAATTACTGTAAAAAAAAGTGCATGGGAAGTATATTTTTGAGATATTTGATTGTCTGAAAATATTTTTATTTTCCTCGCACATGCTTTATTCATAGTTATACTACATTTTTAACACATTGCTCTGATGTCTTCTGTTGTTGTTGTTGTTACTGTGTTACTATCGAGATGTGCAAAGCCATTCTGATTACAGATTCTTTGTATGTGGTATTCATTTTTCCTTTCAGGAATCTCATAGAAACTTTTTTTTGTCTCCACTGTTCTGAAATTTTACAATGACCTTATTTGGAATGAATGTGTTTTCATCAAGTCTGCTGGATATTCAGTGGATACTTTCAAACTGAAAATTCATGCGTTCTAATTCTGGGAATTTTCTTAAAGTATTTGCTTATTTCCCCTCAAGCATTTTCTCCGTTTTCCCTTTTTAAGATGCTTATTATTCAGCCATTAGGCTTCCTGGAACAGTGTGCTAATTTTCTGCTTTTGTTTTCTTTGTTTTTTGCCCTAGTCTTGGAGATTTGCCTGATTTTATGTTCCAACCCATCCTCTGCTATTTTTATTTTTCCTATTATGCTGTGTCAGGGGAGACATCATTTGGGGAGACAGAAATTATGCCCCTTTTGTGAATAAAGGCAATTTAATAGAAAAAAATTGTTAACTACCTATAAGATTGTTGACTAGGTAACTGAAAGAGTAAAAAGAAAACTCATAAAGTTAGTAGCTATAAGAAGGGGCTACCAATCTTAGGACTAAAGGAATAAACACAAGATGTTGAACTAAAATCTGGAAATATACAAAAGGGGTCTGCTCTGATCTCTGAGAAGTACTCAGTTACTGTGGGTCTCTCTGAGTTCAGAGGAGAGCCCCTATTGACCTGTGAATGAAGCTTTCACTGTACTTTCAAATTCAGTATCACCTAACTTTCAAATTCGAGGAGGGGATGCCAGTGGACTAGTACTGATGTTTCTGATGGGGCAGGACATGGTGAAGCTAGTTTTGCCAGTGTTGGAAAAAAACTGCAAACTAGATTTGACTGCTGCTATTAGAAGAAAGAGCTGCTGCTAGGGTGTAGAAGTATTGTGGAAAAGCAAAAGGGAACAAGTAAACCATTTGTCCTTGCTCCAACCTCACAGTTGCCCTCTCATCCTCCTCGTAATGAAGCCTAACAGGGAGCAGCTGGCAAAACAGAAATGGGGTTTGCAAAGTCTCTGTTTCAACATCACAGAGCAGATTATACAAGGACAGGCCTGGAGCTGAGAAATAATAACTTAAACACTCTTATTGTTTTCTGAACATTTCTTTCTTTTTAATAACATTCTGGTTTGATGTCATAGGTGCAATATTTTCTCTTATCTCTCTGTAGGTATTGAAGTTTTCTTCTCCCTGTATGGTGAGTGGCTACCCCTCCAAGTTATACTTTTTTCTTTTTTTGTTCTTTGTTGTTTGTGTTTTTATTACTTTTTGTCTTCCTCTTCTTTATCTTTTTTTCCCTCATTTATCATATTCTATGCCAGAAACTTTCTGGGAATACCTTGGCATCTACCTATCTTATAATTGGGAAACTAAAACTTTGAGTGTGGGGGAGAAGCTTAATAAATGTAAGCTTTATTTTAGATCAATCTGAATAAGGAGTTCTCAGGGAAATCATGGTGAGAGTATCTTTAGGTTTTCCTTTTTGAGCTGGTTAATTCCCCAAAGGATTCTTCCAGTCTTCTGTCTGAACCATAACATTCTGCCAGTGAGCTCAGTAGGGAAAGAGTTCTATGATCTAATCATTCTAATAAATCAGTTACTACCCATCTGCCTGCTTACATATTTTTCTTTTCCTTTGTTTTTCTGTTTACCTATTTCCTTGGGTGTATATCCACGAAAATATCATCAATGTACTAATATGGTAATAATTATAATATTACAGTGACAATTTATATTTTAACAGATGTATTGTTATATTTGATCTGCTTATTAATAATATACACAAAAAAGATTTCAAGTGAAGCAATAATCATTTTGGTCTAAAGAGTTTTTGTAACTATTCTTCTAACATCTTGTACTTCTTAATGGCCTTTAAAAATATTTGCAAAGTTTATTTTATACATTTTCAGGGTAGCAAAATTATAATACCATTTGATACCATTCTCTTTACTTTCAAACACAAATTGCCTAAGACAGATATTTCTTATAAGAATTTTGTAAAATACTCAACAGAATCCTGAAATGCCTAAGGCTAGAGGATTTACTCTATTTAAAATTTGATTCAAAAAACAACAAAATAAAAACACTTTATAGTGTCACCTAACTTTCAAATTCTATGCTGCTGTGGAGGGTAAATTTTATTCAAGCCTCTGTGTCTACTGCAAGTAATCTCTGTGTATCACACAGGTTATGAAAATGGCAGGAATTTTTTCTCAAGAAAGTCATCATTAACCATGACTGATACCTTAATAATGCCATAGATATAATTATAGTTTAATTTGGAATTGAATTTCAATTAGTTCTTCTGTAAGAAATGAGCTATTATTATCAAGCAATATCAGAACCTCAAAAATCTCATTTGTATTTGTTTTTAAATCGATAAAATGTGGTTTTGGCGTCTCAACACTTTAATATGAGATATCTATTTTGAGATTTAGCTGGTGAGAAATGTTATTGGAAAGCAGCACTGTTAGTAGTAAATAAATTTGCATTCAGATTTGACCCTACAATGATTCAGATAAATGTAAATTCTGAGTGTAAACATTATGGGCTCATTTCTTGGCTCATATGCTCTTCTTATACATCCAGATACATAATTTGAATTTCCCATTCCAGAGACAGTATTCAATATAATATCAAAGAACAAACTGATTATTATATCTAGACATAATATCTAATCTACAGCTATACAAAATAGCCACAATTATTTTAGGATAGTAATTAAAATAGATATTTGTTAAACAATAGGCATCAGACACTTGCTCAGATTGTATGTATTGTTATTGCATTTAATCATCACAACAAAATAGTGATGTTGATTATGCTATTACCCCCAATTATACAGATGAGAAAAATAAAGGTTAGGGAGCTTTGATGTCTTGCCCAAAATGTATGCAGCTTGAAAACAGATAATGCAATACTGGAAAGCTTATTGTTGAGTTCACGATATAAAATAAATTTGCTATAGCAATATGTGTGTGTATGTATATGATAACATCTTGTCTTAATATCACTGTTAGCAAAATCAACTTCCAATGATACTATCTGAGGTAGGCAAACTAATAAACTCACAAAGACATCCACATTCTTGTCTCCAGAACCTGTGAGTATGTTAAATTACACTATAAAGGAAAATTAAGTTTGCCAATAGAATTAAGGTTGCTTATCAACTGACCTTGACATGGAGGAAATTATCTTGGATTATCTCTATGGGTTCAATGTAATCACAAGGATTCTTTTAGATAGAAGAGGGAAGCAGAGGAGAAAGAGCCAGAGGGTAGCATGGGATAGACTTGGCCTAATAGTTCTGTCTTTGAAAATGGAGTAAGAAGGCCATAAGCCAAGCAATGTGGGTGGCCTCCAGAAGCTGAAAAAGGCAAGGAAATTGATTTCCCCTAGAGCTTCTAGATAGGAATGCAGCCCTGCTGACATCTTGATTTAAGCCCAGCAAAACATGTTTAAGACTTCGGAAGTACATAACTGTAAGATAATAAATTTGTGTTGCTTTAAGACAGTAAGTTTGTAGGGATGTTACAGCAGCAATAAAAACCTAATACATCATCTTAAAAGGGAACAATAAAGAGCTAAAAAGTACTCAAGGACAAGCTTTCAAAGTCAGTCTCAGTGCTGCCTTATGAAGAAGTAGGGCACTTTATACTAGTAAAAATGTGTCCTGCTTTTTTATATAGTTGGCACAATTTTTACATATATAGGATGCCCTAACAGACTTTGCTAAAGCTGTAATTGAGAAATAAGACATACAAACAAGTACTTTGCATTTAGCTTATTATCTAGCAGTTGTGTCACACTATTTGTGTATAATGGGAAAAGTGTTCTCTTAAAAATATCCTTCAAAATTTACCATTTTTTTACTCAATCTATAGTAGAATTTCATTAAATCATGCTGTATTATAAAGAACAATTATAAATTGTTTTTCCCATTAATCTGCCAGCAATTTCTACAATAATGCCCCATAACAAAATACCTCAAAACTCAGTGGCTTGCAATAACACATTATTTCTCAGCCTTATATCTAAATATTGGCCTGTACCATTTTGTTTCAAGCTGCTTGCATGTCTGTAGTACATTTGGAGGCCTCTGTCTGCTTCAGGCTCTAAGTCAAATTCAGGTTTTCTCCATGGGTCTTATTCTGAGCCTAGGATAAAGGGGCAGTGGGTATCTAGGCAATATTTTTTCTCATGGTTGTAGTCATAAGCTACCAGATGGGTAGGAAGAAATTTATGAGGCCTCTTTAGTTCTTAATTTGAAACTCACACACTGCCATTTCTGCCTATTTTCCATTGTCCAAAACAAGTCATCTGGGCATGCCCAAAATCAATGGACAGGGAAGTATACTCCTCACTTGGAGGTAGAGAAAGGGGAGGGAACAAATATTAATTGAACAATGATATAATGTGCAATACCCTACATTAATAAAAATGGATCTCAGCTAAAGTATGAATTATTTTTATGATTTTCTAAGTATTGATATTAATTATACTATCAGTTAATTATCTAGTGGCAGATGTCTATTTAACCATAAAGAGTTTGAATATTATAGTGAACCAAGCTATATCTTGTGATTTTCGTTCAAAATTATTCTTTTTTTGTTTTTTTGTTTTTGTTTTTGTTTTTGTTTTTGTTTTTGTTTTTTTTGAGACGGAGTTTCGCTTTGTCGCCCAGGCTGGAGTGCAGTGGCACGATCTCGGCTCACTGCAACCTCCGCCTCCCGGGTTCAAGCAATTCTTCTGCCTCAGCTTCCTGAGTAGCTGGGAATACAGGTGCACATCACCACGCCTGGCTAATTTTTGTATTTTTAGTAGAGATAGGGTTTCACCATATTGGCCAGGCTGGTCTCAAACACCTGACCTCGTGATCCGCCCGCCTTAGCCTCCCAAAGTACTGGGATTACAGGCGCGAGCCACCATGCCTGGTCAAAATTATTATTATTTTTTGGTTCAAAAAAAGCATCCCATGTGCTTTATTACCCTGGGGGAGAACTATTATAAATGGAATGGAAATGGTCATTCATATTTGTATCTTAGTATGGTTATACCTCTCCTATAAAAGGCTAATAAAAAGACAAGCATGATTGCATTTATAAATATGAAAATGAGAAACTCATCTTGGAAATGAAATATATTTTTTCAAGAAATTATTTTTTAAAACAACTTCCTGAGAATTCAGTATAATGGCCAATTAATAGTCTTTGATAATAGAGGAAAGTCTTAATTTTATCTTTGAACTGTAGAGAGTTTTGTTGGAATGTAACAAGTAGATTCTTTTCTATATGGGAACCAAATATGTCTATTTTAAGAAATTATTTTTAGTGCTTCAGAATATATATTAGTTTGGCCAGAACCTTGTAGTCTAAAATCGGCCACTCTGCTAATGGTTTTATAATGCTCTCCAGCTAATTGGAAAAAAAAGTAATAGTGTTGCTCATCAGCAATAGTAAGCATTAGAGATTACACTCTGTGATCTTGGTAAGTGATACTCTTAATATATAAAAATACTCATGTGTTTGAATTTTTATCATATCCTAAGTAAAGAAACCATAACGATCGCATTTTATTATTTATTTTGTCTTTCATCAAATAAATTCAAACCAGTTTCCTTAGAAAGTGTCCCTATTTTAAGTTCACCTTTGTTATAACATTTAATATTTTAAAAAATTTTGTGGGTACATGGTAAGTGTATATATTTATGGGGTACCTGAGATGTTTTATGTTATATCAATTTTAAACATGGTACTTTTGTTTAATCAATAGAAAGTTAAATATTACCTAACAAGACATGAACTCTCATGAGTTAGTAGGAAACTTATAGTCTAAAATCTAGCTCATCTGCCCGTTTACTCTTTATCTTTCATAAGGAAAATTAAGTCAAGAGAATATATAACTTCCACTATAAAAATGTTTGAGAAATTTACAAATATATCTTCAAATAATTCAGGTTTTCTTATTGAATTCTATGTGGATGCTCTTCCTTTACAAGTCCTGTCCACAGCCAACCCATAGACTTTTAGCTTTGGTACTCTCACTGGTTGATCTCACCCATGATGTAGTGAGTCCCCTTCTCAGTATGCATACTTGGTTCCTGAATTCATTCCCACTGGTTGACCTAAACTTTCCACCTAACTGATAGGGTAGCAGGATCAAAGAGCATGCACGTTACAGCTAAGCATTTGTGTTAGATGCATATACATTATTTTAACTGATCCTCTTTACGATAGACATTACCTGAAATTTTTCTAGAATTAGAAGAAAAGTGAACCATCATTCAACAATTCTCTTCTCTCCCCTTTTTTACAATACTATTTTATCCTATTTTAAAAATAATGTTTACTTGAACAAAGATTTTTGGTGGATTCTCTTCCTTAATTTACCCCTTAAGAATGAGTATAGCCTAGTTATTTGTTTTTACTCTTTATCCGTTTATTTCTATATATTTATCATGGAGAACTTTAATAAAATCCCAAACCTCAATCACCAAAACTTCATGCTAATGATTTACAGACTTTAACCCTAATTAAGGACTATCTCCAAAATTTTATCTATCTATTCATCTCTCCATTAGATTGCACTATCCATACACACTGCAATTGAGCATTTTTCAAATTGAATTTTTGTGCCTTCTTTCTTTCTTTCTTTTTTCTTTTTTTTTTTTTTCAGATAGAGTCTCTATTGCCTAGGTTGGAGTGCAGTGGCATGATCTTCGCTCACTGCAACCTCCGCCTCCCGGGTTCAAGCAATTCTTCTGCCTCAGCCTCCCAAGTAGCTGGGACCACAGGCGCACGCCACTATGCCCAGCTAATTTTTGTATTTCTAGTAGAGACAGGGTTTCACCATGTTGGCCAGGCTGGTCTCAAAATTCCTGACCTCAGGTGATCCACCTGCCTCAGCCTCTCAAAATGCTGGGATTACAGGGGTGAGCCATCGCGCCCAACCCTCTTGTTTCATTTGTCCTTATTTCACTTAAAGCCATCACTATCTGCCCAGTCACCTCAGCTGAAGGCTTTGGACTCATCCTACATTCCTCCTTTTGTCTCACCCTCTACAAATTTCTGCAGATTGCTCCTCTATTTATTTTTTAAATTGTTCAACCTTACAATCTGTACTTTGACTATTTTTCTTCAGACCACCAAGCAAGCCATTTCATTGTGCATTTTATCATGAGCTCAATTTAATATGTGACTCCATGGTAATGCAAGATATCTACTTTTTATTTTTAATTTTTCTGAATGTATAGTAGTTGAACATATTTATGGGGCACATGTGATTTTTTGGTACAAGCATACAATGCATAACTGTTAAATTGTGGGTAATTGAAATATCCATTACCCCAAACACTTATCATTTCTTTGTGTTGGGAACAATCCAAATATTCTCTTCTAGCTATTTTGAAATATAAAATAAATTATTGTTAACTACAGTTGACCTATTGTACTATCAAAAAGTAGTGCTTATTCCTTTTATCTGACTGTATTTTTGTACCCATTAACCCACCCCTTTTTACTCCCCACTACCATTCCCAGCCTCTGATAACTGCCAGTCTATTCACTACCTCCATGAGGATCAATTCGTTTAGCTCCCATATATGAGTAAGAACGTGATATTTGTCTTATTGTGCCTAGCTTATTTCACTTAACATAACATCCTCTGGTTCCATCCCTGTTGATACAAATGCCAGGATTTCATTCTTTTTATGACTGAATAATATTTCATTGTGTATATATACAACATTTTCTTTATACATTCATGCATTGATAGATACTGAGGTTGATTCAATATTTTGGAATGCATTTTGGTAGGTCATTATAAAATGATAAAGGGGTCAATTCAGCAAGAGAATATAACAATTATAAATATATATATATATGCAACCAGCGTCAGAGCACTGAAACCTATAAAGCAAATATTAATAGATCTAGAGAAAGAGATATACTGTAATATAATGCTGGATAGCTTCTGTTTGCCAACTCCTGCCAGATCCACCCCACCTTCTCTATTTTGCTCTATGCCCTGTGAGATGGACATTTATGGACTAGATCTACAGGGTTCTTGTCATCTGGCTTCTAGATGAGTTCTAATAGGAAGCTTAGGAAGAAGACTGGAGCTGTGTAGGGAATCAACCTTGGAATATTTATTAGCCAATTTCTCTCCTTACTGAATCTCCATGTATTGTCTTCATGTCTTTACCAAAGGCCACTGTTCCTGTCAGGTAATTTTTTCCATATAGTTACTTCTCTTGGGAACACTTACTTCATTTGCCCCTTCAGGTCTTACAATGATTACAGCTGGTGGCTGGTATAACCACACTATCCTTTTTTGTTTCCAAATACTCTGTCAATGCCTTTGTAAATAGTCCCTGTTTTAATACTTTCTACATTTTGTTTGGGTGTGTCACCTGCTCTTTATTGGGACTTGGCTAATTAATCCTCTTACCATCCATGTGTCTCTTACCATCCATGGCCAAGTTAGTTAATTTCAATAAGCCTTAATTTTCTCATTGCTAAAATACAAATATTAGTCTCTTCTTCACATGGTTTTCATGAATATTAAATAAGATTGTGTATTAAAGTGCTCAGTGTAGTATCTAATATACAGGCTCAACCATATGAAACTGTCATTTTGGCAGATCAGATAGTTGTATCTTAACAATTTTATGTGGTTCAAACCGAGTAAGTACAAGAAGTGTTAAGTTTTATTATCAATACCCTCATTTCTCTTTCTCACCTGATTTACTATATAAACTTTCCAACTTACTCCTAATGCTGCCCTTAGCTTCTATATGTTTCTTAAATATGCCTGATTATTTCCTTCATTAGAAGTTCATGGAGTTCTCTCTGTCTCTCATGCATTCACCAAAGATGGGTGTCCTCCCTTTTTTCATGTGTCAGTTTGAATGCCACATCCACAGAAAGGCCTTCATGAACTCTCCTAGGTAGCTCCCACTTGGTATTTTTATTCTCAGAGATTCCTGTCTGTGCCTGCCAAAAATTTTATAATTTATAATGATGAATATTTGTTACTTTTTCCTTGTTTATCCTTGTCCATTTATGTATAAAATCAAAGAAGGAAGGAATGCTATTCTATTCACTCATTGTACAGTCAGCCATAAGGCAGTGCTTGGCTCTCCCTAAGTATCTGTTGAAAGTGTTGAAGAATAGTTACATAGAAAATAATAAAGGAATATTTAAAAACATAGATATGATATGTCCTTTTTGACCTTGAAATTATTCACTGGTTCCACCTAAACGCAAAAATAAAAATGAAAAGTTTAGAATCAGGCCTTACCTCCTTCATTGGTTTCTCCTCTCACCACACTCTTAAAAACACCTTTTGTTCAAACTATAATAAAGCATTTACAATATAAATCATATGTTTCAGTCACATATTGTTTTCTTCACTTATTGGCTTCTGAGCCTGAAGTGACTATCCTCCCTTCTATTCTTAGCTAAATTATGATTATCCTTTAAGACTGTTCAAGTATCCTCTTTTCAAGGTAGTGTTATGAATCTCTCAGTGTGATTTAGGTATCCCTCATTTTTGTTCTCTTAATAACTTGGCATAAATTTTACTCTTGCCAAAACATGTTGCATTGTTTATTTGTATATTATTTTCTCTATATTTGAGTTCTGTAAAGATAATGGGCTATACTTAAGTTGTCAGTGAACCTCTATTTATGGCACAATGCATAACAAACTGTTGGCACTCCACATATAGTACTGTTATAATACAAAAATATCTTCTAGGCTTTATGTTAGCTGCTAAAGATTAACCATAGGAATGTAACCTATTCCCTTCCTACCTGGACAACAGAGGATGGGTGATGAATGACCTCTACCTGATTATCTTATAAACATACTTCTGATCTAGATTGCTTATTATAAATAAACAATAAGCATGGTTGGCTGGAGAGTAGGAGTAGTCAAGTGAGCATTTTTCTATTTGTGGAGTTAACAGTGCATAAAAGGAAGGAGTCCCAAAACTCTAAAAAATTCATTTGTTAATCCAATAGTATAATTTTTCACAATTCACTAGAAAATGGAAAATTGACTATTTTGAACTATTCCAGAGACAATATTTTATCTGTATTGAGTCATTAGTATAGTTTGGTCCTAGGTAAGAACTATTATTAATGTGGGCCTGATTAAATAATTAAACCCTGTGTGGTAATACAGATGCTGTATCTGAGAAAGAAAACTGTAGATGGGAGTATTACTATATCATATTTTCAAGTGTCTACTTCAAGAGCCTAATTATAAAATAAGATAAAGAGGAGTAGGATTGGAGGGCTTTCAGAGCACATAGGTGTCAGAGAGGAAAAATAAAAGATAACAGTGAAAAGAAGAACGCACATCTACAGACCTAGGAGGTTAAAAAGAAATATTCAGGTTAAAAGGTTGTGTGGGTTTGGGAGAGAGAAATAGTCATGAATATATTGTGGCAAGTGTCAGAGAATGATTCAATATGGCCTCGAAAATCACCCATAAGTACCTTGAAAATCACCCATAAGTACAAAACAGCATTGATGTTTAATCCCAGTGAGATTTCTCTGAATTGCAGATTACTTGTTTGACTCCCGTGGCACTTGAAATGGTCAATTATTTTACTCCCTTTTGTCCCGTTCTGAAAGATCTGCTGTAATGATTATAGTAAAGAAAGTGGGTGGATGGAACAGGGAAGGAATAATAAAGTAAGGAGAATAATTTAATGTTCTTATTAACTAATTGATTAAAGTTGAAAGTATAGCTTCACCCATCCTTCTTACATATATATGTTTTCTTCTTAATAATCTTATTAGATGAAGAAGAGTGTTATTATAGATTAGAAATGTCAGATTTCTGCTCTCTGTTCTCCACCTACATAGATGAAAAACAGCCTCTCTATATCTTTCAGTTGAAACAGAATATTAGGAAAATGAGGGTTTATAGCCAAAATGTGATTTCCATTTATTTCATTTATATTAGATATACAACACCTAGAAAATTGAGGTATAATGATTCTTAAAATGAATTTTAAAATTCTATGACTTTCAGGTCACTGACTGTGACCCTGAAGAGGGAAATTATGAGGACCGTTAGAGAGATAGCATATAAGTGTATGATGACCACTGTAATCTAAGGTCAAATCTTAAATTTAGATAATGGTATCAGAGAAATACATATAGGGATGGCATCAAATAAAATTATTAATTTTTCAGAATTTCAGAACTTCATGTTTTAACTTTGTGGGTTTGCTTTCATCCTTGAAACATTATTGTCATATAAAGTTTCTATTTTTCTGAGTGTGGGCTACCCTGTCTTTTGCCGTAGTTTCAGTTTTATTTGTGTTTCAAATGAATATCTTTAATATATTTAAAAAGGCAATTTTTTTTCCTTTCATAGACTAAAGTAATAAAATATATTAGAGCTACAGATAAACTGATATTTAAATTTTCTATTTTATAGATTGTGAGAAAAGTATATGCACGTTCATATATCAAGACAGTGTGTTCATTGAACATAGTGAGGAAAAAAGCATCTTCTAAATATTGGCCATTACTATTATTATTAGGTTCTAAAACCTCTTTTCTCTGCTTTAATCAATGACCTACATATCTATTTTGTTAGTTGAGACACTTTAGTTTGCAAATGACACAGGTACAATTCAAACTATTTTAAGCAATAAAGAAAATCAGTGGCTTATGTAACTAGAAAGCATAATTGCATTAGGCTAACTTTCTTTCTATTACTGCCTTCAGGCCTTCATCCTTCAATGGTGACCTAGTTCTAAGGCTTCTGTAGATGGAAGCACAAGAACCATCAGTGACTCTAGGTTTCCCTCATTATTTGCAACACCAGTTCCATGAAAAGTCTCACAAAGGGCTCCAACTGTTTAGCTTTGGGTTATGAGTCTATTTCCAAGCCAATCAATTTGCTTAGGGGTTAGGATGTTCTAACTGGCTAGGATCAGATTACGTGACTTCCCCTGGAACTTACAGGTCAGGTGAGCAACTGTTGAATCACCTGGAATGAGAATGGGAAATTGATGGCCCCCTCAACCAATTTTTAATAGATAAAACATTTCTGTCAGCTAATCTGTCAAAGTCCAAACATCCTTATATTCTTTAAAAGTTATCTTATAAAAGACATTTCAGACAGAGAGGCAAAACCTAGTATATGCATATATAATTTGAGTACAGAGCAATAGTTTTTCCTTTCTTCCTTTACTTTTGTCCTTTAAAAGTTATGAAGTTGAGATAACTGTGCACTTGTCCTTTCTTTTCCCTTGGCCTTCTTTTGCACTCCTTCCTTCCTTCTTTTCATTCTCCTTTCCTTAAGTAATATCTTGTTTGAGAAGATTTATTGTGAATTTCAGAGACAGGTATGTTATACCTATATGAAATATGAAATAAAACAAGGCCTGGGGCAGTGGCTCACGCCTGTAATCCCAGCACTGTGGGAGGCCGAGGCGGGCGGATCGCGAGGTCAGGAGTTTGAGACCAGCCTGACCAACATGGTGAAACCCTGTCTCTACTAAAAATACAAAAATTAGCCGGGCATGGTGATGCGCACCTGTAATCCCAGCTACTCAGGAGGCTGAGGCAGGAAAATCACTTGAACCCCGGGAGGCAGAGGTTGCAGTGAGCCAACATCACGCCATTGTACTCCAGCCTGGGTGACAGACGAGACTCCGTCTCAAAAAAAAAGAAAGAAACAAACAAAAGAAAGTAAAAAGGAAGGAAGGAGGGGAGGAAGGGAGGGAGGGAGGGAGGGAGGGAGGGAGGGAGGGAAAAATTCCGTCTAAGATAAAGTAAGATGGAGATTATTTCCATAAGATAAAGGCAATTAGTAAGACTAGTTTTTAAAAATGTCTTAAAATCCTGAAAGGTAATATATTCCTATTCTAAAAGGTAGTATATTCTGGATTCTAAGCATTCCATCAGTACAGTCAAAGAGGCAAACTAATAGTTATATGATTCAGAATGTACCTAAGAGGAAATTAAACAGTTCCTCAGAAGAAACACAGCTATTTCTGACTCAGACCAGAGAGATATTTCTTTCAAGAGCCCTCATAAAAAGGATACCATATAAAGTAATGTAAATATTTTCAACATTCCTCTAGTAAATGCAGCTGTTGGATTCATGAAATATTTGGGTTAAACATTACTATAATAAATACAGCTATTACATTTATAGTAATAATTCTCAGAAGTACATCAGTAGATGTTAGTCATTAAATAAAGAGTCTACAAAAGCTGGCTACAAAGGGGTTAATAGAACATGGGTCAAAAATCATAAGAGGACTTAAAAAGACTGTATTTTCTCTTAATGTCTCTAGTAAGCTATTGAAGATTTGTAACCATGGTAGTAATATTATCACATTTGATTTTTGAAAAATTATTCCATTAGCTTTTGGAAGAATAGATTGCGGGTTAACATTAGGGGTAAAGTCATAATTATATTAATCAAATAACAAAATAGAAAAGGAGGACTTCTTAAAGATGTTTTTGTACACTCAATTTCATTGCTTCTGGCCTACTAGTCTGCTTCTTTCTAACTCCTTCTGATTCTTCTTGGTCTGAGTCATCTCACTTAGGATTTGTTTTCTAATTCTTTTACTTTCTCTCAAAAGTCAGGTCCTGTTCCTCTGTGACCCTGCCTCACCTTGTGTATACACTTGTATATTAATATGTTTTGGTTTATCTATATTCCCCCTTCAGAGATTGTATCTTTGACTTCTGTATATATTAGCCAAGAGACATAATACACAATTACAAATAAATGAATGAACATGAAAATACGTAGGGATAGAATGCTAGTCATGTGAAGACCTGCTGAGCCTGTCAGTTTCCTATACTAATGAATTAAAAGCAGTAGAAAAATCCTTTTTTTTTTTTTTTTTTTGAGACAGAGTCTCGCTCTGTTGCCCGGGCTGGAGTGCAGTGGTGCGATCTCAGCTCACTGCAACCTCCACCTCCAGGGTTCAAGCAATTCTCCTGCCTCATCCTCCCGAGTAGCTGGGACTACAGGTGCCTGCCACCACGACTGGCTAATTTTTGTATTTTTGGTAGAGACGGGGTTTCACTGTATTGGCCAGGCTGGTCTTCAACTCCTGGCCTTGTGATCTGCCTGCCTTGGCCTCCCAAAGTGCTGGGATTACAGGCGTGATCCACCATGCTCTGCCAGAAAAAATCCTTTAATTGTTGTTTATGAGTGTGTAATTTGGACAAACGTAAACACATAGGAATCGTTTTCATAAACCACATCTTCTAGACTTGTTTCTTTTAAACATGTCTCATGAAAAAAACACAGTCAAAAATTTTCTGGAAAGACAACAGTAGCTCCATTTCATATTAAGGGATCAGGTATTTTTTTTTAAGTAGGGTATCTACCAAACAGTGTCAGAGAAAGCAAATTGTTTTCTAGCAATGAAAAAATAAATAACAGTAAACCTATTCTCTGATCTCCAAGTCAAGCCACTAGTTTTTTCCCCTACCACCTCAGCTCACAGTTTTTTAAGCCCAAGATAGCTTTCTCCTAGTACTCTATCTATCTGAAAGTCTAAACTTTTATCTGGCAAGATCATTCTCACAATTGAGTGAATCAAGGTATAATGGAAAAATTAAGCAGAGCTTATTGCATGTACTTTTAAATTTACTAATGTTTCTTTCATGTTTCCTTTCTTTAGGGGGTTAGTGGTGATAGTGGTAGCATTTAAGGACATTTGGAGATGGACTTATAATATTCCAGGTAGACAGTTATAACTGGACAGCTCGTTTGTACCTGCTCAAGTGTCTCTAGTTGCATCACTTACAAAGACTATTGATTATAATGGTGAATGGAAGTGTTTTACATTTCTTAAGTGAAAAAATGACTTTGAGCAAGATAACCATCTACTTCTTAGAGACCACATTGATCTCTATCAACATCTATAGATTTCACCTTAAACTCTGCCAATTTTCCAAGGATATTTGGCACTGGGTCTTAAGCAGACAGAGCAAAAGTGGTGAGATTTTGACATTGTCTTAAATTACAGTGATTCAGTTTGGATATGAAATATTGTGTAGGAATACAAAAAAGCAAATGCAGATGACATGGGGGAGAATATAATTTATTAAAAGTTTATCACTGTTAACACATACTTCAAGGATAATTTATAATACCTGAGAATTGTATAAAATGATATATAAAATAATGCTATTGTTATTGTAATCTATAAATTTGGAAGTGAATAAGAACTTCATGCAAGAGGTATTAGTCATCTGTTCTTACACATGGATTTTATTTTACATGTTACACATTAGTTATTTTTTGGAAAACTGGATAATCAATGGGTATTTTATTTTTTAAAATTTAATTATAGCTATCTTTTTTAACTTTAGAAGTTAAATATTTTGTTACACCTTTTTTGTCTCTTCAGTAAACAAAATCAACTGCTGAAAAACTTTGTCAAAGCAATTGTTCACTTGAGACTGCTAGATTCAGAATATTACTGAGAAAAATCTTGTGCCTCTCTGTGGGTATTATCTAGGTTAAATTCTGGGAGCAGGCAAAATGACTTTCCATTCAGGAGTGTGTTCTTGTGTTTTTTGTTTTGTTTTGTTTTTGTTTTTGTTTTTGTTTTTGTTTTGAGACAGAGTCTTACTTTATTGCCCAGGCTGCAGTGCAGTGGTGCGATCTTGGCTCACTGCAACCTCTGCCTCCCAGGTTCAAGTCTCCTGCCTCAGCCTCCCGAGTAGCTAGGATTACAGGCATGTACCACCATGCCCAGCTAATTTTTGTATTTTTAGTAGAAACGGGCTTTCGCATATTGGCCAGGCTGGTCTCGAACTCCTGACTTCAGGTGATCGGCCCACTTCGGCCTCCCAGAGTGCTGGGATTACAGGCGTGAGCCACTGCTCCTGGCCCAGGAGTATGTTCTTGTTAAGTGCCTTAATTTTCACCAGATAATGCCAAACCTTCCCTCAGCTATGTGGAGCCTTAAAGGGCATGGTTCTGCATCTCAGTGACAAAACAGAGTAGCTGTGCTCCTGAAGCTCCGTTGTGACTAACTTTAATTTCACTGCCATTTTTTATATCTATAAAAAGCCAGGCTGAGGAGCACAATGTTTATGTAAATGTGTAGTATAGTTTGCATGTTTGTCCCCTCCAAATCTCAAGTTGAAATGTGATCCCCAATGTTGAACGTGGGGCCTGGTGAGTGGCCTTTGGGTCATGGGGGAAGTTCCCTCATGAATGGCTTGGTGCCCTCCCTACGGTACTGAGTGAGTCTCACTCTGTTAGTTCACGTGAGAGCTGGTTGTTTAACAGAGTCTGGTACCACCCTCTTCTTGCTCTCTTCCTCTATCACCATGTGATGCGCTTGCTCCCCCTTCACTTTCCACCATGATTGGAAGCTTCCTGAGGTCCTCACCAGAAACAGATGCTGGTGCCATTCTTCTGATACAGCCTGCAGAACCGTGAGCCTATTAAACCTCTTTTCTTTATAAATGACCCAGTCTCAGGTATTCCTTTGTAGCAATGCAAAACAGACTAATATAGTTTGTCTAAAGAAGTGTCTCCTAAATATATTTATTTGACCAGGGAAACTTGAATGGAATGTCCTTCAGAAGCAACAATTTCCTTCAGAAGCAACAAACTAACATTGTTGTTATGTATTATGTAACATTTATTGCTAATACTGATTCCAGACATTTTACACATATTATTTCATTTAGTCACCTCAAGACAACTAGATGAGGGAAGTAACATAACTATTTTATAATGTAAGAAACTGTTTACCTAGAGTAATAAAGCTGGTGAGGGGGAGATGACATAAAACAGTGGCTATCTAACTCTATAATGCATGGTCATCTAGTTGCCTTATTTCTAACATATTATGTCTGACTGCACCAAGGGTTATCAGAAAGTTTTACATTATATAATGTATAAGTAGAGTTGGTCAGAAAATCCCTGTGTTGTGTGTGTGTGTGTGTGTGTGTGTGTGTGTGTGTGTGTGTGTGTGCCCGCCCACAGGAAGTTTTGTCTGAAAGAAAAGCCAGAGAGTTCATTGAGTACACTAAATCACATGCTGTCTAGCCCTAAAATGGTCCTCTAGTGGTATTATAAGCCAGGAAAGTGCTGCTCTTTTCACCCCGCTACAATGTCTTTTGAACTAGCTTGAGTAATTTAAGAAAATCCTTTTCAAAATTATGCATATGTCCTCACCTCATTATTAAACTGAAGGGAACACTCAGCAATAGGAATGTTTTTTAAGGGCTGTTTTAAATCCATGTGTTGTGGATGCAAACAAAACAAAACCAAAGAGAGATGTGATAGCATTTGCCCATCTTTCTTTTATTCCCTCATTCCAGTTCCTCCTGAAAACAGTAAAAATAACAGTATCAAATGGCAACAACAACAACACAAATAAAATAACAGATTTTGAATACTTCTTATATTCCAGGCCCTGTTCTATGCTCAAAGCCCCAAGGTAAGACACTCTTCCATCCTGACGTTCTTTCTCAGGTTGAACATGATTGGCGATGGATATGATGTAACAACCACCTTTTGGCTAGCTTAGGACTTCTCTTTTCCTGTAACCCCCTACCCTGTTTTGTTTGTTTGCATTCTTTTTGTTCTGCTTTGATTTCTTCTCATGGGGGTTATACTATCTGGGTCATTTTAATCAGAAATTCTTCATCTGAATAAAAATATAGCTTCAGTCATCAGGTTTGTTAGTAAAATTATTTACTTTTAGCACCAATCAATGGTTCTTCCTTATCCATATATAATAAGTCATTTTACAAATACTAATGGTATTGGGTTAGATGGGTCTGAGTTTGAACCCTGATTCTATCAGTTACTTAAATGTAATCTTGGGTAAGCTACTTTATATCTCTGGGCAAGCTACTTTATATCTCTGGGCCTCACTTTTCTTATATGTAAAACTAGTGGATAACTTCATTTTAGAATTCTTAGGATTAGGAAGATAATTATAATGTATGGCAATCAGTAGACACTAAATGAACAATAGGAATTGTTTTATATATGTATATATATATGTGTATATATATGTCACTCCTTTGTTTTAATCTCTTAAATTCATAAATACAACTTTAATTGATAGATGAATAATTTATTCCTTTATCAGAGATTTCTAATTATATATTAAATGATTTTGTCAAAACTTCATAATAGTTTATATAATGACTTTAAAAATAAGATTATAACCTAGTGCTAATTTAGGTTATAATTCTGAACCCCTACACAAAACCTCAACTAAATTGTACTATCTTTGTTATTTCATATATCTCTCAATATTGTTGAATATGCTTGTTTGTAATAAACTAAAACGTCCAAAGTAAAATATATCTATAATATTTATGTGCCCATGTAGCTATCTTCTATTTAAAAAATCGTTGTGATTCAAAGTGAGTTTTTCTTTTCTGATTTTTTTTTTGCTCTTTTATAGTTTTATTTATATTGTTACTTTTATTGATTTAGTTTGTTGTGATATTCAGAACCCCCATCCTATGGAAAAGAAAAGCCATCAATAGAGGATAAGTTTATTCACAAAATTGTCTCTATGGGGAATCCTGGGATCCAGTTTCTCAGCCAGGGCACATATTCACGTTCTCTTTTGTCCTTGAACACTTCAAGACTCTGAATATGACCTTGAATTGTGGAAGTGTCTTGTTTTCCATAGAACCAGAGTTATTTGGGCCAAGGAAAGAATGGTAGAAGCCAAAAGCTTGGCTTCAGGCACAAATAACTTGGTAACTATATTAGCAGTGTAAATGGCAGGCATTTCCAGTAAGTTACCAGTCAGTATTCCCAAGGGGGAAACGATAGTTCTCTTGGATAACTAAGGCTCCAGACAGAGCTATCCCCTGCCCTATATGTCTGTTGTTCATTACATTTTGGATTGAGTCCTTGAAGTCTTCTTTTTTCACTGAAATCCAACAACATGATTTATTGACTCTCATACTCTCAATATAATAATCACTGCTAAACTTTGAGTAATAGCCAATTCTGCATGTCTAAATGAGGGAGAATTAAGGGTTCTGTGGAATAATAATATATATTTTTTATTACCCAGAGACAGTATCATCATGTTAAATTCATAACCACTTGGTCACACCTGGGTAAACTCTGAAGTCCACAACTCTCAACCAACCAGATTGATGACTCTGAAGACATATGATGGCTTACATATTAAAAGTATAAAGTCAAAATGCATGGATCAAAAGTCAAGCTTCATACTAATTACAATATCTGTATCTGTGTGTCCTTGTAAAAAATATTTCACCTCTTCTGTTTCAATTTTCTAATCCATAAAAGAGCAATGAAAAAAATAAGTGACTTTCAGGAACACTATATAAAAATTGATAATATATTTTCCAAGTGTATATAGCACTTGGAAAAGCACCAAGCACAGGATAAGCATTCAGGAAATGATTGGGGTTGTTGTTGTTGCTGCTAGTACCCTAAAACAATCAAATAATCTAAATATCAGATAAGATTTGGCACTTTTCACAGACATCTGCATTTAATGATTAATTACATGACCACAATAATTCACTTCACTGTATTTTAGGTTTTGTAATGTAGAAGACTTTATATTTTATCTATTTTCTCAATACTGCTCAGCAGAAAGCTTGCCACTTGAAACCTTCTTCACTTTTCCCTCCATTTTATTTTTATTATTTGATGAGTGACTGTCCTTTTGAGTCACCACCTCCTTCAGACCCCACTAGCCCACTACACAAAAATATCTACATAGTAACTAGATTAAAGGTTCTCTTGGCTTTCAGTCTCATGGGAAAGAGCATACTAATTAGCTATTAAACACTGAGGGATTCATGGTATTTGAGGTGAAGAATATGTGACCTTTGGGTTGCTAAATCTTTGGGGTTATGAGCAATTGTCACATATGCATAAAATGTTAATGGTCTTCATCATTTTCAGTGACCCAAACCACAACTATTAAATAGGAATGTATTTGGAAAATGTTTGAAATATTTTGGCAAAAACTTGGTATCTATATATCTCAGAGATACTGTGTTCCAAAGAAACTACAAATGTTTGCACTTTACTTTTACATTTTTTGTGCTTATGACTTCCTCTTATAGAGTTAGAGGCATTCATTTGACTTGGGAAAGATTAGGATTATTAGAACAGGAATTAAATGAAATTAGGGATCAATGAGAAGCTTTAGAAATATAAAATCAACTTTCTGTGAGTTAGAAACATGATAATAATCTGAAAAGCCAGATTTTATCAATACAGAAAAGGATTTTCTAAATTTTCATAGGTTATAATAACATTGAGAGATGAACATGGAAGACTAGATCAGAGTTACCACATATTTTAAAGGGGATGGACTTTTGCCTTACAGAGCTGTGAATTTTAGTTTCTATAGGGAAGAAGAAAGATATAATCTAGAGAAGTCTATGTAAGAAAAGAAGTGGTAAGTCTACTCTTCTTTCTCAGTGGTTTGTGAGAAGTGGAAGAGAGAGGTAGTAGAAAAAGATTAGGCACAGCTGTTTTCAGTCCATTAACAGTTGGGCTGAAACAGGGAAGGGGGAACTTCAGAAATACCAAGATAAGTATCAGAGATCTTGAAAACAACAGGGATATTAGAGGTATAGTTCCTGAATAAAGCTGTAGGAACCTGAAAGCCTGGAAATGGCTAAAAAGCCTCTCTCTAGATTAAATCCAACAACCTTCAGTGACAGCATAGTGGTGGCAAAGGGAGATGGCTACATAAATGGGCATGAAGCTGCTTGTCTCTGAAATAACCTTGGTTTCCCAGTCAATGTGTGTGACAGTGACCTACTGAGAAGATTCAGAGGTGCTTGAGGGCCAGTGTACCCAAAGGTAGACAAAGAGGCTGCAATATAGAGATACGATGGTTGGTATCATGGATTTTGGATGGCAGTTCCTTTATTGCTAACAAACAGCATCCTGATTCTAACGGAGAGGTGAGCAAGAGGGCAATTAAGTGATTGTGAGTACACCATCAGCCTTTCTTTACCTGGTCAAGTGAACTGTCCATGAACTAAGAAGATACGTGACCCAAGTAGGAACCCACAAAATAGGGGCAATCAAAACCTTCCTTGAGATTTTGTACTGGAGACTGATCATGAAGCTCTTACTATGTAATCTAGAAAAATATTGCCCTCTAATATTTTTAACCTGGTTCAAATTAGGTTTCTTTCTTTGCAATCAAGGAGTTTTCTGCATTATTGTATTTGAATGAATACTACTGTACAGAATTTTGATACAAGGGAAGGGAAAATAATTTTCAATCTAATTATCCGCCTCTTAGATTGGTACTAGTTGAGAAGTGATATAGACAATGATTTATTGTCTAATTTGCTTTATTTTTGAGAAGGTAGTGTATGAAAACCTCAAGAAAGGAGTCATAATCTTATTTCTTAACTGGATCCCCATCAGCAGCTAAAAGACTGTGGCACTAGAGGGTAATAAATCAGCTTAATATGGTATTGACTAATGGTTTTGTAATTTTCAAAGTGCCTGTACTGTCCTAAATCTTGTTAGGTTTTTACACTGCATTGATATGATTTCTTTTGTATAAAGGAATATGCTCAGAACTTATTGGTGACCTTCCAATTTCATTTTTCTGCTAACCTGAAACCATAGCAACCTGTGGATGGTGCATTTATTTTTTTCAATGTTAAAGGGATCTCAGTCTTCTTAGACTAGTCTTTTAGACAAAAATCACCCTTACTACAGATATATGAGGGGCATATTGTCCCAAAACTAGAAATAGATTCCAAATATATTATTTCATTTGCATTAATACCACCTAAATTTAAGTGGTTAAAATGTATAAAAAGCTGATTTTTAAAATTCGTTTTTTAAACAGTTTTCAGAATATGTCTGACAAAACTAATTCACAGCATGTTTTTTACTGTTAAAGCAGGAAAATTAAGACTAAGCAACTAAATTCTCTAGCATGGGTCATGATCCAGTTTAACTAAAATCTGAACCAGAGGATATTTTATGTAGATCATACGAAGGGTCTTCAATAAGCTCATGAAAATGCACATTATGGAAAAACTATACATGGATTTCAAAATTTGTTTGCACCAAAATAAGCTTGTACTAACTTCTTAGAACATGTCTGAATAGGATCTAGTTTGAGGCACTAAGAAAGACAAGACATTAGTTTGAAAACAGCCTTTACCACAGCAACATGAATTTTGCAAAAACTGAAGCAAAAACAAACATCGAATTTACGGTGAAGCTAGGGTGGAAGAATGATGGAATCATCGATGCTTTATACAAAGTTTACGGAGACAATGCCTCCAAGATATCAGCAATATACAGATGGGTAACTCTCACTTTTTTCATTTAAGCTAATTTCTTTTTTACTTTTTATTAATTTCAACTTTTAGATACAGAGAATACATGTGCAGGTTTTTTATATGGGAATATTTTGTGATGCTGAGGTTTGGGATATGGATCGCATCACCCAGATAGTGAGCCTAGTACCCAATAGGTAGTTTTTAAACCTATAGCTGTTCCCTCCCTCCCTCCCCCATCTAGTAGTACACAGTGTCTATCGTTTCCATGTTTATGTCCACACGTGCTCAGTGTTTAACTCCCAGTTATAAGTGAGAATATGTGGTATTTGGTTTTTTCTTCCTGTGCTAATTCACTTAGGATTATGGCCTCCAGCTGCATCCATGTTGCTGCAAAGGACATTATTTCATTCTTTTTTATGGCTGCATAGTATTCCATGGTGTATATGTATCATATTCCATTTATCCAGTCTACCGTTGGTGGGCACCTGGGTTGATTCCATGTCTTTGCTCTTGTGATGAACGTACAGGTGCATGTGTCTTTTTGGTAGAATGATTTATTTTCCTTTGGGTATATACCCAGTAATGGGATTGCTGGATTGAATGGTAACTCTGTTTTAAGTTCTTTGAGAAATATCCTGACTGCTTTCTCTTAAAGAGAAAGAAATAAAAGGTATTCAAACAGGAAGAGAGGAAGTCAAACTATTCTTGTTTTCAGATGACATGATCTTATATCTAGAAAACCCCATCATCCCAGCGCAAAAGCTTCTTAAGCTGATAAGCAACTTCAGCAAAGTCCCAGGATAAAAAATCAATGTGCAATAATCGCTAGCATTCCTATACATCAACAATGGTTAAGCCCAGCTAGTATTCCTATACACCAACAACAGTCAAGCCAAGAGCCAAATCACAAATGAATTCCCATTAACAATTGCCACAAAAAGAATAAAATACCTAGGAATATAGCTAACAAAGGAAGTGAAAGATCTCTACAAGGCGAACTGAAAACTACTGCTCAAAGAAATCAGAGATGACACAAACAAATGGAAAAACATTCCATGATCATGGATAGGAAGAATCAATATCGTTAAAATGGCCACACTGTCCAAAGTAATTTATAGATTCAATGCTATTCGCATTAAACTACCATTGACATTTTTCATAGAAGTATAAAAAAAACTATTTTAAAATTCATATGGAACCAAAAAAGAGACCCAATAGCCAAGGTGAGGTCCTTCTTGCAATATATTTTCTTGGAGTTCTTTGAGCCTCTTGTACTTGGATGTCTTGATCTCTTGCTAGACTAGTGAAGTTTTCCTAAATTACTTCCTATCATAGATTTTTCAGACATTTTCTTTTATCTTTTCCCTCGAGAATACCTACTATTCATAGGTTTGGATGATTTATGTAGTCCCATGCTTTTGGAAGGCTTTGCTCATTTTTAAAAATCATTTTTGTTTGCTTTTGTCTGACTGGGTTAATTCAAAAGACCTGTCTTCAGGTTCTGAGATTCCTTTCTTCTGCTTGGTCCAGTCTATTTCTGAAGTTTTCAATTCTATTTTGTAATTCCTTCAATGCATTGTATATTTCCAGAAGTTCTGTTTAGTTTTCTTTTTTTAAATAACTGTCTCTTTGGTATCTATCATATCCTGGATTGATTTTCTGATTTCTTTGTATTGGCTTTCACCTTTTGTGTGAATCTCACTGAACTTCTTTAAGATTCATATTTTGAAATCTTTATGTGGTATTTCAAATACTTCATTCTGGTTAGTATCTATTGCTGGAGGGTTAGTAAAAATCCTTTGGGGCTCTTGCAACACACTGTTTTTTCATACTTCCAAAATTGCTATGTTGGCTCCTTCTCATCTGGAGAAACTTCACTTCTTATTTTTGAATTTACTTTCATTTAAACTAGCCTTTTAAAAAATTTTCCCTTGATGTGAACATAATGTGTGGTTAGGGGCATTTAGCTTTGCTTTCTGGGTCCTAGCAGTGACAAAAGCTCTCTATGAATTGCTTGGTTATACATAGCCTTAGTGTGGTGACTTTCTCAAATGCTGGTTGTAGTAATGATGTACTGGGCATTTGAGCAGGCTCACAGTCTCCTGTACAGCTGAGATGGCGGTGATCTTAAGACACTTATCTTGTTCCCAAGTGCTGTGCACTTGTGTTGGCAGATTTTGGATGGGGTTGTGTAGTTCAACCTTTAGGCAGTAGGTTGCAAATGCAGGTACGAGCTGGCTGCGGTGGTAGCAGAAGAATTTATGCTCCATCTTAGTTACCAGGAAAGGCTCTCCGGTTCCTCAAGCAGTGGGCTCATCTGTAAAATGCCTAGTGGCCTGGCATCCAATATCAGCCCTGGAGAAAGGGCAAAGTTTGGTGGAGTTGGGCCGGGCAGGCCTGCCTTTAGGTCTCCCAACGGCAGGCACAATCACCAGCCCTGGTGGGAGTGGTAGAGCTTGGCGTAAACTCTTTATTAATTTCCTTGGTTATAAATAGCCTTAGTGTGGTGGCTTTCTCAAATACAAGTTGTAGTAGTAATATACTGGCTGGGTGAGTGGGCTCAGGGCCTTCTGAGTAGCTGGAGTGGTGCCAGAAATGGTGAGACCAGGGGTTGTGCAAAGCTTGTCTCCTTCCCAAATGCTGCGCAATTGTGTCAGCAGATATTGTAATTGTCTGTGGGTGGCTCTTGCAGGTGAGAGCCAGCTGTGTTGGTGGCAGCAAAGCCTATGTTTAACCTTTGTTAATTAGAAGTACTCTAATGTCCCAGGAGATGTGTTGGGCCATGAAACTCCCAGGGGTCCTGGTCCCCTGCTATGCCTCTGAGGTGAGTGGAGAGGGGCAAAGCTGGGTGGGAGTTGGCCAGAGAGGTCTGTGCCTGGGCTCCCCAACTGCAGAGGCAAGCGCCAGCCTCAACAGGGAACAGAAGGCCTCTGGAACATCACTCCAGGGAGGAGTGGAGAAATCTCTGCTGTGCCAAAGAGCCAGCACAAGGAATGAAAGGCAATTTGGCAGCTTAGCAGGTGGTAGTGAGACCTGCCTTGCTTCCCTGCTTTCCACCTGGCAGAGCTCCCCGCTGCAGCCTGCTGCTTGCAATAAGCTTAAACAATCAGCCATTTCCCAAGCAGACTGTTCTCAGTTCAAGAAACTGCCCCAGGCCGGACACTCTCACCTCTTAGTTCTGGCTGTGTGGGCTCCTCCTCCATTCAAGACTAGGTCACAAATCTCAGTCCAGAGAACTTCCCAGCCAGTAACTGCTGCCTGTGCTTGTTGTCAGCTTTTAGCACAGACGCCTATGAGTTAGAATCTGAAATGGCTGCCTTCTGTCTATGGTGCTTGGGTCTGGCATGAAACACATTTTTCTGCTGATGCTCCTTCTCTGGGTCTCCCCTCTGCTTCCCACGTCAGATCCAATACTTGGTGAGGTCAAGGAGCTACCCCATGGCCTGGATTTCCTGACTCCTCAGTGGGAATGCATATCACAGAGACACTCTCCTCCTTTCATACAGTGGGGACTCGCTCACAATTTTCTGCTAAACCTGCAGAGCAGGCTGCTGCCCACTATATTCTTTAAAGTACTTATTGTTTTTTCACTTTTATGTTAAGCCCCTGTGTTCCTCCTTGGATAAATGTTCACAGTGTGAATCTCTATACATTATTTTGCTATTTCCAAGTGGGTGAGGTGTGCAAATAAAGCCTCTAATCTGCCATTTTTGAGAAAGACAAAAAAACCACCTTATCTTTTGAGTTGAGCTCACACTGTTCTCATATTGTCCCCCAGAAAATAATTGAGCAAGTAGCTGTGATGCCTATGTCACCCACCTCCATTTTAACCTTGGCCTTCTCTCAGCTCATATCTATTGCTTTATAAGAGTTCTTGAATGACCAGCTGAAAGGTGAAGAAAAAACCTAAGCTTGGTCTGCTGATGTCAGTTCAGAATATGGGACAATTCTAGAAAGGAATAATGGCTGTATTATAGGCACTTTCAGGAATTTCCTTGAAAAAGTGGGGAGGGAAAATATTTCATAATGGGTGGAGCTGAGAGCAATACACTAGGTCATCTACTTCATTTAAAATAAGAAGTGGCCAGTATCCATGGGAGATTGGTTTCAAGATCCCTTCCTACCTACCCCCACAACAGATACCAAAATCACCAGATACTCAGGTCCCTTATTTAAAAAGGTGTAGTATTTGCATTAACCTATGCACATTGTCCCATATACTTTAATCATTTCTAGATTAGTTATAATATACAATATAATACAAATACTATGTAAATAGTTGTTATACTATATTGTTTAGGGAATAATGACAAGAAAAAAGTCTGTACATGTTTGACACATGTACAGACACAACCATCCTTTCTTTAAAAATATTTTCAATGGGGCGTGGTGGCTTACACCTACAATCCCAGCACGTTGGGAGGCCGAGGCGGGTGGATCACCTGTGGTCAGGAGTTGAAGACCAACCTGACCAACATGGTGAAACCCCGTCTCTACTAAAAATACAAAATTAGCTGGGTGTGGTGGTGCATGCCTGTAATCCCAGCTACTTGGGAGGCTGAGGCAGGAGAATAGCTTGAACACAGGAGGCGGAGGTTGCAGTGAGCCAAGATCAAGCCATTGTACTCCAGTCTGGGCAACAAGAGTGAAACTCCATCTCGGGGAAAAAAAATGTGTGTGTGTGTATATATATATATATATATTATATATTTCAATCCATGCTTGGTCGTATCTATGGATGTAGAACCCAAAGATATGAAGGGCTGACTGTACATGTATGCTTGGGCAGTGAAAATGGTCTGCTCAGCTAATTAAGGTTGTAGAAACAGAAAGTTCGAGTGATGGGAAATAAGAAAGTCTGGAATAAGGCATGTGGATGGACACAAGAATAGTAACTAATTGAGAATATATTTGAATCATATGTTAATACCTTCCAGAAAGCATCCTTTGCTGAAGAACCACTAAAGAACCAAACAGACAAACTGACTTGTCTGGTTGATTTTAACTAACCTTCAACATGGGCCACCCCAGAACTGGGATGATAGGCACATGAATGGAGTGTCATGGTGGCAGAGATGGAGGGTAACATGGGTTTGACACATGGTCTCCTGACTTATCAAGACTAATCTAGCTATTGCTGCCTCTGAATGCTAGCAAGAGAAGCCAATACTGAGTCTTTTGTGGAGATCGTTCTATCTTGGAAGACAAGTTGCTTATTTCTTCAGGTATAAATATCTATTCTGGGTATGGATTTTTATTTCTTGCCCAAAGTGTCAGCCACCACCATTATTGATAGCCATCAAATGATTATTTAGATATATATTTAGTAATATAACAAGGCAGTATGACAAAAAGAGTATGAAATTCCATCATCATTTAACTATATATGTATGTATATGGAAAAATTATCCCAAATTGATTACAGTGATGATATGCATGGTTGTATTTATATTTATTTTTCTTTTATTTTTCCCTTATGCTACAGGCTAATTTTTCTATAAGAAAATGAAATATTCTATAATAAATGTTGTAAATGTGAAACAAATTAATATTATAAAACATCATTAGTCCCTAGTTGAACAGAGAATCAGTGTATGCCATCAGAATAGTTTTCCTACGTATCATCTCCTGTAATTACTCATCTTATTCTTCAAATAAAGTTCTATTTTTTGTAGAGTAAATCTCCACACTGACCAGACTTATTTCTCTTAGAGCATGTTGGATGTCATTTTTACATTTTCATCCTAAATTGTAGTTCTGGGTCCATTTAAATGATTATAACTAAGTAAATGGGCAAGTGCCAAAGTTTATGGTTTCTTCCCAAATTTTCTCTCACAGAATTGCTACACTATTATATGAAAATTCACTTTGCTTAAAAATATAGTTTATATATAAGTTTACCTTCTCCCTGTCTTTTTCACAAAAGAAAGAACTGATGAAAAATATATAATAATTTTATCAATTGTATATAAAGTAAGCAATGGTCCTCAATGTGCCAGCAAGCATATGTCCCTCTGGATCCATAGAATGCCAAATAGCTGTGATTCTCTGTGAATATTATCTGAAGGAATATTCAAAAGTCTCCTTGGGGACAAAATAATATAGGATATGAAATACTTGTTAATTTGTGTTTATTGTCATGAGTGTAGTAAACCAAATGAAAATGTCTGATTTAGCAGCTAATTGACTAACCAAACATGTTTACTAAACTATATCCAATAAGATTCATATTTATTCTTCACTCATATATTATTACAAAGAAAGAGATTAATAGCCTATTTATACCTACAAGTTCAAGCCTCAGCTACAACTCATAGCTAAAATTGTATGCCTTCCATGATTTTACAATCTATCATTTTAATGTTTTTTCTTTCCTTTATTAAGTTCTTTTTAAAAATAGAAAATTAAAATAAGCACACAAAAATCATACTTACATTAAATAGATATAATCATACTTATATCTTAAACTTTGCAAGATTGTGGTGTAAAGATGTAGATGGTTTTTATAAGAAGAAAAATGGACAAATTCCCAATTTTTAGGTATATCAGGACTTATTTGATAAATATTTTCTCATTAAAATGAATATATTTAATATATTGTATTAAGATGTCAATATTAACACAACATATACTGTTTAAAGTATTTGGTTGTTGTATTAGCCTGTTCTCACACTGCTGTGAAGAAATACCCGAGACTGGGTAATTTATAAAGGAAAGAGGTTTAATTGACTCACAGTTCTGAGGGCTGGGGAGGCATCAGGAAACTTACAATCATGGTGGAAGGGGAAGCAAACACGTCCTTTTTCACATGGCAGCAGCAAGAAGTGCAGAGTGAAGCACTATGAGGGGGTGGGGAGGAGCCCTTATAAAACCATCGGATCTTGTGACAACTCACTTATTATCATGAGAACAGCATGAGCATAACTGCCCCCATGATTCAATTACCTTTCACCCGGTCCCTCCCAGGACACGTGTGGATTATGGTAACTAAAATTCAAGATGAGATTTGGGTGGAGGCACAGCTAAACCATATCAGTTATGATGTAAAATAAGCATTTCCTCTTTCACATTGATCTGCCTTTTCAGACTGTATTCATGAAGACTGGTTTAATGAAGAAAATCATGCCAATAAGAATATAAGGTTAATCATCATTATGAAATATAGTTCAAAGGGCACAATATATCTCTATATTTTCAGAGCAATTCAAATCTCAGTTTTAGAGTCTACTATTTAATCAACTGAATATATTTTCTGAGCAGATAATTTGTTTACGTGTTAAATCACGGTCACGTCTCCATGTATTGCACAACTGGATTGAGCATTATTTTGCTTACTCAGGAATTTTAACGATCATGTTATTTTCACTTTTATCAATTAATAGCAAGGTGGATGCTGCATAAATTAATAGTATAAGCTGTGTGTAAAGCCTGAAAAGCCTGAAAAGCACTCTCTTGAACTATAGCGGATTTTACCCAGTACTCTTGAGACTTATTTTGTAAGCTAAGAGAAAAGCTTTATCAGCAAATTATAAAACGCTATTCACTCTATTACTCTTTCAGACAGGATCTGTCTAATTCAGTTTCCAGAGGAACTGAAGTTGAGTTATGAAGGAGTAAAAATAATAGCAATAACACTAATAGAAAGACCAAGCTTAGGCTATTGTAGAATAGAACAAATAAATTTCCAAAGACTGAGGAATTAAACACAGTTTCTAGAGAGAGGAGTTAGCGCTGCTTTCTACCTTCTCTCAGCAAAATCCAAAGAGGTGCAGGTAATCTAAAAGGTAAACTTAGGTTTAGCTGTAGATAACCAATAAATCCAAAATAACAGTAGCTTAAACAAGAAACATTTACTTTTCTGTTAAACAATAGCTCAGGCAGTTTTTCCAAAGAATATATAGCAGTTGCAGGAGCCTATTTTATTGTGCTGCTATCCTCACATGTGACTCCTCTTTGTGGTCAGGCAGCTACTCTAACATCAAACAACATGCATCCCTTCTAGCAAAGAAAAACTAGGCCGGATGTGGTGGCTTGTGCCTGCAATCCCAGCACTTTGGGAGGCAGAGGCAGGTGGATCACCTGAGGTTAGGAGTTCGAGACCAGCCTGGCCAACACGGTGAAACCTTGTCTCTACTAAAAATACAAAAATTAGCTGGGCGTGGTGGTGCATGCCTGTAATCTTGCTACTCGGGAGGCTGAGGCAGGAGAATCGCTTCATCCGGGAGGCAGAGATTTCAATGAGCCGAGATCATGCCATTGCACTCCAGCCTGGGCAACAGAGGGAGACTCCGTTTCAAGAAAAAGAAAAACTAGAAGAACGATTTTTTTTAAGGATTCCTTCTTTATAGAATTATCTCCCTGTTAAGGAAAGTTCTTAAGATTTTCTCTCACATTCTAATATACATTCCATTGTCTGAAACTTAGTCACTTGGCCACACCTAGCTGCAATGGGAGACACAAAGTATAGTTGGTTCACTGTATACTTGGCTAAGATGCAGGAGTTTCACTGCTCTCAATAAAGAACAAACAGCAATTTTAGATACAGCTACAAAAATTTTCAAATTGTTGTGCTATCTCTTCTTGAGCCCAAGGCAGTATTAAGGCAGATGTATATGTAATTTTATAGGCAGGAATGTGACAGCACAGAGTAAACAATGGAGCACCTGAAGGAAAGCATTGTTTTATGTTAAGCAATTTACAATATCTTCATATTAAGCCAAGTGAAATTATGTAATGGAGTATATTGTAATCTTTACATGATGAATGTAAAATGAAACAAAGATTTTAAATAAATTTTACATTTAGATAGCTTAAATTTTTGTCTGTTACTTTTAACTACAGAGGTAATTGTTCTTTTCTTTATTTTATGAATACAGACCTAATAGTATTTTATAACATAATTTGATAACTATGTAAAGTAGTTCAAATAAAAGAATGATGGAAAGATACTAGAACTCCAAGATGTTAAGACTGTGAGGCGGTAATATAGCTGGAGTATTAAACCTTGTTTGTATGATAGCAACAAAAAAAGCTGACCTTTCCCTAACTCAACACTGCTTCACTCTTACTCCCTCTCTCATATGTGTTTATATAAGCTTTTAAACATATATGTGGAGCCTTCTTTCTATTGTATTCTGTCCAAAAATATAGTTTATTATTATATTTGAGTTTCATTTTCATTGCTGAAAATCAAGATAACTTCAAAAAGCATAAAAGAAGAAATAATCAGCCATAATCTAAACCAGAATATATATATTCATGTTTACTCTCATTATCTAAAACTTGGAACATATCATTTTACTACAAATTTTCTTCCTTCTTTGTAACTTTTATTAAAATATTTGAAATATAATTTCACATTACTTGACAAAATCCAATTTACTGGTTCCATTAAGTTGTGTCCATAAAGATGAATTATAATTTATTTGATGAATGTCCATAGTTTTGCTATTAAAAGGGTTATTAAAAATTGACTGTTGCTAATTATACTCAATGACATCTCTTTATAAACAATAATTATTAATATTAATTTCTATTAATGAACTTAGGCAAAGTTATCGGTTTTTTTTAAGGATTTTGATGATTGATGAAAAAAATCAACCCTGCAGAAAATTTTCATAACTGATTTTCCCAAAAACACAGAGCAGTGCCTGTTATGAATCACTCTCACCAATTAGGTATGGAAATAATTAATTACTACATTTTTAATTTGTTATTTGACAAAGTAATATTCTACTCTTGCTTTAATTGGCATTTATTTATTAATATTTTTCATATGCTTTAACTTCCTCCTTTGTTGATTATCAATTAAAACTCAATCCTCAGTTCATTTCTGAGATTGTAATTTATTTTATGATTTATATAATAAGACTTTATTATATTTCTCAGTCACATTAACTAATTGAGTGCTCAGAAATGGCAGTTATCTTTATGAGGTTTCCTAGTCTATACTCTAAGCATTACAGAATTTGTGAGAAAAAAAAATCCTATTTTTTCTTTAATATAAATTACTAAATTATAGCCTGCTTAGGCAAAAAGACATGAAAAATTTAAGTACTTTGATGCCTAATGGAAAAAATGACCCTTCAGAAAGTTTTTATTAATTTATAATTCCTCCAAAGTTGGGATTTTTTGATTTCCATCAATCAATTCTTTATCTACAGCAAGTCCAGTGCTTTGACCAATCAAAAATATAAGAGTAGGACCACAACATTTCATGATGAGAATGTGGGAAAAGGCTGCATAATACAAGTATGAGCACTGAACTGGTCATTGGGGACATTGACTCCCTGCTTTGAAACAAGTTGTTGAACAGCTCTATTGATTAAATGAATGGGCTAGATCATATAACTTCTAAGGTCTCCTTGCATAGCTCAAATTCTATTATCTGTATTGCAAATATGTTGAAAAATATGTTTTTATTTCTTCCATATGGTCCACATAATTTATGATGAATTTGATATAAATATACATAAGTTTACATTGCATAGATACCATTGGATTGAATACATTGAACAAAATCTGGCATTTTATGGACTGTTTAAGAAGTAGAATGTTCATGTGTCCAATCTTGGTACAGATTGAAGGCAATCCCTACCAAAATACCAATGACATTCTTCACAAAAATAGAAAAAAAAATCCTAAAATTCTTATGGAACCACAAAACACCCAGCATAGCCAAAGAACGAAGTAGAGGCATCATGCTACCTGACTTCAAAATATACTACAAAGCTATAGTAACCAAAACAGAATGGCACAGGCATACAAACAGACACATAGTCCAACAGAACAGAGTAGAGAACGCAGAAATAAATGCACACATTTACAGCTAATTCATTTTTTGCCAGAGGTGCCAAGAGCATACACTGGGGAAAGGATGATCTCTTCAATAAATGGTGCTGAGAGGAATGGATATCCATGTGCAGAAGAATGAAACTAGACCTCTCTCTCTCACCATATGCAAATATCAAATCAAAGTAGATTAAAGACCTAAATGTAAGACATGAAACTATGAAGCTACTACAAGAAAACTTTGGTCTGTGCAAAGACTTTTTCAGAAAGACATCAAAATCACAAGCAACCAAAGCAAAAATTGATAAATGGGATCACATCAAGCTAAACAGCTTCTGAGCAGCAAAGGAAACAATCAACAAAATGAAGACACAACCTACAGAATGGGAGAAAGTATTCACAAACTATCCATCTGCAGAAGGGTTTAATAACCAGAATATATAAGGAACTAAAATAATGCAATAGCAAAAAAATAATAATCATTATCATCCAATTAAAGAATAAACAAGAGATCTGAATAGACATCTTAAAAGAAGACATATAAGTGGTTAACAGGTATACAAAAAATGCTCAACATCAGTAATCATCAGGGAAATGCAAATCAAAACTACAATGATTTATTATCTCACCTCAGTTACATTGGCTATTATCAAAAAGACAGAAACTAAGAGATGTTGGCAAGGATGTGGAGAAAGGGGAATGCTTTTACACAGCTAGTGGGAATATATACTAGAACTACCACTATGGAAAAGAATATGGAGGTTCCTCAAAAAAACAAAACTATCATCTGATCTGGCAATCTCACTGCTGGGTACATATCCAAAAAAGGAAATCAGTATATCAAAGAGATATCTGCACTTTTCACAATAGTGAAGATATAGAATCATCCTAAGTGTCCATCAACAGATGAATGGATAAGGAAATGTGGCATATGTATACAATAAAATATTATCTAGTCATAAAAAGGACAAAATTCTGTCAATTGCAGCAACATGGATAGAACTGGAGGACATTTTCTTGAGTTAAATTAAGCCAGGCACAGAAAAACAAATATTGCATGTTCTCACTAATATGTGGGAGCTAGAAAAAAATTGATCTCATGGAGGTAGAGAGTAGAATGGTGGTTACCAGAATCTCAGAAGGATAGTTAGGAGGGAGGATGAGGAGGGGTTGGTTAATGGGTACAAATACAGTTCAATAGAAGGAACATATCTAGTTTTCCATAGCACAGTAGGGTGACTGTAGTTAACAAGAATTTATAGCATATTTCAAAATAGCTAAAAGAAAAGATTTGGAATGTTCCCAACACAAAAAAATCATAAGTATTTGAGGTACTGGATATCCCAGTTACCTAGATTTGATCGTTACACGTCGTATGCATATATCAAAAAGACACACACACACACACACACACACTAAATATGTACAACTGTGGTGTTGTGGTGTATCAATAAAACAATTGCATTAAAAATATGATATTACTAATTAATCACAAAGTATTTTTTATTTTTTTAATTTTTGTAGAAAAATATAAAATTCAACAGTCATTCATAGTAAAAACTTTTAGCATGATAAAATCTGATAAAATACGATCAACCTGATAGTATCTACTAAAAATAATAAACCCCTAAGATCAGAAATGATCAACATTGTATTTACTGGAGATTTTCACCAAAGCAATAGGCGAGAAGGCTTTAAACATCCACCCTGCCCAGAGGAGGCAGTGCCAGTTCATGACTGTACTGGTCAGCAAAGACCTGTCCAGCTGTATTACCTCTCATCCCTGTCCTCCTCTCCAACACTGGAGTGGAACAGAAGTTCCAATTAGCAAATTGGGAATGGAGTGTTTAAATGTGTATTATTAATTTTACTTCCTGTGCTGTGCTTTGGTATATCTTTGTAGAGGTCGCTGAGCCATAACCTCTCCAAGGGTCTAGATCAATGCTTCTCAGACTTTAATTTACATAAAAATAATCTGGTGATCTTGTTAAAACGCAGATTCTGATTTTGGGGTCTTGGGTGAGACCTGAAATACTGCATTTCTAACAAGGTCCTAGATGGTATCTAGCTGCTGTTTCTCTGACCACAATTCGAGTAGTAATGTTCTAGGAAACTTCAAACACATACACCTTTGTAACAAGAATTTACTTTTGTAGTAACCAGATCATTCACTGATGCAACTAAAGTCTTTAATTTTCAGATACAAAATGGACTAATGTAACTTCATTATAATGCAGCTTTTCAATCTAGAAACCAATATTATGTTTGAAATAAAAGAGGGCTTTTAGTTATATTTTTTAAAGTACTAGATTGTTTTTGCCTGGGGAAACCCACTCTGTAAATATCCTGCCATCCTTTGTGAGCTGGGGTAGTCCAACCAAAACACACCGGCCAGTTTCTATGTATAGTACTTGCTTGGGTCCTACCTACACTGCCCCTGCCCAGTTAGCCTTATGAAGAGGGCAGGATAAACCAGTAAATGGTCTGTGCTGTTGGTATGGTGTCTGCTGGGATCCATGACACTAATGTTGGCTTTCTTCTTGCCGGACTAGGAAGGAACAATTTATATTTTCACAGGACATCACTTATCAACAGTTTTCCTCCGTCAGCATGGGCTAGTTCCTACATGGTGGAGTACATAGAAGTTGTAATCTTTAGTCCTCTCTTTAGCAAGAGAACCTTTCATTTCTTTTCTACTGGGTCTTAGGAGGGCAGGGGGATGCCATTTAGTTCTCTGAGTGGTTCTTCATAATAGCTGCTTATTACTGTAAACTTTGGAGCTTTTAAAAATACAAATGCCTGTACCTTATCTTGGACCTAGCTGGTTTCTGGGCATGCAGCTCATTTTAAAGCTCTTTCTGTGGTTCAAATACAAAGTTTCAGATCTCTGGGCTAGAGAGAAAAAAATCTGCTCTACCTCCCCATCTGGAGCTAGAAAGTAGACATTAACCAGACTAACAAGATGTGAAAATAATGGAAAGATAAAAACGACAGTCTAGACCCACAAGTGGGATTGCTAGACTTAGCAAATTAAAATATTAGATGCACCACTTACAGTAATTTATTATGATTATGTCCCCTGCAATATTTGGGACTTACACTCCAGAGGTATCCATTGCTTAATCAAATTTTAAATTTACTGGGCCTCCTCTATTTTATCTGACAACCCTACTGACAAGGATAGCCTCAGGTTGCTTGGGAAGAAAATGTAGTTAATAAATTCTTAGGACAGTATATATATCGTTATATATAATTATAAGGATAATAATACACTAGCTGAGATTTAAAATCAATCCACTAAGGAGGAATAAAAGGGTTGTTCATTAAAGTTAAGATTCTGGCACTAGTTGCTTGTTGATACTAGTTTGAAAGTGGTGAGTTTCCATATTTTTATGTGTATGGTTTTGTTTTGATTTCTCCTGATATAATAGTTACATCAATGTGAAGTTGAGAAGAGTTACAACCTGGGCTGCTAGCCAGATGCTAACAGAAAATCAGAACTTTGCTTTGACCTTTTAAAAGTAACTTGAATCTGCCATGTCAGAACGCATAGTTACAAATTGTTCTCCCTGACTCCCCACTAATCACCTTCCCAGTCATTCTCTTCAGGCAGAAAGGCCATCTTGAGCATACATGGTAACTTGGATGGCTTTGTGACTCAGAACCCACCCTGTTCTCATTTAGTTTATTACTGTAGATATTGTTAGTGTGTCATAGCGACCAAATAGAAATTCTTTGATTGTGAATGTAGGAGAAATGTTAGCACAGAATAACTTATATACCCTGAAAACATCTGCCCTCATCAAACACTGTTAAGGCCCCAGGGAAAACCATCACCTGGATTTTGTCATCAAAACAAAAGATGACTGCATCCAAATACCATTAAGATTTAAGAGTTGGGCCACTGCCAGCATAGAAGATGAATGTTGCTTCGGAGTTTGGAAAGAATTTGAGTGGCAGAAGCATTTAAATTAGAGAAAAGACAAATTAATTAACTTGTTAAATTATTTCCCTCAGCATGAATGCAACTCAGTTCTGCTTCATGAAATACATTTTCCCAGTAGTAGTTCAAACTATACCTTTCTTGATTTCTTTAATGTTTTATCCTATGGTTTTATTCTATGGTTGAAGAATCCTAAGGTGGGATTCTTCAAAGTTGTACATGGTAGTTGAGAAATATTTTGCAATATTACATAATTTACATTACACTTAAATTTGTGTATGTGTAGACCTAGACATAACATGGTTTACAGTGGAAAGCACATAGACATTAAACACTAGAATTGCAAAAATATGGTTTTATAGAATAAATTCTAAATTAAATGAAAAACTCTGCTTTAAATAATTTTGATTTAAAAATTTGATATCTATTTCTCACAAACTGTATTTTGTCTTCTGATTTTTAATGGGTACTATTACATTTTGAAAGAAAAATACCCTTTTATGAAATTAAGTTTTTGAATTTTTCTATTTAATTTTTGAGGAATAGATATCTAAATTATATAAACACTAAATGCAACTATGTTTAATTTCCTAATCCTTTAGATCAATGTTTTCCAATAGAATTTTCTGCCATGATGAAAATATTTTCTATCTGCCCCATCCCTTATAGTAGCTACCAGCTACATGTGGCTATTTATTTACTTAAATGTGACTGCAGTGACAGAAACTTCATTTTAACTTCAATTAATTTTAATTAATTCAAATTTGACTAGCTATGTGTGATTAGTGGCTAATCACTAGGACAGAATTGCTTGAAAGTATTTCTATTCAACATAAATTATGTAAAAATATTTTACAGTACACTAGTGATTTTGTTGAAATAAAGGCAAGAAAAATAAACTTTATGAAATCACTGTATAATAATTATGACTCCAGAACTCCCTGTTCTTCTTCTTCTTTTTTTTTTTTTTTCAGAAAACTCAGTTATGTGCAAAAGAAAAATACTCAGTCATCTTTAATATTTTGGTCATTTTGTATTTCACTCACTTAAACCTTAGAAAACAGGTTTGCATGTATTTATTTAAATTTTATTGACAGGAAAATATATCAAATTACTGTGTATTGTTTTGTATTCCATGGTTTTAGTTACCTGTGGCCAACTGCAATCTGAAAATATTAAATGGAAAATTCTAGAAACAAACAATTCATAAGTTTTAAATTATGCACCGTCTTGAGTAGCATGATGAAATTTTGCACTGTCCTGCTCCCACTCATCCTGACCATCAGTGATAATTCTCTTTGCCCAGTTGATCTAGGCTGTCTATGTTCCCCTCCCATTAGTCATTTGGTAGCCATTTGGTTATCAGATGGAAAAAACATAGTATATACAGGGTTTGGTACTAACTGTGGTTTGAAGTCATCCTCTGAAGTCTTGGCACATATCCCCTGTGGATAAGGGGAGACTATTGCAGAAATAGAAATCATATTTTATTTACTTTATGGCTTTACTTACATCTTTTAAATATTTAAATATATGGCATATGGCCTTGCTTTGTCTCTTTTCCCAAGCCTGGAATAAAAGAGTTATAGAGGATAAGGTTGAAGGCATTACATTGCAGGTGAGTAGATTTCCAGTCCAGGTTTGAATATTATTTTAAGAACAATTTATTGAGTATTTAAAAATGGAGCTATATGATACCATATTTTATAAATAACAATCGAGTAGACCATTAAGGTAAGATTAGAGGAAGACAGGACTGGTTTTTGTGTAATGATAAAGACTCAAAGTGGTCACAATGTAAAAGTGAATTTTTAAAAATGCAAATGCAGCAAAGGAAGAATTTGTTCTTTCTTGGAAATAATGTTAGGAGCATAGAAAAACAATTAGAAGCCAGGCGTGGTGGCTCACGCCTGTAATTCCAACTCTTTGGGAGGCTGAGGTGGGCGGATCACCTGATGTCAGTAGTTCAAGATCAACCTGGCCAACATGGTGAAACCTCATCTCTACTAAAAATGCAAAATTAGCTGGGCATGGTGGTGTGTGCCTGTAATCCCAGCTATGCGGGAGGCTGAGGCAGGAGAGTCACTCAAACTCGGGAGGCGGACATTGCAGTGAGCTGAGATCACGCTACTGCACTCCAGCCTGGGCAACAAGAGCAAAACTCCATCTCGAAAAAAAAAAAAAAGAAAAAGAATAAAAGAAAAACAATTAGAGCTAAATATAGTGTCATTGAATGAGAAAGAAGTAGAATTTTTTAAATTATCACCTGTGGCAAAGATATGGCATTTATAGAGTCTGTAAATCAAACTCTAGACTCAATTTTCAGTTCTCTGTGAAACTTTAAGCATTTCACTTGAATTTTTTGAGCATTAGTTTTGTCATCTATAATATAAGAACAATAAAAACATATGCCTCCGTGGATGACTATGGGAATCCATGTAGTATGGGTGAAAGTGCTTAGTATAATCCTAAATACTGTGCAAATTATAATGATAAGTAATCATGTTACATTTTCATGTTAATAATGATAATTATTAACCATGAGTATATAGTTTGTCTTATGTTCAGGTTTCAAATGTTTATTAAAATCATTTATTTGGTGATTTAATTTTCTTTTGTTAAAAATGCTGAGATTGAGATCTTTTTGGATCCTAAATTCATAACTTCTAAGGATTTCAAAACTAGGCTACCGTGGCTAGAAGTATGACAAATATGATTAATTGTTCTGGAAAGAAAAACAAAAAGATTTGAAAAGTTTATCAGGCATTTATAAAGGTTATTATTTCAAGAAATCAGGGGCAATCTAATCATTTCTGTTCGTACTCAGTTTAGGTAAATATTTGTCATTGCCTAAATGCTTAGTACCAAATGAATGAACAGACTAAAAGAGAAAGAGAGAAAGTGATTTCTGAAGTATACGTTGTTTAGAGCATATCACTGCATACTTCAAGAGGTTTCTAAACTAAAGGCTGTTTTTAGTTCTTCACCCTTGAGAAGTTTTGTTTATTGGATCAGAATTAGTAAAATGAAAAATATTATGTCTATAATTCCCTATAGATCAATGCAAATCCATAGAGTCAATATAATCAAACATGCCAAAGAAGAACACTCAGTAACCAAATACTGGGGTCTAAAGGGTATGCTATCGCCAGAAATGGTTTATAGACATCGCAGAGCTTGTTATGATTATCTTGTGATTCACTGAGTTAACTACAGTGGCATTTGGATTACAATTAAAATTATAAGCCCTATTACAGTTACAGGCTCAATTACAGTTACTTCAAAGAGATGTTTTTTGAATAGCTTAAGAAAAGTAATCTGACAGGAATATAAGTCAATAAATCCATATATATATATATATTTTCAATACTTCCCACAACATGCCATTTTAGTTATACCTATACAGTTTAATAACCAAGAAAACTCACTAAAATTCAAGTTATTAAAGTCATTTTCAGTAATTCCAATAATAGCTAAAAGTTATTACTTAATGAACTATGTGCCAGATTATGTACTAAGTACTGTGTCTGAAAAAAGATCATTTAATGCCAATAATAACCCAACACTATTATTTTTTCACACACACAAAAGAGGAAACCGAGACTGAGCTTTCAGATCTGTCTAGAGACATGCACAGCTAAAAGTAATAAAAACAACCCCACTCCAGTAATACCAACTACCTCAGAAACAAAGTGAATGTGGAGGTAAATTCTCAGATTTTGGCTTATTCCTGATTTCCTGCCTTTCCCTGATTTTCACACCACCTTAAGCTGGAGTCTTCTTGTTCCTGAAATCTACCACCTTCCCAGAAAACACTCAAGCCTTCACCAAAATTACCAGGGAGGCCTCCAAAACTAATCCAAGCATTTTCAAAATCTCTTATGTCAGTAACTACAAGAATTCTGAGACTCCTGGTTAATTTTTCATCACCAGGCTACCCATTCATATGTTTTGGGGATTCTCTAATATTATGCCATTATCACCCATCTCCATCTCCCAACACCCTTTTACCCTGTCTCCTGGAAAATCCCACCTTACCTGAATGTTTTTGTTCTAACTGAAAGCATACATTCCACTGAAAACACTGCTCCCCACATAGTTTCTCGAGTGTTTGCTCTCTTACCACTAGGCCTGGAAGTAGCATCAGTGTCTTCCTTGTTTCTCATTGCCACCTCTGGGCAATTATACTGTTACTTTCTGTCCTTGGAAACTTAATTATTAGTGGTAAATACCACTGATGTATCACCTGCTATTTCTCCTTGCTGTAAGCATCCATGTACCCTCTGGGTTCCTCTTCCTCATTATTTAACAAATGTAGTCTCTCTCTCTCTCTCTTTCTCTCTCTCTCTGTCCGTCTGTCTGTCTGTCTTCAATGCTACTTCTTTCATAATTCCTGGCGATTTCTGTATCCATATAAATGCACATGTACTTGTCTTTCTTGTTACTGTGGATAAATTAGCTGTGGTCTGGTTACAGCTAATACTTTCCCTAGTGCATAAAACTGTCTCTTCTTTACTCAGGGTCATTTTTTCTGCAGTTCCTTGACTGCATGTTATTCCTTTGTCTCACTCTATAAGATTATTCTAATCACATCCAAATATGCTACATCACCTAAGTAGTGCTATTATAACATAATAACACTTTTTTTGCTTTCCTTTATGACACAATTCTACAAAATTGCCTATGCTTATTGCTTATGCTTCCTTTCCTCTAATTATTTTTTTGTTTCATGCCAAACAGGCTTTTCGATTGCTGCAGCAAAACCTGTTTTTGACAAGATCACAATTGACCTCAGTTTTGCCAAACTGATTGGTCAATTCTCAATTTTTAAATTACCAGACTTTTCAGTAGCATTTGACACCATTGTTGACACCCTCCTTTGTCAAATGCTTTCTTCACTTCAAGGACACTACTCACTCTGGGTTTTCCTTCTCTCTTCTGCCTACTCTTAGTTGTGTTTGCCAATTCTTTTTTATCTTCCTATCCTGTGTTTTAGTGTTCAGTCATTGGACTGCTTCTGTCTCTGTTCTAGGTGCTCTCAAGTAGACTCAGGCTGATAACTCAAATATTCCCTGAATGTCAGGCTCATTTATTTAACTACTCATTTGACATCTGGATTCGAATGTCTAATGGGCATTTCAAACTTAACCTGTTGAAAACTGAGTTCCCAGTATTCCCCTACTTAACAAGCCTTTTCTTCCTAAAGTCCCATTGTTTCTTTCAGAATAAAAGCAAAACTCAGCTGAGCACGGTGACTCAGATTTGTAATCCCAGCTTTTTGGGAGGCTGAGGAGGGTAGATTACTTGAGCCCAGGATTACCAGCCTGGCCAACATGGTGAAACCCTGTCTCTACAAAAAAATACAGAAAATTAACCAGGCATAGTGGTGCGTGCCTGCAGTCTGTTACCCAGGACACTGAGGTGGGAGGATCGCTTGAGCCCAAGAGGTCAAGGCTGCAGTGAGCCGAGATCACATACTGAACTCCAGCCTGGGCAACAGAGTGAGACCCTGTCAAAAACAAACAAACAAGCTTCTCACCTTACAAGGTTCTACATAATTTGGTCCTCTGAGACTCCCTGACATTATATTCTGCTACTCTCTCTTTACTTACTGAAATCCAACCACTGGCCTTGTTAATATATCAAACATTTCAGAAAGAAAAAAGCAGCTTCTGACATCCAGGCATTGGGCTGACACTCACCAGTAGGCCTCAATGTTATTACAATTAGGTAAGCTGGTTTGATGCTCATGGTTAGACCATGTTGTTTCCTTTGTGATTTTAGCAGCAAGTATACAAAGTGCCAGGAATGTGGTCAACACTCAACAGATATTTGTAGAATGAAGGGATTAAATAAACAAGTGAATAAATATATTTAAAATGAAATTGCATAATATGGATTTTTGTATTCTAATTACAGCACACCTGGGGTATATGCATTGTCCAAATTGGGATAAGCCATGCTAGACTTGCCTGAGAATGTTTAAATGTTTGCTAATAATCATTATCTAACTAATTTGGCTTGCATGAACTTCTAATTTAATTTTTTTTTTTTGATGGAGTCTCGCTCTGTCTCCCAGGCTGGAGTGCAGTGGCTTAATCTCGGCTCACTGGAACCTCCGCCTCCTGGGTTCAAGCAATTCTCCTGCCTCAGCCTCCCAAGGAGCTGGGATTACAGGCAGGCACCACCACACCCAGGTAATTTTTTTTTTTTTTTGTATTTTTAGTAGAGTTGGGGTTTTACCATGTTGGCCAGGGTAGTCTCAAACTCCTGACCTCAAATGATCCACCTGCCTTGGCATCCCAATTGCTGGGATTCTAATTTAATTCTTTAAAATTTGCTCCTCAGTGGCTATTTTGTCTTCTAGAAGTATCTAGTTAACCACCCACTGGATTTTGTTTTTCTTGAGAGTAAGGCAGCTTGATTTAGCTCTTAGGATATGTTTCTTACACGACTTTGGTTCCCATCTGAACTTGTCTAAAAGAACAAAACAGTTAAGTGTAGTTTGGACAAGTGAAGGTATATTTTTTCTCAATATGATTTCTTCATTCTTCCAAGTTCAAATTGTTGGCCGCTATTAGTTACCTTAATTGTAGAATTAGCTCTGGAGAGATTAAAGACTGAATATATGCAGCGCTATAATTTTGTTGATAGGTTGAACTTTATTTTACTGTTCTTTTCCTCAGGGCTGTCACGATAGCCTGGTCTTCTGAGTATTTCATGTAACTTTCCATACTTCTCATTTAGGGACATATGTAGGAGAACAATAAAGTATTTGATTGGTATTTATTCTTTCAAAGGAGCCCTGTGAGGGAATACTCCAGGTGGAACATAAGGAGTCATGGTAACAAATGTGTTTTTGCTTATAAATTACCTATAGTTCTTATTTTTTAAATCCATAAAATGTTCTAAATACATATTTTAACTCATGAAGGCTAACTGATCTACTTAAAGTACTTGAATATTCACATTACATCACAACATAGCACTTAGTAGGCCTAGGTTTAAAGGGAGCAAATATGCAATATTCACTAACTATGCTACAATTAACATTTGTAAGAGCACTTTTTTTGATGTTTAAATCATTTGTTCACAGGATAAGCTATCTCGATGGAGAAATATTTAGATTTGTATTCTTTTTATTTAATTTATACTTTGTAAGGATGTATCATTTTAATAAGTAGAAAATATCCGTAATTATTTTTTAACATCACATTCAGAAAAAAAGTGTATATTTATTTGCCTATATCTAAATATGGCTGCTTTGTGGACTTGCTTATGGAATATATACTGTGAAGTATGGAATTACTTTTAAGTAATTTTTGTTTAAAAGATATACCAAAAATGCATACCTTGAACTTACCAATTAATGGTACTACAACTAGGCTTTTCACCTCTGCTAGATTCTCTAAAATATCTTACAGTCCCCTTTGTAGCCCCTTAAGCATACCTACTCTTTTACACCTAGGAGAAGAGAGATAGCCTGAATCTTTATGATTTAAAAAGAGTGATAAGGCCATTTCCTTACCAGAATCATTGCAGAAACATTGTGGAAATTAAGCCACTAACTTCCTGAAACATTCCGAAATATCTGTGAATAATGCATGTTATTAAGGTATACCAAAAAGGAAATAAATAATAAAACAATACAAATAACACTTGTTCTTTGAAACCAAAGTGTTATTTTACCAAGAAGAATTATTTTATGGACTATTAAGACATTCCACTTATTTTCTTCTAAAAAATATTTGGGCAGGGTAAGTTTCAGTTCAAATATAACTATAAAGTCATGAAAGACTACTCTCTTGCCACCTTTCTTTCCTCTGGACCCTCTACCCATGGCATACATATCCTCAATCCAGAAAATTACCTAGTTATTTATTTTTACCTTTAAATAGCAATTTTCAGACTTCCTATTTCTGGTTGGAACTTTTTCAGAAGGATTCCTTAGGAGATAATATCAATATGTGCATAAGATAATTGAATTTTATCACACTTGATTTTGACTCTTCAATATAGTTACCTAAATTATCAAAATTTGGAGTCCTTAATAAATATGGCTGAGACAAGAGCCATTTAGCTTTTTAATGAGAATATTTATAAGACCTTTTAAAATTATAAATTTCAAATATTAAATAACACTTAGACCCTTAAGAATTAGTTGAATCCCTAAATTCAGTATGCAATGTCTTAAACAGGCTATTAATAAGGTTGTCTTTAAAACATTTTTACTTTATTGGTATAGTAATAAAAGGCTAGGTATAATGAAAGGGATCAAGATCATATGTGTTATGTATTTATTTATATTTCCACATCCATGATTGTATGACTAAGTGCAAAAGAACTGAGGTAAGAAATAAAGGTGTTGCAGTATTGTGGACACTGTCAACTGCTTAGATGAACAAATAAACTTTCTCCCAGAACAAACTTCATAACTGAAGAGAAATTGCTGTTTGCATAATCCAAATTGAGGCATACAGGAGCAATACAGGCAAAGAAAATAGAAAGTTCAAATAAAATTTAAGATTTAAAGAGTGGAACAGAGGAAGCAGATCTCAGTGTATATGAACCAGGATTTATATTTAATTCATGAAAACAATGGAAGAACAAACTCACTGGTAGAAGAACAGACACATAGACCAATGAAACAGAATAGATAGCACAGAAATAAAACTGCACATCTGCAACTATTGAATCTTCCAAAAACCTGACAAAAATGATCAATGGGAAAAGAATTCCCTGTTGAATAAATGGTGCTGGAAAAACTGGCTGCTCATATGCAGAAGATTGAAAGTTGACCCCTTCCTTATACCGTACACAAAAATTAACTCAAGATGGGTTAAAGACTTAAATGTAAAAGCCAAAAGTTTGAAAACCCTGGAAGATAACCTAGGTAATACCATTCTGGACATAGGAATGGACAAGGATTTTGTGACAAAGTTGCCAAAAGCAATTGCAACAAAAGCAAAAATTGACAAATGTGATCTAATAAAACTAAAAAGCTTCTGCACAGCAAAACAAACTATCAACAGAGTGAACAGACAACCTACAGAATGGGAGAAAGTTTTAGAAAACTATGCATCCAACAAAGGTCTAATATCCAGCATCTATAAGGAACTTAAACAAATTTACAAGAAAAAAACAACCCCATCAAAAAGTGAGCAAAGGACATGAACAGATGCTTTTCAAAAGAAGACATACATGCAGCCAACAATCATATGAAAAAAGCTCAACATCATCTCATCATTAGACAAATGCAAATCAAAACCACAATGAGATACCATCTCATACCAGTCAAAATAGCTATTATTAAAAAAGTAAAATAATAACAATAATAATAACAATAACAGATTCTGGTGAGGTTTTGGGGAAAAAGGAACATTTACACACTGTTGGTTGGAGTGTAAATTCAGCCATTATGAAAGACAGTGTGGCTATTCTTCAAAGACCTAAAGACAGAAATACCATTCAACCCAGCAATCCCATTACTGGGTATATGCCCAGAGGAATATAAATCATTCTATTTTTAAGTCACATGCATGTGTATGCCCATTGCAGCAGTATTTGCAAGAGCAAAGACATGGAATCAAACTAAATGCCCATCAATGGTAGACTGGATAAAGAAAATGTGGTAGATATACACCATAGAATACTAATGCAACCATAAAAAATAAGATCATCTTCTTTGCAGGGATGTGGATGGAGCTGGAGGTCATTATCTTTAACAAACTAATGCAGGAAGAGAAAACCAAATACCACATGGTCACACTTATAAGTGGGAGCTAAATGATGAGAACACATGGACACATAGAGGGGAACAACAGATACTGGGGTCTATTGGAGGGTGGAGGGTGGGAGGAGGAAGAAGATGAGGAAAGATAACTAACAGGTACTAGGCTTAATACCTGGGCGATGAAGTAATCTGTTCAACAAAACCCTGTGACACAAGTTTACTTATGTAACAAGCCTGCACTTGTACCCCGAAATTAAAATAATAGTTAAAGAAAAAAAACAAACAGCTAACTCTAGATTGGTGAAGTTAGAAGAGTTATTCTGGCCAGTTTACTCTCTTGAAAGTACAAGAAAATAGACTTTATTCTAAAATGAAAAACAAAATAAAACAAAATGGACCCTCATGAAAACCCAATAAAAAATTACTTAACAGAAAAAAGATAATGAGGATCAGAATAATGAATCCACTATGGACACTTAAAGCACAACGAAAATGCATGGCCACAGGCCAGGCACGGTGGCTCATGCCTGTAATTCCAGCATTCTGAGAGGCCAAGACGGGTGGACCACTTGAGGGCAGGAGTTTGAGACCAGCCTGGCCAACATGGCGAAACCCCATGTCTACTAAAAATACAAAAATTAACTGGGTGTGGTGGCGGGTGCCTGTAATCCCAGCCACTCAGGAGGCTGCGGCAGGAGAATCGCTTGAACCTAGGAGGCAGAGGTTGCAGTGAGCCAAGATCGTGCCACTGCACTCCAGCCTGGGCGACAAGAGCGAAACTCTGTCACAAAAAAAGGAAAAAAAAAAAAAAAGGAAAAGAAAAAAGAAAATGCATGGCTACAAACTAGATTTTTAAAAATTAACTTATATTTCACTCTAAAAGTAATTAAGATAATGATAATAGCTGTGAAAGAACAACATGAATTAGAATCAGAATAACTCAGTATTGAGGAGACTGGAGAAAAGGAATATTTGACAAAAGAAGCAGTAAGACTCCAGAAAGAATCATAAAGGAAAAATATTTTATGTATACAAACTAAACTAGAATGAAGAGCAAATGAACACAAAGAATGTTGCCTTATGGAAAATAGTAAATAAAAATAAGGGACTTTTTATCACAAGGAAATGAAAGAAGGACAAAGAAGGACTGAGAGAAACATGGCAGAAATGGAGGATATGTGATGGTGAGCCAACACATGTGTACGCCCCCTTACTCCCCAAGTAAAGCAATTAAAGAAGACAAAAATTTTAATCCATTATGCAAGAAGTATTTTCTGAAATATTTTTTAAAAACACCAAAACTCTAGTACACACCACATACTTGGACAAAAAAAAAAAAAAACAACCAAACCTATCAACACTGAGACATACTTTAGTAAAACTATTGGACTATAAGAAAAACATTTAAAAAGGAATTTCAGACAAAAATCTGCCACATGACTTTGAAAATGCAAAGGAAAGATAGACTGTTATCAGCTTTTTCCAACAGTAATATATCATACAAGAAAGCAATGGAGATGCCTAATATACTTTGATAAAGAAAAGGTGAGCTAAAAATTCTACATTCAACCAATAATTATTTAAATGTTAAGTCCAGAGGCAATCTTTTGAATATGCAGTTACTCAGCAAATGTTTTTTACCATGGGACTTTATCTAGTAGCATACCAGATAATAAACTTTATATACCCCAAGTGACTAGAGAGATATTGACTTAAAGAGTGGTAGTGAGAATCAAGTATTATCTATACTTAAAATCATAGGATAGTTATAAGGATGTCAATAAAATATGTAATGACTATATGTTCTCAAAATACGGATGAGCTCAAGTATGAAAAATGGAAAGAGAATGGGGAGAGTACATGAAAAACAGAATAAACTTGCAGGTTGTTTATGTGTTAAACAAAAGAAAAAGTAATTTATTTGATATCAGATACTGAGAGAAATGGAGGAGATGAGGAAGCAGCTAAAACTAATTAACATAGTTGGGAACCAGTAAATAAACACAAAGTAAAGAAGGGACTAAGGAGACTATGGAAAGGTATTAATATAAAGGTAATAATTATTACAAAGATCCAAAACTTCCTAAATTCCAAAAGATATTGCAGAGAGAGAGAGAGAGAGATCAATAAGTGTAAATGAACTGAATTCATCTATTAAATATATATGTGTTTTCACATTGGCCAACAATGTTAAATTCAATAATATGCTGTATACAACAGACGAACTTAAAGCAAATAAATTGAGAAAAATCAAAAATTAAAATATAGGCGAAAAGAATGTAGACATCAGAAAAACTTCTCTAAATTTTCAGTTTTTCTTTTTTTTATTATTATACTTTAAGTTCCAGGGTACGTGTGCACAACGTGCAGGTTTGTTACATATGTATACATGTGCCATGTTGGTACATTTAGGTTACATAATGCCACATAAGAAAAACTAAAACTTTTGTAGGAAAATACATTAAAACAATGAAGAAAAGAAACAACTAGAAATTTAAAATATCGTGGGAAGGAACAACAGAAGAAGCTTATTTTAGAGATATTCCTTTGAAAATAGATTTTCCTGTCTGATATGCATTTAACAAAGTGCAGACACATCAGTAGAACTCAACCATTGTTGAGAAATAATGTTTTTCTTAATCTTGATGTCTTAACAATACCACATGTACCCAGTCTTCATCAGAACATTTTTGAGGAGGCTTAAGAATTATAACAACCTATTCTCATTAACCTATTTATGTGTAATTAAATCATACTATTTCCTCAAATCTCCTTCGATTAACCAGAATGTCTCATTTGCGTGATAATTCTTATTTCAGAGTACTTTAAAATTTTCAAGATGCCTGAAGTGATGCTCTGTTTTATAACATACCAAGGCCTTTTGTCTTGTAAAGTTCCTCATGAATGTTCTCATTTTCCTGTACCCTGAAGTTTTCTTTCTCTCTAGGTTTAGCCTTCGTATAACTTCACCTCCTCTGCTTTTTTTTTTTTAATCATCAGCAGCTGCTCTCCAACCAAACTGTGCTGAGCTCTTTGAAAACTTCTGTTACTCACTAGTTGTTTTCAGCAGATGGCACTGTTATTTAGGCTAAACAATTTGTCAACAGGGCAAGGTAATTATTCTTACAAGATTTTTTTTCTAGAACAATAGTATGTCTGTGTATGTAAAATTAACATTGACTTATACTAAAAAAGGAAACTAAAACAAAGAAATTCCCCATGAAGCATAGCTACACTAAAATTATAAAAACATTTAAAATATCACAAAATACCCAAGTGAAATCAAATGTTCAATTGCCATTTTTTTACATTCTTATTTTTGCTAAATGCAACTTAATATTCAGACAATTTTAAAGGTACCTTTATGAATCAAGGTAAATTTGGTGCAAGTGCTAAAAACCAAATGCTCTCGCTTGCTACTACAAAGCTCAGGTGATCAGTAAATTGGTCTTATCTAATTTATATGGTGAAATGTTTTTCAGATATCTAATTCATATAAATGGATAACAGAGGCCAGGGTTCTATTGAAGTTGAGAGTGGAAGGGGTGCATGGTAGTGTTTTAATACCAAGACAATCACTTATTAGCAAAGTAAAATTAAGCATTTGTGGGTCTCAGTTTTATTTGTAAAATATGAATGATAATACTGAAAATGCAGGATTACAAGGGTAAGAAATAATGTGATAATTATTATCTACCCACTAGCTCAAATAAACAAGCAAAAAAAAAATACAAAAAAATGAAGGAAGAAGATCAAAAGGAATATTCTCTTTTCTAATGACGGACGTGTTTTTCACACACACTTCAATGTCTATATTGCCACATTGCATGGAAGAACACCAGTGGTAGCCTTGTAAGTTTCCCTTTTATATCTGGCAGCTGATTCCAGCTGCACCTAAGCCAAGAGGTCATACTACTTTTTGTACTTACTAGGGGAAGGCTATTCAGAACCATAGAATCCAACTTTATATGTATACAGTAATCATCACGGAATAGTCTCAAGGATTTTGAACTATGTTCTTATAGCTATGTTTTTGTAAAGCTAAATATCTCAGGTCTTTCCTATCACCTCACTGTCCAGATCCTAAATACACAGACAGCTTATGTGTTTGACCTCAGCCACTAATGGATAATACCTAGCATTTGTTAATTTCCATCTCCCAAATTAAAACAATCTGTCCAATAAAATTTTTAATGCCCAATACAATATTTACTGAATTTTATTTGTTTCCCAGAACAATACTGAGAGCAGCCTTAATATTCTATTCACAGAACTGCATTCCAACTCACCCCTCCACATCACATCCAATTACAAGTTTTGACGAATAGGACCATCCTTTGATTACAGGTTGGGTTCCCCTAGAGAGGATTCTCACATTAGCTGCCTTAAAATATATCTCCCTTCCCTTTCGAGTGCATAGAAAATATGTTTTTCAGATTCCTTAAAGATGATCCATGTGATACCAGAATATGGTAAACAGCACATATACCCTGGAAATGGAGGTATTTCCATAAGGCAGAGAATGGGGTTGGTTAGAAAAAAAGAACTTCCTGAAGAAACAGGAAGTGACATCCTATCTGGTAAGAAGTATGTTTAAAATCCTTTCCCCTAGAGATGGTGATGAGTGTTTGGGAGTTCCTGAGCAGTGGGGTTCAGAGACAATAAGGAGTGTCAGCACACAACAGAGGAGGCCTATAATGCCTAACATATCTTATGGGTTACAGAAAAGTGGGTATAAAATAAATGAGGAGAGAACCTTGTCTTATTAAGAGCTTTGAGGATTTTAATTTTTTTAATTTTTAACTTTTGTGGATACATTGTAGGTGAATATATTTATGAAGTATATGAGATGTTTTGACCTACAGGTATGCAAATAAAATGAGCACATTGTGAACAATGGGGTATCCGTCCTCTCAAGCATTTATCCATTGAGTTGCAAACAATCCAATTACACTCTTTATGTTATTTTAACACTTTGAAAAAGAAAAAAAACTCTAACTCAATAGTTAAGGAAAGAATTCAAGCAGCTGCATTATAAAGATGATCTTTAGGTGATTCTGACATAAACTTTAGCTGTAAACTTGCAAGAAGATGTACAAATACAAAGCCAAACCATAAATATGGCTGCCATAATATAGGAAAGGTAAGCACAAGGTCAGGGTTCTTGCTATTTAGGGGTGAAAATATGTGCAAACTTTATAGACCAATAATTAAAATTATTGTTATATTAACTTAGATTCCAAGAATCTGTAGTAAGTGTAACTGTCATGATTTCAGATATTTCCAGGAATGTTGGAATAAGAACATATGACAAAAAATATTCTAGGAAAGAAATTGCCAATTGCATGGCTGCCACCTATATACAACTTTAACAAATTAATGGGATCCTTCCATCAATACACAAATGGCAGTCCATGATTTTTAGCTTCATTCCACCTGGCCCTGAGGGTCATCTTTCAGCATGCTACTGTTCTTAACAGATGAATAGATGAAGAGACTATTTCTTTAAAACACAACATAAATACTGGTGGCTTTTCTTTTTTGATCTTTTATGGAATTGGATTTATTTTGTGGTTCAGCAGCCTTTAGTTCTTTATCAAAAAAAATTTGATACCCTACATATACCATCCCAATACTCTTAGCAGTGGGAGTGTTGGGCCAAAATATACGACAAACCTTTCTAAAGAAGGTGAAATAAAACTATTGAATAAGAAAGTAATGAAATTTGATCTTAAACCAAAACCAAATCTATAATTTGGATGTTACTATCAAAAAGGAATAGTTTAGTAGTTTCAGATGAAAAGAATTAAACATATTGACCTTCTATGGATCATAAATTTCAGTCTAAAGCATCAGTCCTAAAAATAAGATATTTTTTATCCTCATACAGGACATGCTTGAAACCTTCCCAGGGAGTCTGCAGGCAAAACTATTTTCATCGTAATTATGAGTCATCATTTGTCTATTTTCATTCTTATTCTCTCACAAATGTTACAGTTGAGTTTTCCAGAGATTCTATGACATATGACATTGCAGCAGACACAGATATACATATGAGCAATCAACTGCCTTCTACTAAGCTAGATATTTAAAAGATGTGCAAAAGTATGAAAGTGATATCACACTTCTAACTAGTTTTTATTATGGAAAATTTATTTTTTAAATAAAATTATTACGTTATTATTAGTATGTTAGTTACATCAACATGTAATGGGTTTAGTAACAAATATATATTTTACATTCTTTTCAGTTTTCATATCTAATGTAGTAAATATTGATAACCCAATCTACTTAACCAGAAGCCTTTTGAGATCCTCCAGAATTTTTAAGAGTTTAAATGAGTCCCCTGAAATGGGAGAGTTTGAGTACTGTTTATTTAAAGATATGACTATTTCCATCTGTTCTTTATCTTATCTTAAAATCTTTGACCTAACAAGTGATATGAGAGTCCAAGGATTTTGACCTTTTCAAAAAATACACAAATATTTAATTATATTACTTTCAGAATATGCCTTAGAAGATCTAATCTAAAGTGAAAGTAGAGATTACAGTAAGTTCAATTAGCAGGAACACTATTGGTAATTTCTATGTCAGGTGAAATGCTGAGAAATAGCACTAAGATGAAAAAAACAGAAGCATTTCTGTCAGAAAAAGCATTATGTATTTACTTATCACATTTAGGCATTTTCTATAGCATATCACAACAATTCAATATATATAAATATTTAAAAATTTTTCTAATATTAATAATTTTAATCTTAATATTTTATTTTATTTCCCTTTTTGGACAGGATTTCACTCTGTTGGCCCTGCTGAAGTGCAGTGGTGTGATCACAGCTCACTGAAGCTTTGACCACCTGGGCTCAAGTGATTCTCTTGCCTCAGCCTCCCAAGTAGCTGGGACCAAAGGCACGTGCCACCACACTCAGCTAATTTTTTTTTATTATTTGTAGAGACAGGATCTCATTATGTTGCCAGGGCTGGTCTTGAACTCCTGACCTCAGACAATCCTCCCAGCTTGGCCTCCCAAAGTGATGGGATTACAGGCAGGAGCCACCATTTCTGGGTAATCTTAATATTTTAAAAACATAATATAAAAGAATCTCATCTCAAAAGTATTTTTCCTGCATGTGCTTCTTACTTTAGGATTATGTAGGAGACACTAAATGACAACTACAAAGCAGCTTACCAAAAGTTATTTCATAGGATAGTCAAATAAAAGCATCATCACTGCTGTTACATAATTGCAATGTGCTTCTCTTTCTTTTAAAAAGAATTCTTTGGGAACTCAGAGTAAAGCTAATTTTTGCCACCAAGCTCTGACAAGACATCTAAATCTTATTCTGAAATTGCTGGTTCAAGCTTGGACTACTTCTGAAAAAAAATCTGCCAATCAAGTTAAAATGTGTGGTGGCTTGTCAAGCCTTGTCCAGAAGCAATTAGAAGAAAATGACCTACAGCATTTCCATTTGTACATAGAGAATTTAAAGGCCTGTCACAAAAGGTGAAAGGCTATTTCATTAAGCCTTTGCTGACAGAGAAAGGAGACCCTCTTGATGGGAGTTCAGCCCATAAATAATGTTGTTCTGGAGAGAAACAGTGGTAATTGTGCCCTAGGACTAAAAAGAAATTAGGGAAGACATACTAAATATTAAGAAATAGGCCTACATTATAACAATTTGCTTTACATTGCTCTTGTTTGTTTTTCTTTTAGAATAATATTTTGGTAGGCCGCCCAGATAGTATTAACTTTTGGCATGTGTATGAGGTTAAGTATTTTAGGGTTATGGTAAAATAAAGTTAACATAATTCCTTGAAAAGTAAAAATCTTGTTTTTCTTGTGTATTCTTAATATCAAATACGATGGTTAGTTTTAACTATCTAGCCAGTAGTAGTTGGGAGAATAAGGTTTCAAGACTCTGAAGACCTGGCTTGTTAATGTGTCTCTGTCAAAATCTCCAAGTATAATTAGATCCCCTTTTTCTCTTTATAAAAGGAAGACAATAACAATTTACTTCACTATCTTAAAATATGGTGTCTTAGGACATTTGTGTTGTTATAAAGGAATACCTGAGGTTGGGTAATTTATTTAAAAAAGAGGTTTATTTGGTTTACGATTCTGCAGGCTGGACAAGAAGCATGGCACAAGCATCTGCTTGTGAGGAGGGCTTCAAGCTGCTTTCAGGCAGAAGGGGGAGAGCAGGCATCACATGATGAGAGAGGAAGGGAGGAAGAGAGAGAGAGGAGGAAGGTGCCAGACTCTTTTTAACAGTCAGATCTCATGGGAACTAAGAGCAAAAACTCAATCTTGCAAAAATGGCACCGAGTCATTCATGAGGGATCTGCCCCCATGACACCAAGCCCCACCTCCAACATTGGGGTCAAATTTCAACATGAGATTTGGAAGGGCCAAATATCCAAACTATATCAAACAGTGAATATTAAGTGAACTAGTATGTATAATCATTGAAAACTCATTCACACTATGGTAATTACCCAGGGGATTGGATGGGAGTGTGAAGGGAACATTCCAATTGCCTGTTGTGGGGATTTTGTTGTTGTTTTATATCTTTCTTGTGTACAGGATTTGAAAAAATGGTTGAAAACTACTGAAAAAATGGTTGAAAACTACTGAACTATAATATATTTGATATGATATGATATTAAATATATGATAATATAATTGCTGGTGGTGGCAGTATAGAATAAGGAAAATATCAAGGGTCTTTAAGCAAGGATGGCTTAGGTTCAAATCTCATTTTCTACATTTCCTTTCTATATAACCAAGTTACTCAAGCTTTGTGAACTTCAGTGTCCTCACTTTGCGAGTAGGGATGATGATCCTTACCTTAAAGCAGTGATTCTTAGTTGGGGGCAATTCCCTCGTCTAGGGGACAGTTAAGAACGTCTGGAGACACTTGGTTGTCACAACCTGGGGAAGTGCTACTGGCATTTAATGGGTAGAAAACAGGATCATTACTAAATATCCTACAGTGCACAGGACAGCTCCCTCAACCCCAAACAAAGAATTATCTGGCCTAAAATGTCAGCTACCTCCAAGGTTAAGAAAATTTGACTTAAAGGTCTATTGTAAGGCTCCAAAGAGATTCTCTATATGAACACACCTAGCAAAGTACCTGGGACATAATTAGAGATCAAAACACCATCAATTTATCAGTTAGATTGATCCTCCTACAAGGACAAATGAATTGTCTGTAGTAATGTCCTAAATTTGGCCCTGCTGAGCCCATATATATTTTATTAGCTGAATGTGCAATATTTTCCCAGAAATCCTCTCCTGAAATTGTTCAATGAAGCCCCAAGATGGCTTATATATGTGACATAAATGTCTTTAGGATCTCTTACATTAATGAGCTGCAGGTAAAATGGTTTTTCTTCTAGTGTTTTTTGAGGCAGGGTGGAGTGGAGTGGATTAAACACAAGGAGCTTTCTCCCGTATACTGAAACCCACTGCCTACAACTCTGACATTTTATTTTTTGGTCTGTTATCTTCAGGGTGTCCTCCTTATCTGAGTATCATGGTTTTTAGACCCCTGCAGCTATGGGGCCACTGAGCAACAGTAGCTATAAAACATTGGTTACATTTACTAATGAACTGATGACTTATAAACATTTTCCAGACTCAAATATTCCTCACAAGTCTATCCCAGTCCATCCCTTCAAAGATCAGTATCTGACCATGTGAATACAGTGCAATTTGATTATAAAACCAAATTGCAATGATTGCAAAAAAATAAGAAAGCTGGGTAATTATGAGTATTGATAGCGATAGGGGATTTAGTATGTTCCATACATTACTGGTGAGAGCACAGACTGGTGCCATATGACCTAGTAATCTAAGTACATTGGTTCCCTAAAATGCAGCAATTCTACTCTAATATGAACAGGCATGATGACCTCCACTGAGTTCTTATTTGTGGAGTCTTGGAATTGATAGAAGTTGGAGGTAATGTGGTAATATGGTTGTCCATAGCTGGAAAAGTAGATAGGCAAAAACTAGCCATTGCATACCAATGAGTACTTTGCAACAGTAAGAAGCAATGTCATAACTACATGGCTGGAACCTAAAACATAGTACTTAATTCCAGGAAGGTGTTGGTGAAGAATTGCTTGAACCATAGCCTGAAACACTGACAGAGTGAGATCAGTTTAAAATTGAAAAAAATAAAAACTGACAAGGATGAAAACAAATGATAGGCACCTCAAAAGATAATTATTTGAATTTCAAAGAATCAAGAAATATTTATGAGAAAAATCAATAAAGCCCTGAAATTATTTTCCCTAAATGGCTCCACAATCAAGCTGTGGATACCAGCAGGGGGAAAAATAACTCATGCCTACAGGGGTTTGGAGGACTCAATGCTTGATTTACACAATTTTGTTCTAATATGTGATGGCAATTTAATATTTTTAAGTATTAGCTGAACTTAATTTTGAGTCTATTTAAGGATGATAACCTAAATGAATTTTTGTTTAAATCATTTAATATTCATTTTAGTCTAGATTTCAATAGAATTTGTTTTTATAGCCTTTTCCAACTTCTCATTATCTTAGAATACTAATGAACACCTGTACTCCTCCCAAAATCCGTTATTCCATTCCATCTGTTAAAGATGTCTCTGTTTCCTCCACCTTGATGGGTGGTTCCCTGCTACTACCTCCTCAGGACCTTAACACTATTCTCCCTATTTCTCTAGTGGAAAAATGCCTTCCGTTTCAAAGAGATACACAAAGCAGAGCTTTTTGAGCCCCTGTGAATATAGATCTTCCTTCAATCCTCAGCCATATCCTTACTAGAATTCACAGCCATGCTAGGAAGCATTCTAAGTAGGGGATGGAGGGTAGGGGCAGACTTAGTATGTAAATATTAATCTCTTAAATCTGAGTACCAACTCCTGTCTTTCATATATTTACCTCTTGTGCTCTCACTCCAATAATTTTTTTGAGAAATAACATTTTGGGTTCATTTACAACACTTCAGCAAAGTTTTATTTATTTTTATTAGCATCAGTAGTGTTTCTATATGCTAATAGTAAACTATCTGTAAAAGAAATCAATAAAACAACTCCATTTACAATAGCTACAAAAATAAGATATCTAGGAATAAACTTAAGCAAGGAAGTGAAAGATTTCCATACTGAAAATTAGAAAAATTTTATGAAATAAATTGAAGAGGATGCAACTAAATGGAATGATATCCCATGTTCAGAAATTGAAAAAATCAACATTGTTAAAATGTCCATACTACCCAAAGTAATCCACATATTTGGTGCATACCCTATCAAAATACCAATGATATCCTTCACAGAAATAGAAAAAAATCCAAAAATTCATATGGAAAAACAAAGGACACCAAATAGCTGAGACAATCCTAGGCAAAAAGAACAAAGCTGGAAGCATTACATTACCTGACTATAAGATATACTACAAAGCTATAGGAACCAAAACAGCATGGTACTGGCATAACAACAGGCATATAGACCAATGGAACAGAAAGAGACCCCAAAATAAATTCATGTACCTATAGCCAACTGATTTTCAATAAAGGTGTCAAAAATATACATTGGCAAAAAGAGTCTTTTCAATAAATGGGGCTGGGAAAATTGTATATCCACATGTGGAGTAATGATATTTGAACCTTATTTCACTTTGTATACAAAAATCAACTCAAAATGGGTTCGACATAAATGTAAACCCTGAAACTATAAAACTACTTGAAGAAAACATAGAGGAATGCTCCATGACATTAGTCTGGACAATTATTTTATGGATATGACCCCAAAAGCACAGGCAGTAAAAGAAAAATAGACAAATAGGATTACATCAAACTAAAAAATTTCTGCACATCCAAGGAAACAACAGAATAAAGAGACAATCTACAGAATGGCAGAAAATATTTGCAAACTACTTTTCTGAAAACATGTTAATATCCAGAATATATAAGGGACTTAACAGCAAAAAAAACCCCCAAATAACCCAACTATAAAATAGGCAGAGAACCTTAATAAAGATTTCTCAAAAGAAGACAAATGGCCCACAAGTATATGAAAAAATTTTAATGTCAGTAATCAAGACCACAGTGAGATACCACCTTTTTCCGGTTAGAATGCTTACTATCAAAAAGATGAAAGAAAACAAGTGTTGATAAGGATAAGTGTTAAAAAGGGAAAAGTGACACACTGCTGGTGGGATTTTAAGTTCATACGGCTATTATGGAAAACAGTATGGAGATTCCTGAAAATATTAAAAACAAAACTACCATATGATCCAGCAATCCCGCTACCAGGAACATATTCAAAGGAAATGAAATCAGTATATTGAAGATATATCACTGCCCCCATGTTTATTGCAACACTACTTACAAATAGCCAAGATATGGAAGCAAACTAATTGTCCAACAATGGATGAATAAAGAAAATGTGGGATATATAGACAATAGAACACTATTCAGCCATAAAAAACAATGAAATCCTGTCATTGGAGACAACATGAATAAACCCGGAGGACATCATGTTAAGCAAAATAAGCCAGACACAGAAAGACACATACTGCATGTTCTCACTCATATGTGAAATGTTTTAAAAATTAAAAAATTTTGATAACATAAAAGCAAAGAATAGAACAATGGTTACTAGCCCTGAGGAGGGGAAAAGGGTGAGGAGGATGGGGAAAGGTTGGCCAATAGGTACAAAGTAACAATCAGATGGGCGGAATAAGTTATGTTGTTTATTGTATAGCAAAGTGATTATGGTCAACAGTAAAGTACTGTATATTACAAAGTAACTAAAAGTAAAGCTTTCAAATGTTGTAATCACAAACAAATGATAAATGCATGAGGTGATGGATGCACTAACTATCCAGATTGGATCGTTATACAACACAAATATGTATCAAAATATCAAATTGTACTCCATAAATATGTACAACTATAATGTGTCAATTAAATATTAAAATAGATTAAAAATAAAAAATTTATATTATCAACTTCTAGCTCTGACAGTGTAGCTTGCATACGTTCAACTCTTCTACTAAGAACAAATAGAAAATATTAATAAAGAAGCATCTATTTGAAAAAAATCAGAGAACTACCAGGGCAGCCAGGATGTGACATCCACGATCCAAGAGAGAATGGGAGTGCATTGCTTTTTCCCTTCAGGCATGTGAAAATTGCTAAGCAACACATAAAAAAGAGATTGGAGTGGACTGGAGTACCACAAAGGTGCTTACATTTAAAACTTAGGATGACATTTGAGAAAAATAAAATCCTTTGGTCACTTTTGAAGGATGCTAAGGAATCAAGTCATTATTTTGAAACTACTAAAGGGAGAGACTTAAGCATGTTTCCTGCTTCTTTTATAAACTATTGTTTAGGGTAACAAAACAGGTGATAAAAGGAAGATTTTCGGGCCGGGCGCGGTGACTCAAACCTGTAATCCCAGCACTTTGGGAGGCCGAGGCGGGCGGATCACGAGATCAGGAGATCGAGATCATCCTGGCTAACACGGTGAAACCCCGCCTCTACTAAAAAAAATACATAAAATTAGCCGGGCGTACATAAAATTACAGGCGCCTGTAGTCCCAGCTACTCGGGAGGCTGAGGCAGGAGAATGGCGTGAACCCGGGAGGCGGAGCTTGCAGTGAGCGGAGATCGCACCACTGCACTCCAGCCTGGGAGACAGAGCGAGACTCCGTCTCAAAAAAAAAAAAAAAAAAAAAAAAAAAAAAAAAAAAAAAAGGAAGATTATCTATATGGACCTTACACTAATGGTGGCAGGTAAACAGAGTTCAGTTGCCTAAAGAAGATTCATAGGACCCAAAATGGTACTTTTTACACTTTCCCAATTTAATAGAGAAGTAGGATACATTACATTAAATCTTTAAAGTCAGTATGTAACCAAGTCCAAGCTCGTACCACTTACTGCATGACAGCCAATAAGTCGTGAGGCAAGGTGTTGGGTCAAGGCAGGTGACTTTATTTGGAAAGCCAGCAAACTGAGTAAATGGCAGACTAGTGTCCTAAAGAATATCTTAAGTGAGTATGAACTTCAGTCTCTTTCTTATGTTAATTAAGGGAAGGAGGAAGAGGAGGGGGTTGAGATCAAGAGGCGACCAATGACCACATACATCAGAACACCAACAAGGGTCCAGGTTGTGAAACTTCTTCATTCTTTGGATGACACAAATCAGGTCACAGTATTCCTATAAATCTTTAACATAACACTGTTACTTGTATGTATACTTTCTTATTTCCTCAGAGGTTAATTTCAGGAAAGGGAATGTTGTCATTATTTTTTTCTTTAAAGCTGAGCTATAAACTTAATTCTTCCTGTAATTAGCTGGTCTGTGTGCAGAGATAAGCAGCATCTTTTAATCTAAAGGAATTACCGCAGGGAGTGTGGGGCAAAGTGGAACCAATCATGCTAAGCCTCCCTCCACTGCTACTAGTTAGTGTCTGCATCAAAACTGAAAGCTTTCTCAAAGCAAGTAAGTTCAAAGAAGCCAGGCACATCATCATTTATGAAGTGGTCTAGTAAAAAAAAAAATCCTGAATCTGATCTAGCCTGTCTCAATCTAACTACCAGCTTTCAGGAAATACAGAAGACAAAGGAGCATGTTAAATAACACTATGTGGGTATAATTAGCCAAATACATCTTGTAGAAAACTTTGCAGAGTAAAAGGATTCATTTTCTTTAACAAAAATTTGAAAGCAAAAAATGTTGGGCTAAAGAGTAAACAGATTTAATTGCTCTTAAATTAAACAGATTCTGGTTCAAACAAAATAACTATTAAAATCGTATACAAAAATTGAGGAAACTCAAACACAATATATATTTAATTACTTTTAAAAATTAGGTGTTATTCTTAAAAGAAAAATGTGGAATAATGGTACAGCAGTTATATATTTTCCAACAACTTTATATTTTAAAGATACTGCCTTAGAATGTTAAGATGAAATGCGATAAAGCACATTTCCCAGCACAAAATCAGCACTCAGTAGATGACAGTTTTTTTTTGAAGTCAAAGAATACATTCACCTTCAAAATCCTTTCTACTTTATTAAAATTTCTTAAATCATCCTATTTAAGGAAAAATAAAAGGAAGTTTTAAATATGTGCTAGACTGATGGTCAGAACTTCATCTGGATAGTAGTAATAACAGGCCTAAGTCTTCCTAACGTCCATATAGCTCACTTGTTCAGATTTAAATTGGGAAAAGCAACAAATTTTTACTTGTTCAACAATTTAACAAATCATTTTTTCTTCCTGTATTCAGAGATCGCAATTATGTAGAATCTTAAACTTGTAATGACATTGACATAATATTTTTAATGTGATAATGATCATTTTGTATATTTTGAGGAATTCTACTTCATTTATTTTTGTTCAGTTTTTCAAGTGGAGAGAAAATACCTTTGCCTAGAGCAGAACATTTAGCATGGACTGAGTTACTATTACTCTTATAAAAACCTGTAGAATAATCTCTGTCCTCATTGAAAGGTAATCATTTTTATATGAGGGAAATAATTCTTGTAAAGAAAAGATATTCATATATCTATCTTATGTGAGGTAATACTGCAGACACTGTTGTGATTTGATGCATAATATATACACAAAAGTTATAGATTCCATACAATGAAAAACATTCAAAATATATTATTTACTTCTGAATGAGGCTTAACCATCTGGCATTCCTTATAATAAATGAATGGAAACACATGTTTAATGAAATACTGGCATTTATAATTTGCTTTTGAAATAACACTATCAATGGTTTAATCATATTTCAAAATTTCATTCAGATACTATTTTAAAAAGACTCCAATCTGATTCCTGAGTGGATTTTTAGGCAAGGGATGAGAAATTACTTAATGGGTACAATGTACACTATTTGGGTGGTGGTTACATTAGAAGCCCAGACTTCAACACTAAACAATAGATCCATCTAACAAAACTGCACTTGTACCCCTTAAATTTTTACAAATATATTTTTAAAAACACATAAAAATATGTTCAAAAAATAATCTAAGTGTTAGGCTCTAAAATATTCCCTAACATCTCAGCTTTCTGGTGTACACAACATGTATAATCCCTGAGACTGGAAATATGATGGATTTTGCTCCTGTGATTAGATAGTGTTATTTGTCACAGTTGGACTTTAAGAAACAGAGATTATGGCTGGGCGCAGTGGCTCACGCCTGTAATCCCAGCATTTTGGGAGGCCGAGGCAGGCGGATCACCTGAGGTCAGGAGTTTGAGACCAGCCTGGCCAACATGATGAAACCCTGTCTCTACTAAAAATACAAAAATTAGCAGGGCCTGGTGGCGTGCGCCTGTAATTCCAGCTACCCAGGAGGCTGAGGCAGGAGAATCGCTGGAACCCGGGAGGCAGAGGCTGCAGTGAGACAAGATGGCGCTGCTGCACTCCAACCTAGGCTACAGAGCAAGACTCCATCTTAAAAAAGAAAACAAAAAAATGCTGGCGGATCACGAGGTCAGGAGATCTAGACCATTCTGGCTAACATGGTGAAACCCCATCTCTACTAAAAAATACAAAAAAAATTAGCCGGGCATGGTGGCGGGCACCTGTAGTCCCAGCTACTAGGGAGGCTGAGGCAGGAGAATGGTGTAAACCCGGGAGGCGGAGCTTGCAGTGAGCCGAGATTGCGCCACTGCACTCCAGCCTGGGGGACAGAGTGAGACACTGTCTCAAAAAAAAAAAAAAAAAAGAAAGAAACTGAGACAGATTATTCAAATGAGCCTGATTTTATCACATGAGCCCTTTAAACATGGGTCTAGAGGTCAGAGTCAGAGTAATTCAGAGATTTGAACAAAGAGAGAAGATTCTCCACTTCTGGCTTTGATGATGGAGGGAGCTACACTGCAAGTAGAGAAAGCAGACACTAGGAACTCAGAGTGGCCACTAGGAGCTGAGAGTGTCTCCTGGCCTACAGCCAGGAAGAAACTAAATTCTGACAAACTCAATGTACTTAGAAGAGAATCCTGAGCTGCAGATGAGAATGTAGCCAGTGGACACCTTGGTTTCAGCTTTGTGATACCCTAAGCAGAATACCCAGCCACACTGTGCCCAGGCTTCTGACTTACAAAACTGAGCTAATAAATGAGCGGTTTTTTTGTTTTTTTTTTTGTTTGTTTTGTTTTTTTTAAGCCACTAAGTTTGTGAAAGTTTGTTACACCAAATTAGAAGACTAATACATCTGGTAAGACATAAATACAAAGGAACGCTAAAATTCTATAAGTAGAAAGAATATCATGTATCTTTTTAAAAATTTACCTATAAGGTAGCATATTCTGACATTTCTTTGTTCTTCAAAATTATAAACCTATTTTTCTATGTGCACTTTGAGGATGAGTATTTGGCAAAGCAACAATTGCATCAATTATTATGTTATTATCTATGGAGGGCAGTAGTGCTTTCAGAGCCTTTTGAGGACGGGCAGTTCTTAATGCATAGCTATGGATTGCATTCTGTAACAATTGTGCTGAATGGCTTCCTAGAATTCCAGAGTTGTGCCTTTCTTCCTTTAAGTTTAATTTTCCTTGGAGAGGTTAGAAGTTACTAGTTAAGATCAAAGGGTGAAATGATTGGGTATGCTGTGTACTGGGGAGATTATGGCAGATTGAATGCTTCTCCTGAGGCTCCAGGGTGATTTCTAGGAGTAAGCTATTACTTTGTTCTTTGCTGCATTTCCAAATGCCAAGTGGATAGGACTAGACTCTAGTAGGTAAAGTCTCTGGGGGCCTATCTATTAAGAAGTTTCAGTGCAAAGGTGAAGTTTTGCCTAAGGAGGGCATCATCAAAAACACCTTTAGATGGTGAAAAACTCTTTAAATAGTTTTCAAGACTATGCATGCAATTAAGTAATTTTTTTCTGAGAGTGTATAGTAGCAGTCCCCAACCTTTTTGGCACCAGGGACAGGTTTTGTGGAAGACAATTTTTTCATGGATGGAGGGTTGTTGTTTTCGGGATGAAACTCTTCCACCTCAGATCATCAGGCATTAGATTCTCATAAGGATTGTGCGATGTAGATCCCTTACATGCACAGTTCACCATAGGGTTCATGGTCCTATGAGAATCTAATGCCACCACTGTTGTGACAGGAGGCGGAGCTCAGGCAGTTATGCTAACTCACCTGCCAGTTATCTTCTGCTGTGCAGCCCTGTTCCTAACAGGCCACAGACCCTTATGGTCAGCTTCCCAGGGGTTGGGAACCCCTGGTGTATAGAATGTATACAAGGGTTTTGTGAGGACAAGAATGTATTTTGCTAGTCTGCTCAAGCATTGGCAACCAAAATGTAAAAGGTATTATGGAGTACTAGTGATTTGTTTATTGTTAAGTACAGTTTATCTGCTGGTGCAAGGATAATTCTATTTCTGTTTTCGACTATATTTAGGGACATACAGGGATATAATATAAGTTTTCCTCAAAAGATAATAAAACTTAATTTAGTAAAGTGTATTTTTATGAAGCCTAAAGAGATCTTAATCCATACATTTAATTTTACAGATCTATCTCATTTTCCTCCAATTATCCTTTAAGTCTGCTGAAGTTGTCTTGTATCTACAAATTTGTCCATGTTACTCTTGATTTAAATCAAAATATGTTTAGCATGTATTCACATTCCCAAATACACTTCTGTTTTTCTCCCTCTTTCTCTCCCTTTCTTTTATCTTCCCCCCTTTCTATTTATCTACACCATATATAATTCTCATTTTACCTAACTATATACAGTCGACTGTCTGTATCTGTGGGTTTTAAATCTATGGATTCAATCAACTGCAGATCAAAAATACTTGAAAAAATATTATGTATGTACTGAACATGTACACACTTTTTAAATTGTTATCATTATTCTCTATACAATACAGTATAACAACTATGTACTTAGCATTTACATTTTATTATTTGTTATAAGTAATCTAGAGATCGTTTAAAGTATAGAGGAGGTTGTGCGTAGGTTACGTGTAAATATTATACATTTTCCTAAGTTTTATAATGTTTTACTTAGCTTATATGTGCATATGATGGAAAGCTTTCCAAGGCATTATATATATGTATACAGCATCATTTTTAACAACTGTGAAAAATTTCATTGTATAGTAGATTTCACAGCTTTCTGTATTGACTTATATTACCAACACATTTTTTGATTTAAGGAAGCTCATCTTGAGAAAGAGAAGTAAATGTTAAATCTATCAAATATAGTAGTGTATTCATAGCAACCACCTAATTAATATTATTGAGAGAATTTGGTGAGCTTATCTCAGGAAAAGCTACTTTCTCTTTTTTATTTTCCAACTTTTTGTTTAAGGGATACATTTGCAGGTTTGTTATATAGGTAAATTGTGTGTCTCTGATATTTGGTATATAAATGATTTCACCACCCAGGTAGTGAGCATAGTACCTGATAGGTACTTTTTCAACCCTCAACTCCCTGCCAACCTCCTCCCTCAGGGAGGCCCTGGTGTCTATTGCTCCCATATTTGTGTCCATGTGTACTCAATATTTAGTTCCCACTTATAAGTGAGAATATGTGATATTTCATTTTCTGTTCCTGAGTAAAATATCTTAGGATAATGGCCTCCAGCTGCACCCATGTTGCTACAAAGGACATAAATTCATTCTCTTTTTTTTTTACTGCACAGTTTTCCATGGTGTACATGTACCATATTTTCTTTATCCAGTCCACCGTTGATGGGCATCTAGGCTGATTCTGTGTCTTTGCTATTGTAGATAATGCTACAGTGAATATATGGGTGCATATATCTTTTTGGTAGAACAATTTATATTCCTTTGGGTATATACCCAGTAATGGGATTGCTGGGTCAAATGGTAGCTCTGTTTCAAGTTCTTTGAGAAATCTACACAATCTACACACTGCTTTCCAAAGTGGCTGAACTAATTTATATTCCCACCAGCAGTATATAAGTGTTCCCTTTTCTCTGCAACTTCATCCACATCTGTTATTTTTTCACTTTCTGATAATAGCTATTCTGACTAGTGTGAGATGGTGCCCCGTGGTTTTGAATTGCATTATCTCTAATAATTACTAATGTTGAATATTTTTTCATATGCTTGTTGGCATGTAAGGCAGGTCTGGTGGTAACAAATTCCTTACATTTGCTTTTCTGAAAAATATTATATTTCCCCTCCACTTATGAAGCTTAGTTTGGTTGGATATGAAATTCTTGGTTGGAATGTCTTTTCTTTAAGGATCCTGAATATAGGCCCCCAACCTCTTCTGGCTTATATGGTTTCTGCTGAAAGGTCCACTGTTAGCCTGATTGGATTCCTTTAGTACCCGACCTGCCCCTTCTCTCTAGCTACCTTTAAGATTTTTTTCTTTCTCATTGACCTTGGAGAATCTGATGACTATGTGTCTGGACGTGGGCATCTTTTATAGTGTCTCACAGGGGTTCTCTGAATTTCCTGAATTTGTATGTCACCCTCTCTAGTGAGGCTGGGAAAATTTTCATGGACAATATCCTCAAATATATTTTCCAAGTTGTTTGGTCTCTCTTCATCTCTTTCAGAAATGCCAATGTGTCATAAGTTTCGTCTCTTTAAATAATCCCATATTTTTCAGAGGTTTTGGTAAATTTTATCCCTTTTCTCATTTGGGAAAAAAAAGTGCAGCTCATTGCCAGAGCACTCATTTAATTTTACATAAACACATTCTTTAAGGCTAAAGCAAACCTGACTGATTTTCAATGTGAAAATAAAATATTAAAACTATTCTTGAAGTTATTTCTAAACAGAGCTAACATCAGAATCATCTGAATCATCAGAATCATCTATTTCGGAAAAATCAGATTCATCAAATAAATCTTTGGCCAAAAACTGTTGCAGAACAATGTTAATATCATGCATAGGAATGCTGTGATTTTTAGGATTCAACATTTTCAGCAATTGAGAATTACTATATTCTGTAAATGGAAATACAGCTACTGAAGTCAGAATGCTATAAATAGACTGATGTCTTTTGTTTCCAAAGTCGATATACTAGAATGATGTGAAAATAATAATAAAAGCGAGATATTTTAATGGCGAAGTTATCTCAGGGTAAACACTGTAGCCACAAGTGCCGCCAGCGAGTCTCGGGGCAGAGGGGAAAAAGATTAAAATTCTTTTTTCTTTATTTTTGTCTGCCTGCATTGATTCAAAAGAGCAATCTTCAAGCTTTGATATTGTTTCCTCAGCTTGGTCTATTCTCTTATTAATGCCTCCAATTGCATTATGAAGTTCCTTTAGTGAATTGTCCATTTCTCGAAGTTCAGCTTGGTTCTTTCTTGAAAATGGCTATGTAGACTTTCCACTCTTGGATCATTTTGCTGGTTTCCTTGGATTGGGTTTTAAACTTCCCCTGTATCTTGTTGAGCTGCCTTGCCATCCAAATTCTGAATTCTATGACTGTCATTTCAGCCATTTCCATCTGGTTGAGAACCATTTTTAGGGAGCCAGTGTGATCATTTGGAGGTAAGAAGACACTCTGACTTTTAGAGTTGCCACAATTCTTGCACTGGTTCTTCCTTATTTGTGTGGGTTGATGTTACTTTAATCTTTGAATTTCCTATCCTTTGGATAGGGCTTTTTCCTTTTATATTCTCTGATGCCCTTGAGGGTTTGACCATGGTATAATTTGGGTTTAGTTGAATAGGCTTCATTTCTGGTTGCTTTCGGGGGCCCAAGTCTCAGCTCAGCACTCCTGCTGCACTGGTGGAACTGAGGTGTTCCCAGTCTACTGGCAACAATACTCCAAAGGGGGCTGCTGGCAAAAGCACTCTGACAGGATGGCAGGAGGCCGGTAGGCAAGTGCACACTAGCAAGGCATTTGTGGAGGACCACAGGCAAGTGCACACCAACAGGGTTGTGGGGTTGGGGCACAGCTGAGTGTGCAGCAGTGGGGTAGGCACAGGTACATGTACACTGGTAGGGCAGTGGGTGAAGGCTGTCAGTGAATGTGTACCGGCAGGGGAAGGCTGCAAGCAGTTGCAGGACAGCAGGGGTTCACCTGCAAAAGTATTCCAATGGGAAGTTGGGGGGCTGCCAGCATAAGAGCTATGGCCGTGACCACTGGCAAGTGTTTTGTCAGGGCAGCTGAGGCTGTACTGCAAGCGGGTGTGGCCAGGAAGGGACCCTCAGAGAGCCTGGCAGACAGGGGAGTATTCACATCAGACTGGCTCAATTCTGCGGGCAAGACAGCCCTACTCCCTCCAGGACCAGCAGCTAACAAATGCTAAAGTCACCTATAGGAGTATGGTGAGACTTAAGGGATGGGCACCCATAGTCATGCTTCACTGCCACCATTCCCATGCCAAACCCTCTGGGCTCCATGCAAACTGGAGTTCTGTCTTTGCCACCTGTTTGGGAAGTTCTCTCTGTCAACTAAAATATCCATAGGGGTTGTAGGGTCTCCCACAGCTAGGATCCCAGAGGTCCATGGTGAGAGTGGGCCACTCCATGCCTATTTCATTCACCTCTTCCCTAGGAGCTGCTTGGAGCCAGGAATCAGTTCTGACACTTGGCAACCCCACACAGGGTGCCCAGATTTCTCCCCTTTCAGCCCAGGGTCTGCATCCTCCATCCATCTACTGTCAGTGCCTTTTCCCCAAAGGTCTGTTCGAAATGTGCCAGTCTGATTGATGATCTTGTCTGTTTTGGTGGAAGAATTTCTTCCTGGCTACATCTAGTCAGCCACCGTGGCTCTTCCCTCTTCCACCATTTTATATAAGGAACTTGAGCATTCTCAGATTTTGATATTCATGGGGGATTCCTGGAACAAATTCCCCACAAATACCAAAGAGCAACTGTGTATTCCAAGTGGGAGCCATTGTACCAAAAGATATCAGTTGAATCTTTACTTGATATTTTCAGAATTTTACTACGGCCATTAAATGTTGTATCCCAAGACTTATTTTGTTTTTTGAAATGTGTCTGCATCTACATTTTTTACCTTATATTTTAGTCCAGGGTGTGCACTGTGTTCATTAAACATATTTTGTTCTGTGCCCAGCACTGTACCATGGACCCATGGCTGCTTTTTATATGATGATGATAACACTAACTTAATGACCTGAGAATAGGATAAGGAAAATATCCTTTGGCCTTTAAACCTGTCTCTGAAGCCTCTCCTAGCATTATAGCCTTTAGCAAATGAACTCCAAATCTGTTTCCTAATCTATAACTTTCCACCTTAGAGGCAATTTTGTGGAATTAATAATATGTGAATCACTTTGAAATCCACAGATAAAAAGTCCTCTCTAAATTCTAAGGATTGGTTTAATTATACCATAGGGGACATTTGGGTTTATATTAGAAAGCATGCATATTTATAGCTTTTTATTTTAATGCTGGCTATTTTAGCTGAATAAGCTATTTTTACTGCTGAAGATGCCTGGTATTATTTTTTTTAATAATTTTAAAAGATATAAATAGTTTACTATAGCAATTAAACCCAAAGGTCAAATATGTCTCACACATAAAAGGGATGAACGTATTATCAATCCTTTTTAATGAAACAGTACATATCATTAGTATATTGTAGACTTCTTATTCTATGAATAGAGATTCATTTAAGTAAAGAGCCTAACATGGTCCTATTTGTATATAATACCCTGATATGTGGGTTTGTGTGATCATTAAGAAGTAGTGTTGGGTGAAGAGTTTTTCCTATTTTCTTCAATCCCATTTTATAGACGCTGTAAAAAAGATGGTTTAAAACATCTGTTTCTTATTTAATCCATGTGTGATAGTACACACACATTGCATGGAAGCTGATAATGCACCAAGCATATAAAATGAATTATAATTCTATTCCTATAGCACGTGAATCTACTGAGGCAGTCAGAAAATAAGCAGATCATTTAAACACAACTAGTTCTATAAGAGTGGTTTGAACACAATGCTAATAAAGGTCGTGTAGGAGAGAGAAACGCTCTCTCTTTGGTGTCTAGAAAAATTTCAGAGAGGAAATGTTTGACCTGGAGCTGGAGAGAATAAAAGTTATGTATGTGTTTAAGGAAAACAGGCATCACATATCAGAATTTCGAGAAAATAATATATCCCTGATTTTGTTTAAACAGAGAGGAAGGTCATCCATGTAGTTGTATTTGAGGGATTTCTTACTATTATACATCTCTTCTGCCTTTCCCTCTTTACACCTGACATGTGAATGTAGGGACTCACATATGTGTACTATGCTGTAACACTCATGGATATTTGCTTTCCATAGCTATTTCTCTCCCTCCTCCTAGTTGACAGCAAAGTCTGCCTTACATGATGGAAGCTAAAATGGCATATTTTCCTGGTCCTAGCCACTCTTGCTGCTAAATGACATGAGTGATAACAAAAACCAAACTAAACCGCCTATCTACTTGACATGGGTTATATATGGATGTGACGTCTGCATTCCCTGAATCTCAGTATGAGGTAATAACCCTGAGGATGAAATATCAGTACTCTGTGTGTGGAAGATAATTTTGGCGGGACCCTGAGTACTTGATGACATCAGTAAATGTCTAAATACATCCTGGAAACTCTTCTTTCCAGGCTCCTTGGTAAGTAAGATAACTACTGTACTTGCTGTCAAAACTAAACTAATACTAATAGATATATTTATTAATACATACTCTCTATGACAGTTTACTAGATGATTTTATGTTAATCACAAATGGTTTGATTGATATATTTTAGAGTATATACTTCAACGTAGAGCATTAACAATAGGATTAACAAATAGCTAATATTTTAAAAGAACATTTGATGAGGAAATATATTTACAGATTCTAAAGAATAACACAAGGTTATTGTTATTTTTAGTACATTTCATTGCTAATGATGACTCACAGGAACAAAATGGCATGGCTTATGGATCTTCAGTTTATTTGGAGAAAAGGATATAATAGGGCAATGGCATTAAAGCCAGGCTATGCATTACTGCCAAAGACTGTCTCACAATAGGGTCTGAAGAGGCTAGATTCCAGCGCCAATTCTCCTCCTTCTGTAAAAGCCATCCCAAGACATACTTTCTCTTAGGAACCATTTATCTGTATATAGAACACCATGAAACCAAGAAGCCCAAAATGGAGTCTCAGCTGGGACTTCTTATATTCTGTTGTTCACATAGGCATATTCTTGCTATATAATCGGCTCTAATGTCAGAGCCCTCTGATGATGCCTTGGGGGATTGGTGGAGCGGTGTCTCCCCTAAACCAAATGTAAACCATCACGCTCAGTGTAATCAGTAAATTATGCTGACCAGTCAGTCCAAACTTTCAAAACTCCTCTTAAACTCATAGTTACAAACCAACACTATTAATCAATACGTTTAATGCTTTGGCCATTAGTCAGTGTTGGGCAGGTGCATTTCTTACTCAGCAAAACAGCTCAGGCCAATTTCAGGCCTGCTGGAATTAACCTTCACAGCACAGGATACATGACAAAGTCCACAATTAAAATTTTACCTAAAACAAATTATATGTGCCACAATATACATATCTGTAAACAATAGGTTGTCTTGAGATAAGTTATCTTCAAACATTCTGAAAAGCAAATTTAATTTTTTTTCAGAAGAAAACCTGTTAGATAGGAAGAATTATACAAATGTAAAATACTACTATTTACTGCTATTTGGTATACTATAGCTAGTCCTCATACATTTTGGTCTCAGGACCACTTTACACTCCTAAGTATTATTGAAATTCCTCAAAGAGCTTTTTTTTTGTGGCAGTATATATGTTAATATTTACCATATTAGAAATTAAAACAGAAATCTAAAAATACTTTTGAAAGAACTATATTTAACAACACAAAATAAAACATTAGTCAAAGAGTAGCATTGCTTTACATTTTTGCAAATGTTTTAAATGTCTAGCCTAATAGAAGACAGGTGGATTCTCATATATACTTCTATGTTCAATCTGTTATGATATGCTGCTTTGGTAGGATTAAGTATATGAACAAAATATTGCCTCTCATAGATAAGTATTTGGAAAAGGGAGAAATATTTTAATAGTCATTTAATGTAATTTTGGATACTCTTCTTTAATACTACACTGAAACTTCATAAGTGATGATTTCATAAAAGTAAGCAGCAATGTGAAATTTGAAACCATATCAGTAGACTCCTTGTACTCTGTTACACCTGGGACTTTTAATGTATGTTTTATACATATATGATTTTGCATTGGTCATTGGAAAACGTTGGTTCACTGACATTTCATTATGTAACATAAAAATTATATTAATTCATCAGCAGTCTCATCAGAAAAATCTAGGTATTGGGAAGCTGTGAAGTTTATGTAAGCTTCCAATTACAAAATTTCTAAAATTTGAATTTTTGCATAAAATCTCAAAATGATTCATTGGCAACAAATATTGTCAGGTTTTTTGTTGAAGTTGTGGGCTCACTGTGATCATTTTGAGCCTTCCAAGTCAACGTCTTCCAAAGTCTTCCAAGTACCCAAGTTTGAATAACCATTACTTATCTGTCAGTAGTACTTTCAGGCACAAATAATGTTCCATGAAAAAAGCAAAATAAGTACTTCACCTCTCAAAATACCACACAAATGTTTTTCCTTGAGACAACCATTGTAATTCAATACCTGGCAAAAGTGCTTTGGGTTTACTTCCCATTTTAACACACAAAATGTTGAAAGATATTGATATGGTTAGGCTTTGTGTCCTCACCCAAATCTCATCTTGAATTGTAATCTCCATAATCCCCATAATCCCCATGTGTCAAGGGAGAGAACACGTAAAGGTAATTGAATCATGGGGGCAGTTTTCCCCATGTTGTTCTTGTGATAGTGAGTGAGTTCTAACAAGATATGATAGCTTTGTAAAGGGCTCTTCCCCCTTCAGTTGGCCCTTCTCCTACCTGCTGCCTTGGAAAGAAGGTGCCTTGCTTCCCCTTCGTCTTCCACCATGATTGTAAGTTTCCTGAGACCTCCCCAGCCATGCTGAACTGTGAGTCAATTCAACCCCTTTCCTTTATATATTGCCCAGTCTAGGGCAGTTCTTTATAGCAGTATGAAAATGGACTAATATAGATATTTAATCAAGATTTTATGAAATTAATATTTTCCTACTTTTTCCAGGACATTCTTAAATGAAACCAGAATTTTCGTTTTAGTACTGTGCATACACTTTGGTGCCACTGCCTTGATTTGTCCTAAGGTGCTAGCACTTTTATCTACTGTTGCTTTTGTAACTTCCATACAAATATTAACACAGTGAAAAAGACAAATAATTCTTTGCATTTTCTTAACTCACCAACTACCTGTACAAGTCTCATCAATGCCTGTGATTCTGTGGACCATATTTAGAGGGCCATGTGCCTAAAGAGAGAAGCCTAAAGTCTGATTCTAAAAATATAGATTCAAGTTCTGAGTCTATAGTTTTCTAGCTATCATGTGCAAATCAATGAGCCATTTTGGGGAACGTATTTTTCCTCAAAGTTAATAGGTTCAATTTTAAGAACAAAATGATATGATGTAAAGGAACATTTTATGTGAAGTAAAACAATGCTAAGAAAGTACATTTTAGTTATTACCACCACCACTGTCTTTGCATGAATACATAAAGCAGATAGTAGTGTATCTTTAATATTTAGATATGCCAGTGCTGTGTGTTGGCAATACAATGTTATATAACACATTTTATGTAAACACTTAAGCAATCAAGTTTGAAAGGATGACACAACTCCCTTTATTTTTCACACTGTTGACGCATTAGTAACAGTAACACCTTTGGCATCTCTGTATCATTTGAAATATCTGGTTACAAACAGCCCATTATCAGAAATAAAACATGACTCTCAAGAGATCATTATTATACACATTGAACTTGCAACACATCAGTCCATAAGAGCCTACCTAGAAGAACTATACGGAGTTCCTCTTTTCTGGTTTTTCTTTCTCCTTCTGTCTCATAATTATGCCTTAGCCTGTTTGCCCATCTACGTTCCATCAGGAGCCTTGCCTATTATTCAGCTCACTTCATTTGTTTTCTTCTTGGTGGAGAAGCATTCATGTATTTAGGGTCCTTTCTCAAAGTAAAACGTCTGCTAGACCAAGACATCTTAATCTTTAGATGCATAAGAAACACCTGGAAAGATTTTTAAACCAATTAATCCTTGGGATTCTCCCCAACCCCATGAGATTCTGACTCCTCAAGTAGGACTCATGAATTTGTATTTGTAAAACATCTCAGGTTATATTGATGTTGCTAATCTCAGGACCACATTTTCAGTAGCACTGTACTAGACAAACAAACTTTTCTCCTTCTAATATAGAACACCTTAAAAATATGCTTCAGATGCGTTAAAATGCTAACAGTCATTATCTCTTTGTCTTACCAAGATCAGCTGGCATATAGGGCAGGGAAGCAGATGAAATCCACATTCCAGATATTTTTAAAAAGTAGACTCAAAGGGATAAATAGTTCCTTAATGATGGCATTGAATTGATAGTTTACATTTGACCATAAATGAATGAAAGTGATAGCTTGCTTGTTAAAATAAACAACTGATTATAATTAATTTAATTTTCCCTTTGTCTTCTTCTAAAGTCTCTAATAGGCTCATGGTTTCACCCAATTACTTGACAAAGAATGGCAAAGTTTCTGTTGACTAATTTTCTTCTCCTTGCATTTTTGTTCCTTTATATTTGTTTAATAGGTTGCATATTTCAAGGCTTGAATTTCTAGAAATTATCCCTTTGACTTCATGATAGTGAAGTAATTAGTACTCTTTAGTGATAAACCATTTTCACAAGTGTATTAGTCTAAAAGAAAACATTTCTAAATGTGTCATTGGAAAGAAATCAAAGATCTGTAAAAGATCTTTGTCAGAGGAGAACTTGAGTGGCTCAGTTCTTCTAATAGCCTTTTAATTTGGAAAGAAGTCTTATGGGAGTTAGTTATGAAATGTTCACATGATAGTCTGTAAAAATGTATTGGAGAATTAAAACAAATGGTTATTTTATGATTATTTTTGAAAACATAAAGCTCAAACTGGTAATTGAAACTAACTCTAACTTTCCACTAGAAAAACTATGCCAAAAGACCTAACCCATCTTGCTGAGAATTTTTATATAAGAATATAGCACAAATGCCAATGGCATCTATGAATGAGATGCAATCATGCAAGGGTGGGGTTGGGGGAGAGGAGTAGAGAAACAGTAGTTATTTACTAAAAATGTTTTAATAATGGGGTTTGTACTAAGTGACATTACCTGAAATTGCTTTAAAATCAATAATATTTTGAACACTAGGATGTAGCTCTCAATATTGTGTAAATATTCAAGACAATGTATAAAGGTGATGGATGAGAGCAAGCATTCTCTTCACATATTTGAGAAAACTTACCTGATGCCAATAAATTACTTCTTTCAGGGCTTTAACAGCCAAAAATATCTCATTAATTCAATAACTATAAAATTTAGAGAGTTTCTGTATTTCATTTTTTATAACAGGGTATTGTATACACATGCACTTCTAGAATTAAGACTTTTAAATGCCTTAATGTTATACCTTTCTTATAACTTCTTTGTAAGGGGACATCAGCAAATACTTTTGGAGAAAGGAGACACATGAGGTAAGTCTTCATGGATTAATTGGACAAAATTGGATGAGGGAAGGAATAGGATATCCCAAAGCAGAGATCACAGAAAATGTGTTATAATCTTTAGCTCATTGTTAATGTTACTGAGAAGTGTGGGAATCCTTGGTTCTTAGTCTCACTTGGGAGAAATAATTTTGCCAAGTGACTAATTTAGCCAAAAAAAGAGAGAATTTATTGAAGGAAAATAGAGAGCAGAGAGTTTATATAGAGAGAAACAGTACATTCTGAAAGATGAAGCAGTGTGGGTTGCTGAAAAGGAGTGAGCCAGCAGCACTCCAAGAGTTTTGCACTGGGTTTTTATGATGTCAGATTTTTTTTTGAAGTTACTGCTCTAAGTCTCTACTTTTTTTTTTTGGCAAGTTTTCCCACTACTGCCTTAAGTCCTTGCTTTTTCTCCACCTAGTTATCACCCCAGGCTTGTGAGGCCCTCCCTTACAATTAGTTGGTGTGCATGTGTGGGCCTGGTGTTGGATATTAATTTTGCCTGCATATTTCTTAGGAATTTCCGTTTTTGCCCTCTTCCCCTATATTAGTCCATTTTCATACTCCTATAAAGAACTGCCTGACACTGGGTAATTTATAAAGGAAAGAGGTTTAATTGACTCACAGTTCAGCATGGTTGGTGAGGCCTCAGGAAATTTACAGTCATGGCAGAAGGTGAGGAGGAAGCAAGGCACCTTCTTCACAAGGTGGCAGAAAGGAGAAGTTCCCAGCAAAGAAGGAAGATTCCTTATAAACCCATCAGATTTCATGAGAACTCACTCACTGTCATGAGAACTGCAGGTGGGGAAACCGCCCCCATGATTTAATTACCTCCACTTGGTCTCTCCCTTGACACGTGGGGATTATGGGGATTATAGGGATTACAATTCAAGATGAGATTTGGGTGCGGACACAAAGCCTAACCATATCACCCCCCTTATCAGCATGTACCTAGCAACATTCTGACAGGTTAACTAAAGAGTCAGAGATTACTGGGAATCTTAATGGGTGTTTCTTCCTGCATAGGTATTTCCCCACCTCTCTGCTCATATACAGCATACAGATTTTGGATACTTTCTGGGGTATGAGATTTTCCAGACTTCCCTTTTCTCAGGGGCTCCCCTCTCCTGCTCATGTCTAGCTGTCTGCCTACTCTAACATTAATACAGCATAGGAATCTATGGGGATCTTATTAAAAATATATGTTAAATCATGTCACTTCTCAAACATGCTAATGACATCCCATATTGCCAAAGGCAAAGTGCTTACCATTCTTGTAAGCCCTATGTCATCTAGCCCCCATTTACCTTACTTTCCCCATGTTCCCTTTGCTCTAGCCACAAGGCCTTCTTGCTATTCCTCAAACAGGCCACTGAAACTACCATGTCACTACTTTTGCATTTGCTGGCCTTGCTGTCTAAAACAACCTTCGTCTATATATACATGTGGCTTGACCTTCTACCACTTATTCCCTTTGCTGTTTGCTCTAGTACTATCTCAGTGAGGCTTTCCCAGACCACCATATCTCAAATTTAAACCCCTGTTCCCATCACATCTTATTGCTATCCCCTACTTCATTTTTACCTGTAGTAATTGTAATTGTGTTATTTATTGTCTACCTTCTCTCTACAATGTAAACTTCATGAGGGAAGAATTTTTGTCTCTGCTTCATTTGTGTGTTGCCTGGAAGGATGATTATAATAGAGTAGGCACTCAATTAGGCACTCAATAAATATTTATTGAATGAAATAATAAATGAATGAACATTTTTATGAAGAAAGTACTGCATCTTCTAACACAAGCTCAAGTCAACAATTTGCTTTTAAGTTGTTAGTGTCAATTTCTAAATCAGAGGACTTTTTTACCCTTTGTTTATTATGTAATCACCAGCAAGATTTCAGAGCCATTAACCTGCACTTTGTGACATGCTGCAAAATCTGCTTGAGTCCAAATACAACAACCTTTTAAATCACTTTATTCCTTTTCTCCTAGCTACTGATGAACTGAACTACTTCTCAGGTAGAAAATCACAGGATTGTTTTAATTGGACTAAGAATATACTCAACGAACCAAAATTAACTCACATAATTGGTCTCAGGGTGTTCCTAAAAGTTGTATCTATGTATATATTTGTTGCCATTCTTATTTTACCATATGGCACAAAGCACTTGTATTCAAAAGTTATTTTAGGCCAAATATTTCAATCTCAATAGATTAAATGTATTTTAAAATTGTGTCAACTCAATTAAAATTAATTAAACTCAGAATTCCTTTAAATAAATAGACACTGAACCCTGGGTAACACATCTCCTTTCAAGAATCATGAATAAAGGGAAACATGAGGCTAACACTGTGTCAAACAATCAGCATAAGTACCATGCCATGTTTTTTATTTTATTATTTTTATTTGATGTATTTATTTATTTATTTATTTATTTATTTATTTATTTATTTTGGAGATGGAGTCTCACTCTGTCACCAGGCTGGAGTGCAGTGGCATGATCTCAGATGTCTGCAACCTCCGCCTCCTGTGTTCAAGCAATTCTCCTGACTCAGCCTTCTGAGTAGCTGGGACTACAGGCACATACTAGCATGCCCAGCTAATTTTTTTTTTTGTATTTTTGTAGAGACAGGGTTTCACCATGTTGCCCAGGCTGGTCTTGAACTCCTGAGCCTAGGCAATCTGCCCACCTCAGCCTCCCAAAATGCTGGGATTACAGGCATGAGCCACCGCAGCCGGCTGGTACCATTTTTAATGCCATATCCACATATGTATCACAAAGGAAGCTTCTAGCATCTGCTTCTTACTGTGCTTTCCTGAATCAATTGAAACTCACAGTTTATCTAGATTTAAAGAAAAAGTTTTAAATTAAAAACTAAATCTTCATGCTTCTCTCCCTCCTCCTACCATCCATCCTCAAGTAGACCCCGGTATCTGTTGTCACCTTCTTTGCGTTCATGAGTTCTCATCATTTAGCTCCCACTTACAAGTGAGAGCATGCAGTATTTGGTTTTCTGTTCCTGCATTACTTTGCTAAGGATAATGACCACTAGCTCCGTCCATGTTCCTACAAAAGACATGATCTTGTTCTTTTTTAATGGCTAAACAGTATTACATTGTATATATGCACCGCATTTTCTTTATCCAATCTATCATTGATTGGCATTTACGTTGATTCCATGTCTTTGCTATTGTGAATACTGCTGCAGTGAACATATGCGTGCATATGTCTTTATAGTAGAATAATTTATAGTCCTCTGGGTATGTACCCAGTAATGGGATTGCTGGGTCAAATGGTAGTTCTTTTTTCATCTCTTTGAGGAATCACCACACTGCTTTCCACAATGGTTGAACTAATTTACAGTCCCACTAACAGTGTACAAGTGTCTCCTTTCCTCCACAACCTCACCAGCATCTGTTATTATTATTATTTTTTTGATATTTAGGAATAGCCTTTCTGACTGGTGTGAGATGGCATCTCTTTGTGGTTTTGATTTGCATTTCCCTAATGATTGGTGATGTTGATCTTTTTTTCATATGACTGTTGGCTGCATGTATTTTGAAAACAATAGTAAGATAGGTTGCTAGCTAAACTAATAAAGAAGAAAAGAGAGAAGATCCAAATAAACACAATCAGAAATGTGAAGGGGATGCTACCAGTGATGCCACAGAAGTAAAAATAGCCATCAGAAACTACTATGAACACCTCTATGCACGCACACTAAAAAATCTACAAGACATGTATAAATTCGTGGACATATACACCTTCCCATGACTGAACAAGAAAGAAATTGATTCCCTGAACAGACCAATAATGAACTTCGAAAGTGAATCAGTAACAAATAGCCTACCAACCAAAAAAAAAAAAAAAAAAAAAAAAGCCCAGGATGAGATGTATTCATAGCCAAATCCTACTAGTGATACAAAGAAGAGCTGGTACCATTCCTACTGAAACTATTCCAAAAATATTGAGAAGGAGAGACTCCTCCCCAACTTATTATATGAAGCCAGCATCATCCTGATGCCAAAACCTGGCAGAGACACAACAAAAAGAAAACCTCAGGCCAATATCCTTGATGAACATTGATGCAAAATCCTCAACAAAATACTTGCAAACCAAATCCAGCAGCACACCACAAGCTAATCCACCACAATCAAGTAGGCTTCATCCCTGAGATCCAAGGTTGGTTCAACATACACAAATCAATAAATGTGATTCATCACATAAATAGAACTAAAGACAAAAACCACATAATTATCTCAATAGATAAAATTCTGATAAAATTAAGCATCACTTCGTGTTAAAAACTCTCAATAAACTAGGTATTGAAGGAACATACCTCAAAATAATAAGAGCCATCTGTGACAAACCAACAGCCAACATCATGCTAAATAGGCAAAAGCTGAAAGCATTCCCCTTGAAAACCAGCACAAGACAAGGATGCCCTCTCTCACCACTTCTGTTCAACATAATTTTTAGTGTCTACTAAAAGACAGTAAAGAAATATCCGATGTGTTTCATAAAAAGGGCACAGACCCATACTTACCTTATATGGTGTTAATATAAAATACATTTTATTGGGAAAACTTACAGACAGAAAAGCTACAGTTAATACGATTTCATGTCCTCTTATCATTCTGTGTGTGGCTTAACTGGATGTACCATGAAAAAATGCTCACATGGGAAGACTCCCACCTACCTCACTGCTTGATACATTTATAGAAAAAGTACATGATGGAGAGATTAGCTAGTAAGTTATTCAATAATGACACATTTTAATTCAAAGAAACTTGTCATATACCAAATCTAGGAAGAGACCTGTCCTCCCCTGAGCCAGATATTGGGGTAAAGTGGAAGATAAAGCCATATATATATATTTAAAGTGGGAACCAGTTTTGGAAGTTAAATAAATGTGAGCTTTGATTAAAGTTATATTTCCATTTGATAACGCAACTTACTTGGAGTTATCTCAACTCATGGGATTTTGATGGACAATGAACCTATGGCCAGCTAAAAATATTGGGTTGGTTAGTCACATTTTTTCTTTTAATGAAAATAATACTTCCACTGGGCCCATTCAGAAGCAAGTCATTATAGCTCAGAGATAACATATCAAGGCAGTTTATTAAAGATGCATATGAAAGTGCATATTAAAATGACTGATTTATTGTGTACATTCAGAAATAATTAATTGTTCTGAATTTGAAATACAAGAAATAGGGTTATCGATGAGAATATACCAAGGAGTATTCTACTTGCTGAGTATACCTCATTTTATTTCTTTCTCACCAACTCTGTGATGTATCTGCTGTTATTCTCATCCCCACTCCACATATTTTGAATCCAAGGCTCATAAAATTGTTCCAAATAATCACACTATTATTAAGTGAAAGAATCATAAACCAAATCCTAGTGTGTATCCTCCAGAGTCTACACTCTTAACTACTGGTCATGTTGCCTCCCAATTTCCTTCCATAAATTTTGCCCTAAAATAACATTACAGAGGATAAATGGCATCATTTTTTTTCTTTCTATGGAAAAGAATCTATATCAATATTAGTTGTATACGCAAAAAGGGAAGTAGTTTCCTGTGAGTTTCATATTTGTTTATCTTATGCTGTTGGTGTGATAGAAATGGCAAGGAAATAAGGATCTGCTTGTGTGACTGTAGTAACTTAATTAAAGGCAAAGTCATTTAAATTCTTTTTCCCTTTCTATAAAGTTGGGGTAAATTGGCCACTTAATTTGTCAAGTGTATTGATATTAACGAGTGACTGGCTGTAATAGCATTTTAAATTTAGAGGAAAGGCAATATGCAAGAATGAATCATTAATTCTATGATTAGGAATTTCCATTCTCAGGCAGATTTAAAACTCTTTAACAAGGTGAACAAGCACTGATAAAAAGAACATAGAGCAGGAAAATGTTATGTCTGGACACAGGCAGGAAAGTGTAGGCTTAGAAATGAAAGTTGTCACTGTCTTGGGAGACACATAATTGCATTTGGGAAGATTCTAAAGGTTAAGAAAAAGTTTATTTCTCTACTACTTTTGCCTTTTGGGGAACAAAGTTAGATTACTGATGTAGCTTACAGAGCATATCCTGGTGTTTGGTGGGATTACAATTTCAATAGTGTCCATATCTATTTTAATAGAGAGAATTATTGTATTTCCCCTTGGCATTATAGATTTGCTACTGATACAAATTGATTTGGATAGGAGTTATTGTATTATTTGTTTCTCTCCAATTATATGTTTAATCTTTCTAGACCTCACTAGTTACTTGAATAACTTGTTCATATATCAGGTATCTAAATATATCTTATTATTGTTTAGCAGTGGTTATAAAATACCCATGAGTCCCTATCAAGAATCCTTTGGACTTTTTTTAGACCGTCTTTTTAATTAAATTTGGCCTCTGTGTCTCCCTACACTCCTTGGAATTCAAGTATAAAATTAGTTGGCAGCTCAAGTGCATTTTAGAAAAAAAAAAAAAAAAAACCAGAAAGTATAGCATTCTAGAGTTTCCAGTTCACCAATATATTTTTGGTAGGCAGGATAATGCCTCTGCCCCCAATAGATGTCCATATCCTTATCCCCTGAACCTGTAAGTATTTAAGATTACAGAATAAAGAAGAATTAAGGCTTCCGATTGAATTAAGATCAACAATTAGTTTACCTTAACATGGGAAGAACAACTCACATCATCCAGGTGGGTTTAATGTAATCACAATGGTCCTTATAAGTATAAAGGGAGGCGGAAAAGAAAGCGAGTAAGAAGAGATGTGATGTTGGAATTAGAAGGTAGAGTGATGCTGTAACCACCCAACAGATTCACCTTCCCGGCTGCCTAGACAGAGCCGATTTATCAAGACAGGGGAATTGCAATGGAGAAAGAGTAATTCATGTAAAGCCGGCTCTGCGGAAGACCAGAGTTTTATTATTACTCAAATCAGTCTCCCTGAGCATTCGGGGATCAGAGTTTTTAAAGATAATTTGGCAGGTAGGGGCTCAGGAAGTGGGGAGTGCTGATTGGTCAGGTTGGAGATGGAATCATGGGAGCAGGGGGTCAAAGTAAGGTTGTCTTGCTGTCTTCTGTTCCTGGGTGGGATGCAGAACTGGTTGAGCCAGATTAACAACCTGGGTGGTGTCAGCTGATCCATCCAGTGCAGGATCTGCAAAATATCTCAAGCACTGATCTTAGGTTTTAAAATTGTGATTTTATCCCCAAGAGCAATTTGAAGTGGTTCAGACTCTTGCAGCCAGAGGCTGCAAGACCCCTAAAGCGTAATTTCTAATCTTGTAGCTAATTTGTTAGTCCTGCAAAGGCAGACTGGTTCCCAGGCAAGAATAGGGTCTTTTCCACAAAGGGCTATTACCAATTTGGTTTCAGAATCAAACAATAAACTAAATTCCTTCCCAAGGTTAGTTTGGCCTATGCCCAGGAATGAACAAGGATGGCTTAGAGGTTAGAAGCAATATGCAATTGGTTAGGTCTGATCTCTTCCACTGTCATAATTTCCTCAGTTATAATTTTTGCAAAGGTGGTTTCAATCCCATTGCTAATTTTAAAGATAGAAGAGGTCTATAAGTCAAAAAATGCAAGCAGCCTCAAGAAGCTGGAAAAAGCAAGCCTACAGCTTAGAGCCTAGAGCCTCCAGAAAACAACTCAGTTTTGCCAACTGCATGATTTTGGTCCAGGAAGACCCATTTTGGACTTTTGATCTTTTGAACTGTAAGCTAATAAATTTGTGTGGTTTCTAGTCACTAAGTTTGTGATAATTTGTTACAGCAGTGATAGTAAACATATACAGTAGTTTACTTTTTTCTGTGCTAAAAACAAAAATAAAATGTTTTGATTGACTTTACTGGCATTGCAAAATATAGTACTTTTTAATTTTAGTTTTTATCACTGATTAATAATTAGTTATTTTAATTACACTGGTAATTAAAGGACATTTTATTCTTTTAGTATTCTTAAATCCCATTTCTGTTCCTATTCATGAAGTGAAGGGGCAGCCTGCCATTGTCTAAAGGTATTAGCCTTGAAATGGATATAAAGAATAGTTTTTTTTTTCTTCAGGGGGTATGTGTGCAGGTTGTCACATGGGTAAATTGCGTCTTGTGGGGGTTTGGTGTACAGGTGATTTTATCACCCAGATAATAAGTATAGTACCTGATAGGTAGTTTTTTGATGCTCTTCCTCCTCCCACACTCCACTCTCAAGTAAGATCCAGTGTCTATTATTCCCTTCTTTGTGTCCATGTGTACTCAATGTTTAGCTCCCACTTGTAAGTGAGAACATGTAGTATTAAGTATTCTGTCTGTGTGTTAATTTGCTTAGGACGATTGCCTCCAGCTCCATCCATGTTGCTGCAAAGGGCATGACCTTGTTCTTTTATAATGACTGGGTAGTATTCCATGGTGTATACGTACCACATTTTCTTCATCCATTCCACTGTTGATGGTCATTGAGGTTAATTCCATGTATTTGCTATTGTGAATAGTGGTGCAATGAACATATGGGTCATGTGTCTTTATAGTAGAATGATTTATATTCCTTTGGGTATATACCCAGTAATGAGATCACTGGGTTGAATGGTAGGTCTCTTTTAAGTTATTCGAGAAATTTCCAAACTGCTTTCCCCAATGGTTGAGCTAACTTACATTCCCACCATCAGTGTATAAGCATTCCCTTTTCTCTGCAACCTCACCAGCATCTGTTGTTTTTATATTTTTTAATAATAACCATTCTGATAGTGTGAGATGGTATCTTATTGTGGTTTTGATTTGCATTTCTGTGATGATTAGTGATGCTGAGCACTTTTTCAATTTGACAATTTTCATATATGGTGAAAGGTAGGGGTCCAGCTTCAAGTTTCTTTTGCTAGGCAGAAGTTCTTTAGTTTAATTAGGTCTCATTCACCAATTTTTGTTTTTGTTGCAATTGCTTTTGAAGTCTTCATCATGAAATCTTTTCCAGGGCCTATGTCTAGAATGGTATTTCCTAGGCTTTATTCTAGGGTTTTTATACTTGTCAGTTTTATATTTAAGTCTTTAATTCATCCAAGTTGATTTCTGTATATGATAAAAATAAAGGGTCCAGTTTCAATCTTCTGCATATGGCTAGCCAGGTATCCCAGCACAAGTTATTGAATAGTGACTTCTTTCCCCTTGCTTGTTTTTGTTGATTTTGTTGAAGATCAGATGATTGTTGGTGCATGGCTTTATTTTTTGGTTCTTTAACATGTTCCATTGGTCTATGCGTCTGTTTTCACACCAGTACCATGCTGTTTTGGTTATTGTAGCTTTGTACTATAGAAGTCAGGTAGTATGATGACACTGGCATCATTCTTTTTGCTTAGGATTGCTTTGGCTATTTTGCAAATGAATTTTAGAATAGTTATTGCTAATTCTGTGAAAAATTTCATTGGTATTTTGATAGAAATAGCATTGAATCTGTAAGTTGCCATGGGCATTACTGCCATTTTAACAATATTGATTCTTCCTATCCATGAGGATGAAATGTTTTTTCTTTTCTTTTTTTTTGAGATAGAGTTTCACTTTTTCACCCAGGCTGGAGTGAAGTAGCATGATCTCAGCTCACTGCAACCTCCACCCCCTGAGTTCAAGCGATTCTCCTGCCTCAGCCTCCCGAGTAGCTGGGATTATAGGCACCCACCACCATGCCTGGCTAATTTTTGTATTTTTAGTAGAGACGGGGTTTCACCATGTTGGCCAAGCTGGTCTTGAACTCCTGACCTCAGATGATCCACCCACCTCGGCCTCCCAAAGTGCTAAGATTATAGGCATGAGCCACCACGCCTGGCCCATGAAATGTTTTTTCATTCATTTGTATTGTCTCTGATTTTTTTCAGCAATGTTTTGCAAGTCTCATTGTGAATATCTTTCATGTGGTTAGCTGTATTCCTAAGTATTCTATTTTTTTGTGGTTATTGTGAATGGGATTTCATTCTTAATTTGGCCCTCAGCTTAGACATTGTTGGTATACGGAAATGCTACTAATTTTTGTACACTGATTTTTTTTTAATCCTGAAACTTTGCTGAAGTTGTTTTTTTTAGATCTAGAAGATTTTGGGCAGACATGATGGGATTTTCTACTTATCAAATCCTATTGTCTGTAAAGACAGATAGTTTGACTTCCTCACATCTTATTTGGATATATTTATTTATTTTTCTTGCCTGATTGCTCTGGCTAGGACTTCCAGTGCTATGTTGAATAGAAGTGTTATGAACAGGTATCCTTGTCTTGTTCCATTTTTCAAAGGGAATGCTTCCAGCTTTTGCCCATTCAGTATGATTTTGCCATTTATTGTCATAAATGGTTCTTATTATTTTTAGGTATGATCCTGAATGTCTACTTTGTAGTGAGTTTTTAACATGAAGGAATATTGAATTTTATCAGTAGTCTTTGCTGCATCTACTGAGATGATCGTGTGGTTTTTGCTTCTATTTCTCTTTATGTGATGAACCATATGTATTAATGTGTGTATGTTGAATGAACCTTGCATCCCAGAAATAAAGCCTACTTGATCATGGATTAGCTTTCTGACATGCTGCTCAATTCAGTTTGCTAGTATTTTGTTGAAGGACTTTCACATCTACCTTCATCAGGGTTATTGGCCTGAAGTTTTCTTCTTTTGTTGTATCTGTGTCAGATTTTGGTATCAGCATGATGCTGGCTTCATCGATTGAGTTAGGAAGGACTTCCTACTCTTCAACTTTGTGGAGTAGTTTTAACAGGATTGGTACTAGCTTTTCTTTATACATCTGTTAGGATTTGGCTGTAAATCTGTCTGGTCCAGGGCTTTTTCTGGCATGTAGGCTGTTTATTATTGATTCAATTTCAGAATTAATTATTGGTTTGTTCAAGTTTTCAATTTCTTCCTGATTCAATCTTGGAGGTCATATTGATACAGCTTTGATGACTGGAAGAACACCAGGGTTTTTGGTTTCACGCCAATAGGATTAACAACATGAACACATGTGGAATGGTTTTCAGGAATGAAAAGTTTAATAGGCAAGAAAGAAGGAAAAAAGAAGAGAACAGCTCCCCTGTACAGAGACAAGGTGGGGGAGTTTGGAACAAAGAGAAAACACCCTGTGTGGCAGAAAAGTGGTTGGTTATATGCAAGGCTAGAGGAGGTGGTGTGTGATTTGCATAGGGCCCAGGGGATTGGTTTGACCAGGTGTGGCACTTACGTAGCCCATGAAAAACCTGGCCCTCCCACCTTAGCCCTTTAATATGCAAATGCGTGTCGCTATGATGTTTTGAACACATGGTGTTATCTGGAGGTGGCCATCACACTTGGCACAGGTGGTGACAAGGAGAAGATGGCAGGAATCACCATATTGAGTGAACCCAGTTTCTAATGGCCGGCATTTGCATATCAAAGCTGGCCAGTTGGCCCTTTAAGCTATCTTTTCTGTTAGAGAAGAGATGGTTTGGGGGTTGTTTCTTATTACAGGAAAATTTCCACCAAGAACCTTTACCTTTACTATCTGCTTAAAATAACTTCTTAATAACTCCTGTATTATTCCCCCTCAAAGAGAAGTAAACCTAACTGCTGCTAGGGGTGTTGGACGATGATTTTTTTTGCTACTACCTGCTGAAAAGGGTCATTGTGTGGGGGAAAAGCAGCTGGTCCTTCCTTTGAGGTTGATCTAAGGGTTTTTGGAAGAATGGCATGTTTATGTGTGGTTTTGCTCGCAGCACCATTTGGAGTTTAATTTTTTTTAAGCAAAAAGAGATAAATTTTATAAGGTTTACAATATAGGGTTAGAATATGAGTATTAAGATTACCACAGCTAGTGGGGGTTCTATAGACCATGACTGACAGTAGAGTTTGACACGTTAGTTACACCAATAGATTGCAATACCGGTTTCTTCCCACTAGATGTCGCTGTACATTACAAGAAACGTTAATATAAATAACTTTTTCTAGTGAAAAGCATACATTTGGGCCAGGTGCCATGGCTCATGCCTGTAATCCCAGCACTTTGGGAGGCTGGGGGAGGGGGGGGGCAGATCACGAGGTCAGGAGTTCGAGACCAGCCTGGCCACTATGGTGGAACCCCATCTCTACTAAAAAATACAAAAATTAGCCGGGTGTGGTGGTGCGCCTGTAGTTCCAGTTACTCAGGAGGCTGAAGCAGGACAATCACTTGAACCCAGGAGGCGGAGGCTGCAGCGAGCCGAGATTGCACCACTGCACTCCAGCCTGGGTGACAAAGTGAGACTCCGTCTCAAAAGGAAAAAAAAAAAAAAAAAAGAAAAGAAAAGCATACATTTCCCCCTTGTCTTGCCATTAGAGAATAACCTTAGGCTTTAGGCCATTTTTATAACTTGGATTATGATTGGGAGAAATACATCATTGGGTGGCTAAAATAACTTCAGTGTTAATTATGACAATTCCTTTTCTTTAATTATTATTTTTTAATGACTTTCACAGACTCTCTTAGAGCATACTTAAACTTTTTTACTTGTCCTAAACATTCTTCCTTTAAACAACCAGTCATTTCCTTTTAGGGCAAGTATTTACCATACAAAATTCTTTCTCATATAAAATGTCTTTCTTTATAACTTTCTTTTCATAGCTTAGAGTGCATTATATTACCAATCTTTAGTAAAAAGTCCTATTAAACTTAATGATGGTAAAACTTCAATGCTTACTTCTTATTTGTAACTATTACTCCTGCTATAAGCAAAACAACCTTGACTAAATTTTTCCTGCAATTATTAATCCTGTTATAAGGATGACAATCAGGCAAAATATTATAGCAATTAGAATTTTATAACCAGAATTCCACACTGTGGGTGCCACAGTGTATAGTTCTATTGCAAATAGTAGTGTGACTATAACAATTTTCACAATAGTGGCATAGTAAATAATTTTTGTTTAAAATTTTATTTGGCAAGATATAACATTTCTCTTTGGGGATTTACAGAGTTACAAATGCAATCCCATGTATAATTAAAATTTCCCTGCAAATATGCATTAAAAAGAAGTTTTAATATTTGATGGCAAATTTTGAGAGGAAAGGGCAGAAATGACAAAAAGTATTTGTTGAGGTAAAGGTGGGACTGAGTAAGATGAGTAGCCCTTACTCGGTTACTTATTTTTTTTTATGATTTTTAGCTTAAGATTTTCTATTTCTTTACATTAATATTCAGGACATTCCTCTGGGCTGTCAGGGGTTCCTCCCTCAGCTCTTCAGGCTTTGATTTGAGTGTGATGTATTCAGGAGTTGATTCCTGTAACTTTTACTGCTGAGAAGGTTGAAAGAAGAACAGTGTAGGGCCCTACCCAGCTTGGCTTAGGGAAGGAGAGACATGAGAGTTTTTACTAATACTAAATTTTCTGGGTTAAACAAAGGTGGTTTTCTTTTGGGGGGTGGGGCTTCTGCTAATTGTGTTCATTCTTGTTGGAAGTGAGCTAGAGAGGTTACATGCTTAACCAATTTACAGGTTTCCTGCCTGAAAACAACTTTTGAGCACATTGATAAGTTTTATCCTTTCCCAAGTGAAAAGGTTGGTGAAGGATTTTAAGGACTTTTTATTGGCTGGAGGCTGGCAAATAGAGTTTGCCATCCTGACTGTAGCTATTCTGAGGCTGAAAAGTATGCCCTTGAGAAGTGGCCTATTTTATTTTTGCAGGGAAATACCAAGGCTTATTTTTTTTTTTTTTATGGAGCCTTTTTAGATTAGAAGAGGCTTGAAGTGCATTAATGCCTTGAAGCTTTCATGCCTTTGACTTAGCTGCCTGATCAGCTAACTTATTTTCTTTGGCTACCTTATTTATTTCTTTTTGATGTTCCTTACAATGTATCCTTGCTACTTTTTGTGGATGAAAAACTGAGTATAATAACCTGCTAATTTTCTGGTGATATTTTACAGGAGATCCATTAGTGGTAAGAAAATGTTTTTCCTTTAAAATGGCAGCATGAGCATGGAGAACTAAGAAAGCATATTTGGAGTTAGTGTAAATGTTAGTTATCTTTCCCTTGCTTAATTTAAGTGCTTTTGTAAGAGTTATTAGCTTAGCTAATTGATCACTTGTGTTTGGGGAGAGTGACTACTGCTTATCCTGCCTTATGTACTTCTTGCTTTACCAGCTGTTTGCTAGCTAAGAGCTCCCCCTAGAGGACAGTGATCCTGCCACATTATGTGGGCTGTAAACAGTTAATTTATTAATTTATTTCCTAGGGTTAACTTGCAGGCCTTTTTTTTTTTTAGAGCTATTATGACAATTTCTGGGCATTCTTTCTTTTAGGCTTTCTTCTGGTCCCTATTATAAAAGACCAAAGTGGCCACCTTCAGGAGGTTCTTTAAGGTGCTATCTGGTTTTATAGTTTGCTTTTGTAGTTTCTTTTTAACATCAAGAGCTGCCTGTGTAATAAACTTGTCCTTCAGGATGAGTTGTCTTTTAACTGAATAAAGGGATAAGGAGGTGTACGCTATTAGTGCCTGTCTTAGCCTTTCCATAAAGGCTACAGGATTCTTATTTGGCTTTTGGTCCATTATAGAGAGTTTAGAGTAATTGAGAGATTTGGCCCTGGTTTTCCATAGGCCTTGTAAAATCCATATGAAAAAGTGCTTTCTTTTCCATTCATCTCCTGAGTCATTGGGTTTCAATTGGATATTTTACCAGAATTGCTTCTCTCCCTATTGTGAATGATGTTTCTGCTATTTCTTCACTTTCTCTATCTGCTTTCTTCCCTTTGGTGTATTATAGGAGATATATTGCTTATCTCCGAAATTATTTGTGGCTTGCAGAACTATCTGCTTTTTGCTGCAGTGAGGGTCTGGTTTAGGAGCAGCATAACATTCCTCCATATGAGGTTAAACACCTGAGTTAAATTTTGGAAAGCTTTCATATACCTGTCAGGGTATTTAGAAAATCAGCTTAAGTTTCCCTTTATTTACCTCAGGTCTTGTAATGAGAAGAGAACTTGAGGGGTCCCCAAATAAGGGGGATCCTCAGATGGTTCCACTGAAAGTTGGTTTTTTAATTTTGGGAAACTATTCTTCCAGGGCTTGCCCAATATGATTGCCAAAAGAGTTGGGTTGATCTTACAACGCTTGCAAAGATTTAGTAAAAATGCCATGCCCTTGTGCAAAAGAAAATGAGTTGCTTTTCTCTATAGTTTTGAGGTTAAGGAAGTTCCAGTGTTTCAGAGTGCACCCCAGAGGGGTGCAAGCTGAGGATAATTTATTACCCATCTAGAAAAAGAAGTGAGAATGAAAATGTTCTCTTAGTCTCCTTCTTTTTCAAATGACCCAGAGTGGAGGAGAAGACAGGGAGCATCCTCTGACTGTTTCCCCTCCCTGGTTTCTGGATCCCAGCACCGTGTTAAATGTGCCACCCATGGTTGTGGGTGTGGTCCTTCAAGCCATGGAACCGGATGAACTAAGTGATGGGACTAACCATGCTTACCCATGCAATCTTAGCTTATCTGCCTCTGTGATTTCCCTTTGACTTCCTAAACCTGTGTGATTTGCCTGGCTCCCTGAAAAATGGATTTCCAGAGAGACTGTGTTGTTTTTGGGCAAGGAGGCAACCTGTTAGATTGCCTGATATTATGACCCATGCTAAAGCACTTACCCCTAAAAAATAATGGTTCCAGTTAACTTACAAACTTAAAATCCCCTTACTAATTAAGTACTGTCTTAATCGGAGACAGAATAGGTGCCTTAAAAGAACGTAGGGACTGAATGGCCGTTTTCCTACCAATGGGACAATATCGGGACTAAAATCTGGCTGCAGAAGATATCTTATTCTTAGCTGTTGAAAGCAGAGCTCTCCTGTCCACAGAAGTAGCAGTAGAAAAGTACAAAATGGAAAAGTTGTGAAGCTGCAATGTGCCGCAGAGAACCAGCACTGTGTCGCAGACAACCAGCAGTGTCTAATGAAGAGGATTTCTATTTCCACTAGGTGGCGATGTTGGCTTAGAAATACCATGTACTTGGCTGGGTGCGGTGGCTCAAGCCTGTAATCCCAGCACTTTGGGAGGCTGAGGCGGGCGGATCACGAGGTGGGGAGATGGAGACCATTCTGGCTAACACTGCGAAACCCCATCTCTACTAAAAATACAAACAAATTAGCCGAGCATGGTGGCGGGCGCCTGTAGTCCCAGCTACTCGGGAGGCTGAGGCAGGAGAATGGCGTGAACCCAGGAGGCAGAGCTTGCAGTGAGCAGAGATCGCACCACTGCACTCCAGCCTGGGCAACAGCGCGAGACTCTGTGTCACAAAAAAAAAAAAAAAATACCATGTGCTTGCCAGAGAATTAGTAGCAAGTAACCTTACTGCGGGGGAAAGGGGAGAACTTTGTTCCTGGAAGATTGCAAGGACATTTTCCTGATTTTGCCTAACAGGATTACTTCCATAGGCTGTAAAAATTCCTGCACATTCGATAGAGAGAAAGAGACCACGAATAGAGAAAGAAAGTTTGGCAACAGACTGTAAGAGAGCCTTGAGATTAAAGGACAGATTTGAGATTGAGATTCATTCCATACTCGCCACTGTGATGAATGAATTCCTGGCAATGCACCAAAGAGAAAACCCCCTGTATGGCTAGAGGAGGTGGTGTTTGATTTGCATAGGGCCCAGGGGATTGGTTTGACCAGGTGTGTCACTTACGTAGCCCATGAAAAACTTGGCCTTCCCAATTTAGCCCTTTAATAGGCAAATGCAGGCCACCTTGATATTTTGAACACATGATGTTATTTGGAGGTGGCCATCACACTTGGCACAGGTGGTGACAAGGAGAAGATGGCAGTAATCACCATATTGAGTGAACCTAGTTTCTAATGCCAGGCATTTGCATATCAATGCTTCCCAGTCTGGCCCTTTAAGCCGCCTCTTCTGTTAGAGAAGAGATGGTTCAGGGATTGTTTCTTATTACAGGAAAATTTCCACTGAGAACCTTTACCCTTACTATCTGCCTAAAATAATTTCTTAATAACTCCTGTATTAATACGTTTCCAGGAATTTATCAATTTCTTCTGGGTTTTCTAGTTTCTGTGCATAGAGGTATTCACAATAGCCTCTGAGGGTTTATTTGTATTTCTATGGGGTCAGTGGTAATGTCTCCTTTGTCATTTCTGATTTTGTTTATTTGGATGCTCTTTTTTTCTTTATTAGTCTAGCTAGTGGTCTATCAATCTTATTTATCCTTTTGAAGAACCAACTTTTGATTTCATTGATCTTTTGTATTTTTTTATATCTTAATTTCATTAACTTCAGCTCTGATTTTATTTCTTTTCTCCTGCTAGTTTTGGGGTTGCTTTGCTCTTGTTTTTCTAGTTACTCTAGGTGTGATGTTACATTATTAATTTGGGATCTTTCCAACTTTTTGATATAAGCATTTAGCGCTATAAACTTTCCTCTTAACATTGCTTTAGCTGTGTGCCAGAAATTTTGGTATGTTGTGTCTTTGTTTTCATTAGTTTTAAAGAATATTTTTATTTCTACCTTAGTTTCATTCATTACCCAAAAGTCATTCAGGAGTAGGTTGTTTAATTTCTATACCATTGCATGGTTTTGAGGGATGTTCTTGGTATAGATTTTTATTTTTATTACATTGTAGTACAAGAATGTGTTTGGTGTTCTTTTAGGTTTTTGAATTTTTTGATAATTGCTTTATGGTCTATTGTCTAGTCAATTTCAGAGTATGTGCCATGTGGAGATGAGACGAATGTATATTCTGTTTTGTTATATGCAGTGTTCTGTAGATGTATGTTATATGTCAAGTTTAGGTCCCAAATATCTTTGTTAGTTTTCTGTTTCAGTTATCTGTCTAGTATAGTCAGTGGGGTGTTGAAGTCTCCAACTCTTATTGTGTGGTAATCTAAGTTTCTTCATAGGTCTCTAAGAACTTGTTTTATAAATCTGAGTACTCTAGTGTTGAGTGTATATATATTTAGAATAGTTAAGTCTTCTTGTTTAACTGAACACTTTATCTCAATTTAATGCCCTTTTTTGTCTTTTTTGATTGTTGTTAGTTTAAAATCTGTTTTGTGTGAAATAAGAATAGCAAACCTTGCTTTTTTTTGTTTTCCCTTTGCTTAGTATTTTTCTCCATCTCTTTACTTTGGACCAGTGGGTGTCATTGCATGTGAGATGGGTCTTTTGAAGACAACATACAATTGGGTCTTGCTTCTTTATCCACTTGCAACTCTCTGCCTTTTAAATGGGGGAAATTTAGCCCATTTATATTCAATGTCAATATTGATAATATTCATATGTGCATATTTAATCTTGTCATCATGTTGTTAGATGATTGTTATGCAGACTTGATTTTGTCATTTCTTTATAGTGTCAATGTTCTATGTACTTAAGTATGTTTGTGTAGTGGTCGGTAATGGTCTTTCATTTCCATGTTTAGTAATCCTTTAAGGACCTCTTATAAAGCAGTTGTGGTGGTAACACAATTTCTTAGCATTTCCTTGTGTGAAAACAATCTTATTTCTACTTCACTTATGAAGGTTAATTTTGCCATATATAAAATTCTTGGTTTGTATTTCTTTTCCTTGAGAATGCTGAATATAAGCCCCCAATCTTTTCTAGTTTGTAAAGTTTCTGCTAAAAGGTCTGCCTTAGTCTGATAGGGTTCCCTACGTGGGTGTCTTGCCCCTTCTCTCTATCTGCCTTAAATATTTTTTTCTCTCACATTGATCTTAGAGAATCTGATGATTATGTGTCTTGTGGGTGTCCCATAGGACACTATAAAAATGACCTCTGAAATTTCCGAATTTGCATGTTGACCTCTCTCATGAGGTTGGGAAAATTTTTGTGGGCAATATCCTTAAATATGTTTACCAAGTTGCTTGCTTTCTCCCCCTCTGTTTCAGGGTTTCCAATGAGTTGTAAGTTCAGTCTCTTTACATAATCCTATATTTCTTGGAGGTTTTGCTCATTCTTTTTTTTTTTTTGTCTGACTATGTTGATTCCAAGGAGCAGTCTTCATGCCCTGAGAATCTTTCCCCAGCTTCATCTATTCTACTCTTTGTACTTCTGATTGTATTATTAAATTCTTGTAGTAAGTTTTTCAGATCTATCAGATCACTTTGGTTCTTCCTTTAAATGGCTATTTTGTCTTTCAGCTTTTGTATAACTTTATTGGATTTCTTAGATTCATTGAATTGGATTTCAACTTTCTCCTGAATCTTGATGATCTTCATTCCTATCCAGGTTCTGAATTCTATGTCTGTTATTTTAGCCATTTCAACCTTGTTAAAAATTATTACTGGGGAGCTATTGCAGTCATTTGGAGGTAAGAAGCCACTCTGGCTTTTTGAATTGCCAGAATTCTTGAGCTTGTTCTTTCTCATCCGTGTCAGTTGATGTTCCTTTAATCTCTGAAGTTGCTGTCCTTTGGATAGGGGTTTTTGCTTTTATAGTCTTTGATACTCTTGAGGGTTTGACTCTGGTGTAAGTTGGGTATAGTCAACTGACTTTGTTTTGAATTAGATCTAAAAATGCCAAGTTTACTTTCTGAAGAATCCACACAGAAGAGAAAATATAATGTTGAATAATGTCTATAAATTAGTTTGTTGTCACATCCTCCTATTAATAATCCTCCTTCTAGGAAATTGCAAACATTTTCATCTCTCTTAGATACCAAATGGAAATTCTCCATAATGATTTGCATTTGTGTATCTCCAATTATTCTTAAATGGAAATAGATAATCACAAAGGCTTCATTCTCATCTTTATGTTAAGTAGGCTGAAGACACAGAGCTGGAATTGTTTTGTTAATTCCCTTTTCAGAGTGTTCATTGTCAGTATACAGAAATACAACTGTTTTTTATGTTAATTTTGTATTCTGCAACTTTGCTGAATTCATTTATCAGTTGTAAATTTTTGTGGAATCTCTAGGATTTTCTATGGATAATGTCATTTTGTCTGCATACAGAGGAAATTTAACTTCTTCCTCTACAATTGAATTTCTTATTTTTTTCTTGCCTAATTGCCCTGGCTATGACTTAACAGTAGCATGTTGAGTAGAGGTGGCAAAAGTGCTATCCTTTTCTTGTTCCTAATCTTAGAGAAATGGCTCTTAGTCTTTCACCATTGAATGTTGGTCTTCTCATATGTGGCATTATATTGAGATAGTTTTTATCTATTCCTAGTTTTTTGAGTGTTTTTATTATTAAAGGATATTGAATTTTCCTAATGCTTTTTTCTCCATCAATTGAGATGATCATGTAGATTTTTTTTATTCTGTTAATGTGGTATATTACATTGATTGATTTTCATATGGTAAACCAACCTTGCACTTGCATTCCAGAAATAAATCCCATTTGGTGACGGTGTATAATTCTTTTAATAAATTACAGAATTTGTTTTGCTAGTAGTATGTTGATAATTTTTGCATCATAATTCATGAGAGATAATTATCTTTATTTTTCTTTTCTTGTAGTGTGTTTGTCTGTCTTTTGTATAAAGGTAATGCTGGCCTTATGGAATGAGTTTAGAAACGTTCACACTTTTTCAATTTTTTGGAAGAGTTTTACAAAGATTGGTGTTAATTCTTCTTGAAATGCTTGGTAGAATTCTCTCGTGAAACCATTTGGTCCCGTGTGCCTTTCTTTATTGGAAGGTCTTGATTTATTATTTTTATTTATTTTTTAATTTTAATTTTACTTTCTAGAAGCAGAGTCTTACTCTGTTGCCCAGGCTGGAGTGCAACATTATGATCATATCTCACCATAGCCTCAATTTCCTGGGCTCAAGTGATCCTTCCACCTTGGCCTCCCAAAATTCTTGGATTACAGGCATAAGCCACTGTGCCCAGGCTTTTGGAAAGTTTTGATTACTCATTCAGTCTCTTTACTCATCATAGACATGTTTAGATGTTTTATTTCTTCATTATTTCATCTTGATATTTTGTGTGTTTCCAGGAATTTGCCCATTTCAGTTTATCCAGTTTGTTAACATGCCATCATTCATAGTAATTTGTTATAATCTTTTTTATTTTTTTAAATAATCAGTTGTAATGACCCATTTTTTATTTCTAATTTTAATTGTGTCTCCTCTTTTTTTAATTGGTAAATCTGGTAAAAGTTTTGTGAATTTTGTTAATGTTTGTGAAAAACAAAATCTTAAGTTCTGTTGATTTTCTCTATTGTTTTTCTCTTCTCTGTTTTTCTCTACTTTAATATTTAGTATTTCTTTTCTTCTGATAGCTTTGGGTTTAGTTTGTTGTTTTTCTAGTTCTTTAAGATGTAAAGTTAGGTTAGAAACAAGGCAAGGATATCTGCTCTCACCACAGCTATTCAACATCATGCATGTATTCCTAGCTGATGCAAAATATGAGTAAAGAAAATGAAAGATGTACTGATTGGAAAGAAAAAAAATGAAACCGTCTTTTCATGGGTGACATTATATTTACATTTAAAAATGCCAAAAAATCAACAACAACAAAACCCTCTTAGCTAATAAGTGATTTAACAAGGTTGCAGGACACAAGGTTATTATATAAAAGTCCATTGCTTTTTTAAATATCAACAATGAACAATTGTAATTTGAAGTTTAAAAATATATTACTTATTTTAGCTTCAAAAATTGAAATAGTTACAAATCTAATAAAATATTTATAGAGTTTATATAAGGAAAACTATAAGTCTCTAATGACAGAAATCCAAGAAGATCTAAGTCAATGGAGAAGTATTTTATGTTCATGTATAGGAAGACTCAATATTGTGAAGATTTCAGTTCTTTCCAAATTGCTCTATAGATTCAACTCAATCCCAATAAAAATCTGGTAAATTATTTTGTGGATATCAAGAAACTGATTCTGACATTTATAAGGATAGACAAAGGACAGAGAATAGCCACTACAATATTGGAGAAGAACAAAGTTGGAGATTCCACACTACCCAACTTAAAAATTTACAACAAAGCTATAATAATGAAGATATAATAGCATAGTGTTGGTGAAATAATAGACAACTCTATCAGTGGAGTAGAATATAGAACCTATAAATAAACACATGCAAATATAGTCAACTGATCTTTGATAAAGAAGGGCAATTAGTAAAGGAAAATGATAGTCTTTTAAACAAATGGTGCTAGAAAATCTGAATATTCATGTGCAAAATGGCAATGCAACTAGGCATAAATCTTACAGCTTTCACAAAAGTTAACTTATACCTACTATCAACCTAAATGTAAAACACAAAACTGTAAAATTCCTGGAATGTAACAGGAGAAAATATAGGTGACCTTCAGTTTGGTAATGACCCCTTAAATACAACAGCAAAAGCACAGCCTATGCAAACAAACAAGTGATAAATTGGTATTCCTTAAAATTGAAAACTTCTGCCCTGAAAAAGACATGGTTAAGAGACTGAAAAGACAAAGTACAGACTGGAAGAAAAAATTTTAAAACACAAATATATTAAAGGACTGATATCCAAAATATGCTAAGAACTCTTAAATTTTAACAATAAGAAAAACAATTAAAAAATGGGGAAACGATCTGAAGAGATACAGCACCAAGAATGATATACAAATAGCAAATAAGCATATGAAAAGATGTTCAAGGTCACATGTCATAGAGAATTGCAAATTAAAACAACAATAAGATACCAGTACATACCTATTAGAATGGTTAAAATTTAAAGTCCTGACAACAGGAAATCATGGTGAGAATGTGGAGCAAGAAGACCTCTCATTCATTGCTGGTGGAAATGCAAAATAATACAGCTGCTTTTGAAGACAGTTTGAACACAATTTGTCCTATAAATGTTTATAAAAGCTTAATTCATAGTTGCCGGAACTTGGAAGTAATGAAGATGCCACAGGGTGCCTATACATTTGGCCAAACATAATCCCTGGTGTGTCTGTGAGGATATTTCTGAATGAGATTAACATATGAATAGGTAAACTGAGTAAAAGAGATAACCCTCCCTGATGTGAGTGGGCTTTATTCAATCAACTGAAAACCTGAATATAATAAAAAGCTGAGTAAGAGGGAACTCCTCCTTGCTGACTGGCTAAGCTGGGGGTGTTGGTCTTTTCAAACTAAAACATTGGCTCTTTTGGGGTATTGAGCCTCTGAGCTTTTGGGCTGAAAATTATGCCTTTGGCTCTCCTGGTTCTCAGGCCTTTGGACTCAGACTAGATATACACATAGGCTCTACTGGATCTCCAACTTTCTTACAAGATCTTGAGACTTCTCACCCTTCATAACATAATCATCATGTGAGCCACTTTCTTATAATAATATCTCCTTCTCTTTCCCCCTCCATCTCTCCCGCTCTCTCTTTAAACACACACACACACACACACACACACACACACACACACAAATATATGCATCCTATTTTTTCTGTTTCTCTGGAGAAGCCTGATTAATATACCACAGAATAATCTGCACATGAATATTTATAGCAGCTTTATTAATAATTTCTAAAACTTGGAAGTAACTATGACATTTTTCAATAGGTGAATATATAAGCAGTGGTACCTGCAGACAATAAATATTATTCAGTGATAAAAAAAGAAATGAGCTATGAAGCCATGAAATTATATGGAGGAGACTTAAATGCATATTGCTATGTGAAAGAGCCAATTTGAAAAGGCCACATACTGTATAACTAAATGCGATAATGTAAAAGACAAAACTACAGAAACAGTAAAAAGATCAGTGGTTGCAGGGGTTCAGAAGGATGGAGAGAGAGATGAATATGTCGAGGGATTTTTAGTGCAGTGACATTATTATATATAAAACTGTAGTGGTAGACGTATGTTATTATACATTTGTGAAAAACCTTACAATATACAACATAGAGTGAGACCTAGTGTAAATTATAGATTTTCATTAATAATATTTCAATATTGGTTCATTAATTATACAAATATTTCATACTAATGCAGTATGTTAATAATAGGAGAAACTAGGGGAGGTGGGAAGGAGGAATATGGGAACTCCTTGTACTTTCCACACAAGATTTTCATAAAACTGTCTTGTCAAACAGGCACAAGTATGTGTAGAATTCAAAAGATGAATATTAATATACAAATACAATTAAAAAGATGGAAAAGGACATATCATGCAAACAATAGTCATAAGGGAATTACAGTGGCTATATTTGTATTAGACAAAGTAGACTTCAAAACATAGAATATTACCAGAGATAAAGAAGGGTGTTTCAAAGTGCTTAGAGGATTAAACAATCAAGAAAACATGATAATCCTAAATGTGTACACAACCAATTAAAGAGCTAAAAATATATAAATAAGATTTAAAGAATATTCTCAATAACTTTTAATTGACATTTAAAGGGCACACCAAAATGGACATATTACATTTTTAATTTCTACACTGTTATAGATTTAATTTTTCTAGGCATAACCTACAAGAATAAGCGTTTTTTTTTAAATGAATTTCAATTTATCAGTTCATGCTTAGCTTCATTTACCACTTTGTGTGTAGGGAGACATATAACATATAACCGTCCTTAAGAACATAGAAAAACATTCTCTAATAACAGCAGTAACAGGCCAATAAAGAATAGCAGCAACACTGATCTATGAAATGAAAACATGTTTATGTACAAGTTTACCAACATTTCCATTTGGCTTCTTTTTGATTATTATCTTGAACAATTTTAACTACGAAAATGGGTGCAATGTCTACTTACCCAATTGTTTTCTTTTTAAGCTACAGTCTTTACAACTATAAAGCAGAATATAAGAACATGATAATTTAGGCAATATAATTTTAATCTTCTCAATCTTTGGCAAAAACTTACTTTATATCTATAAATGTTCTTTCTGTTGTCTGGATATATTTAACTTTGGTAGATCAAAATATGTTAAAATCCCTTACTTAAAGGTTAAATAAGATGAAAGTATGACCGAAAATTATTTTCTTCTATGTAACTATTTTTGTTTAATATTAAGATTATTTTGAGGCACTTTAGAAATTTAGAGCATGTATCTCTTCCTCCTTCCACCTCTCTTTTTCTTCCTCACTCCCCCTCCTTCTCTCATTTTTTCTCCTTCCTCCTTCCCTCCTTTCTTTCGCCTCTTCCTTTCTTTCTTCCTTCCTTTTATCCTGGCTTCAACTAAAATAGTTAAGCCTCCCTCTTTTCAAATTTCAAGCTTTTTTTTTCCAGTACCCTCACTTTTGGAGTGAAGATACTTTTATTCCAATAACCCATATTATATAATTTTCTAATATTGTTTTCTAGTGGCATTTTAAGCTGGAGGCAGTAGCAAAGTAAATAAAAGATCTAAGATATATTTAAGTGCCTAATACATACATGGGACATTGACAGAAACTTCTAGAAACCTAAAATAAAAACAATATGTCCACATCTAAAAAAATTAACCAAGTGAGGATTTCATTACAATGCTTGCTCAGAATGACATTATGTGACACACAGAAGTTACTGCAGTACTTCTTATTTAAGGATAATTGGGTAGTAGGTCAGTGGTAATCCTTTAACAACTTATTAATCTATTCAGGAAAATTCTTCTACTACAATGTTGTGTGGAGATCGTGGGATGAGCCTAGCTACATGACAGTTGCTGACAGGATACTTGCAGAAGATATTTCAACTTTCTCATTAAAAAACCTAAATTATTAGCTTCATGGTATAGGCAAATAATACATTCCAAGAGTAGTTACATAATAGAAATGCAAAGTGATAAAGGTACTTTCTATTAAATTGTTGACCAGAAGTTGATGTAAGTGCTTTCATTTACTTGTATTTAGTATTAAAATTTTGACTTTTGTATGATTGATTTGTTTTAAGGTTAACTATTCCATACAGAGCAGGTATTCAATAAATAATGTTGACTGACAGGTGGTTAAATGCTAGAATGTGCTTCATCTTTACAGGCAAATAGACACCTGATGATTGATTATAGTCAAACATCCTTTAAAATATACTTTGCACATGTTTCAGACTAATTACTTGCTAAATTTAATTCTGAATTTAAAATGCTTTATAACTATCATTAATTAATCTGTTTTAGTTTTTATTATGGCATTGCTGAAGCCAAACTGGTTAAAATGTTTTAGTGCTACACTATTTGCAGTTTAAAATTCTATTTTTAAGGCTTGTAAAGATATACAAGGTAGTTTTTCTTCTGCTATTGCTGTAGTAAATTCCAGGAGAGTAAATCTAAAAGATTGCTGCTTAATTATTAATGAAAAAATCAATGGATTCTATCTTCATTCCTTTTAGCTCATGAAGTCAGATTTTCTCAAAAGGTAAGTTAAGTTAGTGTTGGATAACTCTAATCTTTATTTTTTCCCAACATGGCAATAACTCTTTCAGTCCCCTACTCTTTAAAACAATAGGAATCTATTAACTCCATATCGTGAAGATAATTCACGTGCATGTAAATGTCCTCATTTAAATATTTCACTTCATTTCTTCTAGTATGTAGGATTCAGAGAAATTAGGTTATTTAGAAATAAACCTATGCTAGTGCCTCAGTTATGGTTATCCAAATTAAAAAATAGATTGGACAAAAAGGTTAAAATGAGTGATTTGAACCACTCCAAAACACATTTAAGCATTATTTTTTGTTGTTGTTTTTTAAGAGACAGGGTCTTGCTCTGTTGCCCGGGCTAGAGTGCAGTGGTGCAGTCATGGCTCACTGCAACCTTGAACTCCTGGGTTCAAGTGATCCTGCTGCCTCAGCATTCCAAGTATCTGGGACTACAGGTGTGTGTCACAATGTCAGGCTGAGTTTTTTAGAATTTTTGTACAGACAGGGTCTCACTATGTTGCCCAGGCTAGTATTGAACACCTGGCCCTTGGATCCTCCTGCCTTGGCCTCTCAAAGTGCTAGGATTATAGGCTTAAATCACTGTGCCCAGCAGCATTCATTTATTTTTTTATAACACTCAATGGCATCTTTTATTCAGACATTTTAATGATTCACAACTAGGTGATTAGAGATTAAAAAGTACCTTGAAAGAATAATTTATTTTAATTCATGAATTTAATAATATTTTATTTAAATAAAACATCTCCCAAATGAATGGTCAGTTCAGATCAGCTTCCAAGCTGATATTAGAATAATAATATTACAACAAAACATGGAAAATTTAGTAAAACAATTTAAAGGCTGTACATTTAATGCTCATATGGTGGGGTTTTGAATATAATTGAATGAATATTTGTTAAGGTAATATGTGACACATTCTGATACATTGTTTTCATTTACCATAAACTAGTGACACTATTTTTTGCAGAGGTAAATAAAACTTTACCTGAAATTCCCTTTTGTGACACCAGATGGTGCTTCCATTTATGAATCGGTTCTAAAGAAAGAATTTTTTGGAAAATGCTACGCAATAAGAGCAATAAAATAAAGTTTTAGATAATCTAACTACTACCCTCCTCTCTACCTCTACATTTAACAAATTAAGAGGTTCTAAAAAGTTTAATGACAAGTGACGTTCCCAAAATTCCTCAGGTTTTTCATGACAGATCTGGGCAGGAACGCAAGGATCCTGGCACTGAATTCTTTGAATTAGTTTTCATTATTTTGTACTAAAATTCTGTGACTTTACTCATAGTTCAAGAGAAGTATTTATGCAATATGCAATACTGAGCTGCCCTGTGTAGGGGAGTGTGTGTGTGATTACAAAAAACATCTTAAGTCAGTTCCTTCCATTGTAATATCAACCTCATGTTAACAAATTCAATAATATTTAAATATTTTTAAAACTCTTATATCATCTCAAAGGATTTTTTTTCACCAAAGTTTGGCACATTTGGTAGAATTCTATTTACTAAAATAACTTGGTTGGAATATATTTACTTCTGAAAATATTTGCAGTAAGAACTTAGAAATTGCCATGCAAGATTCGAATTATTCTATATACTGTCAAAACTCTCTGTTGTCCCAATGGAGACATCCGATAGAGATCTTGGAGGAAATATTATGAGAGGAGATATCATTCTTTCACTGATTATCATTTTTAAAAGTAAGAGATGTAGCCTTAAACACAATAGTTCATCATTCTCTCTTAATGTGACTTTCTTAAATTTATCCATGTAATGATTTTTTGTATTTTTTATCTGCATTATCTCTCATAATCACAATTGCAGTGCATCTGGAAAATATGAAAAATTGATAAATCCAGGTAAGACAGTCATTCATTATTCGAGAATGTTGAGAAAGAGATTCAATGAAATTCCTGCCGAAATCCCAACAACCTTTTTTCTATTTTTTCAGAAATAGAAAATTAATTCAGAAATTCATGTGAAATCTGAAGGGACCCTAAATAGGCAAAATAATCTTTTATAAAAAGAGCAATGCCATTTTTTAAAAAAGATGATGGATCAGTTTGTTTTCTTCAGTCACAAACATTAGAAGATGCCTAGTTAGCAAGTTAGCATAAGCAAAAATTAGAAGGGGTATGAAGAATGTGAAAAAGGTAAAGGAACTACTGAAAAGTCAGCATGGAAGGGGCAGAAACTATGGATGCTCTGGAGTTCAAGATAGCAGGAAGTACTTCTTGATCTCATCTTGAATACCACAGCTGGAATGAAACAGCTCCAAATTTCGTTGGCATTATCTTTGCATCACTTATTTTTTGAGATTCAGAATACCAGGAAACAGATCCTAATTGATCTGGTTGAGGTCATGAGTCTATTTATGGCTAAAAGGGAGTAGAGAATTATAGTTGTAATAAGACCACATTAGATTTGACCTCAAAAAACTTGGGGCACAATAACTAGAAAATAAAACAGCAAAAATCAAGAGATGGACATCTTCAAAGATATAACCAGGATGCTTTATTGCTAATGTTTTACATTTGTTTATATATCAATTAATTACTGATACAGCAGAAAATATTTCTGTGTATTTCAGAGATACTTCTCATGCAGACTATTGACTAGAGATTTGTATGTTGAAAAAAATTATTGTTGCTAAATCAATATATACTTTCCATATTCATGGCATTCATAATATTTACGGATGGTCTATTCTATGGCTTGCACTATATGAAATGTAAGTATACAATGATTAAATACACAGCTTTTTGACACTGCTGACCACATCTCTCTTGAATGCCTTTTATTGGCTTCCTTAGTATCACACTTTCCTGATTTTCTTCTACATTTCTGTGTGTGTGTGTGTTTTTTTTTTCCCCCGCGACGGAGTCTCGCTCTGTCGCCCAGGCTGGAGCGCAGTGGCGCGATCTCGGCTCACTGCAAGCTCTGCCTCCCGGGTTCACGCCATTCTCCTGCCTCAGCCTCCCGAGTAGCTGGGATTACAGGCGCCCCCCACCACGCCCGGCTAATTTTTTGTATTTTCAGTAGAGACGGGGTTTCACCGTGTTAGCCAGGATTGTCTCTATCTCCTGACCTCATGATCCGCCCACCTCGGCCTCCCAAAGTGTTGCGATTACAAGGCGTGAGCCACCGCACCTGGCCCTGTTTTATTCTTCTCAAATTTTTTCCTTCCACCCTTCCTCCCTTCCTCCTCCTCTCCTTTTTTCTCCTCCTCCTCCTCCTCTTCTCCTCCTCCTCCTCTTCTCCTCCTCCTCCCCCTCTTCCTCCTCCTCCTCTTTTCTCTCATATATTTAATAACACCATTTAAAAAAAAAAAAGGTTTAATAGATGCCTGATATTTCCCAGGCACTAGGACCTATGATGAATAAACAAATTTAAAAATTGACAAATTTTTTGCTCCCATGGAATTTACATTTTAGTGGTAGGGTCAAATCATATAAACAAACAAGTAATATAAGTTCAAATAATGATAAATACTCTGTAGGAAATAAAGATATCATAATAATGTAGATGATATCTAGAGAGAAGGAGCATTTTAAGAGCTCATTTGCAGCTTGACCTCAACTGCTAGAGTTACTCTAAGCTCTCTGCTGTACCTTGATTATATTTTCACACTCTCCTGGTCAGTCTCATTCACTCATGGGTGTTTAGTTTTTATCATTAGGCTGACAACACCATGTTATTTCTCTAGTCCACATTTTTCTTGCCTTAGAGATGCACTTACTTACTTCAGACAACCCCATTTCCTTGTTTGACTGACCCATGAAAATTGTCATGTTCAAAAGTGAGATCATCATATTGACTCCCATAATTTGCCTCCCAACCCTATGTTTCTAGCTTAGTGAATGGCATCCCCATGTAATTAATTGCTGAAGGCGGATCTTTGGAAAGCATATTTGATTTCTATCTTGATTCGTTCTCCACATTTAATAAATTACCAAGTCGTATATTTCAAGTTTTATATGAATCTTTTTGCTTATCTCCATCTTCACTGTCAACTCCAAAGTTGAGCCCATGGTTAATGCTCATTTGAATTAATTATTGCTACAGCTTTTTAACTAATCTTTATCCATCTGGTACATTTTCCACCATTTGCCACAATTCAGGTTAAGAGAGCTTTTATGTATACAATTTGAATAATGCCATTGGCCTGCTCAAAATATTTTAATGACTAACTTTTTCCATAATAAATCTCTAAACCTTTAGGTTTATTCCATCATTCTCTGTCTATTGCTTACCCTTCTTAATACCATTTTTGCCAATCCCTCCAATTACAATGTATATTACAAGTCCTCAAATATGTTATTTCCCCTCAAGTCTTTGATACATGCTGCTCCCATTTCCATTAAAAAATATCTCACTGTATCCCATTTCTTTATTACCATCATCCCAGCCTTCAGCTCAGTACTTAGACCTAATCTCTTCTCAACTATTGGATTTTATTTTAGATTTCACTTCCTCTGAGAGGCCTTTTTTTTACTTTTGATGCCACGGGAATGTGCTCCTGCCTTCTGTTCCCATCACATTTTGTAGTTTTCCCTTCATAGCAACTTAGTTGATTTTCTCTAGGTTTGTTGAGAGCAAGAAATGTGTCTATTTCTTTTTCCTTGTTGTATACTCACTCATCCCAGTCCCTTGCTTAGAGTAAGTATTCAAAAAAAAAAATGACACTATGTTGGAAGGTCTTTGTTGCAGGATGAGCAATCATCAAGGGTAAACTGTAAGTGGTTTTAAAAAAGAAACTTTACGTGTTCAATAGCTTAGAGAAGTGTACTGCTCTCTGACATAACTGTGTGAGCATTCTAGGCTAGTGGAAAACTGATTCAAATATCCAGATTCTTTCAGTCTTGTTTCTCTACTATACTCTAGGGAAGTGGTTCCTAGACTTTTTGGTCTCAGGAAACTTCTCTCTTATGAATTATTGAGAACACTAAAGAGCTTTTGATTATGCCAATTATATATTTGTCATATAGAAATTAAAGGTGATAAAATTTAAATATGTTACTTATTAATTTATTAAAAATAACAATAAACTGATTACATGTTAACAAAAATAACAGAGTCTTAAATTAAGGAAAAAATATCTAACTGTCACACCCAAGAAGAGATTAAGGTGACATGACAACTAAATGTGATGTGGCATCCTAAATGGGAACCTTGAAGTTTATTTTTAAAATACATTAATTGGAAGAGTGGTATTGTCTTACTATTTTTTTTTGTAAATATCTTTAACGTCTAATGTAATAGAAGATAAATGGATATAAAAGACAACTCAAACTCCCTGAGAAGATAGGAGAGAAAAGGTCCAAAGCACATGTGGAGGGGTCAGCCTTATATGAACCAAAATACTGTTTGCATTGTAACAGATAGAAAATTGGCAGATGTGAATTAGACAGACATGCAGTGGTGTGGAATTAATAATGGAATTATGGCATTCTTAGCTGATTACAACATTTTCTCAATGACTTTTTTGGTGAGATCATCAGTAAAGAAGAATGTCAGTGGTAGAAGTGTTGCAGATGTGCTGAGAGAAGAAAAGGTATAAAACACATCTTGCAGAATGGAGAAATGAGCTTAATTAGGAAAGCATCTTGAGATTTATGTTAATATATTTGAAACACATCCATTGATTACAGTTAAGTGATTTTTTTCCCAAGATGTGTTGGGGCTTAATTGGCATTTTGCTAGGGAAAGAGGTAGAAGAGAATTGAGACTATTTATAAAGCAGTACATGTTTTATCAGACCAAGGATTCTGTGCTTCGTAAGAATGGAATTAATGGTATTTAAGGGTGATAGGTAAAAATGGGTAGGTACAGTGGATCACAACTTTTGATCTGATCTTCAAATGTTGTACAGCAGTATAGAGTAGGTAAAGAGTAGGAGTAGGAATCAGAGAGTATTCAAAGAATAGGATATTTAGATGTATTCAAAGACTAGGATATTTAGAAGTAGTTTATTGACCATAACCAAATTTGAAGTATCACTGTGGAAATAAGTGGCTGAAGTAAAATGGAAAGCAAGATCATTAGAGCTAAGAAGGCCAAGGAACTGAGAGTTGAGCACATTGCACACTTATGTGGTGTTGAAGATGCGAAGCATGGAAACAGACTTGTGATAAGAAAGGAAAGAGTGAATTAGATGATGAGGTGCTATGACTCTCAGCAACAACTGTAATGAGTAATAAATTCTAATGAAAGACATTTCATAAAACAGGAGGAATGAGAATAGATCTTTTAGAAATAGCAATGGAAAACAAGCCATATACAGTATACCTACTGGACCTTAGAGGGAAAGCTCGTCACTTGAAGGGAAGGCATAACTTTTGAAGGGAAGTAATGACTTTTGAGTTAGAGCAAGAAAGTGAAGGGAAGTTTTAGAGAAGTAGGTGAAGATTTTTAGAAGGTTTGTTAATTACAGACCATCAGTTTTCAAAGGCACATAGATGGTTTGGGAGCATGAACAGATGTAGGGAATGAGGGCATGTTAAGAGGCATGAAGAGCAGGATGGGGATTAGTGTCACAGGAGGATGGATGACGTGAAAAACTTGGACTTCTGCTGGTAACTGACTCTAAATGGGATTTGAAGCATGACATCCCTTGAAATCAGAATTATGTAAATTGAAGATTTATGAATGGTTGAATTTGTCTCTGGCTGAAAGTGTTATGGTAGCCAGGAGCAAGAGGCTACTTCATCCCTCAGGGAGGCTGACTTAGCAAAGCAGGGATTCTCCACACCCACAAATACACATGAACAGAGAAGTATTACAGAAAGTGAGAATTTGATATCTAGTTTCATCTAGTACTGTTCAAATAGCAGATGATATAATCCACTCTAGTGAATATCTAATTCCCTATCAAATGTTTCATTGCCATATCTTCAAATCACACACCTACCTGTATTATCTGTAAATATACAAATGTAATGGATTCAGAAGAGGCTGGACAAACAGGAATTCATCCCTGAGAGACTAATCAAATTTGGGGGAATGCACACAAAAATTTAGCTTCCAGACTACCATACGTGGCTGAGAACTGACTGTGCATGATGGATTTGTCTAACAGTCATCTGCTCTTTCCTCCCCTTCAAAGCCCAATTAACCAGCATATGGAAAGATAAGCAAGATGGGTACAACATGTCAAAAAAAAAAAAAAAATCAGGCCAGGTGCAGTGGCTCACGCCTGTAATACCAGCACTTTGGGAGGCCAAGCTGGGCAGATCGCTTGAGGTCAGGAGTTTGAGACCAACCTGGCCAACATGGTGAAACACCATCTCTACTAAAAATACAAAAATTAGCCAGGCGTGGTGGCGGGCGCCTGTAATCCCAGCTACTCAGAGGCCGAGGCAGGAGAATCACTTGATCCCGGGAGGCAGAGGTTGCAGTGAGCCAAGATTGCACCACTGCACTCCAGCCTGGGCAACAGAGCAAGACTATGTCAAAACAAACAAACAAATCAGTTTACTAATTCTCAGATCTATACAGGAATATGATATCTTGAGTATCTTGAGTTATCTTGAGTGGCCTTAAGTTCTATAATAATATCTACTGGTTAACTAGAGTCGTATAATACCTAAGGATTATCAGAAGCTTTTTTTTTTTAACCAATCATAATCTAAATATTTTGCATGAGTTGTCTCATTTAGTTCTCATGATATTTTTACCTACGTATCCCCATTTTCTCTCTCCTACCCCAAATAGCAAATACGTATGATGAACAATTCAAAAGATCTAGTGCACAACATGAAGACAATATTTAATAATAGTGTATTGTACTTAGACTTTTTGCAAAATGATCAGGTCACAGCTGCTCTTGCCATGGGGGGTATAACAAGTAACTATGAGATGATGAATATAGTAACCATTTTACTACATACATATATCTTACAATATCATGTTGTATACCTTAAATATACACAATACAATTTATTTTTAGAATTCTCACAATATCTAACAGATGAGGAAACTGCAACTATTTTTTTAAATGGTGACAAGAGTTATACTCTGGGCAGAGTGATTTCTGGAATTGTGAAGCTTGAGGAAAATTATTAATTTCTCTCTATTTCAGTTATTTAATGTCATCTCCTAGGATTATTAACAGTACATAGCACAAAGAAAACACTCAATGACTGTTATCTGTTACAAGTTTCCTGTGATCTTTAAAATAATTATGTTATAAATTTAAGCTATAAATTTTTATATATTCTAATTTTAAAAAATTATTTTAACAAACAGTTTGTACTTGAGATTTTGTCTGTGCAACCTTAGAAAATGTAAAAATTATATCTTTGACTTTGACAATCTAGCTAAGCAGTTCCCTTATTTTCAACAAAATGTTGCATTTTTGGAGATCACTATGTTAACTGGAATAAGCTAGGCACAGAAAGACAAATATCACGTGTTCTCACTCAAATGTGGAAGCTAAAAAATTTGACTGCTTGGAGTTAGAGAGTAGAATGATAGGTACAGGAGGCTTGGGAGGGTGTGGAGGAGGGGGATGAAGAGAGATTTATTAATGGGTACAAACATGCAGTTAGAAGGAATAAGTTATAGTGTTCAATAGCAGAGCAGGATGACTATAGTTAACAAAAATGTGTTGTATAACTCAAAATAACTAGAAGAGAATATCTGGAATGTTTACACAAAGAGATGACAAATATTTGAGGTGGCGGATATCCCAGTTACCGTGATTTGATCATTACACGTTGTATGCATGTATCAAAGAATCACATGTACCCCATAAATATGTACAACTCTTACATATCCATAAAAGGTCACATTCCTCATTTTTTAAATTATGTTTTTATTTTTTTCCTTTTTTTATTATACTTTAAGTTCTAGGATACATGTGCACAACGTGCAGGTTTGTTACATATGTATACATGTGCCGTGTTGGTTTGCTGCGCCTATTAACTTGTCATTTACATTAGGTATTTCTCCTAATACTATCCCTCCCCCATTCCCCCAACCCACAACAGGCCCCAGTGTGTGATGTTCCCCACCCTGTGTCCAAGTGTTCTCATTGTTCAGTTCCCACCTGTGAGTGAGAATATGTGGTGTTTGGTTTTCTGTCCTTGCGATAGTATGCTCAGAATGATGGTTTCCAGCTTCATCCATGTCGCTACAAAGGACATGAACTCATCCTTTTTTATGGCTGCATAGTATTCCATGGTGTATGTGTGCCACATTTTCTTAATCCAGTGTATCATTGATGGACATTTGGGTTGGTTCCAAGTCTTTGCTATTGTGAATAGTGCCACAATAAACATACGTGTGCATGTGTCTTTATAGTAGCATGATTTATAATCCTTTGGGTATATACCCAGTAATGGGATCACTGGGTCAAATGGTATTTCTAGTTCTAGATCCTTGAGGGATCGCCACACTGTCTTCCACAATGGTTGAACTAGTTTACAGTCCCACCAACAGTGTAAAAGCATTCCTATTTCTCCACATCCTCTCCAGCACCTATTGTTTCCTGACTTTTTAATGATCGCCATTCTAACTGGTGTGAGATGGTATCTCATTGTGGTTTTGATTTGCATTTCTCTCATGACCAGTGATGATGAGCATTTTTTCATGTGCCTGTTGGCTGCATAAATGTCTTCTTTTGAAAAGTGTCTGTTCATATCCTTTGCCTACTTTTTGATGGGGTTGTTTGATTTTTTTCTTGTAAATTTGTTTAAGTTCTTTGTAGATTCTGGATATTAGCCCTTTGTCAGATGGGTACATTGCAAAAATTTTCTCCCATTCTGTAGGTTGCCTGTTCACTCTGATGATAGTTTCTTTTGCTGTGCAGAAGCTCTTTAGTTTAATTAGATCCCATTTGTCTCTTTTGGCTTTTGTTATTGCTTTTGGTGTTTTAGTCATGAAGTCCTTGCCCATGCCTATGTCGTACATGGTATTGCCTAGGTTTTCTTCTAGGGTTTTTATGGTTTTAGGTCTAATATTTAAATCTTTAATCCATCTTGAATTAATTTTTGTGTAAGGTGTAAGGAAGGGATCCAGTTTCAGCTTTCTACATAAAAAATATTCATAAAGGTTTCAAATTTTCAAACTATTAGTTAAGTCATTTCAAGTTATAAGTAAGCTGCTTATTTATGCCCAGTAATATTATTTTTGGTTAAGATTTTTACAATATTTGCCTTTGTTAGTTAGAATTTACTTATTCTTACTTCTATTATTTACAACTTAATGATTTCTACTTTCATAATTGTGGCTTTGTTATGGAAACATAGATTTATAGTTATTTGAGAAAATGTGAAAATAACTTTTAAGAAATAGAGATACTAATTCTCGTAATAAGTATGGTAATTTTAGGACAAATTTATAAATCCATCTCTAACTAAGGCATATATACGTCTTGCAAACAATTGCCTAGAGTTACCCCTTCACAGCTGTTTTTATCAACATAGACAATCCAGGAGGTACACTGAAAATGAAAGTATAAAAATTAATTTTAACTCTTAAATCTGTGCTTTCACAACTCCTGCTTGGTTTAAATTCTGTTCTGGCATTTGTGAGTGTCATTTTGCCTCTGTGCCAATGAGTTGGGATTTCTTTAGATTGAGGGATGAGAGAAAAAAATAGTGAGACCTTACTTAAAAGTTCTTTGGAAAGGGGTAGGGAAATTTTCATGAAGAACACAGTGCCACTAGGAGAACAGGGTGGTCAGATATAAAGTTTTTGAAAACTGTCATGATAAACCAGGGAAACCCAGACAATGAGCCAGTGGTGGAGAGGGTAACAAGATCAATGAATAAAGCCACATGCCATTATAAAGTACAAGCAGGCAGGCCCTCTCCAAGGATAGAGGTGACAAGAAAATGGGGGATATGGATCTAGGAGGCTGCCCAAAACAGTATGTTTCTTAACCTAACCATATGTTTGTAGGCTGGCACCTTGGTGTATAAGAGCATGAGTGAAATGAATTAAATGAGGAAGCATTGACAAGTATCTTCAATCAGAATCATGATGTTTATTGTGGACTATTTATCTTGGCATGATCAGCTCTCTATAGTTATTTAATTATTTTATGCAATGTATCAGATATTGTGTCTTTTTACTCATTCTATGAATGGGTCCTTAAAATGTATCACATGGCAATAATGTAAGAAAAATGGTGCACATGCATGGACATCTTTGTAAGAACAGGACACACATATACTACTACAATTCTTATGGATCACCTATAAACATGAGGTCAAGTTGAGAAACTCCTTTTTAAGATAACTCAGTATGCACATTAATAGTTTGATTACAAAAAGGATGATGTCCAAATAATTTTTAGAAAAGGGCACTCATGTCATTAGGAAAGTGCTCTTTTTTAAGGGTCAGGCCATTTTAGTTAGCAACTGTCACTAAGGAGGTAACCATCTGTCATTATTTAGTGTCACAAGGAACATTCATTGGCATTGCTGAAGTGAACTCTGTTAGCATGTTTCTCTCTTGTTTAGTTATGTCTGCAACTGGCCATTTGCATAAAAGCCCACTGGCAAAGTCTAACATAGAATTTTAAAATTAACTTGTGTTTCAAGCACTATATATATTTCTTTTAATAAAAAAGGAAACAAGAGCCACAATGAGTAATTTTTTTCTCATCAGGAATATTGCCTAGTTTATGACCATGAATATCATTAGATGAAAAGTCAATAAGTTTTATGATTTTCAGCTTCTAAAATCCATTGCTAAATCTGGGGAAAATCTGTTTTTCTTAAGTGACAGCAAGAAATATTCTATTCTTGGAATAATATTAACATGTAGAGGAACATGGAGGGATATCATGTAATGTAAATACAATCTTATCTTTAATATAGAGAATGCATTATTTCCTTTTAATTGTAGAATCCAGCATAATTCCTTTCTTTACCTTGAGTGCTTCCATCTTATTTCATCTGGAAGTCATTTGCCTTTCATTCTATTCATCTTTTCCCAATTTTATAACCTTAAGATAAATTTTAAACATATAACAAATTGCCAATTAAATAGTTGGCCTTGTCAAACTGATAGGCAGGAAGGGAAAAAAATTGCTCGCTTCTAAAGGTCCATTTACTTATTAATGACAGCATAGGTTACTATATTTTCTTTGTACGCATTACTTCATCCAAGGTAGAGAGCCCGAAGAAGTGTAATAAAAGCTTGGCTTTTGATTTAGATTCTATTTTTATAGAAATGCTTTTGGAATATGTAACATATGCTTTACAAAGTGCTTAGGAGGGGGCAAAACAGTATATCTAGTAAGGATACTTCCTGTGGTTATACATGGAACACTGCTGGAAAGCCCATTCCATTTTATTACCTGTGAGACTTTGCGTAAGACAATTCATCTTGCTGAATCTTAGTTTTCTCATCTTATAAATAGGGTTAAAAATGACTACTCGATAGTGTTATTTTGAGAGTAAGCTATGTAAAGTAGTTTGAGTAGCTAGCACAGTTGACATTAAAGAAGTGGTAGTCAATAATGTTATTACTATCATCAATAATTATATATATATGGAAATGTTTGTAAATTAAAGTTACCCAAAGGACAATATTGCATATAGCCAAGAGTTCCTAGTATAGCTTTGTTCTGTTCATTGTGAAGTATACAATTATATTAATTACAAAGTTTGTATATTTGTTTTCATGCTTTGTAACTGATTTTACATTTTCATGACCATTTTTGCTAATTGATCTGTTGTCAAATATTTAGGGAATACTCATTGTGTTTCTACCAATGCCCTCCTTGAGTACAGGGCACATAACAAACCAGCAATCACCAGTATGTTTTCCTGTTCAGTACATCAACATGATAAATATCTTACGAATAAAATATCTAGGTGAAAAAAAATCAGCTAGATTATAAATGGTCTCTAAGAATTCACTACAAATCTTGACCAATTACTATTTTCCAGTGCAGAGAGTATCTGATTTTCTCCTCTGTCTGCTAAAATTCCTTCAGTGATTCTCAGTGATTTTAGGAACAAGACCAAAACTTTGATGGCCTACACTCACCTGGTCTTCTCATAGGCCATACACCAGCCACATTGTCTTTCTTTCCATTCTTCAAAATCTTCATGCTGCTTCCTGTCACAGGGACTCTCACATTCTGAAACGTTATTCTAAGTTACCCTTTGTCTAGCTAAGTCATATTCAACTTCTAATAATGACTTACACATTTCCCCAGGGAAGCCAGAGCAGATAGTTCACAACATTCAATTCCACAACCTTTGACTCTCATAGTACCAAGATCCTTTCCTTCACCTGTAAAAACAAAAGCCAGGTAACAATTCATTTCCATTAAATAAGATATGTGGGTGTATATATATTTTGTAATGTATGGTTTATATAATATGTCATAATGTATTACTTATATGTGAAGAGACTTCAAAAGTTTGTGGAAAATGAAATTAAAAGATAAAAATAAAAAATAGAAACCTATTTCTAACATAAGCTTCATCAAATTAAAGACACTTTTGTAAGCAATGATACCAGCTATTTAATCCACCCCTAAAGAACAGAGGGTCTGGGAATTTAACCATGTCAATGCATTCTTTTAAAAAATATTTTAACTGAAGAAAAATGGGTGCCGTTTAAGGATTTTTTAAGATTAGAAAACAAAAAGAAGTCAGAAAGTGCTAAGTCAGGACTATAAGGTGAATGCCTAATGATTTCCCATTGAAATTCTCACAAAATTGCCATTGTTTGATGAGAGGAATGACCAGGAGCATTGTCATGATGGAGAAAGACTGGTGAAGTTTTCTGGGTGTTTTTCTGCTCAAGCTCTGGCTAATCTTCTGAAAACACTCTCATAATAAACAGATGTCATCATTGTTTGGCCTTCCAGAAAGTCAACAAGCAAAATGCCTTGAGCATCCTCTGTGTTGCCCTGGCCTTTGCTCTTGACCAGTCTGCTTTTGCTCTAACTGGATCACTTCCACTTCTTGGTAGCCATTGTTGTGATTGTGCTTTGTCTTCAGGATCATACTGGTAAAGCCATGTTTCATCTCCTCCTGTTCTTTGAAGAAATGCTTCAGTATGTTGTATCTCACTTGTTTAAAATTCCCATTGAAAGCTCTGCTCCTGTCTTCAGCTGATCTGGGCACAACGATTTTGGCACCCATTGAGTGGCAAGTCTGCTGAACTTTAATTTTGCAGTCTGAATTGTGTAAGCTGAACTAATTGAGATGTCTATGGGTTGGCTATTGTTTATTCTGTTAATCACTGGTCCTCTTCAATTGGGGAACAAAAAGATTAATTCTTTCCTCCCAAATGGATGTGGATGTTCTACTTCCGCAGACTTCATCTTTGGCATTGTCTCATTCCTTCTTAAAAGGAGTTATCCATTTGCAAACTGCTGATTTATTTGGGGCTTTGTCCTCATAAACTTTTCATAAAGTATCAATTATTTCACAATTTTTTCACTCAAGCTTCATCATAAATGTAATGTCTTTTTTACTTCAATTGTAGCAGCATTCATGTTGCTCTGATAGGGGCTGTTTTCAAACTGATGTCTTATCCTTCTTGGTGCCTCAAAGAAGATCCTATTCAGAAAAGTTATAACATGTTAGTACAAGTTTATTTGGGTTTAAACAAAATTTGAAACCCATGCATAGTTTTTCAATAATATGCATTTACATAAACATTTTGAAGTTCTCTCATATTATATAGTATATCATGTTTTATATATTATCTAGTATAATATATAGAAATTTCTAGCTACATCTTTAGATAGGAGCTCTGTATCTGGGACAGTATGTCAAGATGGATTTGGTTTATTTAAATACAATCAACATCTTTCCTGCTGTAGAAAACAAAATCTATCTTTAAGAATACCAATGGCTCCATGCCACTGAGCAATTTTATTCCTAGATATCTATTCAAGATAAATGAAAGCATATATCTACAGAAAGATGTGTACAATAATATTCACAGCAGGTTCATTCATATTAGCCCCATACTGGGAACAACCTAAATATCCAATGGAGACAAAATGTGGTATATCCATATGATAGAATACTATTCAGCAGTAAATGAAAATGAAGTACTGAAATGTGCAGCATTATGGCTGAACCTCAAAAACATGTTATGTGAAAAAAGCCAAACACAAGAGACCACATATTGTAAGATTTCATTTGTATAAAATGCCTAGAAAAAAACAAATTTACAGAGACAGACAGATTAATGATTACCTGGGGCAGGGGTTAATATTGGGGATTAACTTTAAATGGGCATGAGGGAACCTATTGAGGGAACTAGAATGTTCTAGAATTGCTTTACGGTGGTAGCTGCATCATGGTTAAGTTACTAAAAATCATGGTGTAGTTATAAAAATATAAGAAACCAAGTTAGAGAAAACTGATTGGAATGATGGTGTACATGCAAAACACTTTGCACAACATCAGGCCAGAGCTGAAAGGTCAATGTGATGATTAATACTGAGTATCAACTTGATTGGATTGAAGGATACAAAGTATTGAACCTGGGTGTGTCTGTGAGGGTGTTGCCAAAGGAGACTAACATTTGAGTCAGTGGGCTGGGAAAGGCAGACCCACCCTTAATCTGGGTGGGCATAATCTAATCAGCTTCCAGCATGGCTAGAATATAAGCAGGTAGAAAAATGTGGAAAAAGAGACTGGCCCAGCTTCCCAGCCCACAACTTTCTTCCATGCTGGATACTTCCTGCCCTTGAACATTGGACTCCAAGTTATTCAGTTTTAGAATTCGGACTCGCTCTCCTTGCTCTTCGGCCTGCAGATGGCCTTTTGTGGAACCTTGTGATTGGGTGAGTTAATACTTAATAGACTCCCCTTTGTGTACATATATATATTCCATTAGTTCTGTCCCTCTAGAGATCCCTGACTAATATAGTCAATAAGCCTGAAGTAACAGTATGCTTTAAAAATAATCCCACTTGATATATGCTTACCAGCTTTGCCCCAAATGTTATAATATGTGATGAAAATAAGTGTTACCACTTAAAAGCTGTCTCTCCGCTTAATTCCTCATCTGAAATGTATATTCCATGTAACAAACTGCACACGTACCTCCTGTATCTAAAATAAAAGTTGAAATTTTAAAAATGTATTTCTGATGTAAAATAGCTTTGGAAGATAGAAAGAATTAGCCATTATGATTTTCTTGAAGGAGAAAAGGTAAAACATGTACTAATTTCATCACAATACAAAACAGTATATGATTGGGACCAGGAGAGTGGTTGTGCTTTTGAATTGTTTTTTAAAAAATTCTAAATGCACCAACTAAGACTAAATTAGACCAACACTGTATTTGAACTCAACCTTAAATACATACATGCATACATATATACATGCATATATTCAATTGTTCACTCATACATACACGACTCTGTTTACTCATTTACCGTATGTGACACTCTCAACGAAACCTCTCATAACTATTGGCAACTTTGATGTCAATATAGATAACTCTTTACCCTAGGTACTCTGTTTCTAAGCCTCCTTTTCATCCATGAGCTTCTCCTCAGCCAGTCATTCTATAATCACATACTAATTTAGTCATTACCTGTGTATGCTTATCCATGCTCAAAAAAAGTTTCCTTACCATATAGAAAAATAAACTTAAGATGGATTAAGGACTTAAATGTAAGACCTAAAACCATAAAAATGCTAGAAGAAAACCTAGGAAATAACCTTCTGGACATTAGCCTAACAAATACTTTATGATTAAGACCTCAAAAGCAAATGCAACAAAACCAAAAATAGACAAATGGATCTCAATTAAAGTAAAGAGCTTCTCTCTGCACAGCAACAGAAACAACTGACAGAGTAAACACAACCTACAGAATGGGAGAAAAATGTTTGCAAACTATGCATGTGTATTAGTATGTTCTCACACTGCTATAAAAAACTACCTGAGACTGGATAATCTATGAAGAAAAGAGGTTTAATTGGCTCATGGTTCCGCAGGCTGTACAGGAGGCATGGCTTGGGGAGGCCTCAGGAAACTTACAAGCAGGGCAGAAGGTGAAGGGGAAGCCAGCATGACCTACATGGCTGGAGCAAGAGGAATAGAGCAAAAGGGAAAGTGCCACACTTTTAAACAACCTGATCTTGTGAGAACTCACTCACTCTCACGAGAATAGCAAGGGGGAAATCCACCCCCATGATCCAATCACCTCCCACTATGTCCCTCCCTCAACACTGGGTATTACAAATGGACATGAGGTTTGTGTGGGGACACGGAGCCAAACCATATCAGCATCTGTCAAAGGACCAATACCCAGAATCTATCAGGAACTCAAAAAAATCAACGAGAAAAAATAAGAACCAAAATGCCCCATTAAAAAAGTGGGGAAAGCACTGAACAGCCATTTCTCAAAAGAAGACATACTAAAAGCCAACAAACATGAAAAATGCTCAATACCGCTAATCATCAGAGAAAATTAAAACCACAACGGGATACCATCTCACACCAGTCAGAATGGCTCTTACTAAAAGTCAAAGGCTAGGCACAGTGCCTCAAGCCTGTAATCCCAGGACTTTGGGAGGATAATGTGGGCATATCACTTAAGTCCAGGAGGTCGAGACCAGCCTAGGCAACATGGCAAAACCCTATCTCTACAAAAAATACAAAAATTAACTGGGCGTGGTGGAAAGCACCTGTAGTCCCAGCTACTTAGGAGGCTGAGGTGGGAGGATCACCTGAGCCTGGAGAGGTCGAAGCTGCAGTGAGCCATGATCATGCCACTGCATTCCAGCCTGGGCAACAGAGTGATACCCTGTCTCAAAAAATAAAAAGTCAAAAAATAACTTTTTTGACATCAGGGAGAATGTGGATAAAAGGGAATAATTATACACTGTTGGTGGGAAGGTACACTAGTACACAACCTCTATGGAAAACAGTATGAGGATTTCTCAAGGAACTAAAAATAGAACTACCATTCAATCCAGCAATTCCATTACTGGGTATCTACCCAAAGTAAAAGAAATTGTTATATCAAAAAGATGCCGGCACTTGTATGTTTATTGCAGCACTATATATAATAGTAAAGTCATGGACTCAACCTAAGTCTTCATCAACAATTGATTGGACAAAGAAAATGTGGTACTCTCTAAAGACTACTTCTTCCAGTACCCTGACTTCAACAATTCTTTGACCTTACGAGGACCAACAATCTACCAGGTTTGTATGTTTTCTTCCACTTCTCTCAACCCACTTTAATATCTTTACTTTTCATTTTACTTAGATTAGATTCTCCTGTACAACATTATAATAACTCCCTTACACATACTCTCTGTTTAATCCTTTCTCATTTTTTTTCATTGAACTTTCCTGAAATCTTGAGTTGTATCAGTTTGAGGTAGGACCTGAAATAGGATAATGTTGGTGGACATTTGAAATGGACTGGAAGTAGTCACTAAACAAGGTTAGGAATTATAACAGAGTACCAGAAAGATATCTGACTCAACTGCCACACTGATTGAGAAATGGTATATGATATGGGTGAAAAAAGAGAACAGGTGAAGATACAAATTTCTAAACTATTTTTGAATTTTGTGTCCTGATCAGTGTAAAAACTGTAATAACATAGTATTTTGACAAATTAGAGCCAAAATAATAAATTTGTCTTTGTTTTAATTCTTGCTTCATAAATTGAGAAATACAAACTCATTCTAAAGAGTCACCAAATCAAGGATAGAAATCTAACATTTAGTCTCACATGTACACTTTTAAAGAATATAGTATTCTCATCCTGGCCAACAAGGTGAAACCGCATCTCTACTAAAAATACAAAAATTAGCTAGGCATGGTGGTGCATGCCTGTAATCCCAGCTACTCTGGAGGCTGAGGCAGGAGAATTGCTTGAACCAAGGAGTCGGAGGTTGCAGAGAGCCGAGATCACGCCACTGCACTCCAGCCTGGTGACAGAGCGAGACTCGGTATCAAACAAACAAACAGCCGCCAACAACAACAACAACAACAACAAAACAAAACAAAAAAGAACATAGTATTCTAACATGATCATCTTGATTTGTACTCTGATTTCTACTCGCTTCCCCTAGAGGTTAAAACAAAAAATAGTGGTTTCTAGCTTCAATGTGTATTATCTAAAAGCCTGTCAGTAGAATTACCACGTAAATATTTTCCTAAAACTTGAGAAGTTAGCTAAATCTATTTGTTTCTTGATGTCTACTATACAGCCATCATTGAGTTACTTGCATCTGCTTTAGGCTTATGCCACATAATGAATGTCATTCATTGACAGCTTAATTCTGTTGTGCTGATTATCTCAAACCTGAATTTTATGGCAATGCAGACTCACTCTCTAGTTTACCTTTATATGCCTGATAGAATGTATAATTACAGTTGGGATTAGCCTAATCCATTCTCTACTTAATGAGCTGAATGAATATTAAACCCCAAATGGAAAGGAATTCAGCATATTTTAACTCTTCTTCACTCTGGCATGATTTTATTTTTACAACTTCACTTAGCTTGATCCATTATCACCCCCGCATTCATTCCAGCACACACACTAACTCAACTGATTTCATAATCTTATGAGTTGAAATCCATGGCATTTGACCTGGAAATAAAAATGTTATGATTATTAAACCACAAGAAGGCAACTGGTAATTTGAATTTCAGTATTTGCATTTTAATGCACATGTGGAGAGAACATTTTGATAGTAATGATTTATCTTTGGATAAAATCCATTCTCTAAATGAGATTGAATCAAGAAGTCTGAATCGGTTGAAACAGATGACCTTTAATATTGATATCAAGACTGATAACCTATTACTCTATTAATTCCTCAGCAATATTCATATCACAAAGAATAAAGAGATAATGTACATATTTTGAGATGGACCTATTTTTTTCTTCTGGTACACTCATCTCTTGTGAAATGTGATTCTGATAGTTAAAAATAATATCAGAAATTGTTTACATAGAAAACATTTAAGTTCTGGAAGTAAACCCAAAGAATGTCTATTTAATGAACATATGTCATGTGCAACTTAGTGATTGGGGCATGGCATGAATGACACTAATATACATAGTACTTGTCTCCTCAAATAAGTTTTGAGATAGTTTTTCAGATAAAATGAAAAACTTACACAAAATTTAGGATAATATAATGGAAGATGCAGGGAACTCAGACCAAATAACAGAAAACATTATATAATAAATTAATAAACAATATATTAGGTTAGTTTAAACAAATAATTAACTGTAAAGAAATAAATCAGTAACTCTAGTTTCCCTCCCAGTAATGGTCAAATAGCTTCTTTCAGAATAACTTTCTTACAGAAAAAATATTATAAATTCTTGTGCAAAGATTACTTGAAGGCACTACAGAATGGCCAAAATTGAATAAAAACTGGAGGAAAGTGAAGGGCTTTGGGTAAAATTCCTGGGTAATAAGCCTTCTTGCTTGAGGGCACACCCCTATTTTGGTGAGGCTTCTGGAACTAAAGAATACTTCCGTTGGTTACTGGCTTCAGGAGTGAGAAGACAGAGTTTGGGGGTTCCAGAACAGCTGAATACGATGGAGGAAGTTCTGGAAGGAGTGAGCCACATAAGGACGAGTCCCCAAATATATATACAAATTCTGCCTACGTTACTCAACAGCCCCTGAATTTGGCATGAGTTGGGGAAAATAAAACATCTGTAAGGCTGAAAGAATTGAATAGTTTCAGCTGTCATCTGTCATGGAGGTGGGAGTTGAGGGGTTTGGTATGGGCAGGTATCAAGTTGGGATTTAATTCGTTCAAATTAACTTGCAGCTATGACAAAAAATAAGAGAGAGAGAGAGAGAGAGATCAGAATCCAGAATCTACATCTCATTTACAATGTGCACACTATTTTAAAATGTTGCTAATTATGTGTGGAAACAGAGAAATGTGACTCGTACTCAAGAGAAAACGCCCTACATGTTCCGAAAAGCTACAGCTTACATTATATGCAATGAGGAAATATTGGATGCTTTTCCCCTATGGTTGAGAAGAAGGCAGAGTTGGCTCTCTATTCAATTTGCACGAAAGTTACTAAGTAGTGGAGAACAAAAAATGAAATAGAAGACATAAAAACTAGAAGAGAATGAAACTGTATTTATTCACAGATTACCTGAATATTTTTGTAGAAAAGTCTAAGGAATATATTTTAAAAGTATTACAAAAAAGAAGTGATTTCAGCAAGAACACAGGATACAGGATTGATATGAAAATATGACTTATGCTTTTATACACTTGTAATGAAAAATTGAAAAAATCCATTTACAACATGGAAATACTTAAAATACTGATAATTTTATAGAAGATATTTAAAACTCTTCCATTAAAACAACAAAACATGAGAAAAATTAATGAAGACTTGAATAAATGAAGATAGATGTCATGTCTATGGGACTGGAAGATTCAATATTGTCAAATTGTCAGTTCTCTCCAATTGATATATAGATTAATTTCAATCTAGATAATAATCACAGCAGGGTATATTTTGTAGAAATTAACACTTTGAAATATAAAATGTATATAGGGTTGTAAGAGGACTTAGAATTACTTAAATAATAATGGAAAGTATAATTTCATTGGGGGATTTTATACTACTTGACTTTAAGACCATGTAAAGTTATGGTAATCATGGCATAATGATAGACAACAGTTGAATGGAATAGAATGAGTAGTGCATATATATACCCTCACTTAGACAAATAATTGATTTTTTGACCTAGGCATACACATGGGCATTTGTGCACATGCACACACACATACACACATCAGTAGGAAAGTATAATCAACAGATGGTGTTGGAATAACTAGGATATGGAAAATCCATAAACTTTTACCGTTACCTCACAATCTCCACAAAAATTGACATAATGTGATTTATATACCTAAATATAAAAAAGCCAGACATACCTCTGTTTTTGGCTGGAACCACGGAGGGTACAGAAGAGACGAAGAAGAAGGTTCCTGCTGTGCCAGAAACCCTTAAGAAAAAGTGAAGAAATTTCACAGAGCTGAAGATCAAGTGCCTGAGAAAGAAGTTTGCCCAAAAGCTGCTTCGAAAGGCAAGGAGGAAGCTTATCTATGAAAAAGCAAAGCACTTTTCAAAGGGAATGCTTCCAGTTTTTGCCCATTCAGTATGATATTGGCTGTGGGTTTGTCATAGATAGCTCTTATTATTTTGAGATACGTCCCATCAATACCTAATTTACTGAGAGTTTTTAGCATGAAGGGTTGTTGAATTTTGTCAAAGGCCTTTTCTGCATCTATTGAGATAATCATGTGGTTTTTGTCTTTGGTTTTGTTTATATGCTGGATTACATTTATTGATTTACATATATTGAACCAGCCTTGCATCCCAGGGATGAAGCCCACTTGATCATGGTGGATAAGCTTTTTGATGTGCTGCTAGATTCGGTTTGCCAGTATCTTATTGAGGATTTTTGCATCAATGTTCATCAAGGATATTGGTCTAAAATTCTCTTTTTTGGTTGTGTCTCTGCCCGGCTTTGGTATCAGGATGATGCTGGCCTCATAAAATGAGTTAGGGAGGATTCCCTCTTTTTCTATTGATTGGAATAGTTTCAGAAGGAATGGTACCAGTTCCTCCTTGTACCTCTGGTAGAATTCGGCTGTGAATCCATCTGGTCCTGGACTCTTTTTGGTTGGTAAGCGATTGATTATTGCCACAATTTGAGCTCCTGTTATTGGTCTATTCAGAGATTCAACTTCTTCCTGGTTTAGCCATCCCATTACTGGGTATATACCCAAAGGACTATAAATCATGCTGCTATAAAGACACATGCACACGTATGTTTATTGCAGCACTATTCACAATAGCAAAGACTTGGAACCAACCCAAATGTCCAACAGTGATAGACTGGATTAAGAAAATGTGGCACATATACACCATGGAATACTATGCAGCCATAAAAAATGATGAGTTCATGTCCTTTGTAGGGACATGGATGAAACTGGAAATCATCATTCTCAGTAAACTATCGCAAGAACAAAAAACCAAACACCACATATTCTCACTCATAGGTGGGAATTGAACAATGAGAACACATGGACACAGGAAGGGGAACATCACACTCTGGGGACTGTTGTGGGGTCGGGGGGGGGAGGGATAGCTTTGGGAGATATACCTAATGCTAGATGACGAGTTTGTGGGTGCAGCGCACCAGCATGGCACATGTATACATATGTAACTAACCTGCACATTGTGCACATGTACCCTAAAACTTAAAGTATAAATAAAAAAAAAAGAAAAGAAAAAGCGAAGCACTATCACAAGGAATATAGGCAGAAGTACAGAACTGAAATTCGAATGGCAAGGATAGCAAGAAAAGCTGGCAACTTCTATATACCTGCAGAACCCAAATTGGTGTTTGTTATCAGAATCAGAGGTATCGATGGTCTGAGCCCAAAGGTCCGAAAGGTGTTGCAGCTTCTTCGTCTTCGTCAAATCTTCAATGGACCTTTGTGAAGCTCATCAAGGTTACAGTTAACATGCTGAGGACTGTAGAGCCATATATTGCCTGTGGGTACCCAAATCTGAAGTCAGTAAATGAACTAATCTACAAGCATGGTTATGGCAAAATCAGTAAGAAGCGAATTGCTTTGACAGATAATGTTTTGATTGCTCGATCTCTTGGTAAATATGGCATCATCTGCATGGAGGATCTGATTTATGAGATCTATACTGTTGGAAAACGCTTCAAAGAAGCAAATAACTTCCTGTGGCCCTTCAAATTATCTTCTCCATGAGGCTGAATGAAGAAAAAGACCACCCATTTTGTAGAAGGTGGCGATGCTGGCAACAGGGAGGATGATATCAACAGGCTTATTAGAAGAATGAACTAAGGTGTCTACCATGATTATTTTTCTAAGCTGGTCGGTTAATAAACAGTACCTGCACTCAAATTAAGAAAAAAAGCCAGACATATAAAACTTCATGAAGAAAACGTATAATATCTTTACTAACTTGAAGTAGGCAAAGATTTCTTAGCAAGACATGAAACAATAACCATCACAGACAAAAAATTATACCTTAGATATTATTGAAATTAAAACATTTTCTCATCAAGAGATACAATTAAGAAAATTAATTCATAAACCACAGACCTGGAGACATTATGTGCACATTTTGTATGTGACAAAGCATTGGTATGCAGAATATATAAATAATTTCACTAACTCAGCAAAGTAATTATATACAATAGGCAAAAGGATTGAACAGGGACATCACAATGCAGCCATACATGAATAATGGCTACAGTGAAAAAGTCTTACATCACCAAATATTGAAGAGTATAGAGAGCAACTGAAGGAAATCAAATGCAATGTTTTTTCTTTTGTTTTGTTTTAAAAATGGCACAACCATTTTTAAAACTGTGTGAAAGTTTCTAATGAAGTTAAACCTATGCATCTCCTATGATGAAGTAATTCAACTTCTAGGTATTTACCCAAAAGAAAAATTTTTTATTTCCCACTAAAACATTTGTACAGGAATGTTAATAGCAGTTTTATTCACTATAGCAAAAACTGGATGTAACTCAAATATCTGTTAAGAGAATGAATAAACAGATTATGGTGTATTATATAAAGGTAAACTACTCAACAAGAAAAAGGACTAAACTACAAATACATTTAACATCATGAACATTACAATGACCAAAAGAATCTGGACACAAAGTAGTATATAGTATATGATTTTTTATATGAAGTTCTAGAGCAGAAAACATTAACTTATTGGGAAACAAATTAGTAAAGTGGTTATTAGGGTTCTGGGGAGTTGACAGGAAGGGAGGATGAGGAAAATCTGTGGGGAGATGGAAATATTGTACATCTTGATGGAGGTGTGGGTTTCACCAGTGTATGCATGTGTATACATTTGTCAAAGCTCATCAAATCTCACAGTTAAGATCTTTATATTTTAGGGTATATAAATTTCAACACACAGAATTATAAAAAATAATAAACTCAATTTGGGAATCTTACTTTTCACAGTCTTGTGGGTTAGCAAATCTGAAACTATTTTATGTGTTTCTAGGCTTGAGAAAATAGATTAATATATTGAGAATAATAGAAACATATGCATTTTCCACAGAGGTTGTGTTAATGTACACTCACACCAATAGCATATAACAGTTATTGTTGTTCAACATCCTCATCAAAACCAGATATTTTATGCCTTTTTATTCTAGAAGCAAGCTGAATTTTAGTCCCCACGGCACATTTGGCCAGGAGTCATTGTGTAAGACACTGTTTGCAAAGAGAATAGCTCTTAGAACAGATGACTAGAATGTTCCAGCATATAAGGGATAAGTAAAAGAAAAATCAATATGTTTGAATGAGAAAGAGCTACCAATAAACCAGAAAGACAAATAGACAGGAAGAGCAGTATCATGGAGACTGATGGAAAAGAGCTAAAGGAAAGACTGATGAATAGTATTGAAGTTAGAAATTTCACAAAAATAAAAACAATAAAGTGATCATTTGATTTGGTGTTTAGGAAGTAATTGGTGTCATTAGTGAGACAAGAGTGACTGATTTAGAGTGTGTGGGGAGATGAATAAGGGTTTGGTGTAAGCCGGTTGCTATGAATTGAAGAAATAATGAAATATGTGAATATAAGCTTAAATATAAAGGACAGTTAGACCATAATTGAGAGAGGGATTTTACACCAAAATATTTTTTAAATGGATGTGTTCACTTGTTCATATAAAGATAAAGAGCCATCCTTAAAGGAGTAGGGATTTTAAAAGAGTTAAATGGAATAAAAATAATTTCTGTGGATGATTGGAAGATATAGGGGTCTAGATAACAGTTTGGAGATAAGAGTAAGAGGCCCCAAGGCAAACTTAGGATCACTACCATTTATTTGGTGTTCATTTAATGTTTCAGGCACTATTCTATCTCATTTGTAAGCCTGAAAACAGTGTTATGAAAGAATACTGTTTTGTCATCACATAGCTAAAACAGAGTCATAAAGTAACCTGTATGAATTGTACAATTAGGAAATTACAGAACCAGGGTTCGAAACCACGTAATATAGCACCAAAAGCCAAGCTCTTAATAGCTACTCTCCATTGCCCTAGAATGGAAACTAAAGAGTAAAATATATGATGGCACAGCTTGGCCCTTATTTGATACTGATAAGCCTAGATTCAGGCTGAACAATCAATTCTTATCCAAAATCTCTTTCCAAGATTTGGCCTTTGCATTTGTTGTATTATTATTTTTTTGATAGCATGAGTCCATAAAGTATATATATCACACAAAGATCCCTTACTTTTAATACCAGAAAATTCCCTCAAATGTTAATAAAAACAGTATTCACTAACAAGTGCCTTTTTAATGTTGTTGCTAAGGTAAGTCTCATATTTGTTTATTAAAATATCTTCTATTTTTCACACTACTGATTCCACATGAAGTCTGTTTATTAAAGAAAAGAGTGCTTAAGATAGTCTAGAAGTAAGAACGTTAAAGAATAAACAGAAGTAAAATGTACTGCTAAAATTATTAAATAACCAAAAAAATACGAATCATTGTTTCCTCATTTGTGTTTATAAATATCTCTCTTTATAAGTTATTAACAATGAGAGACAGACCCAATACTTATGAAGCAATTGTTATAGAATCATAATGTCTTGTAACTTTTTGTTGTGGTCACTCTTGTATGATGCAACTTTGTTAAAAGAATAAATAAAATGGTATTTATTCCAAACAACCTTTTGAAATCTACCATTGAAAACACAAGGAAAAATATGCTTAAGATCTTGTGTGTAAGAACTTTCCCAAAATTCTCTTTTCAACTTCTTTAGCTTTCTGTCTGCATGGTATTATTTGATAAGCTCATATCCCTAGGGTGCTCAAGTCAAATCTCTGCCATGATTTCCAAATCTGGCAGTCTCCAAACTCACTGCTAAGAATGCTGAATCAAACTGACATCGGCTTGACAGGTCTATCAAATTTTTTATTTCAGAGAGATTTATAAATCAGACCCTTCCATATTTGTTCCATTACAATGGCATTAGATAAATATATTTTCTTTTCAGCATCCATATTTATTCATTCTAAATGCCCAAATTTTCCTGTATGCCTTCTGTGTACCATGTAGGATGTACTGTGTACAATCTGGTCAGGTCCAGATTGTTTCATTTGATATTCTTCCCACAGCTTCTCATTTTGTTCATATATTAATTCATTAAACATATTTATTGAATGCCTACTGTGTTCTTAGGGCATGTCTTCATGGGGTTTGCGTTCTAGCTGAAGGGCAGTAAATGTACTAAATGATATAATACAGTGTTGTCCAATAGAACTTTCTGTCATTATGGAAATGTCTTGTAATATCTGCATTGTTCAATATGGTAGACAGGAGTCATATGTTAAGCACTTGGAACATGGTTAATGCATCTAAAGAAATACTTTATTTTATTTTATTTAAATTTAGTTAATTAGTATCTATATTTAAATATCCACAGGTAGTTAGTGGAGCCACACTCAACCATGTAGAATATTAAATTTGGCACATTTTATAGTGAAAAAAATTAAAGAAAAGAGCAAGGTAAGAGGACTGCAACAGGACTGTCCAAAGAGAGATTAGAATTGTAAATAGGGTAATTAGAGTATGTTTCCTTGAGAAGGTGACAATTGATGTGACAAAGACCTGAAAGAGGGAGACAGTTAACTATGATGTCACTTTGAGGAAGAACATTTCACACACAGGGAATAGCCTGTGCAAAAATTCCTTTGGTGACATTGTGCCTGGCATGTTGAAGTGAAACCTGCTTTCCTTTATCTTCAACCCACCGATTCTAGATCTTTTTCAAAACAAATGCTTTCTTTCCTACTTTCTTCTCAAAATGACAACCCTTTCAAATATTTGAAGACTACTTATGGCTACATTTTTGCTTACTCCATAGTAAATTTCCTAATGGTATAGTTGTTCACCTATTTATTTGTTACATTCTATCACGATATTTTTAGTTTTCCAGCTTTATTAAGGTATAATTTACAAATGAAATTGTATATATTTATGGTGTACAATGTGATGTTTTGATGTATGTATACACTGTGAGATGATCAAATTAAGATAATTAACATATCCATCACCTCTCATCGTTATTTTTTGTGGTAAGAACATTTAAAATCTACTCTCTTAGCAATTTTGAAGTACACAATACATTATTATTAGCTGTAGTCACCATGCTGTATAATAGTTCTCCAAAGGTTATTCCTCTTGTCTGACTGAAACTTTGTACCCTTTGATTAGTATCTCCCCATTTCCATCCCCTACATCCAGCCCCTGGTAACCACCATTTGACTCTCTCATTTTATCAGTTCAACTTTTTTAGACTCCTCATAAAAGTGAGATCATGCGGTGTTTGTCTTTCTGTGCCTAGCTTGTTTCACTTAACATAATGTCCTCCAGATTCATCAATGTCGTTGCAAATGACATTGTCAGCTTTCTTAAAGCTGACTAGTATTCCATTGTATGTGTTTATGTGTGTGTATGTGTCACGTTTTCTTAATCCGTTCATCTGTCAATGGACACTTAAGTTGATTTTATATGTTGGCTATTGCAAATAATGCAATGAACATGAGAGTACAGATATTTCTTCAACACGCAAATTTTATTTTCTTTGGATATATACCCAGAGGAAGGATTGCTGTATCATCTGATAGCCCTATTTTTAATTTTTTGAGAAACTTCTATGCAGTTTTTCATCATAGATTTACTAATTTACATTCCCCCCAACAATGTACAAGGGTTCACTTTCCTCCACATCCTCAGCAAGACTGGTTGTCTTTTTCTTTTTAGTAATAGTCATTGTGACAGATGTGAATTAAGATCTCACTGTGCTTTTAATTTGCATTTCCTGTTGATTAGTGATATTGAGCATTTAAAAATATATATTACCCACTTGTATGTCTTATTTTGAGAAATATTTATTCTGGTTTTATGTTCATTTTTAAAATCACGTTATTTGTTTTCTTGCTATTGAGCTATTTGAGTTCCTTATATATTTTAGATATTAGCTCCTTATTAGATGTATGGTCTCCAAATGTTTTCTTTCATTTCATAGGTTGTCTATCCACCCTGATGATTATTTTCTTTGCTGTGCAAAACTTTTTAGTTTGACACAATCCCGTTTGTCTATTTTTGCTTCTGTTGCTTGTGATTTTGGAGTCATATCAAAAAAAAATCTTTGCCAAAACTATTGTCAAGAAGCCTTTTCCCTATGTTTTCTTCTAAGAGTTTCATAGTTTCAGGTCTTACATTTAAGTCTTTAATCCATTTAGAGTTTATTTCTGTATATGAGGTGAGATAAAAGTCCAATTTTTTTCTTCTGCATGTGGATATTCAGTTTTCTCAACACCATTTATTAAAGAGGCTATCTTTTCTCCATTGTGTGTTCTTGGCAACTTTGTGAAATATTAATTTACTGTAAATTCAAGGATTTATTTCTGCAGTCTCTATTCTGTTCCATTGGTCCACATGTCTGTTTTTATGCCAGTAATCTGCTGTTTCAATAACTGTAACTTTGTAGTATATTTTGAGATCAAGAAGAGTAATGCTTCCAGATTTATTCTTTTTTGCTCAAGACAGCTTTGTCTATTTGGGGTGTTGTGTGGTTCTATATGAATAATAGGATTATTTTTCTATTTCTGTGAAAAATGTCATTGGAATTTTTATAGGAATTGCCTTGAATCTGTAGATCACTTTGGGTACTATGGAAATTTTAACAATATTCATCCTGTAATACATGAAAATGAAATATCTTTCTATTTATTGGTGTCTTCTTCAGTTTCTTTCATCAATATTTTATAGTTTTCAGTGTATAGGTTTTTCACCTCCCTAGTTAAATGTATTCATAAGAATTTTTTATGCTATTGTAAATGGGATTGTTTTCCTTTCTTTTTAAATTTTTATTTTTAATTGTAAATTGACATGTTACAGGGCAGTATATATTTAGAATACAAAGCGATATTACGATTTATTAAAACAATGCGGAATAATTTAATCAAGCTAATTAACATACCTGTCACCTAAAATACTTATTCTTTTGCGGTGAAGGCATTTAAAATTTATTCTCTTAGTGATTTTGATTTTAGCCGGTGGTCATGGCAGATTGCCTTCTTGATTTCTTTTTCAGATAGTTCACTGTTAGTGTACAGAAATGCTACTGATTATTGGCTATTGCCAAGGGGAGGAGAAGCAATGAGGGAGGCAGGAGGCCAAGACAAGGTGGCTTAGACATATTATTGAATTGTGTACAACAAGGTGTGTCTGGCATATGCATGGAAGACAGATGTTAAGGCATCAAATTTACAGAAGCTAGAAGTGTGGCTGATACAAGGGTATATAGCCAACTGTGCTACATAGAGTCATTCTGGGAACCAGGGTGACAAAATCCTGCTGCCTTCAACGTGTGGCTTCCATGGTCACCAGGGACATCAATATCTACCAGCAGAAGGGAAAAGAGCAGTGAGGATCTTTTGTGGAAGGATTTGTGGGCCAGACCTGGAAACACATTCCTCCCACATTCCTCTATCACTCCTATTCACACTCACTCAACTAGAACTTTATCCCAAGACACACCTAACTGTGAGGAAGGATAGGAAAGACAGTATTACTGGGTGCCCAAGGAGGGAGAATGTGGTGCCAGTGTGTGGCCTACATCCTGTCACACAGTGGCCACATGTCACTTTGGGCACCCAGGCTTCACTGGGCAGGGCTGTTCCCAATCTCCATTGTTGCCTACCTAACCTCATCTTATATAAAGTTTCTGGTGATGCAGAAATTAGATTCTCAAACATCAATAATTTTGTAAACTACTGGAAGAAAACATCCTTGTCAGGAGATAGAATTCAGAGTGAAGTGTTTAATCCCAGAAGAAGCTCAGGGACAGAAGCAACACTAAGGACAGACACTCACTCAGGAAGATAATGTCCCCCAAAAGATGTTCATGTCCTAATTTGTGGGACCACTGAGTGTTACATTACACAGTGAAAGGGATTTTTTGTATGTGATTAAGTTGAGGATCTTGAGATATCCTGGATCATCTAGGTGGTCCCAATGTAATCACAAGAGTTCTTATAAGAGGGAGGCAGAAGGGTCAAGGATGGAGGGAAGCAGATGTACCAACAGAAGTAGGAGTCCTACTCATACTTAGTAGGTGCTACACTGCTCCTTGAATATGGAGGAAGGGGCCATGAGGCAAAGAATGCCTACAGCCTCTAGAAGGTGGATCTATTCTTATAAACCTTTGAACATAGTAGATGTTCAATGAACACCAATTGAACTCTGCATGTTTGAAGAGCATTTAATTATTTTCACGAGAAATTACTTAATAGGTACAATGTATGTTATTCTGGTGATGAATACACTAAAAACCCTGACTTCACTGCTATGCAATATATCAATTTAACAAAATTACACTTGTAATTTTATACATAAATTTATACAAATAAAAATTTTAAATTAAAATTAGAAAAGTAAAAATGAAAAATGTTACATCATTAAGTGATAAATATGCTCACCATAATAGTATGTAAAGTATAATAATAAATTATATAAAAATATGGGTATACATATATATACATGTACGTATTTTGCAATAATAGAATTAAATGGGTGAACATATTATTTTTTCTTTCTTCTTTTTATTGCCTATGTATCTTAACAGTTCTACAGTGAATGTGCTATTTGTATAATAAAATGAATGATCAGAGCATTAAAGAAAAATGGTGGGTTTTATGTGCTTGTGATTGCCGGTAAATGCAAGAATAATATTTTAAGAATATTTACACACAGCTCAAAACTGGAATTAATAAGTTATTCAATATATTTATGTATTCATTTATTTACTTATGTATCAGTAGAAATGTATTAGTACATGTGCATGTGTGTGCATGTATACATGCATATACGTGCATGCACGCACATACACACATATATGCACATCATATATATGTGTATTTATTTCAAGGACTGAAAATATCCTTACTGTCACAGTTAAGGATAATTCAGCCAAGTATAGAAGCATAGGTTTAAAAAAATCACTCTGAATTTTGAAGGGAGTTGTTTCACAGGATAGCTAATGGTCAGTCTAGTTGTTCCCTTATATAACTTGCATGTAGAGAAAAAAATATAATTTTTTTCTCTACATTTTTTTCATTGTAACTAAAATGCTGGACATTATGTAGGAATATTAATTCACCATCACACTGATCTTTTTTGGATACTTTCATAGAAAAATTGATGATCTTTGTTCTGAAAAAAATATTATTGGTGCATTCCCTTTACTCTGTTTTCACTTTTCTCTATTGCTAAAACACCTCTTATTCAGTTGCTAGTTCTATCAAAAAAAATGTTCTTGGGGCTAGGCGCGGTGACTCACGCCTGTAATCCCAGCACTTTGGGAGGCCGAGGTGAGTGGATCACCTGAGGTCAGGAGTTTGAGACCAACCTGACCAATATTGTAAAACCCCATCTCTAGTAAAAATACAAAAATTAGCTGGGCATGTTGGCATGTGCCTGTAGTCCCAGCTACTCGGGAGGCTGAGACAGGAGAATTGGTTGAACTTGGGAGGCAGAGGTTGCAGTGAGCCAGGACTGCACCACTGCACTCCAGCCTGGGCAACAGAGCGAGACTCCATCTCAAAAAAAAAAAAAAAAAAAAAAGGAATGTTCTATCTTCAGTTCTTTTATCTGCTAATTCCCATCTCTTTTCTTTTGCTAAAACTTGGGGAAATGATCAATGATCTCAACTTTGTTTTTTAGTTCTTCTATTTATTTTTAATGTCAGTTAACCTACATTCAATGTCCAACAGTGAGCTGCTTCTTATTCTATGATGACTTGATTAAAATATTTTTTGTTTCATTTACATTACACTGAAACTACTAATTATTAAAAAATTGACTTTATTTTCTGCTCTCTGTGTATTTCTGTTTTTACAAATTTTACTTTTTTTTTTTCATTTTGCTGCCTGTGTTTCACTTTAGAGGCTTTTCTCAAATGTCTTATCATCACTGGCTGAGTGTATGACTGTATGTGTACAAGGAGACTCATTTACTGATAGAATTCACTATGGGGTAGTTGGGTGATGACTGTTTAATTGGGAGGGTCTTCAAATGATCAGAAGTAGGAATTCTTATCTTTAGGGTTATTGAGTGTCCCAAAATATAATTTTTCAGAATTTTGCCTGGAGTTTCAGGCAAAAAATTTAACTACATACTTAAACTACATTTTAACTACATTCCTTGTAGTTAAAAATGTTTTACAGTCTAGCTGGACAGGGAGAAAGTGGTGAAGGTCTTAGCATTCACCATGTGAATCGTCACTGACTGCCTCTATGTTCAGCCTCATCTCTCTCTCCATTCCATTCTGCCAGACATTGAATGCCTCTGTCCCTGATTGAGAGACTCTTCCCATCAATTGTTCCAGAAAATAACCGTTGGGTTTCCTAACTAGGAGAATGGCATCCATATACAGAGGGTCAGAAGGAAAGAATTAATGCAAGTTAATTCAGTCAGGAGAAAAATTTAAATTATGTAACTTGTTTTAAATGACAGGAAATTTCCATTTTAAACCTTTAGCTTTGCAGGACATGTTACTTTAAATATATTTATTTTATTTTATTGAGACAGTTTTTTTCTTGTCGCCCAGGCTGAAGTACAGTGGCGTGATCTCGGCTCACTGCAACCTCTACCTCTTGGGTTCAAGTGATTCTCCTGCCTCAACCTCCCGAGTGTCTGGGATTACAGGCGCATGCCAACATGCCCGGCTAATATTTGTATTTTTGGTAGAGACAGGGTTTCGTCATGTTGGCCAGGCTGGTCTCAAACTCCTGACCTCAAGTGATCCGCCCACCTCGGCCTCCCAAAGTGCTGGGATTACAGGGGGGAGCCACGGCGCCCAGCCTAAATTAATTTTTTTAATTGTGGCAGTTAACACTTAACATGAGATTTACCATCTTAAAGAATTTTAAGGACAGTATATAGCATTGTTTTCTATAGGCACAATGTTTTATAGAAGATCTTTAGAACTTACTTGTCTTACATAACTGAAACTTCATACCAACTGATTAGCAACTCCCCATTTCTGCCTCCCACAAGTTCCTGGCACCCAAAATTTCATTATTTGCTTCCTTAAATTTGAAAATTTTTGAAACCTTATACAAGTAGAATGATGCAGTATTTGTCCTTCTATGACTGACTTAATTTCATTTAGCATAATCTCCTCAAGGCATTCATTTTTTCACATTCAACAGAATTTTTTTATTTTTTAAGGCTGCGTAGTATTCTGCTGTATGTATATACCACATTTTCTTTATTCATTCATTTATCAATAGACATTTACATTGTTTCCACATCTTGACTATTGTGAACAACCCTGGAATGGAATGAACATAGGAGTGCAGATCTCTCTCCTGGATTGTAATTTCAATTCCTTTTGATATATACCTAGAAGAGGGATTGCTGGATCATATGGTAGTTTTAGTTTTAATTTGTTGTGGCACCTCTATACCATTTCCCATAGTGGCTTCATGCTTTTACATTTCTAACAACAATGGACAAGGGTTCCAATTTCTCCACAAACTCACCAACTTACCTGATTTTTGGATGATAGTCATTCTAACAGGTGTAAAGTGTTATCTCATTGTGGTTTTGATTTGCATTTTCCTGGTAATGATGTTGAGCACTTTTTCATATACCTGTTGGCCATTTGTATATCTTTTTTGGAAAAATATCTATTCAAATCCTTTGCCTGTTTTTAAAAAATGAGTTATTTATTAATTGCTATTGAGTTGTAGGATTTCCTTATACATTTTGGATATTAACCTTCTGTGCAATATATGGCTTGCAAATATTTTCTCCCATTCCGTAGGTTACCTTGCACTTTGTTGATTGTTTCCTTTGCTGTGTAGAAGCTTTTTATTTTGATGTAGTCTCACTGACTAGTTTGTTTTTGTTGCCCATGCTTTTGATGTCGTATCCAAGAAAACATTGCCAAGACCAGTATCAAGAAGGCTTTCTCCTGTGTTTTCCTACAGGAGTTTTACAGTTTCAGGTTTTATGGTTAAGTCTTTTGAGTTTATTTTTTTGTGTCTGAAGTGAGATGAGTGCAATTTTATACTTTTGAATGTGGATATCTAGTTTTCTCAACACTATTTGTTGAAGAAACTATTCTTTCTCCTGTGTGTATTATATGCACACTTGTCAAAGATCAGTTCACCTTCTTTGTGTGTGTTTATTTCTGGGCTCTCTATTTTGTTCCATTGGTCTATATGTCTGTTCTATGCCAGTACTATACTGTTTTTAATCACTGTATTTTTAAAATATATTTTGAAATCAGGAAGTGCTGCAGGCTCTCTATTCTGTTCCATTGGTCTATATGTCTGTTTTATATCAGTACTATAGTGTTTTTAATTACTGTATTTTTAAAAAAATTTTGAAATCAGGAAGTGTTGCATTTCTATACACTAACAAGGAGCTGTCCCAAAAGGAAATTAAGAAACAATCTTATATATCATTGTATCAAAAAGAATAAAATACTTAGATGTACCCTTAACCAAAGAGGTGAAAATCTCATACATTGAAAACTATAAATATTGATGAAAGAAATTAAAGAAGACATAAATAAATGGAGAGACATATGATGTTCATTGATTGGAAGATTCAATATCATTAAAATGTCCATAGTACCCATAGCAATCTAAAGATTCAGTGTAATCCCTACCAAAATCCCAATGGCATTTTTTACAGAATTTTTTTTAAACTAAACTAAAATTTATATGGAACCATGGAAAACCTGAATATTTTAAATTCCTTTTGCACTTATTTTTAAAATTGAATTAAATGTTTTTTAAAATTTTTTGTCATTATTATGATTATTTTCTGTATATATTTCTGATTATGCAGAGCATGCTTATGAAATTATCATGGAACAAATTACAACATCATCTCATTATATGATCCTTAAGAAATTATTTGGAATTCTCAGAAAGACGATATTATATTCTGGGTTTCTTTTTGACTATTACTATTAAATCAATGGAGTTCATGGTCACTTTTGGATTCAGGTACAGATATATTGAGCTATGGCTGCCACATTCTTTTGAAGTTATTATAAAGTAACTGAAACTAGATGGCTTTTAAAAATCAAATCTAATATTCTATCACCCCCAACCCTGTTATGTTAAGTCACCAAGAATTCAGTATTCTGAATCTTAAGTGAAGTTTTCAATAATATCCATATCCCAACGTATGATACCAAATTAAATAACATTCATAAAAGATAAAAAGTGATAGAATGATCCTGTCATAAAGAACACCATAAATATTCAAACAATATCTTGAAAGAGTTGATAAGGCAGTAAAAGGAAGGAAGACATTTCAGAAACTGCAGTTTTCCTTAGATAAGAGGTGAGCAGAGAGTGCAACAGGACATCATCATCTCTGCTTAGAAAATGGTGTGGAGAAATGAGTAGGAAATATAGGCAGACTAAAAGTAGTGGAAAAGTAACTTCCATACCAATGTTGAGCAAAATTTAACAGATTTAGGACCGGGCTTTGGGTGGCCTGTTCCAGTCAGTGGCAATCCTTTAAGATCATATCCTTCTTACAATGTCTTTCTTGTCCTTTATTTCTGGTTTCCCTTCCGAGCTGCTTCAGAACTCACTTCACTGCCTAAAAATCTCTTTATAAATATTTAATGTTTAATTAAAATTCTGCAGATAATTCTATCCTCAAATGGGAAAAATTTTTGGTGTAACAAGTAAAATGGAAAAAAAAAGAACAAAAACAAATTGCATTGAATTCAACAGAGGTTTGACATGGAGTGGCCCACTGTCTCAGTTGGCCCAGAACTGTGTTGGTTTTAAAACTGAAAGTCCCATGTCCCAGGGAACCCCTCAGTCCTGGGAAAACCAAGATGTTTGATCACCCTAATTTGCAATATAATTTGACCATTAAACAATTAATTTTATAACAAAGCATGTGGAGAGTCTCATCAATATTATATAGATAACAAGTATTATAGAAATCATCAAGTTAGAATTAAAATGTTAATAACTTACGTCGATGTAGCACTTTACCCTGTATTCTACTTTCATCCCCAAGAAACTTGAAAAATAATCCATTTGGCTTGTTTTGTAGAAGCAACTAAATGCCTAACATCACATAATAGGCCATTATCAGAGTTACTGGCTGTGTAGCTCAGATGTTGCCATTATTCTTTCTTTACTTAGCTATCCAGTGGTTCCCAAACATTGGTGCATATTGGAATCATATAAAAATACTGATTCTTGGCTCCTAACCCAAGACTTTTCAATTCAATTAAAATTGGTTATGACCTGGGTATCAGAATTCTTATTTTATTTTTAGAGACAGAGTTTTGCTCTGTAGCCTAGGCTGGAGTGCAGTGATGCAGTCATAGCTCACTGCAGCTTCAATCTCCTGGGCTCAAGTGATCCTCCCACCTAAGCCTCCTGAGTAGCTGGGACTACAGGCATATGCCACCACGCCCAGCTATTTTTCTTTGAAATTTTTTTTGTAGAGACAAAGTCTGACTGTGTTGTCCAGGATTGTCAGGGTATCAGAATTTTTAAAAGCTCCTCAGATGATTCTAATATGAGCTAAGTTTGGAAACCATTGCTCTAGCATAATGGTATATAACTAGCTGCACAATAGAAGCACCCAGCAAGATTTAAAACCTAACCATACCCAGATTCTGCCCCTGATCAATTATATCAGAGGCTGTGAGGTTGGTGTCTAGGCATCCATATTTTTAAAAAGCTCCCTTGATAATTCTAATGTGTACTAAGGATTAAAAACCACTGCACTTAGTTTGTGGATAATTTACATCTCTCAGAACAAAATATAGCCTTTTCTTTGTCCTGCTCACAGCATCCCCAGTTCCACAGAGTGAGTGGTTTTATGCCCAATTCCACAGCAGGGCTCAGATTCTCAGAAACTCATCTTTCAGTACCCTATTCAAATCTACCCGATAACGATTGTTAACTCTCAGTGATCCCTGCCCTTGAGTATTCAACCTGGTCAAAAAGCTTCATAGTTCTCAAAATATGAATCGATAAATGTCATTTTGTCTAAGCGGAGTCAGGGCTTCCAGATTCAGTTTAGCCATTTTATGAAGAGATATAGTTAGATTGAACTCTTAATGGCTCATAAAGTTTGCTTCCCAAATGCTTTGATTACTTACCTTGGAATAAATAAGCTGGAAGTATCACTAAAGGTAATACATATATAAAATCTTCACATGGACTTTGAAACTGTGTGTCTGTATGAATTACAAATTATCAAATTTTATACCCGTATTCAGTAATAAAGGACAAAATAATCGATAGAAAATAACTGTCTCAATTACAGGGGTTATTGCTCTCAGTTGCGCACGTGTGTGTGTGTGTGTGTGTGTGTGTGTATGTGTGTGCATGCGTGTGTATGTGTGTGCATGTGTGTGTTTCTGTCTGCCTGCCTGTAAGTCTTTGTCTCTGTTTGTGTCTGAGTATCCCTACCATGCAACTTCTAGGCAAGAATTCTCTGTAGCTTAGTTTTTAAAAGTCTCAATGTACACCCAAATGAAGGAAAATATGTTTAATTTACTTACCATATTTCTTCTATTTTCTTTTCCACATTTAGATACCTATATTATTGTTAGCTCTATAATCAGTTATTGTTATTATTTTCTTTTCCTTGCATATTCCTCCAGAGAAAGATTACATATATGGACAAATACATCCTTAACTTTTTACAAAAATATAGTAATAACTCTTCTGAATTCCTTTATTTTTTAATTTAACAATGAATTGTGGAGATCATTCCATATGCATAAAGAGCCTTCTCTACTTTTTTATGCTATTTAATTGTACAAATGGACAGACATACCACTGTTTATTAGCCTTACTGATGCACATTTAGGTTGTTTCCAATTTTTGGCTATTATAAGAAATGTAGCATAAATATTTCTCTCTCACTCTTCTACTTCTTGAGTCCAGACTAGATACTGAAACACTTATATCACAGCCTTCATTCACAGTTCATGCTGTTGCTGAGATTTCATACCTCAGAGTAGACTTCTCATGATTTTTTTTAGTTCTTTCTGAGATTTGCAGCTAAAATGTTTCTCACTTTTACTTATGCCTGAATTCCACTGCATTTGTTATACCTTCCATTTATTTCATAAATTAGGGTTTAACCGGCTCATAGATCAAATAATGAAAAATGAAAATTCAATTTGCATCTTCATTTCTAATTCCCCTTGTTGCTCTTAGATGGTTATAAAAGATAAAAAGAAAGAATACTGCCATTACTCCACCACCTTCAAATCACAATTTCAATTTATTACAGTTTGCAATAATATACTAAAATCTTATTTGCTTGTTACATGGATTTTAGAAAATAACTATTGATACTCTATTACATAAGAGGAGGTGATAACTATCCTTACAGAATCTCTACCTCTCCCACCCCCACTTCTACCTTTCATTAAGAATACTTAGTTACAGAGCATATAAATATGAAAATTAATATATGCCTTGATATTCAAAAATAATTGAATATATGAGATAATATTGATGATGGAGGTAGAGGGTGGGAAAGGTAGGGTGTTTTCTTTTTTCTCTGAGTATGTGAGTGGAGGGAGGGAGGCACAAAGCAAGGAAGGAAAGATGGAAGGAAGAAAGGAAGTAAGGGAGGAAGTAGGGAAGTAAGGAAAGGAGGAAATAAGGAAAGGAGGGAGGGAGGGAGAAAAGAAAGAAGAAACTTTTATGTATCATTATAATAGATAATCTTGTTTCTGTGGCTGATTTCTGCCACAGACCTTCAGTGACACCCAAGGGAGCTGTGGAATTGAATACAAGTGCCTCTTGTAGAGAACTAAGCAGAGGCTGCCACTCCATCCTGTCATTGCTTTAGCAGTGCTCCGCCACCTCAATTCTGGCCTCTTTGGCTATCAGCTCTTGTTTTTCACAACCCTGGGAGGTAGTGGCAAGTTCATGTGGGCTACAGTTGTACCAAAATGATCCCTGCAAGAGTGATGCATCTAGCTCCAACTGCCATGTTTCTGATCAATTCTCACTTATGACTTTCCAACTGTAGGTCTTAAAAGATACATAAAAAGTCCTTTAATGATACCCAATTCTTTACTTTAATATTTGAGCATCTATCATGCACAAGGAACGTAATTAGATGTTCAAAAAGATAAAAATAACACAAGAGCAGGCACATGTCCTGCCTTCAAGAAGGCTACAGTTTCATATTATTTAACCGGCCTACATGAGTCTAGTCAAAGGTTTTAAAAACAACTACGATTGGAATTTTACTGTAAGTGCCTAATTAGGCAAATTGGTACATGAAGATACTTGCCATTTGTTCCCTACAAAAAAATCTTCATTTCATTGAGCCTATAATTATTATTACAGTAAGAACATAGAAAATAACCAATAAATCACTTCTTTATACCCACATTCTGGGCTGCATTTCAATATAACATTGCTTACAAATTATCCACTAGAAATGTCAACAATATCATTTAAACTTGATGAGTAGTACATATCATTCAGTATGCAACTTGAAAATTCATGCAAATCTCTGCACATCTATCCAATAGAACAGGGAACATATCTAGCATACTAAGTTTGCATTGGTTTACACTTTTTTTGTTTTTTAGAAATAGTGAAATCTCACAATCACTGAATTGTATTTTTTGCAAAAATGTGATTATTTTCTTGATGAGGTTTGCAAACACAACATACTAGATCTTTCAGAATAGCAAAAGACTGTGGCAGACTACAATTTTATCTCATATTTTTATTTCATTCATTCATAATTTATCCATTCATAGTTTCATCAACCAATAGTCAAGAATAATAACTCTCATTTTTGGTACTTCCTGAATACTAAACATCCTGCAGAATACTTGTTTTCATTATGTAATTTTGAAATTTCAATAATGATATGATGCTAATTTCACTATCATTCTCATCTTACAACTGAGAAAGATGAGATTCAGAGAGAATAAAGTAACATATCCTCGGCCTACAGCTATTGAGATTCTGTAATAGGCTTTTTTTCATATAACTATACCTACCATGTTTTTATGATTTTGTTAGTTAATTGGAATTCCTAATAAAAACATAAGTCAACCCTAGTTCTTGGATTTCTGGGTTGTTATTTTAAATTTATGTTTTTCAGTTTAAGATTAGAGAAAAGGATTTTAAAAGTACATATACACATGTGTATTTACATAGCAATATTTATTCCTTTCAAGAAACAGAAGTTAATTTTAAGCAGAGTTTGCTTTCATTCTTGATAAAAGTAAATAAAGCATTAGAAAAATAAGGAGGGCCAGGCACGGTGGCTCACGCCTGTAATCCCAACACTTTGGGAGCTCGAGGAGGAAGGATCGCTTGAGCCTAGGAGTTTGAGACCAGCCTGGGCAACACGGCAAAACCTCATCTCTACCAAAAAAAAAAAAAAATCGTTTTTGAAATTAGCCAGGCTTGGCAATGCGTGTTTGTAGTCCCAGTTACTTGGGAGGCTGAAGTGGGAGGATCACTTGAGCCCAGGAGTTTGAGGCTGCAATGAGCCGTGATCATGCCATTGCACTCCAGCCTGGGCAACAGAGTGAGACCTTGTCTCAAAGCAAAGGGAAAAGAAATGTAAGATTAAGATGATAAGAAAACTTTCTTATTTTAAATAGAAAACTGGCAGAATTCAGGAGAGGGTATGAAACCCAGGTTGAAATGTGTAATAAGCACTTTAGTAAAAGTAATAAGTAATAAACATACTCTGGATAACTTCTGAAGACTTAAAATCTTCAATTGTCCAGTCAAGGAAAATTATACAAAAGAAGATTAAAATTTGATCCAATGAATAAGTTACCTATATGTTGGATACTAACTTCTCTGCAAGTTACATAAAAGTCAATGGATCAGGTAATGGAATTCTATACAAGAATTCAATACTCCGTCAAATTAGTGTCATAATGAATGCAATAGCTTGGCATTTTCCGATATACAGTAACTCAGGAGGTATATAATGGGAAATACATTTTTAAAGATCAAAATAAATCAATGTTAATTTATTTTCTAACATCAAAGTGACTTAAACATAACTTTATATTAAAGTTGGAGTTACAAAAATACTTAAGTACCTGAAATAAAAAAAAACAAAATTCTTGGAAAAGATAATAGAATATTTTTAAATTGTAATGAAACCAATAGAACACAAATTCTAGATTCTACCATTAAAATACAGGAGGTAGAATAAAAAGATGTGAGAATAAAAAAATATTGTCTTCAATAATCTTAAAGTTAGGATAATACACTTAATAATGAAAAATGTAAGCTCAATAATTTTTTTCAAGACTAAAAGAAAACACCTTAAGAGTTGCATTAGAAAACTAAAATGAGGTTCAATGAAAGTTTTATTTCTAAATAACATAGCATTATTATATAGAAAGCAAAAACTCTTGGAAAGGGAAAAAGATAAGAAAAAAACAACCGCAATAATATTGGCAGGTATTAACTTAATAAAACAAAGCTAAAACATTCTAAAATAATTTATAATTTGTAATGCATTTGAGAAATATGTTTTACTTTCATAGTTTCAATACCATCTATTACATGGTGACATGATTTAGTATGCCTTCTTTTAAAGCATTTGATGGTAAAACATTTTTAAAATCACCTATATTTTATGCTACAAGATAAAACTGAAGAAATATAAAACAAGTCTCCGAATTAGAAATTATACTGGCCATGTTTTCCGACTGCAATGCAATAATAAACTAGAAATGCATAACAAATATATAAAGAAAGAAAATTCTGCAGAGTTTAAAAATGTATAAATTCACTAGCCTTAAACATGGATACAAAATTACATTTATAATATGTGGAATATACAATATATTTAGAAAATAAAGTATTCCATATATATAAAATTTGAAATGAGAACATAAAGACACACACTTTTGAATTGTTTTATTGCTAAATCAGGGGAAAAATCAAAGTAAGAGAAATAAATATTAAACTCAAGAGACTGATAAATCAGTATAAAAAGTATGAGGAAGGTACTTATTAATATGGAAATCATTAATTAGAATGAGAAAAATAGTGGCAATGACATACTTGTGCAAAAGTTATTTCTTGGAATAAAATGACTATCCAAAATAAATAAATAAAAATACAATAAATAGGTAAACATTTGACAAATCAAGTGGGAAAAAAAGTAGAGAAAATACAAATACATGACATTTTAAATAAAAGATACATGTAGGATTGTGGAGCTGCATGGCAAAGACAGAAAATTTAAGCAGACTCACAAAATCTCCTTCCCTTGTGTCTAAAATAATTGGAGAAAGAAAAGCAAGGAAGAGTCACTTGCGACAGCCAGATAGTAAGGAAGTCACAAACCTCAAAAAATGTCAACTGAAGAAAGAAACAGCAAATTCTACTATGGAGTATCAAGGCATAGCTGAGCTAGTTAGCTGCGTGTATAGCACTTAAAAGCAATGACTGTGAGTCAGGAAACTTCAAGATTTTTATTAATACTTCCTAATTGGTAGGAAACAAAAGTCAAATTTGCCTTATTACCTTTTTTTCATTGTCTGGTGTGAGAAAAGAAAATAAGCCCAATAGATTTCTACCCAGAAAGAGCCAACAGGCAAGTTCCGTGATGCCTGAAGGAATATTGGGAATAAAGGAAAGAATAGACCACCATAAAACTCATGTACATACATAATAGATACATACACATATATGTGAAAAATGAAATTCAGCCAAATAAGAGATTAAACAAAGAATTCTCTGATGAAGAAACAATAGTAAATAGTAGGGTATCAATTTAAACATGAAACAAACATTATGTAGCTATAGAAGTTATAGCCTATAATGTCTAAAAGCATGACAGTATAGAATAAATGGTACTTTTTTTTTTTTGAGACCGATTCTCAGGCTGGAGGGCAGTCGCGCAATCTTGGCTCACTGCAACCGCCGCCTCCTGGGTTCAAGCGATATTCCTGCCTCAGCCTCCCGAGTAACTGGGACTACGGACGCGTGCCACCACGCCCAGCTAATTCTTGTATTTTTAGTAGAGACAGGGTTTCATCATGTTGGCCAGGATGGTCTTGATCTCCTGACCTCGTGATCCGCCCGCCTCAGCCTCCCAAAGTGCTGGGATTACAGGCGTCAGCCACAGCGCCCGGCCAATGGTACGATTTTTTAAAAGTGAGCAGGAAAGGAAGTTGAAGAGTATTAATATCTTCACGTTCCACAGGGTATAATTAATACTATCAGAAATTAAATGATTATGAAATTATTGTGGGAATTGTATCTCCTAAATTTGAATTTCTTTTATTTTGTTTTAGTTTATTAATTCTGTAGAGATATTACTATAACTAACCCTGTTATTAAAATATTGTGTGGTACTATTTGTCTTCTTTCTTTTCTGTTTCCCTTTCTCTCTCTCACTCCAGTTCACCAAACTATTCACCTGTTCATCCACCATTTATGCATTTACCTGTCATATTCTGCTTGTGTGCGTGTGTGGTGTGTGTGTGCATGAGTGTATGTCTAGAATAATGTAAGGATAATAGTAATAGTGGTTGTTTTGGTGTTAAAATTTGAACTTCTTTCTTTTTAAATATCATTTTGTATCTTTTTCTTTTTTGCTTCCACTTATAATAGGCATGCATTCTTTTGTAAAATGCCAAAACTGTGATATTGCTTTTAAAAACATGGATAATTATATATATAAATATACATTTTATATAAACTAAATTTTGCTTAAGAAGATGTGAAAAATTCGAAAACCCTAAGAACCAGGGATAAATACGATCCTTTTAGAGAGGATTTGAAGATGCATGTTTCATAAGCAAAGCTTTAATAATCTATATATATATAAACTCTTTTTGGAAATTAAAAAGTAGTTGAACCCCTCCCACTTTGTTATACAAACCATATAGAATCTTTACAACAAATCCTATAAAAGATGATTCAGAATAGAAAAGTGGGAAACAATATCAATTAGAAATATTGATGTAAAAACTCTCAAAGTACTGATACATGATAAGCAGTAGTATATGTTAAAAGTCATTATCATCAAGTATGGATCATTTCATAAATTACAGGTAATTTTCAGCATCTTTTGTGAGAATCATATTTCTCTTCCCACATAAAGACGTAATAAATTGTACAGCTATGATTAAATATCTTAATTAATGAAAATATTTGATTATATAATTTATGTAATTCAAATCTTATAACTCTACTAAAGAAATTTATTACACCATTACATTAGAAAAGAAAATGTTCTTCTCTCAAAAGATGCTGAAAAAGTATTTATTAAAATCCAGCATACATATCTCAAACTTACTTTTTTCTTATTAGGTTAAAAATTCGCCATTGCTATGCTAATGTGCAAATTTTAATTAGTATGAATAGGTTATAGTAATTCTCATTATATAAAAAGAAAAAAGTGATTTTCACTCTTATTAATTAACTCTTTGTTTCTCAGAAGTTAAAGTAAATCCAATTATATTTAACACAGAGAACAATTTTGTTCATTGGGAATGTGGGTGTCTGAATATTTTCATATGATGGGATAACGTCACAGGAGAATCACCTAATATTGAATGATCAGGTCATTCAATAATGTGTATCTTGATGAAATAAATATACAACATTAACGTTTTTACTATATATCAGCAATATGGGTGATATAAACACTGTCATGATTTCACCAATAGTTATTGAATTATAAAATATGAATACACACACATTGCCACAATTGTATAATATAACTATGAAGAAAATAAGGACACTCTTTGAACATAATTTTTTAAAATAAATTGTGTCAAGAAAGGAAAGGTAGGAAAAATTAACATTTTAATGCCGATTTTTATAATAATCTCTACTATTAGTATAATTCAAAAAATAGTTCCCAAAGAATTTTTTAAACTTTATAAATTTTATGCAAAATTATCAATTAATGAATTAAAATAAAATTGTTAAAATAATATAATAAGAGGTGACTAGCACTGTACATATGCTAAAATATTCTATAAAGATATAGCATCTAAATCAAGTATTAGAGACGTCAGTACACACAGATAAGTAAAGAGAAGAATAGTGAAATAGTGAAACTTTTATTAAAAAATGGATATATTTTGAATGGGAATCATACTAGATTGCCCATCTACTTACTCTGTATCTACACTCTCAACTTTCCTTCCTGTTGGAATAGATAAATTACAAATATTCCTGCATAAAGGCAGGAATTGCCTTCAGCCATAAAATGAAATGAAGTACTGACATATGCCGCAACACGAATGAGCCTTGAAAACATTATGCTAAGTGACACAAACCACTCACAAAAGACCACATGTTATATAATTCAATTTTTAAAAAGTATCCAGAATAGTAACATCTATAGAGGGTTGTGACCGCTAGAGTAGAGGGGTTCACCTTTTGGGGTGATGAAAATATTTATAAAATTGACTGTGGCGACTGCTGTACATACCTGTGAATATACTGGAAAACATTGACTTAAACATTTTAAATGGGTGAATTGTGTGCTATGTGGATTAATTATCAATAAAGCTGTTGTAAAAAAAACTGTGATGCAAAATGATGGTGATAAAGATTAGAATTGCCTCTGGGAGTGGGGGTGGGCTTGTACTGACTGCAAATGGTCAAGAAATATCTTTCTATGGTGGTTTATACAGATGTTTACATTTGTTAAATCTCATATACAAAAAGTCTACTTGAACAAAGGCAAATGATACGAATTACAAAATCACTAAAAATAAGTAGGAATATCATGTATTTGAAAAAATATGTATCTCACTATTATTCAAATATAAACCAATTTAAATGTCACATTCTGCCAATCAAATTGAATATAATATATACATTCATTATTTCTGGGAACAAAGGCTTATAAAATCTACTATTTCTGTAATGTAACTATTTGAAAGATTCCTTAAAATATATAACAAAAACCTTAAACATGTACTTTTATTTTAACTCAGAAATTCCACATTCAATTGTTTATCCTAAGGCATTATTAGCTAAAACGTGAAAAGATCCAAGTAGAGTATTGTTTTGTTGCATATTTCTAAAAGTAATGGAAGTGGATACCACCAATCAACCTAAGAATTGATTAATAAATTAGGAAAATATGATGGCTACATTATTTTTATGTTCTAAAATAATATTTGGTATCATTGACCTACATTCACAATAAAATCTTAAGCAAAAACGTTTATACTGCAAATTACTATATAATGAACTCATTATGTTTAAATATATGTAGATACTAATGAGAATTCATAAAGACTGAAATATATATACTAAAATGTTTATTGTCTTTTGGCTTCTTTGCTGTTTTATAATGAATATGTAAAATATGAATTGCAAAATATATGAAGTAGGGTGTGCACAATAGCATCAAATTCAACAGACAGTTTCATAATCATAAATATTTTTTAAATGTCACAGGATTTAGAAATGAGGATGTTGTGAGTGACAGTTTCAGAGTAACAATAAGGGGCAGAAGTCATATTCTGATGAGCTACAGAATTAAATTGAGAATAAGTTGAACTGGAAAAGGTAGACAAGTCTTTCAGGAAGTCTGAGAAGAGAAAGGAAGACATTATATGGCAGCAAGATGGGATCAAAGTTCAAGAAATGTATTTGTCTAGGTTGGTAGAAATCTCAGCATGTTTGGTGAGTACAATGATGAACAAGTAAAGAGAGTGAAAAGACCAGAGAATGGTGACCATTGACAAAATAAGATTTCAAAGGAGGGTGTCAAAGCTGCAGATGAAATGAGTGACCTTGATCAGAGTAAGAGATACCTCATCCTCTGACATTTGATAAAATATAGTAAAGAAAAGGTGGATGCAGGTAAATTTTCATGTTTGGGATCAAAATGTTAAGTGTAACCAGTTTTCTCAATGGGATAAGTGTAAACTAGGTTATCTCCTGAGAATTAGATGCTCAACAGGTGGCTACAAGAGACCAAGAGATGGGTGATAATCATTGAGAAGACAGGTGATGGGATCAGGAGCTGAATGCAGACAAACACACAGATTCCTGGGAAATTCTGAGGGCAAAGATGAAGTTGGAAGCTCAGAATTTGTCATGGTCCTAATCAACATATATATGTGATTTTTATTAAAGCCACTTAGCCACTCGCATGAAGTAAAGGAAAAGGCAAATTGTGTTTGGTCCAGAGTATGAAAGGACGCAGGGACAATAACGAGTTATTGTATATCTATTCAGGTGGGAAAGAGTTCTGAGTGAGCACTGTTGTGGCCCTCAGTAGATTATGACAATGGTGGCAGGTCCCCAGTCCTAAAACTAAGATATTAGATGTATTGTCTCCACAGGCACTTAACTTAAAATCTTGCCAGAAAGTTATTTTGGAGAGGGAATCTACCAGACAGATCTCAGGTCATCTGGCAAGTAAATAATGAAGCAATGAGAAAATCAGTCTATAGGGAATTTGAACTTGTATGCAAGGGTTCAAAAAATGTTTCATAAACTGCTTGGAAGTCCACACTTCCACTGTTCTCAGAAGATTTGGATAAATGAATGATGGCATAGGAAAATACAATTAGGGAATACATTCTTTTATCATGCTAAAACATTTAAAATGAGTAAATAAGTGTACCTGCAGACACACAGACACACACACAAATACAAATGTACAAACACACATCATAGTATAAATTGTTTTTACTAAGTATTATGAATATACTTTAGTATAAAATAGTTTAAGCTTAATTAGATATATTGATTTTAAATGTAGATGTCTTACCACTACTGAATCATGTATTTTATATATTTTAAGTTATTTTTCACACCAAATAATTTGAATTTTGAATTATCAGCCTATATATTTCATTTGTGATGAAAAATATTTTTGTCACTACTATATAATAATTGCTCAAATGTATTTTTGTTAATATCTGTATTATTCATTTTCTATTTCTCAAGATAAAATACCCTCTACTTTGATTATGTGTGATAATGCTGTTCAACTTTATATTTTAAGGTCAATGCCAAACTATTTTTGGTAACTATTTCCTTTTTAAATGTTATTTGATTAAGTCAATACTCTGGAATAATTTGGTCATCTGAAAAAATTATACTGAAACTAATACCAATTTTTCTGTTTCCTAAGAGCAGAAAAATGTTTCATCTATTCATAATTTATATGAGAAAGTTTAATCCATAATCTGCATTTCCCTACCACAAACAAAAATAATTTCAAAAGATTATAAAGTATGCATTTTGGTGAATGACACCGCAGTGTATTTATGTATTGCATTTGCTGTAGTAAATTTTCTTTGGCTTTTTAATTATGCACAGAAATGAGCCTCACTGTTTAAGGATGCAACACACTGGAAATAGTTTTAGGGAACAAATAATTAGCCTTTTGGACGTGTGTGTTCATTTCACACAGCAATCTGTTCCTTCATCTCCTCCTCCTTCCTGTTTTGAAGGCAATCGTGTGTGTTACGTGCACCATCTGCAGCCTCACTGACAGGTGCAGGGTCAGTATTATCCTTCCAAGCATGGAGTTTAGCACAAGCTGGAAATTTCACTAGGCAATTGCAGAGATTTTGAAATCAACCAAAACCCGACAATCCATTTTACCAGTAGATATGAGCATTTGTTGGAAATGCTTGTTACACTTTCAAGACCACATACACAGAGATTTACCTGGTTTGGAACATTATCCAACAACAGGACTATATTGTATAGTGCATCATTTTACTACATGTAGATTAAAAATAGTATAAAAGAAACTCAGCAGAGTGTCATAGATTTAGTAACCAATTATTATTTTTTTAAATTTTATTATTATTATACTTTAAGTTTTAGTAACCAATTATTAATTTAGATTTATTTAAACAGCATTTTGGAATTTCTCTATTAACTTACTCCTAACTCCACTGGTATCCTGTATCTGACACCTTAGGACAGGAACAGTCCCTGTGAGCCTAGTTAGAGGTGTCAATCGATGGGGCAATGTATTCATGAGTCTTAAATGGGAAACCTGCCATTTTCCTTTGGTGTCATGTCACACAGACATTAGCTTCAATACCTCAGCTATATCATAAATGAAATTAACATTTGTAATCTAGTCCAGATGACTAAATGTCATTTTTAACATCAATTCAGTTAATCCTAGTAAGATATAGAGATGTCATATATTTTCCTGACCTACAGGCTAAGCTCCACTCTAGTGTCTAGAATTCATTCTGAACTGCCAGAGTGGCATTGATTTCCTAAATTTATCCTAATTCAGAATTTATTTTCCTTCAACTTTGAAAAACCATAAGCATGTAGTAATCATACTAAAATAGATCCATCTTATAGGGGATGTCTCACATTAACAATTTTTTCAGATAAGATGTTGAAACAGAAAGACAGTTATTTTAAAATTAAAAACACTGTCCATAACAAAACCTAAAATAACTTGATGCCCAACAATTGGGAGCAGATCTGATAAATTATGTGAGAGCCATATTATGCTAGTCATTAATTTTTTAATAATCTCTGACATTATGAGGACATAGAAAATGTCTGGAAATATACACAAAAAAATTAACAGTGATTACCACTAGCAGGATGATCAGGGATAAAGCAGAACTGTCATGGCATAACTGTATTCCCATGACCAGCAATGTGTTTCTATATAGACAAAGTTATGCTTAACACCATCTATTTTCAAAAGGTTGCTCAGTCTGCAGAGATGAAAGAAAAAAATGATTTCAAAATAAATTTCCCATGCTTAATTTCATTATATTAAACAATGATAAAATAAAATTAGGAGGAAAAGCTTTACCTTGGGATTCTACCACTCAGTATGTGCTGGTAAAGACTTCTTCCTTGTATAGTGCTTTCATGAGTTCTATCAATATTTCTGGTGTTATTTCAGCTTTCTTGTGCATTTATTGTAAAATTCCTTTTCATCAACACATTCTTTGTTTGGATGCATAATGAATTTTAATAATCAGAGGCCATTTACCTGCAACACTGCAATAAATTTCTGTTCAATTTGGGATATTTATTCAATTTTAAGTACTACATATTTTCTATCATTATTACAGTGATATTCTATTACTGTAATTATTAATATACATTAATGTACTTTTCTTCACTTTTTTATCAAGGGGATTTTAGACTTATCTTGAATACCAATCCTCTCTTAAATGACGTTAAAGCCACTTTGCTTTCCAAGTGTTTTCAAGCTAATTAGTATTTGTTACCCTAGTCCCTCTACTAATTTAAGTTCACTTTTCCATATAGTACAGTGTGACTTTATTAACCTTTATAATTTCATATGAAGTCAGAGTTTGTCAAATAACCTAGGGTAAACTTGAGCTCAGTGGTGTGTGCTAGCTGGTAGTCCATTAATTCTCTATAATGAATAAATCATATATACATATACACACACACATATATACACATATATAAACATTAAATTTTTCATGAAGAAATGGAATTAAAAGATACAAATAAATATAAACTTTATCAATATAAGCTCCATCAAATTCAAGACACCTTTTTGAGCAATGTTACCAGCCATTAAGTCCATCCTAAGGAACTGAGGGCCCTGGGAATTTAACCATATTAATGCAATCTTTTTTACACTACTCACTGAAGAAAACTGGGTCATCTTTACAGATTTTTTTTAAGCCTAGGAAACAAAAAGAAGTCAGAAGGAGCCACATTAAGATGCCTAATGATTTTCAATTGAAACTCTTGCAAAATTGCCTGTGTTTGATGTGCGGAATGACCAGGAGCTTGTTATGGTGGAGAAGGACTCCGTGGTGAAGCTTTCCTGGGCATTTTTCTGCTGAAGCTTTTGCTAACTTTCTCAAAACCCTCTCCTAATGGCAGATGTTATCGTTCTTTGGCTCTCCAGAAAGTCAACAAGCAAAATGCCTTAAGCATCCTGGAAAACTGGTGCCATGACCTCTGCTCTTGACCAGTCTGCTTTTGCTCTGACTGGACCACTTCCACCTCTTCGGTGCCAGTGCTTTGATTGTGCTTTGTCTTCAGGATTGTACTGGTAAAGCCATGTTTCATCTCCTGTTACAGTTCTTTGAATAAATGCTTCAAGATCTTGGTCCCACTTGTTTAAAATTTCTAATGAAAGCTCTGATCTTCTTTGCAGCTGATCTGGGCACAACAGTTTTGGCGTCCATTGAGTGGCAAGTTTGCTGAAGTTTAATTTTTTCAGTCAGAATTGCATAAGCTGAGCCAATTGAGATGTTTACCCCAAAGTCATTCAGAAGCAACTTAATTTCCATGTAATTTTGTGGTTTTGAGAGACCTTCTTGGTTTTGATTTCCATTTTCATTGCACTATGGTTTGAGAGTATGCTTAGTGTGATTTCCTTTTTAAAAAATTTATTGAGATTTGCTTTATGGCAGAGCACATGGTTGATCTTAGAGTATGTTCTATGTGTGGATGAGAAGAATGTATATTCTGTGGTTGTTTCATGGAGCCCTCTGTAGATGTCTATTAGATCCAGTTGGTTAATGGTGTTGGCTGTTGTTTCTGCTCTTAATCATTGGTCCTCTTCAATTAGAGCATGAAAAAGATGAATTTTTTCCTCACAATAGATGTGCATGTTCTGCTGCTGCAGGCTTCATCTTTAATATCATCTAATCCCTTCTTTAAAAAATTACCAATTTGTAAACTGCCGATTTGGAGGGAGGGAATTGTCCTCATAAACTTTTCATAAAGCATCACTAATTTTACCATTCTTCCACCATAATTTCCATTCTTCACCATAGTTTGATATTTGTTCTTGCTTCAATTATAATAGAATTCATGTTGCTGTAATTGGGACTCTTTTCAAACTGGTGTCTTATCCTTCTTCATACCTTAGACTAGATCCTGTTTAGACACGTTATAACAAATAAGTATGAGTTTATTTTTATGCAAAACATTTGAAATCCATGCATCATTTTTAATAATATGTATTTTCCATGGACTTTTTGAAGACCTGAAGTTTAATTTTTTCAGTCAGAATTGTGTAAGCTGAACCAATTGAGATGTTTACCCCAAAGTCATTCAGAAGCATGATATAGTAATTTTAAGAATTTCTATTCTTTAAGAAAGTCTAATTTTGGCTCTAGGGTGAATGGGTTGTAAGGCCTAGAGAAGAAAGCAATCTTCATTCCCATTCCTTTACTCTTTTTTTCACTGTTCCATGGGGCAATGTTTTAGTATCATTTTCCTCCAGTTTCCCTGTAGGTATTCTAATATTATAAAATCAAGTCAAATATTTACAGATGACTTCAAATAACTCCTGCCAGGCAACTTGGTTTTTGGAAGTAATTTGTTAAACAGCCTACCAAACTATGATATTTTAATCAACAAGTTTCATCAGAATCCTTATCAATTTTGCTCATACAAATTTATATCTGTACATGAAATAGCATTCTCTTCCTCCACCATTTACCATAAAATGAAAATGCATACTTATCTTAAAGAATACCTCAAAATACCAAGAAGGTATTTTAAGACTCTTTTCCCTCAAATTTGTGTTTCTGTTTTTCTCATAACTAAAACCAGCATTTTAGATTCATATGAGCTATTTTTTCTTGCCTTTCCTTTTTAATGCTACATCTATTTACCCAAAATTGTCTGAAGTGTAAAAACAGTCAAAAATATGTAGACAGAGTAGATTTAATTAAATATCACCTTTAGCCTGTTTTTATTACATGATTCAGGTACATATCTTACATATTATGTTAAAATATTTCTTTCCTGTTCTAAACCACGATTCTGTAAATAACAACAGTCATAATAATAACTAACTTTTCTTGAGCATTGCGCAAAGAGTTTTTGCAGTCTTTCTCTTATTTATACCTAATAAAATAATGTAGTATTATTTCTCCATGTTGATGAAAGTAGAGCTGGGATGAGGATAAGTGATAAAATCTATTTAAAAGATTTTCAGGCAGGGTGCGGTGGCTCACGTCTGTAATCCCAGCACTTTGGGAGGCTGAGGCGGGTGGATCACAAGGACAGGAGTTCAAGACCAGCCTGGCCAATATGGCAAAACCCCGTCTCTACTAAAAATACAAAAATTAGCTAGGCGGGGTGGTGCGTGACTGTAGTCCCAGCTGCTTGGAAGGCTGAGGCAGGAGAATCGCTTGAACCTGGGAGGCGGAGGTTGCAGTGAGCCGAGATTGTGCCACTGCACTCCAGCCTGGGTGACAAAGCAAGACTCCGTCTCAAATAAAAAAAAAATTTTTTTTCAAAGGTTCTTTAATATGGTACTTTTCAATCTATGTTGTCTCAGGAGTTCTTTATACACTTAAAAATCATTGAGGACACTGGCCGGGCGTGGTGGCTCACGCCTATAATCCCAGCACTTTGGGAGGCCGAGGCGGGCAGATCACGAGGTCAAGAGATCGAGACCATCCTGGCCAACATAGTGAAACCCCATCTCTACTAAAAATACAAAAATTAGCCAGGCATGGTGGCACATGCCTGTAATCCCAGCTACTCGGGAGGCAGAGGCAGGAGAATCCCTTGAACCAGGGAGTTGGAGGTTGCAGTGAGCCGAGATCGCGCCACAGCACTCTAGCCTGGCGACAGAGCAAGACTCTGTCCCAAAAAAAAAAATCACTGAGGACACCAATAAGCTTTTGTTTGTATGAGTTATATCTATCATTATTCACCATATTTGAAATTAAAATAAATTTTAAAATATGTATTTATTTCAGTTAAAATGACACTAATAAACCCTTTACATATTAATAAAAGACATACTTTATAAAAATATATTTTCTCTAAAAATATAGTGAAAATGGCATTTTTTATACTTTTGCAAATCTTTTGAATTATTGGCTAAATAGAGAATAGCTGGGCTCCCATATCTGTGTCTGTTTCCAATTTGTTACAATATCTTATTTCACATAGCCTTTGGAAAACTCCACAGTACCCTCATGAGAAAATGAGGGTGAAATGGCAAACATCTTAGTATTAATATGAAATAGTCTTGACCTCACAGACTTCCTGAAAGGATCTCAGTGCCCCCAAGATGTTTCCATACTACACACAGAGAACTGTTGCCTTAATAGATTAGATAATGAATCATTCTCAGATTTATGCCTTGGCTTGTGAATTAATTTATAAATTTTTCCTACTCTAGGTAGCTCTATAATTCTATGAAGATTGATTACAATCTAGAATTGGGAGTGATATAAAAAGTTTGTTAATGAGGATTAGGTAGTATGGAGACAATCACATTTGTGATTTTATGTATAACATGTGTATAGAATTCAAGTATCTGTATCTTGGCCTGTGCCATTAGTCTTATATCACTGTGTTTACAAAGTTCTTTTTATGGAAAGGTACATTCTGGCATAATTATTATGATGTTTTGTTCACAGGCTAATGTTTAATATATATAAAATGATTGTGTATCATCCTAAAGCATAAATACTATTACAAGTTAAATTAAGATGTGTTAAGTAAATTAATGTTCAGGAAATAAGACTTGGACTTACCAAAATTCAGATTTATACATAATTACATTCCTACTCATTAATTCATATCTTTTTTTAATTCATTTTTATTGGGCACATAAAATAGGGAGGTAATGCTCCCTATTTTGCACATAAAATAGGGAGGTCCCATACATATGCTAAGTAAATTTTAAAAATAATGTACATACACACACATCACAGTCTTTCACCATATACATTTAAGACCAAGTTTATATTTCAAAAATATAAATCCTTTAATAAAGCAAGATTATTAAATTTTGCTATTTTTAACCATAAAAATGTATCCACTTTACAGTATGATATAAGGGGCCTCATAATCTTGAGAAAATTCCTTGATACTAGCCTAAATGCTGTGGAAAACTATTATTGGGTTATAAGCAGAGTATAGAAGTGATCTAATTTAGGCTTTTAAAATGTCAGTCAGGCAAGTTTGCAGAGAATGTACTGTAGAGGGGCAAGAATGAATACAGGGAGACTTGTTAGGTAGCTATTGTGATTGTTCAGGAAAGAGCTGATGAAGAGTGAAACTATGATTATTGTAATAAAGCTCATGAGAAATGATCAGATTCAGAGCAGATTTTGAAGTAGTCCCAGCCAAACATATTGATAGATTTTATGTAGTGGGTCAGGAAAAGAGAGAAATTAAAGATAACTTCTAAATTAAATATTACTTCTGAGTAACTAGGAAGATACATATTGGTAGGGTTGCATAAGGAGATGTTAAAGAGTTTCAATTGACATACATTAACTTTAAATTGATTATGAGATAATTTCATAGTATAACTGCCCATAGGATCAATTTCATTCTTTGTACTGAACTGATAAGTTTCTAATTGTTACTAATGTGATATGTACTAAAAACATATAAGTTCAATCTAAGCTGTCAAACCAATTATTTTAGAAATAAATTAACTCTTCATTAACTTTCGAAGTTTCTGAAGTATATGAGATACAATTAAGCTATTTTCCATTAATTATTCCCAACAAGAGCTATGAATATTGTCAGTTCATCTGGGGTATGCCAGATATTCATATATACAAATGTTTCTTTCTTCCTTTTTAAAATTTTAGTAAAACTTCTTGAGTTTTTATTCAAATTTTATTTGTCATTTGTCATATATTTAAATTTATAACCAAGGTTTTGGAAATATAGGTTACATACAATAAAATTTACCAATTTTATGTGCTCAATTCAGTAAGTTTTGACATGTATTTAGCAGGTAATGACCATCAAAATCATGATACACAATATTTCCATCAGTTCAATATATTATGTTGTGACTATCTGAAGTCAATCTCCATTTGTAACTACTGATTTCTGGTATCTATTGATATAATTTCTGTAACTATAATTTCATTTTTTTCTAGAATTTCATATAGAAAGAATCAAACAGTAAGCACTTACATTTCACCCATATTGTTGTATATAGTAGTTCATCACTTTTTATTTCTGAAAGGATACTGAATTGAAGTACCAAATTTTTTAATAAATTTTTTGACTGTTATGAATATAGCAGCCATAAGCATTCAAGTACAAGTCTTTGGGTAGACCTACATTTTCACTTCTCAAGAATAAGTACTTAGAAATGAGATTGCTGAGTCATATGTTAAATTATATTTAACTTTATATGACAGTTTCTTAGGACAGTTTCATATAAAGTTAAATATAATTTAACATATGACTCAGCAATCCCATTTCTAAGTACTTATTCATGAGAATACTACTTTGGAACTGTTTTCCAAAGTTGTTTTATTACTTTGCACTCCCATCAGAAAAAGTATGAAATGCCCAAATGCTGTGCATCTTAGCTAAAACTTGCTATTATCAATTTTTTTCAATATAAACCATTTTAATATGTGTGTAATGGTATCAAAATGTATTTTAATGTGCTTTTCTCTTTTGACTAGACATCACATATTTTTTGTTAAGTATCTGTTCACATATTTTACCAATTTTTTTTTTTTTTTTTTTTTTTAAGACAGAGTCTCCCTCTGTTGCCCAGGCTGGAGTGCAGTGGCAAGATCTCAGCTCACCACAACCTCCGCCTCCCGGGTTCAAGCTATTCTCCTACCTCAGCCTCCCGAGTAGCTGGGACTACAGGCACAAGCCACCACGCCTGGCTATTTTTTGTATTTTTAGTAGAGACGGGGTTTCACTGTGTTGGCCAGGCTGGTCTCAAACTCCTGACCTTGTGATCCGCCCACCTCGGCCTCCCAAAGGGCTGGGATTACAGACCAATTTTTAATTGTACATAATAATGAGTTGTTACTTGATAATGTTAATGAATTGCAAGGACACTTATATATTATGGATACAAGTTCCTTTTGGATAAACAATAAATATTTTTTTCCAGTCTGTGTGTTGATTTCATTTTCTTAAATGAAATCAAATTTTATAAGAGCATAAAGTTTTAAGTCTAAATCATTTTTTTCATGTTTTATGTTTAGATGTCCTGTTGAAAAAAATTTGCCTAAGCCAAGATTACAAAGATTTTATCCTAAATTTTCTTCCAGAAGATGAGTAAATCGAACTTGTAAATTTTAGACATATAATCTATTTTAAATTGTGTTTTATATATGACATAAAAAAGAAATAATGGTAGGATTGGCTCAAAGATAAGAGGAACTTCTCACTGTGGGGACAAATGTGCAAGGTATCTCCAGAGGCTTGCATTCCCACTACTGATGCCTGCCATCCCAGCGCAGCAGAGCCCCTCAGCCATTACAGGCCCTGAACCTAGTACAGGGAAATGCCTAGAGTCTATGCAACTGAATTCTTCCAGGGAAGAATTCACAATGGGTCCCACTCACCCTCCAAGAACCAAGCAGCTGCAGCAAGATGCCATTTGAGAGCACAGCCCCCGCCAGACTACTACCCTGGGATCCAAGAGTCTCTGCATCTCCATATCCCAGAGCACTGCTATCCACCCATGTCCACCCAGAAGGCTCAGCATTGCAATGCTAGGTGGACCCAGTGCTGCTGTGGGGTCCTCAACAATCTAGCCCATGCAGTGTACCACACCTTGGAGAATAGGTGGTATAGCACACAAAGAAGGCTGCCTGCAGGGCAAAGGGAGCTGAAACATGCACTCTCCAGAGCCTGGGAGCTGCCGGCCTGGAGCCACTACCACCGACCTCTTCCAGTGCCAGCCAGGGCTGCCGCATAGCTGCATTCACCTTTGGGGAGCCTGAGGAGTGGCCCACTTGTGCACGTGCCAGGGGCCAGAGGACAGGCCAGCCCTGCCCAATGCAAAAGCGGTAATGTGCTATTGGGGACATGAAGATGGGCCCACCCCACCCATGGTGCCAGTGCTTACCAAGCTGTTTGGGAGGCTGGGAATCAATTTGGCCTGCCCACTTCCTTTGCTACTAATTCCCATGTATTTCATCCAGGTGCATGAAGATTGGCAAGCCCCATCTGACTCTGATGTTGCTGGTACCATGCATACCATCCACAGGTCCGAGGAGAGACTCACCTTGCCTGTCACCACTTGCCACCACTGCTGTCCTGGGGCCAGACAACTGACCTCTCTACCCACCACTGTCACTGCCACTGCCACTGCCAGTACCCACATACTTTGCCTGGGATCCTGAATACCAGCATTCCCATCCTGTCGCTGCCACCACTGGCGCCCAAGAACTGACCCACCTGGGGTTCTCATCCTCAGTAAAGCCTTGTCCCAGCCTCCACTAATAATCACAGGCTAAGCATTTGAGGACCCACATACGCCAGTGGAATTGATAACAACCAAAGACATTATACAGAGACTGCATGATTAAAATCACTCAGAATCAAAACCAAAGCACTATACTCAATAAAGATTATAGATGCACCTACAGTAAAAAGTCCCTACAAAAGCCAATCCATAAAATTAAAAGAAGCGACTATTACAACAGATTATCAGCAATCGATGTAAAACACAAGAAATATGAAAAAGCAAGAAAACATGACACCTCCAGATGAACATAATAATTCTCTAGTAATGGCCAGGTGCGGTGGCTCACGCCTGTAATCCCAGCACTTTGGGAGGCCAAGGCAGGCGGATCATGAGGTCAAGAGATTGAGACCATCTTGGCCAACATGGGGAAACCCCATATATTAAAGTGTGTTTCTGGGTTTGTTTCACTTCTTATAAGGTTTTGCAGGTATCTATACAATATCTTTATTTTTGGCAAATATTTCAACATCATTTTTGAAAGTTATTTTTATTATGCCCTCACATTTGAATGCCCATGAGGCCCAATACTGCATTTTATATATATATATATATATATATATATATATATATATATATATATATATATATATATAAAATTAAAGATATGTATCTATATAGAATATATATAGAATATGTAGATAAAGAATGTCAATAGGTAGTCTTTAAATAGAACATTGTTTTATTTTTTATACTCAGTTTTGCTGTTGATAATTCTGATGTAATTGTTCGGTCCTTATTTCTCCATAGGTTATTTTCCTTTTACTCTGGGATCATTTAAAATTTGAGTTTGTCATTGGTGTCATTAAATTTCACTATAATTTGTCTAGTGTAGATTTTTTCCCATTTACCATCTTGAAGAACAGTAAATCTAAACTTTTTGTTTTTCAATCCTGGGAAAGTTTTAACATTTTTTCAAACATTATCACTTCTCTTTTTCTTTTAACTTCCTTTCTGCAACTCATAATTCTATCCTCCTTTGCTGTCAGTTTTAGCTTTATATTTTCTGACTTATTTTATATTTTTTCTGACTTATTTTATATTTTCTGCTACCATCTAGGATATTTTATTAACCTGGCCTTTCAAATCAATAAGTAATAGTAGGATTTATCTATCCTATTATTTATTCCAACTATGTATTCTTATTTCAACAATTATAAATTTTATGCCAAATGTTTCTACTTGATTCTTTTTGATATTTTATCACTTATAGTGTTTATTGTTTATATCACATCTTATAATAATTATTTAATTATATTTAAATTTGTAGTGCTTCTCTTCTGTTTCATATGCTCTCTGTGGTTTGGTTGCCTTTGTTTTGAAGTAATTGTACTTTAAATGTCTAATATATTTGATCGAAGAGCTCATGTTTCCTGGTATTGTCAGCTGTGCTGCTTGGTATTGGAACAGTCAAAAGTCAATGTCTTGGACAATCTCACTCATAAATTAAAGGGTGAATTTATTTATTTTTACTTTAAAAAAATTTTAAATAGCTTTATGGGTACAAGTGGTTTTTGGTTACCTGGATGAATTTTATAGTGGTGAAATATAAGATTTTAGTCTACCTGTCACTGGAATAGTGTACATTGTACCCCGTAGGTGGTTTTTATTCCTTACCCCTTTCCCACCCTCCCCATGTCTGAGTCTCCAATGTCCATTATACCACTCTGTATGCCTTTGTGTACCCATGGCTTAGCTCCCACTTAATAAGTGAGAACATGAGGTATTTGGTTTTCCATTCCTGAGCTACTTCACTTATGATAATGGCCTCCAGTTCCATCCCAGTTGCTGCAAAAGACATTATTTCATTCTTTTTAATGGCTGAGTAGTATTGCATGTTGTATATATACCACATTATATTTATCCACTCATTGGTTGATGGGCACTTATGTTGATTCCTTATCTCTGCAATTGTGAATTTTGCTGTGATAAGCATATGTGCAGGTGTCTTTTTTATATAATGGCTTCTTTTCCTTTGGGTAGATACCCAGTAATTGGATTGCTGGATAAAATGGTAGATCTACTTTTAGTTCTTTGAGAAATCTCCATATTATTTTCCATATAGGTTGTACTAATTTACATTCCCACCAGCAGTGTATAAGCATTATCTCAAGGTGAATTTAAAGAGATAAGCAGAATATTTGGAACTCAGAAACACTGTAGGTCACTCTCAATTGATGTTACTCAAGAAAGTAACTCTTCTAGCCAGGATTTTATTTTAAACACTTGATTAAAAGCAGCGATTGTTGAAGAGAGCCTCCCTCAGTTATAATCCACTGGTCTTCAGACTTGCAGTGTGAGGGCATAGAGAACACCCAAAATTGCCTGATCATCCTGCATCTGTTATTTTAAATTTTTCTTCCTTAGAGAAGTTTTGTTTTTTACTATTATTTTCTACACTGGTGGTCTGTCCTGTTGCTACAGATATCCTTGTTGAGGGGCTGATGACTGATGTTTCAAGGCAACAAGGAGAGAAAAATAGAGCTTACCATCTTCCCTCTATCACTTTCTTTTATTGCTCTCTTGGGCTACTCCCTTCTCCATGCGCAGCACGCCTGATAAACAAACACCATTGGAGGGAGTCAGAGACTCTCAGTGGTTTTCCAACTTTTTGTTATTATTTTTGCTCAAATCAGTGCTACCTTTTCATCTCTATAGGGTTGCCAGTTGATTTTGAGGATTAGATGTGTGGCAGGCACACAGTAAGATGAACTCCAATGAGTCATACCCTTGTATAATTCTCTCTCCTCAAGTACAGACATAATCTATGACTTGATTCTAATCAATAGACTATGAAACAGATGATAGGATGCCACTCCACTGATAATAATGATGATGTGTGTGTCTTTGTGTATGTATGTGTGTGCGTGTATGCGTGTGTGTGTGTGTGTGAGAGAGAGAGAGAGAGAGAGAGGGAGATAGAGAGAGAGATTTGATTTTCCTGGCGTCCTTGAAGAAGCAAAGAGCCATGTTGTTAACTGCCTTCGAAGGGGCCATGTGGCAGGGAACTGTGGCTGTCCTCCAGCCAACAGCCAGTAATCAGCTGGGGACCTCAGTTATTCAGCCACAAGCAAATTACTTTTGTCAACAGTCTGAATAAGCTTGAAACCATACTCTTCCCTAGTTAAGAGTCTGATAAGAATGCAGCTTGCCAGTATCTTAATTGCAGACCGAGCAGTGGACCCTGTAAAGTCGTGTCCAGACTCTTGGCCTGCGGAAACTGTGAGATAATAAATGTGTGTTGTTTTAAACCATTGCATTTGTGGTAATTTGTTATGCAACAGGAGAAATCTACAACAGAAGGGAATAGCCTAAGGTAGTTCTAGAAATCCGTAGGAACCAAGTTAGGTTGGGTGGGAGAGTAAAAACTGTAAAAAATTTTATTACCTCACAATAAGGAGAAAGTATCATTTAGAAGGTAGAATTGCCATAGTTAAGTAAAAGTCATGCACTGTAAAATCTTTACAATCACAAAACGTATTTCAGATCTATTTTTGTAAAACTCAAGTGAATAGCTATGGTCTGTTTTGGATTACTAAGGATGACTATCAATATTTCTTTTGTTTCACTTCTCTGTATAATGTCAAATAAAATGGATTAACTCCAGTGTTACAATACTAATATTCAATAAATTAATACTCATTCTTTTCAACAGGAAATTTTCCCAACTGACACATAAATTTATGATATGTGGAGAATTGTGATTTTTATTGAAACTTACTATCTTTAAAATAAAACTAATTTAAGATTCATGCAGAGGTAATACATCAGCCTAATAGAATATAGTCATACTTTATCAGAATCATTTACAATGTTGGCACTGTAGGTATTTTTGCCCATAATTCTCTCTTTTTTAAAATGTTGTTATTTTTTAGAGCAGTTTTAGGTTCACAGAAAAATTAAGAAGTTATAGAGATTTCCCATGTACCCCTTCCCCCACACTTACATAACCTCCCACATTATCAACACAACCCATCACAGTGGACATTTTCTAGTTACTTTATTAAAAACTGTCCATAAGGGAAAGCTAAGAAGTTTAGTAGAAGCCCAATTGAGTTTCTCAGAGTATACCTTATGAATGAGTGCAAAATGAGTGGATTAAAGTATATATGATCTTCATGTAGGTCACTTCCTGATTGATGACACCGTGGAATTCACTCTTCCCGATAGTCATCAATTTTCTGAGAGACTGCACAAACACTGATTGATTTTGCTTCTTCAGTATCCATTGATTATATCACAGAATTTATACTGATTAGAAAATATAAGTACAAATACCAGGCTCTAGGATGTGTCTATATATGTGCCTGTATGTGTATATCAGTGACATGTGTACCTGTGTGTGGATGGCGAGGGTAGGTTGGGGCATAGGTCATGTGCATTCTTTTCTAAGCATTTCAGATAGGTCCAGTAAAATCTCACATTTCAAAGGTATCAGATACTATATACAAACAAACAAAATGCTGCATAAACTCTAAAAACCTCTAACCAACAGTTTGGATACTTCTACAGACCAGTAGGGAAACAAAATTTTGGTTTGCAAACCTGAGTTTAGGCTAACAGTGTAAAATAGGCTTCCTGGAAAGGACTTTCTCAGTAAAAATAACTGAAAATTCAATACTTAATATCCATATCTTCCTTTCAGTATCATTCAGAGACAAAGCATCCCTCTCTAAATAAGCAGGTTTTCTTCTACTGGATTGTAATTATTGCTTTTCATAATCAGTTCATCATCAAAACTACATTTTACACATTATGTTGATGTCGCTTTTTCAGTATTATCAGAGAAACAAAATTCCTTTATGAATAAACATTTTCTTTTACTGTAATTATTGCTTTTATGATCACAAACAATTATACTATACATATTCTAGACCAGGAACTTGTCAAGCCACTTGGAATAAAATGGATAAATGGGCCTGACTTAATGGAGCTTACATGCCAGTTGTGAGACAGACAATTAACAATAAACCAAATAATACAATTAATATAATTAATATATAATACAATATAATATCAGGCAATTACAAGTCCTCAATAAGTTCCTGCTAAAATGTAAGTTTCTCAGAAGCAACCATCTTGCTCTGTTGTGTGTATGGATCTATATCAATTACTAGAACAGAACCTAATATATGTTAGCCACTTAATAAATGTTTTATGAATGTTCTAACTAGCAATACCTGATAAAATTTATTTTACGTAAACTGCACTTTTACCAGGCATCGAAGATCTCAATCTTGACCATATCCGGCCTTCTGTGTCGCTTCAACTCATAACATGTCATTTCAACTCAAATCATTTCCAGATTATAGAAAAGTTGAATGAGGACCAAGAAAAACCTGAAATGGAAAACTTTTAAAATATTCTTAGGAACACAGAATAGCATACATAGGGTTTTCCATTAAATCAATGGGATTTGTATCATGAATATGACCTCCTTGATGGCAAAACTCATGTCTATCATGTTTAATACAGATTATAATCTAGCAATCTCTAGGAGAGGAGTGACCTTCTCTATTTTGTTCTCAGTACCTAGTAGGTACTCAATATAGTTATAAAGATGATAAGCTAATAAATTAAATAATCCATAGCTTGTTTGGAGCCTAATAACATAGAAAGGGTTCTTGGAACATTTATTCAATAAATGAAGGAACAATAAATGTATAAATATTTAGTTAAGCCATATATAAATTGAGTATTTGTTTTCATCCATTAAGTATAGAATCCTTACATCATTAGGCTGTGAAAATTAAAAACAATTACATTTGAGAAAATATGACCTATTTAACAGTGCATTTTTTTCTTTTAAATATACTTCATTTTTATAACAGTTTTAGGTTCACAACAGAACTGAGCAGAAAGGATAGAGATTTCCCATATGTCCTTTGCTCCTTCACATGTGCGTCTTTTGTTACAATCAGCATCTCCACAAAAATGGTACATTTGCTACAATTGATGAACCTACACATTATTGTCACTCGAAGACCATAGTTTACATTAATATATTCTCCCAATATAACGCTGTACATTGTTTGGGCTTTGGCAAATGTCCAATGACATATATTCACCATTATAGTATCATCTAGAGTAGTTTCACTGCTCTAAAAATTTCCTGTGCTCCACCTATTCATCTCTCCCTCCCTGTTAACTCCTGGCAACCACTGGTCTGTTTACTGTTTCCATAGTTTTGCTTTTCTACAAAGTCATATAGCTGGACTCATACAGTATGTAGCTTTCAGTTTGGCTACTTTCACTTAGTAATGTACATTTAAATTTCCTCATGTTTTTCCATGGCTTAATAGCTCATTTCTTTTTCACACTGAATAACAGTCAATTGTCTGGATGTACTACAGTTTATTTATAAATTTACTTAATGAAAGATATCTTGGTTGCTTCCAAGTTTGGACAAAATTTTGGCTTTATCTTTTGATTTCACGAAAAGCTCTATGAGTAAAGCTGCTGTGAATGTGAAGGTTTTTGTGTGGACATAAGTTTTCAGCTCATTTGGATAAACACCTAGGAGGAAGATTTCTCAATAATATGGTAATAATGTGTTTCGTTTGGTAAGAAACTGCCAAACATCTTCCAAAGTGACTGTTTATTTTTCATTCCCACCTGCAATGAAAGAGAATTCCTTTTGCTCCACATGCTCACCAGCATTTAGTGGTGTCAGTGTTCTGAATGTTGGCCATTCTAATATGTTGTTGTGGTATAACATTGCTGTTTTAATTTCCATTTCTCTAACATGATATGGAGCATCTTTTCATATGTTTATTTGTCATCTATAAATCTCAGGTGAGGTGTCTCCTCTAGTCTTTTGCCCATTTTTAACCAGGTAGTTTGGTTTCTTATTGTTGAATTTTTAAGAGTTCTTTGTAAATTATGGGAAGAGTCCTCTATCAGATATGATTTTCGAAAATATTTTCTCCCAGTTTATGGCTTGTCTTCTCATTCTCTTGACAGTGTCATTCACAGAGCAGAATTTTTTAGTTTTAATAAAGTCTAGCTTATCAATTATTTATTTCATGGATCATGTCTTTGGTGTTTTACCTATAATGCCATTGCAATACACAAGGTCATCTAGATTTTTTTTTTTTTTTTTTGCCATTCCCAAGGTCATCTAGGTTTTCTCCTATGTTATCCTCTAGTTTTATAGTTTGTCATTTTACATTTAGGTATATGATCCACTTTGAGTTAATTTTTATGAAGGGTGTAAGATGTCTGTTTATATATTTTTATTATACTTTAAGTTCTGGGGTACATGTACACAAAGTGTAGTTTCATTACGTAGGTATACAGGTGCCATGGTGGTTTGCTGCACCCATTAACTTGTCACCTACATTAGATATTTCTCCTAATGCTATCCCTCCCCTAGCCCCCCACCCCCTGACAGGCCCCAGTTTGTGATGTTCCCCTCCCTGTGTCCATGTGTTCTCATTGTTCAACTCCCACTTATGGGTGAGAACATGTGGTGTTTGGTTATCTGTTCTTGTGATAGTTTGCTGAGAATGATGGTTTCCAGCTTCATCCATGTCCCTGCAAAGGACATGAACTCATCCTTTCTTATGGCTGCATAGTATTCCATGGTGTACATGAGTCACATTTTCTTTATCCAGTCTATCATTGATGGACGTTTGGGTTGGTTCCAAGTCTTTGCTATTGTGAATGGTGCGCAATAAACATACGTGTACATGTGTCTTTATAGTAGAATGATTTATAATCCTTTGGGTATATACCCAGTAATGGGATTGCTGAGTCAAATGGTATTTCTAGTTCTAGATCCTTGAGGAATTGCCACACTGTCTTCCACAATGGTTGGATTAATTTACACTCCCACCAACAGAGTAAAAGTGTTCCTATTTCTCCACATCCTCTCCAGCATCTGTTGTTTCCTGACTTTTTAATGATTGCCATTCTAACTGACGTGAGATGGTATCTCATTGTGGTTTTGATTTGCATTTCTCTAATGACCAGTGATTATAAGCATTTTTTCATGTTTGTTGGCTGCATAAATGTCTTCTTTTGAGAAGTGTCTGTTAATATTCTTTGCCCAGTTTTTGATGGGGTTGTCTGTTTTTTTCTTGTAAATTTGTTTAAGTTCTTTGTTGATTCTGAATATTAGCCCTTTGTCAGATGGATAGATTGCAAAAATTTTCTCCCATTCTGTAGGTTGCCTGTTCACTCTGATGATAGTTTCTTTTGCTGTGCAGAAGCTCTTTAGTTTAATTAGATCCTATTTGTCAATTTTGGCTTTTGTTGCCATTGCTTTTGGTGATTTAGACATAAAGTCTTTGCCCATGCCTATGTCCTGAATGGTATTGCCCAGGTTTTCTTCTAGGGTTTTTATGGTTTTAGGTCTTATGTTTAAGTCTTTAATCCATCTTGAGTTGATTTTTGTATAAGGTGTAAGGAAAGGGTGAGGTTTCAGTTTTCTGCATATGGCTAGCTAGTTTTCCCAACACCATTTATTAAATAGATAATCTTTTCCCCATTGCTTGTTTGTATCAGGTTTGTCAAAGATCAGATGGTTGTAGCTGTGCGGTGTTATATCTGAGGCCTATGTTCTGTTCCATTGGTCTATATATCTGTTTTGGTACCAGTACCAAGCTGTTGTGGTTACTGTAGTCTTGGAGTATAGTTTGAAGTCAGGTAGTGTGATGTCTCCAGCTTTGTTCTTTTTGCTTAGGATTGTCTTGGCTATGTGGGCTATTTTTTGGTTCCATATGAAGTTTAAAGTAGTTTTTTCCAATTCTGTGAAGAAAATCAGTGGTAGCTTGATGGAGGGAGCATTGAATCTATAAATTACTTTGGGCAGTATGGCCATTTTCATGATATTGATTCATCTTATCCATGAGCGTGGAATGTTTTCCTACTTGTTTGTGTCCTCTCTTATTTCCTTAAGCAGTGGTTTATAGTTCTCCTTGAAGAGGTCCTTCACATCCTTTGTAAGTTGTATTCCTAGGTATTTTATTCTCTTAGTAGCAATTGTGAATGGGAGTTCATTCATGAATTGGCTCTCTGTCTGTTACTGGTGTATAGGAATGCTTGTGATTTTTGCACATTGATTTTGTATTCTGAGACTTTTCTGAAGTTGCTTATCAGCTTAAGGAGATTTTGGGCACAGACGATGGGGTTTTCTAAATATACAATCATGTCATCTGCAAACAGAGACAATTTGACTTCCTGTCTTCCTATTTGAGTACCCTTCATTTCTTTCTTTTGCCTGACTGACCTGGCCAGAACTTCCAATACTATGTTGAATTGGAGTGGTGAGAGAGGGCATCCTTGTCTTGTGCTGGTTTTCAAAGGGATGCTTGCAGTTTTTGCCCATTCAGTATGATATTGGCTATGGGTTTATCATAAATAGCTCTTATTATTTTGAGATACATTCCAATGATACCTAGTTTATTGAGAATTTTTAGCATGAAGGGGTGTTGAATTTTGTCGAAGGCCTTTTCTGCATCTATGACATAATCGTGTGGTTTTTGTCATTGGTTCTGTTTATGTGATGGATTACATTTATTGATTTGCATATGTTGAACCAGTCTTGCATCCCAGGGATGAAGCCGACTTGATCTTGGTGGATAAGCTTTTTTGATGTGCTGCTGGATTTGTTTTGCCAGTATTTTATTGAGGATTTTCACATCGATGTTCATCAGGGATATTGGCCTGAAATTTTCTTTTTTTGTTGTGTCTCTGCCAGGTTTTGGTATCAGGATGATGCTGGCCTCATAAAGTGAGTTAGGGAGGATTCCCTCTTTCTCTATTGTTTGGAATAGTTTCAAAAGGATTTATTATTTTACGTGTGGATGTCCAGTTGTTCCAGAACCATTTGTTGAAAAGAATATCTTTTCTCTATTGTGCTGACTTTGTTCCCCATTCAAACATAAGCTGACTATGTGAGTCTATTTCTGGGCTCTCTTTTTGGTTCCATTGATCTATTTGTCTATTATTTCACCAATTCCACACTGTCCTGATTATTACAGATTTATAGTAAATTTTGAAGTCAGCTATTGTCACTCCTCTGACTTTGTCCTTCAATATTGGGTTAACTATTCTGGGTCTTTTGCTGTCTATATAAACTTTAAATAAGTTTGTCAAGATACACAAAATAACCTGTTGGAATTTTTATTGATATTACATTGAATCTATAGATCAATTTAGAAAAAACTCACTTCTTGAAAATATTGTCTTACTCTCCATGAGCATGGAAAAACTGTCTATTTAGTTTTCTTTGTTGTTTTTCTTTTTATTTATTTAGTTATTATATTATTTAACTTTTATTTCAGGTTCAGAAGTACATATGCACGTTTGTTCTGTAGGTAAAATGTGTGTCATGGGGGATTGGTGTGCAGATAATTTCATCACCCAGTAATAAGCATAGTACCTGATAGGTAGTTTTTTGATCCCAACTCCCCTCCCACCCTCCACCCTTAAGTAGGCCCCGATGTCTGTTGTTCCCTTCTTTGTGTCCATGTGTACTCAATGTTTAGCTACAACTTATAAATAAGAATATGTGGTATTTGGTTTTTCTGTTCCTGCATTAGTTTGCTTAGGATAATGGCCTCCAGCTCCATCCATGTTGCTGCAAAGGACATAACCTCATTCTTTTAATGGCTGCATAGTATTCTATGGTGTATATGTACCACTTTTCTTTATCCAGTCTACAATTCATGGGCATTTAGGCTGATTCTGTCTTTGCTATTGTGAATAATGCTGTGATGAACCTTCACATCCATGTGCCTTTATGGTAGAATGATTTATATTCCTTTGGGTATATACACAATAATGGGATTGCTGTGTCAAATAGTAATTCTGTTTTAAATTCCTTGAGAAATTGCCAAACTGTTTTCCACAGTTTCCAAAAGATTGAACTAATCTGCATTTTAACCAGCAGTGTATAAGAATTCCCTTTTCTCCACAACATCACTAGCATATGCTATTTTATTTACAACCATTCTGACTGGTTTGAGATGATATCTCATTGTGGTTTGATTTGCATTTCTTTAATGAGTAGTAATATTGAGCATTTTTTCATATGCTTGTTAGCTGCATGTGTGTCTTCTTTTGAAAAGTGCCTGTTAATGTCCTTTGTCCACTTTTTTAATAGGGTTGATTGTTTTTCACTTGAAAATTTGTTTTAGTTCCTTATAGATTCTCAATATTAGTCTTTGTCAGATGCGTACTTTGCAAATACTGCCTTCCATTCTGTAGGTTGTCTGTTTATTCTTTTGATAGATTCTTTTGATGCGAAGAAGGTCTTTAGTTAAATTAGGTCTCATCTGTCAATTTGTATTTTTGTTGCAATTGCTTTTGGCATCTTCCTCATGAAATTTTTGCTAGGTCCTATGTCCAGAATGGTATTCCTAGGTTATTCTTCAGGGTTTTTATAGACTTGGGTTTTACATTTAAGTCTTTAATCTATCTTGAATTGAAGCAAGAAAGGAAACAGTCCAGTTTCAATCTTCTGCATATGGCTAGCCAGTTACCCCAGTACCACTTTTTGAATAGGGAGTCCTTTCCCCATTGGCTTGTTTTTGTTTATTTTGTCAAAGATCAGAGAGTTGTAGGTGTGAAGCCTTATTTCTGGGCTCCCTATTCTGTTCCATTGGTCTATGTAGCTCTTTTTATACCAGTGACATGCTGTTTTGGTTACTGTAGCCTTTTAGTATAATTTGAAGTCAGGTAATGTGATGCCTCCAGCTTTGTTCTTTTTGCTTAGGATGGCTTTGGCTATTTTTGGTTCCATATCAATTTTAAATACTTTTTTTCTAATTCTGTGAAGAATGTTATTCGTAGTTTCATAGAAATGGCACTGAATCTAAATTGCTTTGGGCAGTATGTTAATTTTAACAATATTTATTCTTCCTATCCAGGAGCATGGAATGTTTTTCCATTTGTTTGTGTTATCTCAGATTTCTTTGATGTTTCGTAATTCTCATTGTAGAGAGCTTTAACCTCCCTGTTAGCTATATTCCTAGGTATTTTATTATTTTTGTGGCTAATGTGAATGGGATAGTGTTCTGAACTTGGCTCAAAGCTTAGATATCCTTGGTGTATAGAAATGCTACTAATTTTTGTACATAGATTTTGTATCCTGAACTTTGCTGAAGTTGTTTATCAGATCTAGGAGCCTTTGGCCAGAGACTATGAGTTTTCTAGGTATAGAATCATATCTGCAAGTGGAGATAGTGTGACTTCCTCTCTCTTGGTTCTTTATCCAGCTTGTCACTCTGAGCCTTTTAATTGTGGCATTTAGCCCATTTACATTCAAGGTGAATATGGATAGGTGCATATTTGAACATGTCATCATGTTGTTAGTTGGTTATCATGTAGCCTTGTTTGTGTGGCTGCTTTGTAGTGTCAATGATCTATGTACTTAAGTGTGTTTTTGTAGTGGCCAGTAATGGTCATTCTTTTCCATATTTAGCACTCCCTTCAGGAGTAAGGATCTGCCTTCAGGGAGGTCTAGTGATAATGAATTCCCTTAGCGTTTGCTTGTCTGCAAAGAATGTCATTTATCCTTCGCTTATGAAGCTTAGTTTAGCTGGATATGAATTTCTTAGTTGGAATTTCTTTTCCTTAAAAATGCTAACTATAGGCTCCCAGTCTCTTCTGACTTGTAGTGTTTCTGCTGAAAGGTCTGCTGTTAGCCCGATGCAGTTCCCTTTGTAGTCGACCTGCCCCTTCTCTCTAGCTACCTTTAGTATTTTTTCTTTCATTTTGACCTTGGTGAAACTGATGGTCATCTTGTGTAGTATCTCATAGGGATTCTCTATATTTCCGGAATTTGAATGTTTTCCTCTCTAATGGGGTTGGAGAAATTTTGATGGATGATACCCAGAAATATTTTTCCAAGTTGTTTGCTTTCTCTTCCTCTCTTTCAGGGATGCCAATGAATCATAGATATGGTCCCGTTACATAATCCCATATTTCTCAGAGGTTTTGTTCATTCTTCTTTTAGCTGTTTTGTTTTGTTTGTTTTTGTCTTACTGAGTTATTTTGAACAACTGGTCTTCAAGCTCAGAGATTCATTCCTCAGCTTGGTCAATTCTGCTTTTCATACTAGCAATTATATTCTGAAATTTTTAAGTGAGGTTTTCAGCTGTATCAGTTCAGTTTGATTCAAATGTCCATTCACCTTTCTTTTCTTATATCATTTTTATTGTATCCCTTAGAACCCTCAGATTGGGTTTCCATTTCTCCTGAATCTCAAAGATCTTTCTTTCCATCCATATTCTGAATTATATTTCTGTCATTTCAGCCATTTCATCCTGGTTAAGAACCATTGCAGGAGAACTAGTGCAAGCATTTTGAGATAAAAAGACACACTAGCTTTTTGCATTGCCAGAATTCTTACACTGGTTATTATTCATCTGTGTGGGCTAATGTTCCTTCAATGTTTGTAGCTGCTGTCCTTTGGATAGGATTTTTTGCTTTTATCTTCTTTGATTCCCTTCTTTGTGGCACCCTCTGAAGCTGCAGCCCAAGCTGTACTTTGGCCCCTTGTAGTCATGGCTGGAGCACCTGGGACACAGGGCACCAAGTCCCTAGACTGCACACAGCACAGGGACCCTGGGCCCAGCCCACAGCACCATTTTTTCCTCCTAGGTCTCCAGGCCTGTGATGGGAGGGGCTGCCACAAAGATCTCTGACATTCCCTGGTAACATTTTCCCCATTGTCTTGGTGATTAACATTCAGCTCTTCATAACTGATGCAAATATCAGCACCAGTCTTGAATTTCTGCTCTGAAAATGGGATTTTCTTTTCTATTGCATTGTCTGGCCACACATTTTCTGAAATTTTATGCTCTATTTCCCTTTTAAAACTGAGTGCCTTTAAAATCACCCAAGTCACCTTTTGAATGCTTTGCTGCTTAGAAATTTATTCCACCAGATACTCTAAATCATCTCTCTCAAGTTCAAAGTTCCACAAATCTCTAGGGCAGAGGCAAAATGCCACCAGTCTCTTTGCTAAAACATAACAAGAGTCACCTTTGCTCCAGTTTCCAACAAGTTCCTCATCTTCATCTGAAACCACCTCAGCCTGGATTTCATTGTCCATATCATTATCAGCATTTTGGTCAAAGTCATTCAACAAGTCTCTGGGGAGTTCCAAACTTTCCCACATTTTCCTGTCTTCTTCTGAGCCCTCCAAAGTATTCTGACCTCTGCATGTTACCCAGTTCCAAAGTTGCTTCCACATTTTTGGGTATCTTTTCAGCACCACCCGACTCTACTGGTACCAATTTACTGTATTAGTTCATTTTCACACTGCTGATAAAGACATACCCAAGACTGGGCAATTTACAAAAGAAAGAGGTTTAATGGACTTACAGTTCCACATGGCTGGGGAGGCATCCAAATCATGGTGGAAGGCAAGGAGGAGCAAGTCACATCTTACATAGATGGCAGCAAAGAGAGAGAGCTTCTGCAGGGGAACTCCTCTTTATAAAACCATCAGATCTCATGAGACTTATTCACTATCATGAGAACAGCATGGGAAAGACCTGCCCCCATGATTCAATTACCTCCCACCAGGTCCCTCCCAGAGCACATGGGAATTCAAGATGAGATTTGGGTGGGGACAAAGCGAAACCATACCATGTATCTATTTATATGATCAAAATTTTTTTTCTTTTTTGGCTTGTTGTTGATGTGATGAATTACATTAACTGATTTTCACAGAATTTTATTTGTTAACTATAGAAATAAAGTGAAAATGACAGCAACAATTAAAATGAATGCAATATAAAAACTATAGGAAGGAATAGAGGAGATAAATAATTTAATATAAATGGGATGAGCAATGAAGAAATGTAGATAAGGGTATGCCCACTCTTATAGTACCAGAAAAATTTCTTACAATAATGTAAATGCTAAATTATAATTTAATCAGAATTAAAAGCTGCTCTGCTAGCATACTTGTATTCACACTGTCTAAGGAATATTTTAGAATGAAAAGAACTATATTGAATTTTAAAGACTATTATATTTTAAATGATACTTGGGCATAGTTTGCTCATGGATACTTTCCTGAATGTTACAAGAAGACACCATTTAACATTACACATAATATTGGACTGCTGATTTCTGAAACGCTTCCTGAGCGTAAGGTAATAAACCCATAACTTGTTTAAATGTCATTCCCAGGCCTTGTCATCAGCACCTGAATACAATCTCAATTGCCACATTTCTGAAAGACTTTTTCCATTCAAAATTTGTACATTGAGAGGAGTCACTGATTTAAAGTCTTGAGGCAGGAACATATGAATAATAGATTGGAAGACCCTATTGCCAGAAAATAAAGATGGCTTTAAAATAGATCTACAGTAGTTTTAAAAGATCAAAGGTGTGCCCTATAAAAGAGCTCCCACTGGCCAAAATGTGAAAAACTAAAACATCAAAAAGAGGATAATAATTACAATTATTTGGAACATGTTTCATCTGTGAAAAGCCTTGGGTACATGATGATACTTGCAAATGAAAATGTTAATTCAAAATGTACAAAAGTGAATTGTAAATATAAAAGGACACTGTAACAGAATAATACACTAAAATACAATGGCAACCTAATTGGAATTTCTTCTTTTTTAAATTAAGCATTGCTACATATATTTCTGTCTCCTTTAAGTAAGGGATAGTGGCTATAAGGAACTGTAGGAAAGCCATCTAATTCTGGAATATTATGACACCATAAAAAATCAGGAGGAATAGTCAGCACTGGTGTTCATGTTCACCATACACAATGACTTAACAAATGAAAATACAGCAATGAGTTGCTAAAACTCCAGAGACAGAAACTGAATACTTAGATATATAATTTTCTTAAAGCAGAAATCTCTAGATAACCTAACAACTTAAAATAAATTGCTAATAAGGTACAAGGAGATAACTTTTAAAAGGACAAAGATATTCCCAGATCAAAGTTGACGGCCATGTGAATGGGGAGGAACACCAAAATCTAAAATCATGCATGGATTTGTAAAGTCCAATTGATGTAGTAATGAGCTTTGACTCAAGAAGAGGCTCAGCCAGTGAATGTTGATTCAGGTTTGATTTTTCAAAGATAAAATTAGATCCTGTGTCTTGGCCAGAATTAGCATCTATGGCTGGTTTCACACAGTGCTCTTTTTCTTTATGATCTACCAATATTTCTGTAACTGTAGGTAGATATAGACATATATAGAGCTATTAGAGAAATAGAGAAAGTCTTTAAAATTTATATATGTGTGTGTTTTATGTATAAAATCCTACATAATTTATATAGCAAAGCAGTACAAAGTTCCCTGGAAAACTGAGAAAGCTATTTGTTTAGTTAATTGGCCACTTCTAAAAGAATAATAAAACTCTGTATCTCCTCAAAAACCAAATGGCTACACCTTGAGTTTCCCTGAAAGACAAATGGTTACATCTTGAGATAGGATCCTACTTTAACTGCAGAGATGTGTTTTTATATTTCAAAAGGGTATGAGGCCTGTAACTTTAGATAAATCATAGCTTTAAAAATATTCCTAAAATGCCAATTTTAAACATTCCTATTTTAAGATTATTTTAATTATATTTGTTGTAATAACTTTATTATCATGGGAACAATTTGTATATGATTAAGGTATTGGAAATAATTGAGAGTCTTTGACATATTAAACTTGTTTGTGATTGCATAGATAAAAAATTGACTAAGTTTATAATCTACATCTAAATGTCTAGCAATACTTACTGTATTTTGTTTTAATGGTATTTGTGTACGGATATTTAAATAGTTTTAAAAATCAATTCATGGATTTATAACTTTATAGTGTACTGGAAATGTAGTACTCTATACTCTTCTCCATACACAAATGTTTTTCTGTTAGTAACACTCCCTGCAACATTTGTGTAAGGCCCATAATATTTTCCAAAGGCCAAACTCTATAAGAAATTATTATTCCAGGACAACATGCACAAAAAAATTTAGTTAGTAGCCATGGCTCTTCAAGTTGGAATAATGAAAGCAGCAGGAATTATATATAAAACATACACATACACACACACACACACACACACACAAACACACACACACACAAAGAATGCACACCAAAAGAGGAACTACAACGTAACAAATACAGCAGTCCAACAAATAACTTTTCATTATCTTAAATAAATTAGTGACAAGATTTTTCTATCCTAGAAAACAACACAAAACCATTTAATGTTCTGTTTAAACTCTTTAAAGTACAAAATAAAGACATCAGTAGGGAGAAGAAAATAAATTTTGAGCTGTTAGAGCTCTAGGAAACCAACGAAGAAAAAAAAAACATTCTTCAGAGATAAGATATGTTAGAAGCAATAAAAATGGAATAGGCATGACTGAAAACATAAACAAGAAAATAATTAGCAGGATTGAGGTTTATATTAATCCATCCTCATGCTGCTAATGAAGACATACCCGAGACTGGGTAATTTAAAAAAGGATAGAGGTTTAATTGACTCACAGTTGAGCATGGCTGGGGAGGCCTCAGGAAACTTACAATCATGATGGAAAGGGAAGCAAACACATCCTTCTTCACATGGCAGCAGGAAAGAGAAGAATGAGAAGCCAGCAAAGGGGGAAGCCATTATAAAACCATCAGATCTCATGAGAACTTACTCACTATCATGAGAATAGCTTGTGAAAAACCACCCCCATGATTCAATTACCTCCCACGACACATTGGGATTATGGAAACTACAATTTAAGATGAGATTTGGGAGGGGACACAGCCAAACCATATGAAGGTTATTACCAAAATAACTGGAAAAGATAAAACCTGAAGAATAATCAGGGAATGTAGGAATGATAAATATGAGAGACAAATTAAACCTAAAAATTATTTAAATGTAAAAGGTACTACATCTTCAGTAAATGTTTTAATATGTGTACCAAAAGGAAACAACTTCTCTAGAAAAAAATGAAATGAAATGTTAAATTCCAAGGCATATAGTGGTAAACTACTGAACATCTAGCATGTTAAAACTATTCAAATAGACATCAGTAGTGGAAATGCAAGTCATGCAGTAGTGGTGAGAAGTATGTTGACCTCAGCCTTCTACAGACCAGCATTCAACTCAAAATTATGCAGCAAGTTACCCCAGTTTGAGAAAAAAATTATGTTTCAAAAATGTTACATCCAGCAGTTTTTCTTCAAGTGATAAAACAATAGAAAATATTTTAAGGCATATAATTGCCAGATAATATAGCTTTATTTTATATACCAAACTCACAAATAAAAAAATACTTGATCACAAGATCCAACTAATTGGCTGTATAATTTAAAATAAAGAAATTAGGAATAATGTAAACAGAGCAAAAATGGCGATGAGAAATAAATTAATTTTAATTTAGACAATTGATGCTATTTTAATATTAGAGTTAGAGAAGAGTAAATAAATGATATAGAAGTTGATCATAGCAAAAAATATTATAAGTGAATAAAAGCTGGAGATAGTAAAGGGAAAGTTGGAATAAGTAAGGGGTTGAATGCTAGTTTTCTCAAAATTTACAGAAACCTGCCAAAATGTATGATCTAGATTTGAAACATAAACATGTATTAAAACAAAATGGCTCCAAATTCTTAATACTTTTGAAAATCTATCTTTTAATTAAGCTTTTTCATTAATATTTAAAAAAATAAACACTTACCTTAAGCTCTGCTATTCCATGTTTCCTTTCAGTTTATTTTATTGGTTACATAAACATAAATGTAATTGCATTACTTTGTAGTTTAAAAAGAGCACAGGTACTATGAATTTAATTTGAAAAATTATTAGACTTTTTCTTTAATTTTTGAATATTTGAATTTTTATAAATGAGCATATTTCCAACTTTAATAAATCATGGTACCATTATTTTTATAAAGGTAGTTCAAATTAATTATATTTATAGATGTTTTCCAAATACTACCAGACACAAAGAAGGCACCTATAAAATGACAGGTTTAGACAGGACTAATCAACGAATCATTTGTAATTTAGAAACTTGCATTAGGGATCACATTCTTTTTGCAGAGACCACTCAAATCCTCTTCATTCTTTCATACTGTATTAACACAGATCAGACCTAACTGACTCTTAAGGAACAAATGAGCGGTTGTGTTCTACAACCAACAAATTTCCAATAAAGGAAGTCCAATTAAAAACTCATTTCTTTAATTGTGCAGAGATGTAATCAAGCTTAAAGAGAGGCAGAAAAACAAGATGTATGCAGTTTATTTAGGAGAATGGGCATATTAATTCTTAACTTTAATAATTTTAAAATAATGTCTATGGTTCCAAAATGCGCATTTAATTTCTTCTCTGTTCTCTTCAGGATTAACAAGTAAAATAAAGCCACCATGCCAGTATATTGGGAATAACTGAAATTCACAATATGAATTAAGGTTTCAAAGCAGGCAGGTATACAGCTAAAAGCAATACTTTAAGTTCCATATTTTCAAAATGGTTGAAAAGCATATACAGGAAAGGTATATATTATCTTCATGTTTCATAGGTTAAGATGTCTGAATCCTAAAGCAATTGTAGAATTTTCTACAATTCTTCAGGGAGATTACATCCAAGTGAAATCACAGTCACTGTTTATTTAATTCAATTGAACTCTATATCTTTGACTAAACTAACTTTTCCATTTTTTTTAACAAGAAACTAGTTTTATTTTCACCAGAATTATAAGATTCTTAATTTATTGCAAGGGTTCTACTTTATATTAACATAATTCAACTCAATGGTCAGGGGAGTCAGTTGTATCCATTTTGCAATAAATATTTCGAGAACTAAACTAAACTAAAAATATCCAGCATATTAATGCACCAAGTAATATTCTATGTACTATTCTATCTCTTATAAACATTTCAATAAAAGACAATTAAATTGAGTTTCCAGTGAAAACATGCATTATGTATGTATCCAAGCTAATTCAATCAGCAAAAAATCTATTAAGCTTACTTTATTTAATGATATTACTGTGCTACTTTATACAACCAAGAATAGGAAATAAACATGACTTATCATATTTAAAAATGCAAGTTCTGACTCCTTAAGAAAGTCTTTTAAATTATTGCATGCTAATTTAAAGAGATATTTTCTAAAACGTTAATGTTTATAATTAATCAAAATACCTCAATCAATTTTTGTTGGGGGGGCTGGGAGTTTAAAATGTGTAGAAAAAAATACATTATATCATTTATCTGAATCCTAAAAGTAGCTATTTGCTTGTATATCCAATTCACTTAGAAAAAGCGAGAAACGGCAATACTTCAGAAGTACCAGTTTTGAGCTTTATAAAAATTTTCCCAAATAAAAGTCAAATTATTTTCCTGTCATCTAATATCATATAATTAATCTTCACTTACAACTCAAGGCATGAGATGACTGTGTAGACATTTATCCTATTTTCTTTATCTTTACTGCCACAAAACATTTGAAAATAATATTCATTTGTCTTATTTCCAGTCATGAAAAACTTAATTTAATTATCACAGGTGAACTTAATTACTTCAAGAGTACTATAAAATATTAAGAATTAGAAAAGTGAAAAATATAGTTTATCTGCTCCCTCACAAAACTAGTGTTTGATATTCAGATCTTTATAAATCTATACTCTTGACAAAATAAAATTAAGAAAGTATATTGGTTTTAAAAAATAAAAAAATAAAATCACAGTTTCTCAAAAAAAGAAAGGGTATCTGGAAATTCTAAGTAACTTATACTCTTTTTTGTTGGTTGGTTCGTTTTTTACACCATAAATATGTGGACAAAAAAGTCAAATTCTGTAAAATATTTGAAGAGATTTATTCTGAGCCAAATATGAATGACCATGGCCCATGACACAGCCCTCAGGAGGTCCTGAGAACATGTGTCCAAGGCGGTTGGGGTGCAGCTTGGTTTTATACATTTTAGGGAGGCATGGGACATCAAATACATTTAAGAAATACATTGGTCAGGCTGGGTGCGGTGGTTTAAAATACATTGGTGGCCGGGTGCAGTGGCTCACGCCTGTAATCCCAGCACTTTGGGAGGCCAAGGAAGGTGGACCACCTGAGGTCAAGAGTTCAAGACCAGCCTGGCCAACGTGGCGAAACCCCATCTCTACTAAAAATACAAAAAAATGAGCTGGCTGTGGTGGTGGGCACCCGTAATCCCAGCCACTCAGGAGGCTGGGGCAGGAGAATCGCGTGAACCTGGGAGGCAGAGGTCACAGTGAGCAGAGATCGCGCCATTGCACTCCAGCCTGGATGACAAGAGCAAGACTCTGTCTCAAAAAAAAAAAAAATGCATTGGTTTGGTCCAGAAAAGCAGAACAATTCCAAGGGGTAAGGGCTTCCAGGCTATAGGTACATTTAAACATTTTCTGGTTGACAATTGGTTGAGTTTGTCTAAAGACCTGCGATCAAACAGAAATGAATGTCTGTGTTAAGATAAGAGGTGTGCAGACCAAAGTTTTATCAAGCAGATGAAGCATTTAGCTAGCAGGCTTCAGAGAGAACACGTTGCAAAATGTTTCTTATCAGATTTAAAGTCTGTGTTGATGTTAATGGCAGAGAGGTATAATGAGCCACCAACCCCCACTTCCCATCATGGCCAGAAACAGTCTCACAGGTTAAATATTAAGAGCCCTGGCTGAGTAGAAGTCCATTCAGATGGTTGGGGAGCCTTAGATTTTTATTTTTGGTTTACAAATATATACAATTTTTATTTGTCAATTTTAAAACAAGAAAGTTCTTTCCCTTCTCGGACTTCATTTTTTTCCTCTGTAAAATGAAGGGGGTCAGACTATTTCAGTTATTTGCCACCTTTTTTAATAGAAGAAGCCTTCTGTCAAGCAGTCTTTAGCAACATCTCAAATAAAACAGTTAAAAGTAGTCTTTGATCAAAATGGTTTTTTTTGTTTGTTTGTTTGTTTTTTTTTTTTTTTTTTTTTTTGAGACAGAGTCTCCCTCTGTCGCCCAGGCTGGAGTGCGGTGGTGCCATCTCGGCTCACTGCAAGCTCTGCCTCCCAGGTTCATGCCATTCTCCTGCCTCAGCCTCCCGAGTAGCTGGGACTACATGCGCCTGCCACCACACCCGGCTGATTTTTTGTATTTTTAGTAGAGACGGGGTTTCACCATATTAGCCAGGATGGTCTCGATCTCCTGACCTGCTGATCCGCCTGCCTCAGCCTCCCAAAGTGCTGGGATTACAGGCATGAGCCACCACGCCCGGCCTGATCAAAATGTTTTTAAGAAAATGTTATGTAATTGCTGTATAACGGGATATATTTACTATACAAATCAGGACAGAGGTTGCCTTAAAATTTTTTTTAAATTTCAATAGTTTTTGGGGACAGGTGGTATTTGGTTACATGGATAAGCTCTTTAGTGGTGATTTCTGAGATTTTTGTGCACTCATCACCCGAGCTGTGTACACCGTACCCAACATGTAGTCCTCCCACCCTTGCCCCCACTCCTCAAAATCCATTGTATCATTCTTACACCTTTATGTCCTCAATTAACTTCTAGGCTTAATTGTTTGTTAAACAATCCAATAGTAAAGATATACATCTTACCAGAAATGTCTGAGAAGCATCATATGTTACTATCTTTAAAAGTATGAAAGCAACTAGAGGAGGAGAAAATACAGTAAACTTTAGCTCAATTAAGTTTAAGGTTACAGTGGAGAAATGGGAAATTATTAATATACTGGGCTTTTCTACTGACTTTTTTCTACTACATCCATTTAATTGCAGAATAAAAAATTAAGATTCAAAATTTTCATAAGAGTTTACAATGTAGTAGACAAACAACAAATAAATGTTAAATGATGTAATGAACATAAAGCAAGTAGATTTAAAGAATTTTAGTTGTACAAGAAAATGCATATAGTATATTCAATTGAGTATAGTATAAACTCAGTGCATCATCATATATTTTTACACTGGATGACTATCCTTTAGAAGGTTTCTCATCTGCCTTTCTAATATTCTTAACACTGTTCACTTGCCTTTCCTTTCCATATCCTTAAAGATCCTTGGCTCAACCCTCATCTCAATAGATAACGTGGTATTTCTCAACTATACCGTTGTTTCTCTTTAGCTAAGTGTAGAATCTCTCCAAATTAACCTTTTAACATATATTGTCGCCATAGTCATTTCCCAGACCAGTTTGATTCATCCTCTTGAGGAGGTCTTGTGTACATACCGATAATATGGTAAAATATAAAATGTGATCAAAATGTTGTCCGAAGATCATTTTTTTAAAAATATGAATACTTTGGGAGGCCAAAGTGGGAGGATTACAAGGTCAGGAGTTCAAGACCAGCCTGGCCAATATGGTGAAACCCCTTCTCTACTAAAAATACAAAAAAAAAATTAGCTGGGCGTGGTGGCGGGCACCTGTAGTCCCAGCTACTCAGGAGGCTGAGGCAGGAGAATTGCTTGGAAAAGAGAGGCAGAGGTTGCAGTGAGCCGAGATTGCGCCACTGCACTCCAGCCTGGCTGACAGAGCAACACTCCGTCTCAAAAAAAAAAACAAAAAGCAAAAAAACAATGAATACTCCTTATCTCACTTTGACTATAAAATAGCACATATAATACATTTTTAGCAAGATGCCATCAAATGAATAAAAAGTCTTTATTTTAAAATATTCTAAAATTTAAAAGAGCACCACTCTACAAAAGCAACTTTTCCAGGTCTGCTACACTACTGAGCTCATATTTTGGTTTTGATTTAGGACATTTTTTTTCATCTGTATTGCATTCCTTTGCAAAAATGTCCTGTAAGAGGAATGTCTGTGTTTCGTAAGTCAGTTAAGCTCACCTATACATGAATATCTCTTTCACATTATAAAATAAAGGTCTCTCATTTCTCTGACTATTGTTTAATCGCAAAACCTATTTTAATTATGTAGATATTGCAGTGTGATTTTTATTCAACTATCTTGTTGTAATGATCAGGGATGTACCACCTGGTTCTCCTTCAAGGAAGAACTCGTTGCACTAGTTGCTCTGTCTTTTCAGGTATTGTTCCAGCTGCCTCCCTCAAGGTCATGCCCATTTCTGGCATCCCAGATCCAATGGCTGCTCCAAATGCAGGCATTAAGGTCCAACCTTCTGGCCCGTAAGGGACAATTCTGAAGAAACAGTATAGTTCCAGAATTTCCCCCATGAGATGAATTGAGACTCGATAGACCTGCCTCAGAACCGGAAATTTTTCTCTTCCCAAGCCTGCTTTGTTTTCGGCCCTTCCATGGGTTTTGATCCTGCAAACTAAACTTTGTCTCAGAGTCTGCTTCCACAATTGTTGCACAAGTAAAATAATTTTTTTAAGTCGTCACATTGCAGCTGAATACCTGTCAATAATTGTATAGGTATTTTTAAATTTCACAATAGTTGTCTGCACCCAACAAGGCAGATGTTTTCTAGAAATGACTGGAGCAAAAACTTCAATTGATGTTGCCTTATGTGAAAAATTGTCAGATTAATTTGATTAGGGTACTATAATAATGTAGTCAAGTGGCTTTAAAAAAAAATAGTGCACTAGTCTCCTTTAATTGAGACTCTGAGCCGGGGCTATTTCTGGCGCTGGCACGGCTCCAAGAAGGCTCTCCTAGCCATCACTTTTCCACCTACTTCTTAGAGAAGGGAAGATGAGCGAGTCGATCTCGAAGTCCAGCCAGCCCTTGGCCTCCAAGCAGGAAAAGGATGGCACTGAGAAGCGGAGCTGGGGCAGGCCGCGCAAGCAGCCTCTGGTGAGTCCCAGGACAGCGCTGGGAGGGAGTCAGAAGGAGCCCAGTGAAGTGCCAAAACCTAAGAGACCTCAGGGCCGACCAAATGGAAGGAAAAACAAGGACGCTGCCAAGACCTGGAAAACCACCACAACTCCAGGAAGGAAACCAAGGGGCAGACCCAAAAAACTGGAGAAGGAGGAAGAGGAGGGCATCTCACAGGAGTCCTCGGAGGAGGAGCAATGACCGTGCTTGCGTGTCGCCTGCTCCTCACTGGAGGAGCAGCTTCCTTTTGGGACTGGACAGCTTTGCTCCGCTCCCACCGCCCCCGTCCCTTCCCCAGGCCCACCATCACCACCGCCTCCAGCCGCCACCCCTGTCTTCCACCTGCGACTTCACCACCACACTACACAGCACACCAGCAGCTTCAGGGCCCCCATGGGCTGAGTGGGGAGCAGTTTTCCCCTGGCCTCAGTTCCCAGCTCCCCCCGCCCACCCACGCATACACATGTGCCCTCCTGGACAAGGCTAACGTTCCACTTAGCCGCACCCGGCACCTACTGCGTCCCCACTCCTTTGGTGGTGGGGACATTGCTTTTTGGGCTTTTGGTTTGGGGGCGCCCTCTCTGCTCCTCCATTGTTCCCTCTGGCTTCCCACAGTGGGGCCTGGGAGGGTTCCGCTGGCCTTAAAAGGGGCCCAAGCCCCATCTCATCCTGGCCTGCCCTACTCCACTGCCCTGGCAGCAGCAGGTGTGGCCAATGGAGGGGGCTGCTGGCCCCCAGGATTCTACCAGCCAAGCTGTCTTCCTCACCACGTGGGGCTCACACCTTTCATCCTTCCCCACCTTCCCTAGTCCCTACACTAGGTTGGATAGCCCCCTTTGGCTACAGGAAGGCAGGAGGGGTGTGAGCCCCCTACTCCCTCTTTGCAGTGGCCCCAGCCCCCTTGCCCTCCACCTGGGATCTGAGTACTTATTGCAGTGATGGAAATGCAGTCACTTATTGTCCAGGTGAGGCCCACAAGCCCTGTGGCCGCCACCTGAGGTGGGCTGGGGCTGCTCCCCCACCCCTACTTGCTTCTCCTACTTGGCCATTTGCCCCTCCTCAGATGGGGCACCAATAACAAGGAGCTCACCCTGCGGGCTCCAAACCCTCCTGCTCCTCCCTGCCCCCCAAGGTTCTGGTTCCATTTTTTTCTCTGTTCACAAACTACCTCTGGACAGTCGTGTTGTTTTTTGTTCAATGTTCCATTTTTCGACATCTGTCATTGCTGCTGCTACCAGTGCCAAATGTTCATCCTCATTGCCTCCTGTTCTGCCCATGATCCCCCAAGATACTCTTCATGGAGAAGAGGGGCTGGAGCATGGCTGGCTGGGTGACCAACTACCCCAGTCCCAGGGAAGGTGGGGCCCTGCCCCTAGGATGCTGCAGCAGAGCTGGCAAGGGGGCCCGAATTGACCAAAAAGGGCATAGAGGCCACCTCCTCCCCCTGTTCTGTTGAGGAGGGGTAGCCATGATTTGTCCCAGCCTGGGGCTCTCCCTCTGGTTTCCTATTTGCAGTTACTTGAATTAAAAAACAACTATATCCTTTTCTGGAAAAAAATAGTGCACTAATAAATAATAGATGAATAATTATGGAACATCTAGTCTCTTGTTCACAATGAATTGTGCAGACAAAAACTGCATCAACCCTATCTTTGTGGGATACTAGGTTACATGCATTGAAACAAGAATTTTGAACTATTTTCTCTCAAGAAACTACTGTAGAGTTAATTTGTTTTCTTTACTTTTTACAAAATGTACTAATTATGAATAAACATTTAAAATTTATCCCCAAACAGTTTTTAATTAAATATTTAAATTGCTTGCTATTCAGCAGGAAATTTTTAAAGGAAACACATTTTTAAAGCTAAACAGACTGAAAATCAACTCACCTTAGATCCATTAGCAAATTGAGGTCACAGGGCAAACTGTAGTTCTTAAAATTAGAGAGAAAGATAAATACAGATTAATTCTAATTTACCAGGAGCAAAAGCCACAGCTGAAGACTGGTAGAGTAATTGAATAATTGCTGTAGACTCAGTGGGGACATTTGAGAGATGAAAAACTCCTAGGAAGTCAGCCTTTGGGGTCCTCCATACTGAATTTTATGACCAGGTTTCATGGGTGAAGATCAGAGAAAAATCTTCTTATGCTTCCCTCAGGGGGAAGGGAAAAGTAACCATTTTGAAATACCCCCAGAGTGTCTATTCTCATTAACAAAGGACTGCCCTAGAGGGAAACTATTTTTACCAGAGCCTATCCAATGTGGGTTTTAACAGAGTCTAACTGATGTGGGGGAAGAGAGATACTCAACTCTAACTCCCTCTAGCCTGCTATATAAGGGAAGGAAAATATACAAATCCAGTGCACTCTAATGTTCCTGTATTATATAAAGAAGCTCAGAAACAGTTAATAAGGTCACAGCCCAGGGACCCACAGACCCATTAAAACACTGAGACCTAAATAGTAAGAATATATTAATAGAATGCTTCTCCTGTGCCCCCATACTACCACATCAACAGGGTTCCTGTATAATAAAAGGGCATTACAGCTGAAAAGAATTCTAAGGCTTGTAGTCTATTTAAGAAATCTCTAGGAAAACCCAAATACCACAGAGGAGATGAAAACAAAGACACTAGAGAAAATTTTAGCCTCTGACATCTACAGCTGTAGGAAACAATTAACACAACCTAACACATAGATAAATCTAACACCTCACACAAAAGACCCATTTACCTCAGTTCCTTTTGTTACAGGTAGTTAGGCATGAGTGGGACAGGAGAGGGCTCTCCCCTCACCACCCACTAGAAATGTGTGGTGATGGTTTGGCAATTATTGGATTGCCTGTTTAAAAGTGATAAATTGGCAGCCAGCACCAAGGAGAGGCCAGGTCCTCATGGTCCACACCTGTTAACATTTAACTATTAATTAAAGGCAGGCCCCAGGTAGAAGCAACTTCCTGGGCATGCACATTAAGAGACAAAAATGGCGCAGTATGCTCTTCCAGGTACACCCTACTGGAAAAAGGAAGAAAGCCTCAGATGGGCATGCATATAACTTCCTAAACACACTGCACATGCTCAATTCCAAAGGGTAAGGAGGGCACCATGCATGTGGAAAACCCGTCCTAAGGAAAGAATCATAGGAAAGAGGCAAGCCTATAAAGTCCCTGAATCAAGGTTAAAAGCCCCCTGTTTTTTCCCTCTTTGACCTTCAGGTGCCCACTTGGGTCTCTTCCACAGGTTCTTTCCTTTCATTCCTATTCTAAAGCTTTTTAAATAAACTTACACTCCTGCTCTGAAACTTACCTTGGTTTCCTTTTCTGCTTTATTTCCCTCGGTCAAATTTTTTCTTCTGAGGAGGCAAGAATTGAAGTTGCTGCAGATGCATGTGGACTTGCCACCGGTAACTCGAGGTAGCTCACAAAAAGTGGACAACATGCAAGAACAGATGTATAATGTAAGCAGAGAGATGAAAACTCTAAGAAACAACCAAAGGAAATGCTAGTAATCAAAACCACTGATGCAAAAATGAAGAATGTCTTTGATGGGCTTATTGGTAGAGCACAAAGAAAAGAAAGTGAATTTGAGGGTATGTCAATGGAAATTTTCATAACAGAAATGCAAGGAGAAAAAAATAATGAAAAATTGAGCTGTAAAATATGAAATCTAAGAACTGTGGGACAATTACAAATGATGTAACTTACATGTAATGAAAATACCAGAAGGAGAAGAAAGAGAGAAAGGAACAGTTTCTTCTTTTTGGGAAGAAGAAAACATTTTTAGAATAGATAGGGATAATCCAGTGTCTGTTATTCTATTTTTGTCTTCAAACTTGCTGTAGAAGACTCATCTCCAAGACCCTAGAAGTTGCTGACCCACAGAAAAAAGGGACCTCTCATTCTGAATTTGTCTTTGAAAAGCTGACCACAAAATAGCCAATTTATCTGTGACATAAGAAGAAATACCCATTTTGGCTAATACAGTGAAACCCCGTCTCTACTAAAAATCCAAAAAATTAGCTGGGCATGGTGGTGGGTGCCTGTAATCCCAGCTACTCAGGAGGCTGAGGCAGGAGAATGGCATAAACCCGGGAGGTGGAGCTTGCAGTGAGCCGAGATAGCGCCACTGCAGTCCGGCCTGGGCGAAAGAGCGAGATGCCATCTCAAAAAAAAAAAAAAAAGAAGAAGAAATACACCTACCTTTTGTTAAGCCATTGTGATCTAGGGGTTGTTTGTTACAGCATGTATTCTATTTTGAATAAGAGACAAAAATAAGACATGATCCTTTTACCTGAGGTCCTTATTGTCTTAACAGTAGAGAGCTCACATACATACATTTTAGAGTTGTCTAATATTGTCTTTCTCTTCTATAAGAGCAATTCTTACTTCTGGAAATATAAAATTGTTAAAAGAAAAACCTTAGCCAAATTAAATTTAACAGGGTTTAATTGAGTAAAGAACCATTCACGAATCGGGCAGCCTCCTGAGCCAGAGTAGGCTCTGAGACTCCAGTGCAGCCATGTGGTGGAAAAAGATCTGTGGACAGAAAAAGGAAAGTGATGAACAGAAAACAGAAGTAAGGTACAGAAACAAGCAGATTAGTTATAGCTTGTTGTTTGCCTTATTTGAACACAGTTTGAACAGTTGGCTCCTTCTGATTGACCAAAACTCAAAATTGGCATAAGAGTAGGCTACAGTCTATTTACACTTCCATTTAGGTTATAGTTCACTATGTACAGAGAAACCTTTAGGTCAAACTTAGAATATATAAGAAGACAGCTTTACGCTAAACATGATTTAACAATTCCCCTCTTTTGGTCATCCTCTCAATTTTGAAAGACTGACAAAAACTTTAGTCACTGGTGTCACTATTACCATTGTAAATGTACTTATTTGTTCTCAAAACCCACTGGGAAATAGCAGAACAGTGGGTTTTATAAGGTGGGAATAAGGACTTCATGTTTTTTTTTTTTTTTGTAAGAGTAAGAGTAGTGGGTACCTCCTTATGCTGCAGTGTCCTGTTTACAAGAGAAAAACAAAACCTGATCTGTTCTAGAATCTATCTGTTTCCTTAAAGTCTTAGTTTGATTATGTCACATTTAGCATAAGTGGCCCCATTTTGGTTTGGTCTGGTCTGTTGGGGCCTACTGCAAGGGCTCGGTTGAAAGCGATGACCTCCCATAATTTTGTTTAAAATTTCCCCCTCTGCTCAGGCTCTTACTTTGGTGAGAGTATGACCAAAATTTAGGGCGTTAACACCACTCTCAATTACCATCATTTTGGGTTTTCAGTCTTAGTACATTATTCATACTTTATGATGCCCTCATAGTAACACATTTCTTTCAGCTGTTGTCATTCCAGTTGAAGAGACACCATTTGACATTCTAGGGGTGGCTGCATGCAAACATTTAGAGATAATACAGCACACCAAGGAGACTACTATTATGACTATCAAGAGGATAATACCAAGAGTTTGGAGTATGCTCCTCAGCCAGGGCCCCCGTAAAGCAAACTAACTAAAATCAAATAGATCAAGGAATGAACTAGATAAAGAGTATACTCACTTTAACTAGACAGCATATTCGTTAATCCCCTCAACTGAATCTCTATAATACCCAATTTATTTCTCCATGGGCAACAAGAAGTGCCAACAACTGTACAGATACTTCTCTGTTTAGCCAGTAAGTAATCTAGAGCAATTCTGTTATTTAGCATAACTTTCACAAGAGAATTTAAAGTCTGCTTTGTAACCACAGCTTTTATAAGTAGAATCTGCTATAAAGCCTATCATGAGGAATACATTTCTAATTATTGCCTCATTTACTCCAAACTGTGAAATAAAGAACCTAACAAGTGATGCCCATCTAGAAGAGTGAAGACCTCCTATCCTTTCATGAACCTCCTTAAAGATGACATACTCTAGGATTTTGTGTGCTTGTGAAGATTTCAGAAACTGCATCAAAATTAAGCAATTAACTATGAAAATGACTTAAAATGGTCATAGTTAAAAATACAATTGACAAGGAAATTTTGTTATTTCTGTGGTCTACAATAACTTAACATAACAACCATGATTATGACTGATAGCATATATTCAGACATGGTAGAATTTTAGAAATCCCATATAATTTTTAAATGTATATTAATAACATTTATTAAAACACAACTTGAAGGTTTAACATCAATTTCTTATTTGAACACAAATATTTTACTCTGTCATTAATACTACATAAAATTTTTGCTCAAAAAAGAAAACAAAATTTTACTTTTGTATTAGTGTATTATCAATACTAAAGCTGATTTTAACAAAACCTCATAAGTAAATTTATCAAATCTGTCGTCTTTTAACCACACAAGATTTCCATAAACTTTTTGTTTTATATTATTTTCCCCAACTTTTTTTTTTTTTTGAAATGGAGTTTTGCTCTTGTTGCCCAGGCTGGAGTGCAATGGTATGATCTTGGCTCACTGCATCCTCTGCCTCCTGGGTTCAAGCAATTCTCCTGCCTCAGCCTCCCAAGTAGCTGGGATTACAGGCATGCGCCACCACTCCTGGTTAATTTTGTATTTTTAACAGAGATGGGGTTTCTCCATGTTGGTCAGGCTGGTCTCGAACTCCCGACCTCAGATGTTCTCCCCGCCTCGGCCTCTGAAAGTGCTGGGATTACAGGCGTGAGCCACCGCACCTGGCCTCCCCCAACTTTTTATATTTATCATGCTTTATCTGCTTTTTATTCCTTCAATTTGAAACCTTTAAGTAACTTCTAACCAGACAAAATTTTTTAACAAACACATATTTTTATGACTTTATAACTTTTCTTATCAAAAGCATATCTTGCTTTTGTTTATACACTCTGAATACAGAATTGTTTCTTTCCTATCTAGGATCTTTAATTACATATATTAACTAGAATTTGAACTCTTAGTAGCCCTAATTTGTAGTGAAAACCTTTGTGAAAGAAAAATATCTTGGGCCGCTTCAAAAACTGCTCAGGTCAAATCTGCGTCCCATTCTATTCAAAGTCATCCCTGGCCTCACTGAGATAGATGCATATCTTATTGCCTCCTTTGGAAAGCCTAATCAGAAACTCAAAAGAATGCAACTGTTCCTTTGTCTTTCACCTATCTGTAACCTGGAAGCCTGCTCCCTGCTTTGAGTCTGCCTGCCTTTGCTTCAAGTTGTCCTGCCTTTCCAGGCTGAACCAATGTACTTCTTACATATATTGATTGATGTATTATGTCTCCCTACAATGTATAAAGCTACACTGTGCCCCAACCACCTTGGGCACATGTCATCAGGACTTCCTGAGGCTCTATCATGGGCACACGTCCTCAACCTTGGCAAAATAATCTTTCTACATTGAGACCTGTCTCAAATTTTCAGGGTTCACACCTAAGTAATTTGAACTATTTTATATCAATATTTGTAAATAAAAACCATTTTAAAATTTTTTAGAAAGACAGTTCTTCAAATTATTGTTTATTAACAGATCTAAATATATTTAGCTTTTCTGTACCATATTGTTACCAGGGGTCCTTGTTCTTAGAGCTCCCAAGATGGTGGCGGGCTGCTTCCAAGATGGCGGCAAGCCTCTTGTTCTCTGGCTTGGGGTTCTTGGCCTCACAGATTCCAAGGAATGGAATCTTGGGCCATGCAGTGAGTATTATAGCTCTATTCAGCTCGATTAGGACAAACCCCAGGCACCTAGCCCACGCAGGAACAATGGCGAGCCTCTAGCCCGATTGGAAGTGGCAATGGGTGCCACCTTGCTGGATCAGAAGTGCAGCAGACACCCTGCCGGATCCAGAGGGGGTGGAAGTCAGCCGTGGGTCTGCGAGGGCGGCAAACAGCAGTGGCGGATGGCGAGCGAAAGCTCAGCTCAAGCCGTGACAAACACGGACCAGAAGAGTGTGCAGTTGCAAGATTTAATGGAGTGAAAACAGAGCTCCCATACAATGGGAGGGGACCCAAAGGGGGTTGCCATTGCCTGCTGGAATGCCTGGGTTTATATCCTGATCATTGTCCCTCCCCCTGTACTCTCAGGCGATAGATGATTGGCTATTTCTTTACCTTCTGTTTTTGCCTAACATTCTGTTTTTGCCTAAGAGCATTTTAGTGAGCTCCCTTTACTACCCGATTGGTCGGGTATGAGTTAAATTGCAAGCCCCATGTTTAAAGGTGGATGTGGTCACCTTCCCAGCTAGGCTTAGGGATTCTTAGTCGGCCTTGGAAATCCAGCTAGTCCTGTCTCTCAATATGAAAATAACATGTCAAGGTAAATAGACTTAAACTAATGTTTAATAATTGATATTTCAGTATTTTAGCTTAAAAATGACTCAGAAATTTTATACTTATCTATTACTTAATGTAACATAACATGACTTCAGGATTTTAAATTACTGAAAATAATTTTGAAAATATTACACAGGTGCCTGCCCTAATGTCTTCTCCCAGTCATCCTGGGTCTCAAGTAGCCACATGGCACCCAGGAGGACTATGAAGTTCAGGGCCTGTCTGGGTCCTGAATTTACATACCAGGTGTAGAGGTCAGGACAGAAGACAGACAGAGCTATGAAGAATATACCCGGTGGATCCAATCCCTCCCAAAATAACCAGTAGACAAGCAGGAAAAGTGGGGAAGGAGGAGAGCATATTGGGCTTGATTCTGGCTTCTAGCTGTAAAAAGTAAAGTAGAGGTTCCTCTTCAAAGAGACTTTCCTCCCCATCTAATTAGGAATAAATAGTAACTTCTCTTGGAAGCAAAATTTATTCAAAGACCTGTGTTAACATTCTTAAATATCTGCTAGCCGTAATAAAGAAGTCAAGGTACTTTATGTTCTTAGCTCCCACAATTTAGCCTAAATATTTGCCCTGGCATGCTTATACTGGTCCAAGCAAGCATTAGGTCATAGCCTGTTTCTGTTCCTTATTTGAAGGTGTTTTTACCTTTCTCAGCATTCCACAAGTTACTTCCTCCTTCCTTTGTTCTCCTCTGCCTTTGCCTCTTGTAAAAAGTTCTAAGTTGCTAGCCAATCAGGACAAATACAGAATGTGAGGTCCCGTTCCAGCCAATGGAAACTGGACACAGCAGTAGGGTGGATGTGTCAGGTTATAAATGACCCTGTCTCCTTTGTTCGGTGTACTCTCATGGCAAAACTGCTGGTGAGTGTACCCTTTCTGCAGAAAGTAAAAATGGCCTTGCTGAGGAAATTAAATTTATATTCAAGTGCTATTTCTTTATGGCACCAGGGAACAAGCATTTCAAACATAGCTGCTGGTCTAAACACTAAGAACATGTTTCCAGACTTCATCATGACCACCTATCCAAACTCCTAAATCCAGAGGCTCTAACTAAAGACAGCTCACGGTCAAATAAAGCAAGTATCCAATTATATTTAACTGATAATTTTGAAACCATTCCTATTTTACTTACAATTAAAACTAGCTTTATTTACCAAATATTATCACAGACACATAACACATGTAGATATTAAAACACACAGAAGAAGATCTTATAACTTTTGTAAAGGATTTTCATTTGCCAGCTTTTAAATAGTTTTTTTTCTCCATTCATCTATTTCATTGCTCTAAGCAATTGTTAACTAGGCAACAAATTGCATTTCTAAAGGGACAACTCTTAGTTGTCACACACACACACACACAAAATATATATATATATATTTCATAAGCACAAACTTAAGATTTTAGGCCTAAATATTGTATCATCATTTGCTCAAACCAAGAAAAATAAAACCGTGATCAAGTAAAAGATAACTCAAGACAAGATGGCCAGAAAAGCATCTTAAACAGAGGTATGATTATGTACATTTAAAAGAATAGTAAGAGTTCCTAATGTATATAGGTAGACATCCTTAAAAATGGAGATTTCCTTTATAGACATAAATTTCTTTAACAAAAGATTTTTTAGAGCACCAATTAAATTCCAGAAAGGTGTATCTTAGTTCAATACATGGTCTTTTAAAATTAGCTACTGTTTCTTAGCTAAAATTACTGAGTTCTTGGTGGAACCCACTAAGGAATGGGGCAAAGAAATCATTGTCTACGCTTGCACTCAACATAGATAGATATGAAAATGAAGCAAGCCTATTTTACCTGAGAGATTACTTTTCATACACACTTTATCTAGGATAGCTTTCTTTCCATTTTCAGTGCAGGATAGTAACTAAGCCAAAAGGTTAGCAGATTTAATTTTTCTTATCAGTTAGTCACTTAATCTGTTTATTTGCCTTTTATAAACAGTATTTAAATAATAAAAGACTTTGCAGCTTTTTTAGCCAGTGATTTTTTCCCTACCTAAGCATGAGCATACAAGAAAGAAGAAACAAAGGGGGTAGAACACAAAAATCCCTGTGAATTTCCAAAAGCCAAAGTTTACACCCCTTGTAATATTGCCATTGACTACAGGTTTCTTTCTGACTCAGTCAGACTTATAAGAGGCCTCTAACTGGAACCAAGACACTTAATTATCAGATCCAATCTGATCCTGGACCCAGTCCAGTTTCAATTGCAACTTCCAAACCCAATTTAAATCCAAAATTTGCTCAAAGAAATTTGGAGAGCTCAAAACACAAATCTGTGGAGCTCTGGAATCCAAGAGAGAACTTACCACAATCCCCAGTTGCTGTAAAAGAGCAATGGACACAATGGGCCCAGCGGGTACCTTGCTTGGTCACTTGGTGATCTTGGAGGTTGCTAGAAACTCTGCTTTAGATCCCACATCTGACACCATCTGTTAAAAAAATCTTGGCTGAATTAAATGTAACACAGTTTAATTGAGCAAAGAAGAATTCACAAATCAAGCAGCCTCCTAAGCCAGAGTAGGCTCAGAGGCTCCAGTGCAGACACATGGTGGAATAAGATTTATGAACAGAAAAAGGAAAGTGATGTACGGAAAAAGAAAGTGAGGTACAGAAAGAGCCAGATAGGTTACAGCTCGCGTTTGCCTTATTTCAACATGGTTTGAACAGTTGGCCACGTTTGTTTGGCCAAAACTCGGTGATTGGCACAAGAGTAGGCTACAGTCTGTTTATACTTCCATTTAGGTTATAGTTCACAATGTACAGAGAAACCTTTAGGTGAAACCTAAAATATGTAAGGAAGCAGCTTTAGGCTAAACTTGATTTAACGTATATAACATAGAACACAACACTTCTGTATTGCTTCTTCCATTAAATTATCTGTCTTCCTCTCTAAATATTTTAAGATACTTCAGCCATACCTTGGATCATCGGTACCTAGTAGAACTCCTGGTGCCTGATAGGCACTCAATACATATTTGATGAATAAATAAATGAATGTGTTCTACGTGGAATCTAAATCTGTCAAACAAAAAAAGCACTTGACAAACCTCTAAGAATGACAGTGATGTATTAACACTTAGAAGATATTTCTGGTGAAATTTCTAAATTCTTATGTGTTGCATGTAACTTTATTTTTTTAAATTAAGACACATAACAATATAAAATTCAGTTGTATTCCCTTTTCCCATTAATACCTTTATCTCATCTTATCTGAATATTCAGAAACATGCCTTTCAAATTCCACATATGGAGGAAGCTAGTCAAAAGTTAAAACTGAGTTATTTTTTGAAGGAGGAAGCATGCATATAAATCTAGAACATATAACTATGTCCTGCATATTCTTAGAGGTACAAATTTAAATCACTGATTTCATATTCCAAGTATATGTACTAACAATTTATCAAATGACAAAATAGATAACTCAATATAAAAAGGACATTTCTAAATCTATGCTTCTGTCATTATGTATTCTAAAACTTTACTTTAGTCATTAATATAAAATTATGAGTACCATCATCTTTTTTTTAAAAGTAAACTGATTGTGAAATTATATATTGAAGTGTTGCAGAAAATGTTCCTGTTTTCTTCTAATGTTTAATGAATATTAGCAGCATAAAAGAAACTATATACTTGCATCCCTTCTAATTTCATCTATTTAAAAAAAACAGAAACCTAAGAGATGAACTTAACAGAATTCAATATCAAGTAACTTATCTATTCATATCATAAACTTGATAGTTCAATGAATAAATTATAGAAGATAGATTAATAGAGTAAAATATCAGGAATTCCATGGCAAATCAAAGAGGACAGAAAGTAATTGGTCAAGATTACAACCCAAAGTCGAATGATTTTACTAATGCCTGCAATCAGAAATAGGGTTTTGATAGAGAGTTTATAAGTTACATAAAGTAAGAAATATTTTTCATCATAAATAGTTTCCTATAATTCATATAGAAAATTAACAGAAAATATTTTAGGTAGCTTTTAGTCTCAATTCTATATTGGCTTTTGGGTTGTATAAATTTATTTAAAGAAGATTTTCATGGAATTATTGGGTTGTTCCAAAAGTAATTGTGGTTTTTGCCATTAAAAGTAATAAAGTATCTTTTGTTGTTGTTGTTTAACTTTTTATTTATTTTTTTTTTTGAGGCAGAGTCTTGCTCTTGTCACCCAGGCTGGAGTGCAATGGCACGATCTCGGCTCACTGCAACCTCTGCCTCCCAGGTTCAAGGGATTCTTCTGCCTCAGCCTCCCAAGTAGCTGGGATTACAGGCACCCACCAACATGCCTGGCTAATTTTTGTATTTTTAGTAGAGACGGAGTTTTGCCATGTTGGCCAGGCTGGTCTCAAACTCCTGACCTCATGATCCACCCGCCTCAGCCTCCCAAAGTGCTGGGATTACAGGTGTGAGCCACTGCGCTCAGTCTAATTTAAATTCTTAATTTCTAAGTACCTTTCTTAAATATTATGTGTCTGTATCCTCATTCTTACTTTATGTATTAAGTTTGTAAAATTAAATTAAAAAATGATTTTCTTATAAATACATGAAATCAGTGTCTGAAAGTTTTTATATGCCTTGGGTTTCCTCATATGTAAAATGAGTACATTGACTAATAAATTGATAGAATTAAATAAAATATGCATAAAGCAATTAACACAATATCTGGCATATAAAAGTATCAAATAAGTGTCAATAATTGTCATTTGGTTTGGGTCGCAATTATACATTGAAGAAAATTGAGACAAATATGGTAATATTAAAACAAAAAAATTATATATAATCAGGTAAGGGAGATTCACATGCTAATTACTTAAAAATTAAAACTATGTCTCCCCTCATGCCTCAAGTTTGGAGTGCAGTTATTATTTTAAAGCTAAGGATCATCAAAAACTGAATATTGTGCTCTCATATGAATATAAATCTTTGGAAAACATTAGTTTTGTTCTGGGAATGTATTTCAGAATTTGATTTAAACTTTAGATAACACAAAAGAGGGGCTCTTCAAAAGATGCCAGAATGAAGTTATACGAAATATTACTGTTAAAGTTTATGTAGAATGTTAGAGTGTATTCTCCCTGAAACAACATGAGAGAAGGGTAAATATTTGGAGCTAGGAATTACTTCCTTCCGTATATACATTTTTTTTTCCATTGAAAGGAACCTAAATTGATAGGCTACTGTAGCTCAGGTGCTGCGTTCTGCATTAAGAGGGTGTTATCAAGGTGGATGTGGAACCCAATTTAGAGTTTGATTGTTTTTACTTTTCCAGTATATGTTTACAAATGGAGCAGTCAGAGCAACAATTCAGACTGTTAGTTTGTAGATATTGTGCTCTTGATTTCTGGTAGTGGATTGAGAACTACCAGTAATACAATATGTATAAATCTATACCATGATTATTGTGGAGAAATAACTTTTTATCTCTGCTTTAAAACCTTCTTGTGTTCTGTTTGTGTTCTTTAGAGTTATATCTTGTCGAAAGAAACTAAGTTACAGAGGAACAGAAGTCAGTGTTATATAAAATATCAGAATTGCATCATAGGACAAAGAGACAAGCAGGGGAAAAAATAATCTTTCGATTTAGAAAAACAACAACCCAGAGGTAAATATGCTGGCATGGAAAGTAAAAAATGTTTGAAATTTTTATTTTTCCTATTGGTTATGAGTTTCAAAAAAGAATGAGGAGAGAGAGGAGGAATCATACTTGGTCTCAGAAAGCCAAATTATAAATCCATAAGAGAATGAATTATAGCCACTCCTGATTCTGTTCCCACACTATGAAACATTACTTTCTTAATTATACAAATGATTAAATAAAAGATGTATTACTTTATGTCAGATGCTAACATGAGACAATCCACATACTGAACTTGCCAAAGTGAAATTATGTAAGACAAAATATCTTCATTACTATGTTTAGAGTTAATGAATCTAGGTAAACTAGGGAGTATTATGTAAAATACTGCTGACTTGCAAATCAATTTGACAATACCTAAGAAAAGTGACAGTGTGAACACCCTACAACCCAGCATTTTTCACTCCTAGATGCATAACGTATAAGAATATTTATAGCATCGTTGTTTGTAATATAAACAACTGAAAACAATCCAGTTAGAATCAATGAAATAATTTAGGTAGAGGAACTTGTATCAAATATAGATGAATCTCTAAAAACTAATGTTGCACAAAAATGACAACTTATCAATGGATCATTGTAGTCAATGCCATTTTTATGAAAATTAAATTTGCATAAGAATAGTCTACAGTGCTTAAGAAAAAATATTTATATAATAACCATATAAGACATTTTCACATTAATAAAGAGCATTACAGGATAGTGGTTTCCCAATAAGAGGAGGCAGGAAAATATTTTGGTAGAAGAGTGTACAGGGAGCTTTCAGTATATTTTGTAATGTTTTATTTCTTAAACTGGGTGATTGATAGATGGGTGTTTGTTATTTTAATATTTATAAATATTATGTATGTTTGAAAGTTAATAAATATTAAAAAAAACTCTTCATAGATTACTAACCTACTAAAAATATTTGCATTTAGGAAGAAAAGGGTGGCTGTGAATAAACACACTTTAAATGCTTCGGTTATCCATTGCTGCATATCAAACTACCCCAAAACGTAGACGTTTAAACAACCATTTTATTTGTACCTGGCATCTTTGTGCTCCTCTATGTGACTTTTCTCCTCATGTGGCATATTTGAGCTTCCTTACAGCATGGTTGTCTTAGGGTAGTCATATGCCTTGTACATTAATATTTTCAGGAGGGAGCAGTACAGTTTGAAGCTACAGTTTCCTTAATGTCCAATTTCATAAGTTACACAGTTTCTTCTGCCACATGTTATTGGAAAGTCTAGATTCAAGAGGAAGGGAAATAGACTCCATCTCTGGATGGGGGCATGGCAAGTTCCATATTGCAAAAAACATTGTGAAATGGGAGCTATTATTGCAGCTAACACTGGAACACAATCTATCATATCAATATTAAAAGTTGTCATTCTGAGATGTTGGATAATTGGTGATTTTTTTCAACATTTGACTTCTCAGCACTCATCAGTTTGTCTACAATGATCATAAATACAATGTTTAAAAGACAAATTATCTAATGTAGAAAATAAAATCTTACCTCATAATAAAATTAACAGTAGGTTAGCATTGGTTATTAAACATTTCTTATTTGAATATAGCTATGAAACTTTTATAAATATGATCTGGTATCTTACCTTCTAAACAATAAAATCTAATACAAAAATTAAAATACAAAAATATTCAAAGAAAACTTCACTTTTGACTTCTTATCCTCTCCAACTACACTGTGCCCCCACTTTTTTCTAGCTGTTGGAGACAGTCTTCTATAATTATTGGGTAATCATTTTGTCTCCATTTCCTTACCTCCCATTTAAACTTTAACCCATCCCAAACTTCCTTTTGGTATACTCACTACATAAAGCTGCCATGTTCAAAGATCATTAAACATTTAATTAAAGCCAGTACTATGAATGAGAGAATAGTGACTAGAAATAGAGAAGAAGTTACTCAGATAAAAATAGTCATTGCAACTACAAGTCTAGAAACTTACAAGTTTAGTTAATATCAATATTACATGCACAGAAGAAAAACATAGTTATTGTAAATCATTGCATTATTATGTACAAAAAACAATTAGAGATAATGGGTAAGAAAAATGGCAGATTGGGCAAAGTGGAAAAGCAGATTGGAGAAATAGAAATTACACTCAAGTAATGGGTTTTCCCTCAAATGGAAACGTAAAGCAAAAGAAAAAATAGAATTTGACAGAGAAAGATTGATTTAAAATTTCCAACTCTATTTAAAGGGGGGTTTAGAAGGAGAAAATAGTGAGGCTGGAAAGGAGAAAATAGCTTAATTCACCATGTTCAAAAAGAATTCCCAGCAGTATTTATCTTCTAGACTTGATCATACAGTATTGTTAAATATAGCCATAATCCATTCAGTTGCTCAAGCTAGAAATCTGGGAGTCATCTTTGATATATTTTTTCACTCAATAATCTTAGATCAAATATATGAACAAGGCTGGGCGCAGTGGCTCACACCTGTAATCCCAGCAATTTGGGAGGCTGAGGCAGGCGGATCACCTGAGGTCCGGAGTTCAAGACCAGCTTGACCAACATGGAGAAACCACATCTCTACTAAAAATACAAAATTAGCCAGGCGTGGTGGCGCATGATTGTAATCCCAGCTATTTGGGATGCTGAGGCAGGAGAATCGCTTGAACCCAGGAGGCAGAGGTTGCAGTGAGCCAAGATCATGCCATTGCACTCCAGCCTGGGCAACAAGAGTGAAACTCCATCTCAAAAAAAAAAAAAAACATATATATATATATATGAACAAATGTTTCATAACATCTCAAATATCTCTAGGTTCTGTCACCATTTTGTTCCTGCTTCCTAATACTTTGTAAATAGTTTCTTTTTGTACATGTTTGTTCTAGTCCTATCTCTTCTCCATATCATATCTACCATATAAAGTAATATGCATATGTATGTGTAATCTCTTCCTTTATAAAGTGCCAGTTTATGTTTTAATTTTCTATTTTTTTTTGCATGGTCATATTTTTCTAATTAATTGAAACTATATTTATATTAACTCAATGTTGTAAAAATGTAGACAGATATGCTCATTGATTTCAAACTTTTTTTTGTTCTGTTATTTAAAGACATTCCAAATTTGGGGGTAGCCAAATGCAACTGTCTATTTAAAATGTGCCTTAAATATGTGTGTGAGAGAAAGAGTGTATTAGCTTCTTTCTGGACTTTAGATTCGGCCATGTTGATTTTTTGGTTCTTTGTACTATATTTTATAATTATCATAAATTTATGATTTTTAGTATGTCTATTTTAAAACATATGTCTTTATTATTAGTCTTACAAGAAACACTGAATATACTCAAGGTAGAATATTTAGCACAATTTTACTATGACTGGATTTGCAAGTAGGTTTTTTTAAAAAAACTAATTTGGGCCAATTCAAAATTTTAAAAAATAATTTAAAAATTGGGGGTTTCAGATTATTGTTTTTAATATTACAATTACATTATGTCTTTATCTTGAGTAATGACTCCTAGGAAATAGCTTGATCTTCCACCAAAGGGTAGTGGTTAAATAGAATATATATGAGAGAGAGAAGAGTTTAGATATTTTGATTCAGTTGAAATTAAAACTAAAATCATACTACCATCTAATAATGTAATTTATTCTTATTTGGCCATAAATGCTTTGTGATTTGCTTTTAGCTACAGAACTGATGTGGACTTCTAAGTCTAGTTCTCAAAAGGTCTTGAGAATTTCTTGGAATTTCATTTCTGAAATTTTTTCTCAGTTGTGTGATGAACTGCAGGCTAGCCTGATAGAGACATGTGACTCAGCTGATAGCCACCACCAAATTGTTAGAAATGTGAGTTTAGACCATTAAGGTCCAACTGAACCACCAAATGACTGTAGCTATTTCAATGACAGTGGGAAAGACTAGCAGAATTGTACAACTGAAGCCAGTCCTTATTGTCAACTTTAAGAATAGTGAAAAAAAAAATGGTTGGTATTTTGAGCCACTAAATTTTGAGATAATTTGCTTTGCAGCAATAGGCCATTGATACAAAAATTGGTACCTAGAAAAGGAGTGTTGCCCTAACAAAACGTGAAATGTAGCACTGTTTTCGAGACTAAGTGGCAAGGGGAAGCTGGAAGAGCACTTTGTTTCATGAAATCCTGAGGCAGAATGTTAAAAATATCAGTTGGATTCCTTGTAAATTCTAGATATCCCTGTAGTATACATAGTTTGCAAATATTTTCTCCCATTCTGTAGGTTGTCTGTTCACTCTGTTAATTATTTATTTTGCTGTGCAGAAGCTTTTTAGTTTAATTAAGTCCAATTTGTCTATTTTTGATTTCGTTGCTTGTGCTTTTGAGGTCTTAGTCTTGAATTCTTTGCTTAGAACAATATTCAGAAGAATTTTGCCTAGGTTTTTTTCTAGGTTTTTCAAAAGAGGACATACAAATGGCCTACAAGCATATAAAAAACACGCTCATCACTAATCATTCAGAAAAATGCAAATCAAAACCACAATGAGATACCATGTTATACCACTTGGAATGGCTATTATTAAAAAGATGAAAAAATAACAGATCTTAGTGAGGATGTGGAAAAAAGGGAATGGTTAGACACTGTTAGTGGGAATGTAAATTAATGCAATGACTGTGGAAACAGTATTAAAATTTCTCAAGAACTAAAAATAAAATTACCATTCAATCCAGCAATTCCACTACTGGGAATCTACCCAAAGGAAAAGAAATCATTATATAAAAAAGATACCCACAAAAATATGTTTATCAAAGCACTATTCACAACAGCAAATGTGTGTAACCAACATAAGTGTCTATCAATGGATGACTGGATAAGACAATGTGGTATATGTATACCATGAAATACTATTCAGCCATAAAACGAGTGACATCATCTATTTTGTAGCAGCATGGATGGAACTGGAGACCATTATCTTAAATGAAACAACTCAGAAAAAGAAAGTCAAATACTGCATGTTCTCACTTAAAAGTGGCAGCTAAATAATGTGTACACATGGGGGTATGGAATGACAGACATTGGAGATGCAGAAGCATGGGGGTGGTGGAGGGGGTGGATGACTAGAAATTACTTAATGGGTAACAATGTACACTGTTCTGGTTATAGATATACTGAAATCCCACATTTCACCAATACACAATATATTGATGTAACAAAATTGAGTTTGTACCTCTTAAATTTATGAAAATTAAAAAAAAACAAAGTATCAATTGGGAGCTTATAGTTCACATGATAGGCACTGCAAGAGAGAGATGAGAGGAAGGAACTGTATAGAATGCAACTCAGGACTTGCTATTTTACGTGTCCACCATCTCCAGCTGACCAAAGATTCTCAAAGTAAAAATAATCCTTTATGCTGAAATCATGATCATTTATTATAACCTGGCTATAGTATACAAGTACTCATATTTTATTTAGTCTATAAAATATTAACTGTGGGATACCTAAAATACCAAATAAGTAATAATTAGTAAGTACACTAGTTATTAACTTATTCCCTAACTCTCTTAATTCATAGGTTTAATGATTTAGAGCTTTAATTCAAAATAATTGATTTGAAAAAATTGGCCTATACAAAGAAGTTTCTTTTCCAAGGAAGAAATAAACAAAACATCTATATCTCATAGTTTAATGTGTTTTATTATATGACCCTGGGTAAATTTTATCTCCTTTGAGAGAGCTGCCAAAAATATTTCTTCTAATAAGAAATACTAATATACCTCATAGATGGAATCTTGGAGGGAAAAGACAAGTATTGACACACACAATTGACCAAGTTGGTCTCTCCTGGTAGTTTAGTAGCTAAACAAACAAACAAAAAATAAAACTTTTTAAAAAAATCTACGAATACCAATAATTGCATGCAGCAGCATCATTTTGGTAAATAGAATGTGGGAAAGACTGACTAGGAGCAGGATTGCCCTCTAATTATTTCTCATCTTTCCCAGCTTGCCCAAGGAAATATCTCTCAAATGAACCTGAGAACTTAAAGAATGTAAAAGGAAGTTAGATACATTCATTTTCTTTTATGCTTGATGACTTAGGTCATGTAAAGTCAAGGCCAGTCTTCTGACCCTATTCACTGAGTTTATATTACGGGATAATAATTACTGGTGCTATCATTGTCATTACTACTATTGCTACTGATACTAGTAGAATAATAGCAATAATATTAAATCCAATTGTAATTATAATATTATTCATATCTTATATGAAAATTAAACATACTAGAACTAGGTAAATCAGAGTAATGTTCCTAAATATTTTACTATCTATAGGAAAAATGGCGGGAAATGCTTGCCTATCCACCTCAAAAATTGATATGTAAAAACTGTGAAAAATCACAAACAATTTCACTAGGGGGAAAATCCTTTAGGTTGTTTTTCTTGATTTTGTGTAGGAAAACAAAATAATAAGGAATTTAGCAGTGGAACAATAAGAAGTTGGGACAACAGAAAATAGGACTGAGAGTTAGCCAGCCTGCATCCCACTCTTAAATGCAGTATCACTCTTTGAATCTGGTGATTAAGAAAGATTGATAATCTGGGGGGAAAAACAATTAATTTCTAGGTAATGAAGGGACTGATTATTCCCAAGTTGGGTCATGAAATGTATCCTGTATTCAAGATTACCAAATGCCTGAGGAAACTCTTACACGTAAGGTAAAATACTGTCCTATGTGATGAAGTTAGTGTTCTGGGAAACTGCCTCTTAAGCAGCACTTTGATGGCTTTGCTGGCAGTTGAAACTGTCCTAATCCCATTAATTAAAGGCACTTCCTACACATTCCCTCCCACAAATGATTCCTAACTTGCAAAGAAGGCCTAAAGGGATTGAGAAATAAAAGGCTGTGTTTGAATTGTGATTTCTTTTAAGTAGTGAGAAAAATTGCCAGTAAGGCCACATATGGAAAGTCACTTTAGACTCTAGGATGAAGGCCTTTTGTGTGTGTGTGTGTGTGTGTGTGTGTGTGTGTGTGTGTGTGTGTGTGTGAGAGAGAGAGAGAGAGAGAGAGAGAGAGAGTTTTGCTCTTGTTGCCCAGGCTGGAGTGCAATGGCGCAATCTTGGCTCACTGCAACCTCTGCCTCCTTGGTTCAAGCGATTCTCCTGCCTCAGCCTCCCAAGTAGCTGGGATTACAGGCATGTGCCACCATGCCTGGCTGATTTTGTATTTTTAGTAGAGATGGGGTTTCTTTATGTTAGTCAGGCTGGTCTCGAACTCCCGACCTCAGGTGATCCGCCCACCTCGGCCTCCCAAAGTGGTGGGATTACAGGCGTGAGTTACCGCACCTGGCCAGATGAAGACCTTTTTTAGAAAGCTAATGTGAAAATAAGAAACCTGATTCTTCTGAGAGAGTGGAGGAGCTCCACCTGGCAGGATAATGACCACTATTTTAGCAGGGGCTTCCTAGAAAATCTGAGACTGAAGGAAAATCTAATACTTCATTGAGGAGGTAATAGTGTGGTGTGAGATTTTTTAAGGGGAGAAATAAGGCAAATGAGGAAGGAGAAACAAACGTAAGAAAATATATTACTGCGATGGTCACAGCATTCCAACATGTGCTGCTGGTAGCTTGGTTTACTAGAAAGGATGGTTCTCCCTGGTTTACATCTACTAGTAGTAGAAAGGGAGAATTATATATGCCATTTTTGTCTCCTGTGATTAAATATTTACCCACAGAGCATCAACTCCCTTGTACTACTTATTTTCACCATCAAATTTCTTTTGGTTAGGGAAGCCAGATCCTAAGATAGCAGTGGCAGCCCCCAGTGCAAGGTGGTGACAGAGCTCAATAAGTCTTCCTTCAGGGTAGATTGAAACCTCTTCTCTGTGGCTTATAAGCATGACTGGTGACAGTCAATCTTCCTGGAGGGTCATCAGAGCACCAAGCAGAACACCATTGCCAAGTGAATTTAGGGAAATGCATAAACTGTGCCCAGTACAAACAGTAATCAAAAGTTGAAGGTATCTGTCTGGATTTATGACATCAAGGATGGTGTAAGTAGTTCTGAACCAGTGCCTCTTATACTGGCTGGAAGATAGATTTATATCCAAACCAAATGAGCCTTGAGTTGGAACACTAAGGAAAAGCTTCATGATGAAGTATGACACTTTCTCTGAAGAAATACTAAAAAAAGAAGAGAAAATGGCTCATCTCAAGAAATATTTTTTGCCACTGAATTTGGGACTCAGTCTCTGCTAATTTGTTCAAGAGCCAACAATCTGGTACAACTAAGTTAGAACAAGCAACATCTCACAGCTCTTTGATATAAATCTTCAACTAGAGAGATTTTACTATAGGCCTGTCCCTTATGGCCTCATGACTTGAACTGTGGGAATACTCAGCCCTGTTTTTCCAGAGGTAATGGTCAACTCTAGCCTGAATCAAAGTTTATTGGCCAGTGTACCTGGATCCCCTTTGGTTCTCAATCTTGCATATCACCATATGGAGACCATGGCAACTTGGCATCATCAGTGGCCACTCAAGGAAGCAAGTGACTCCACCCAGATTCATATTTTAGATGTAACTTGTCAAGGTCTTATTTTCTTTAAGCTAAAAGGCTCTTCCATCACCAAATCATAGTGGATACACACTACTAAGGCACTTAAATATATGAAGCATACCTCAATACATAAGATTGTGAATATTAGAGGCAGACTCCACCCAGATTCATATTTTAGATGTAACTTGTCAAGGTCTTATTTTCTTTAAGCTAAAAGGCTCTTCCATCACCAAATCATAGTGGATACACACTACTAAGGCACTTAAATATATGAAGCATACCTCAATACATAAGGTTGTGAATATTTGAGGCAGATAAACTTCTGTAACTCATGATATTATCAGTAGGTAGTGTTGGGAAGTGAGGATCTAACAAAGGGAGAATGTAAAATAATTGACTTCTGGGCTATTAATACTAGAGTTGTGTTAAGAACTAAGAATCTTAGTTACATCTAAAACGTGTGTAGCAAAACACCAGTTATGATGTAGCTATCTTATTGACATACAGTATTAACAAATGCCTTCGAAAAGAAGAATGAGTGGTGAAATAATACATACATTAAGCTAAGTTAAAATCTGTTTGTACTCACTTGGACATAACTATTCACAATACAATTACTTGATTTTCAACATGTAAATAGTATTCATGAGCATTGATGTGCAAATTGATATATGCATGTAAGTCATAAGCTTTAAATGATTAGGAATATGGAAATCATTTAAAGGTAATTCAATCTTTTATAACAATTTGTAATTTAACTGATTGTTGAATATTTTTATATTGAAACATTCACTTTCTTCAGTTTGGTTTCAAAAGGATATTTTATATGAATACATTTACATTTTAACTCATAATTATGTCCATCATATCTTATGTGTGAATATAGGCATTTACTTTGAAGAGTTTAAAATGCAGTTATATCTAGCTGTTTGAATACTCTCTATATTAAAATATAAAAAAAATTGCAGACAAATTTATCAATTGCCATTTCCATAACAACCAAAGGAAATTCAAAAAGACTCTTCACACCACTGCTCAAAATAATTTCCCAAGTCTTATGTATTAAAAAAAAAATCTCATTTAGATGACTCTATGCTCAGTATTAAAATGAAAAACTATAAGGGTAACTATATTTCCCTAACCCATACACTATTATAAATGTGGCAAAAAAATGACACATTTATATGTTCATTTATTGTACACATATTCAAGTTATCAAATCAAAATATCACCATATAGAGTTACCTGAGTAAATATTGTTGAACTGGCTCAAGTGGCTCATTAGGAGTCATGAAAATCTCCAAAGCTCCCAAGTGATCCTGATCCCATAAGAAGCACATAGTGTAGTGTTGCTCATATGTAACTCAGATGTGTTTTAGCCACCCTCCTCCCTTGCCCCAACTCCTGACTTCCAATAGACTAGATTAAGTTAATCATTAATTCTTTTAAAGATAGGTCTGTAGAAAATTTGAATGACCTGAGGCAATCAACATCTTACCAACAGCTAGCCCTTGGGAGGTTTCTAAGACTAATTTAAGGGAGAACAAGGAAAAGCAACTGACAAAACTCTTATTTGTCTAATTAAACTTCTAGTCATTTAATACCAAAGGAATTTGATTGAACATATTCATGGACATCACTAAATAATAACAATGCAACAATAAAGCATTTCTTAATGAAATGTATATTAAAATTCTGTGGAAAACTCTTCTGTGAACCCTCATACCACTTTTTTCTTCTTGGATATGGAAGAGATCATTACTAATGAGTGAAATAGTGATATGCAATTTATAAACAAAATGGATTTTCATTCTAAAGGTGGAACTTGCTTTCAAGTACCCAAATGTCTAACTTGACTATTTCAAAATGAACTACAAATATTGATCTATCAGCAGATTGTGCTTCAATTTGGACATGCATCAATTTATATCACATCTGGGTAGAAAATAAAATAGTATTTGGCAAAAAGATGAAAGAATATTTGTTAAAGTCTATATTTAATATGCCCACTTATTTTTTCTTAGAAGAAATGAATTCAAGCAGTCACTATTAACTTGTGAGAAATCACTCCTTTGGAGCTCAATATCTGGCAACATGGTTTCCTTCTCTGAAGAATCTAAAACAGTTTCTCTAAGTGTGCTTCCAAGATTAGCAGGATTAGCATCACCTGGTAACTTGCTAGAATTTACAAGGAACTCAAACAACTAAAGAAGAAAAACAAACAACTCGATTAATAACTGGGCAAAGGACATGAACAAACATTTCTTGAAAGAAGAAATGCAAGCAGCCAAGAAACACATCAAAAAACGCTTAGTATCACTAATCATCAGAGAAATGCTAGTTAAAACCTGTGCTTCAATTTGTAAACAAACACTGAGATACCATCTCACACTGTTCAGAATGGCTATTCTTAAAAAGTAAAAATATAACAGATGTTGGTGTGGATTTGGAGAAAAGAAATACTCATACACTGTTGGTGTGAATGTAAATTAGCTCAACCTCTAGGAAAAACAGTTTGGAGATATGTCAAAGAACTAAAAATAGATCTACCATTCAACCCACCAATCCCACTACTTGGTATTTACCCAAAGAAAAAAAAAGTCATTATATCAAAAAGACACCTGCACTTGTATGTTTATTGCAGCACTGTATACAATAAGAAAGTCATGGAACCAACCTAAGTGTCCACCAGCAGTTGAAAGGATAAAGAAAAAATGCTGTTAATACATGATGAAATATTCCACAGCCACAAGAAAGAACAAAATCATGTCCCCTTTGCAGCAACAGGGATGAAGCTGGAGGCCATTATCTTAAGTGAACTAACACAGAAGCAGAAAATCAAATATAGCATATTCTCACTTATAAGTGGGAGCTAATCAAAGAGTACACATGGACATAAAGATGGAGAGAACAGACTCTGGGATTTCCAAAATGGGGAGAAGGGTTGAAAAATTACCTACTGACTACAGTCTCCAATATTGGGGTAATGGGTACTCTGAAGACCCAACCCTCACCATTACACATGTCATACCCACATAACAAACAAGAAAATGTACTTTTTTCTATGTGTGTGACAGAGTCTCGCTCTGTCACCCAGTATGGAGTGCAGTGGCATGCATGATCTCGGCTCACTGCAACCTCTGCCTCCCGGGTTCAAGTGATTCTCCCGCCTCCGCCTCTAGAGTAGCTGGGACTATATGCATGTACCGCTACGCCTGGCTAATTTTTGTTTTTTTAGTAGAGAAAGGATTTCACCATGTTGGCCAGGCTGTTCTTAAACTCCGGACTTCAGATGATCCGCCCAAAGTACTGGGCCAATCCCTTGGCCTCCCAAAGTACTGGGATTACAGGCATAAGCCACCACACCCAGCCAAAAATGTACTTTTGAATCTAAAATTAAATATATTTTTAAAATAAATACAAAAATAATATTTTTCAGCCTTACAAAATAAGAAAATTTTGTCATTTGTGATAATACTGATGAAACTAGAAGACATTTTGCTAAATGAAATAAGCCAGTCACAGAAAGATAAATACTGCATTATTTCATTTATATGTGGAATTTTAAAACTTTGAACCAAAAGGCAGAGAGTAGAATGATGGCTGCGAGCGGAAAGGGGACTAGGGGAAATAGGGGAATTTTGGTCAAAGGGTATAAACTTTCAGTTATAAGTTGAAACACACTCAAGACAAGTACAGCATAGTGATTACAGTTACTAATAATGTATTGTTTACTTGAAATCCGCTAGGAGAGTAGATCTTAAGTGTTTTCACTGCATACATAAAAATAGTAACTATGTCAGGTGATGGATATGTAAATAAGCTTGACTGCGGTGCAAGAATGGCCATTAATGAAAAGTCTAAAAACAATAGAGGTTGGCATAAATGTGGTGAAAGGGGAATGCTTATATACTGCTGCTGGGAATGTAAATTAATACAACCTATATGGAAAACAGTAGGGAGATTCCTTAAATAACTAAAAGTAGATTTACCATTTGATACAGCAATCCCACTACTGGGTATCTACCTAAAGGAAAACAAGTCCTTATATCAAAAAAACACCTGTACATGTGTGTTTATTGCAGCACAATTCACAGTTGCATAGATATGGAACCAACCTAACTGCCCATTGACCAATGAGGGGATAAAGAAAATTTGGTGTATATATACACCATGGAATACTACTCAGCCATAAAAAATGAAATAATGTGATTTGCAGCTATGTGGATGGAGCTGGAGGCCATTATTCTAAGTGAAGTAACTCAGGAATGGAAAACCAAATACCATATGTTCTCACTTATATGTGGGAGCTAAGCTCTGAGTACACAATGGCATACAGAGGGATATAATAGATTATGGAGACTCAGAAAGGGGAAGGTGGGAGGAACAAGAGATAAGAAACTACATATTATTCAGGTGACAGGTGCACTAAAATCTCAGACTTCACCACTATACAATGAATCTATGTAACCAAAAATCACCTGTACCCCCAAAACTATTGAAATTTAAATTTAAAATAAAAAATAAAATAAAGTAATATTGATAAAACTCATTCACTTGGAAAACAAACCCAAATCTTATGCAAGCCAGTCAATAAAAGCCTATAAATGAACAAAAAAGAATAAAATAAAGAAAGAAATTCAAATATAAAGTCCTACCCCAGACCTACTGATATGGTTTGGTTCTGTGTCCCCACCCAAATCTCATCTTGAATTGTAACCCCCACATGTCAAGGGAGGGACCTGTAATCCCCACATCTTGAGGAAGGAAAGTGATTGGATCATGGGAGTGGTTACTCCCATGCTGTTCTCATGATAGTGAGTTATCATAAGATTTGATGGTTTTATAAGGGACTCTTGCCTCTTCCCTTCACTCTTCTCTCTCCTGACACTATGTGAAGAAAGTCTTTGCTTCCTCTTCCCCTTCTACCATGATTGAAAGTTTCCTGACACCTCCCCAGCCATGTGGGACTGTGAGTCAATGAAACCTCTTTCCTTTGTGAATTACCCAGTCTTGGGTATTTCTTTATAGCAGTGAGTAAACAGACTGATACAGTAAATTGGTACCAGAGAGAGTGGGGCACTGCTATAAAGATACTTGAAAATGTGGAAGCAACTTTGCAACTGGGTAACAGGCAGAGGTTGGAACAGTTTGGAGGACTGAGAAGAAGGCAGAATTATGTAGGAAAGTTTGAAACTTTCTAGAGACTTGTTGAATGGTTCTGACCAAAATGCTGATAGTGATATGGACAATGAAGTCCAGGCTGAGGTGGTCTCAAATGAGATGAGGAACTTACTGACAACTGGAGCAAAGGTCACACTTCCTATGCTTTAGCAAAGAGACTGGCAGCATTTTGCCCCTGCCCCAGAGATCTGTGAGATCTCTGGAACTTGAGAGAGATGATCTGAAATTGGAATGTTTAAAAGGGAAGCAGAGCATAAAAGTTAGGAAAATTTGCAACCTGATGATGTGATAGGAAAGAAAAACCCATTTTCTGGGGAGAAATTCAAGTCAGCTACAGAAATTTGCATAAATAACAGAGAGCCAAATGTTAATCCCCAAGACAATTGGGAAAATGTCTCCATGGCATTTCAGACACCTTCTTGGCAGCTTCTCCCATCATCACAGGCCTGGAGGCCTAGGAGAGAACAATGGTTTCACGGGTGGGGCCCAGGGCTCCCCTGCTCTGTGCAGCCTCCAGACTTGGAGCCTTGCATGCCAGTGGTGGCTAAGAGGTGCCAAGGTACAGCTTGGGCATTTGCTCCAGAGGGTGCAAGCTCCAAGCCTTGGCAGCTTACCTGTGGTATTGAGCCTGTGGGTGCACAGAAGTCAAGAACTGAGGTTTAGGAACCTCTGCCTAGATTTCAGGGGATGTACAGAAATGCCTGAACATCAAGGCAGAAGTCTGCTGCAGGGGCAGAACCCTCATGGAGAACCTCCTGACTGGCAAATGTTCAATATTGAATTGTCTGGATAATGTGTCCATTTTGCTTTAATTCAAGGATTATTATTTTTATAGTAATGTATTGTTTATTATAATTCTAAGTTGAGCATTATTTTCTTTCAGTAATTTAAAAGATAGCTTTCAGGGACATTGCTGTATTTCAAATCCTCAATTAAAACTTTAAAATAATAAATACAATAAGGAAGCAAAAAGAATGTTATAGAGGAAAGGAGTGTCATGAAGTCAGCTATGGCTCTGTGGTCTATAACTTCTTTAAAGGAAATCTATTTTTTTTTAATTCTGGTTGCTTTTAAGATTTTTTCATTCCTTTTATTTTGCATTTACAACATGGTGTAACTTGGTATAAATATATTTTTATTTCTCTAATGTGGGATTCCTTCATATTCTTGAATCCAAGGATTGAACTTTCCATCAGTTCAGAAAAACTGTTACTTATTCTTTCAAATATTGCTCTAAACTGTTCTCTTCTATCTTCTCCTGTTGGTATTCCAATTAAAATTGTGATAGGCAATTTCTCATTTTGTCCTCAAAATCTATTATTTTATTCTGTAGCTCTGATTGCTTTTTACTCTCCTTATTTCATTTAAAAAATTTATACTCACCTATCTCCCAGTTGACTACTTCTGTCTTTCACTATGTCTAGTCAGCTATTGATCTCATTCTTCTTAGGACGTTCTTTTTCAGTTTTCATATATTTGCTACTGAAAATTTCATATATATGTTACAGAAAATTTTAATGTATTATTTTCTAGCCTTGAACATAATAACTACAGTGGATTTTTCCACTGTTACTTTCTAACAACATACATGTACTAATATTTCCAAAAACTAAGGCCTTGCAGCTGTTTGTCTAATTTTCTGCTTATTCTTTTTCATTGAGTCTTGTTCCCTGGTTAAATTGTTACATTCAACTGTGCTTATTGTGTTTGAAAAATTATTTGTAGAAATAATTTTGACTTAATATAATATTGAAGCAGTGTCATTCACCTGGGGTAATACCCAAGGTTTGTTGCCTCATGCCAAGGAAATCAAGGACATGGACACATGTGGAGTGAGGTTAAGAGCAGAGGTTTAATAGGTGAAAGAAAGAGAAAAGAGTGGGTCTTCCCAAGTGGGTCTTCCAGTCCCCTGGTGAATTGCACAGGGCTTTGTAGACTGGCTTGAGGAGGCGGTGTCTGATTTACATAGGGTCCAAAGATTGGTTGGACCAGGTGTGACATTTACATAGCAGGCAAAGAAGCTGGAAACCCCACCCTAATCTTTTATTATACAAATGGGTTTTCTACCTGGCCAATGCCATGTTGTCTGCTCCTAACTGTACACGTGATTGACAAAGAAAAGGGAAGATGGGGCCACCATGTTGAACATGCCTAGCCCCCAGGTAGCCTTTTCCTATTGTCACAGCTGCCAGCATTCACCCATGCAAACTTCCATCTTGCTTATATATGTCTGCAGCTCGATTTTATGGGCTGCTTTTTGTTAGAAAAGAAATGATTTGGGTGCTGCTTTTTATTAAAAGGAAACCTTAGCAAGAACTTCCTTACTCTCACTATCTGCCTAAATAATTTCTTTTTAACTTCTAACTTCCCCTCTCAGGAGTGGTAACCCTAACTGCTATTAGAGGGTGTTGGATTGCAACTCTTTCTGGCTTCCTGCTGAAATTGGGCGTTGTGTGGGGAAGAGCAGCTGGGGCTCCTCCTGGGGTTGATCTAAGGGTCCTTGGAAGTAAAGCTTGGCCATGTGTGGTTCTGTCTGCAGCATCATTTGGAGTTGATTGCTTCTAGACAAGAACAGACAAATTTTAGTTTGAATATGAGCATTAAGACTACCACTATTAGTGGGGGTACTGTAGGCCACAACCATGACAGTAGAGTTTGATATCTGTCAGCCATTCTGATGGACTGTAATACTGGTTTGCCTCCACCAGAGGTCGCTGTACTTTACCTTAAGCATTGATAATTTTTCTTTGAGAAAAACCTGTATTTCCCTCTTGACTTGTTATTAGGGGATAATCTTAGATCTAGGCCATCTTTTATAACTTGCAATGTAATTGGGAGAAATACGTTATTGGGTGGCTAGAGTAACTTTAGTGTTAACCTTGGCTAATTTTTTCCTGCAATTACCAATCCTCTCATGACTTCCACAGACCATCTACGACATGCTTAAACTTTCTGGCTTGTCCTAAACATCCCTCTTTTTAAACTACCAGTTATTCTCTTTAGGACAATAATTTACTGTACAAGATCCTTTCTTAAATAAAATCTCTTCTCTTTATAGCTTTTTTGCATAGCTAGGGTGTGACATATTACCAAACCCAATAAAAAGTTCTAGCAGATTTATTGATGGTAAAACTTTCATGTTTACTTCTTGTCGGTAACTATTATTCCTCCTTTAAGGATAATAATTAAGCAAAATACTATAGCAATGGAAACTGTCTGATTTTCCAGTTAGAAGGTGTTCTGGTGTATAGCTCTACTGCAAATAGTAGAGTGAGTATAGCAATTCCCACAAGAGTAGTGTAGTGTATAAAATTTTACTTGCCAATATATAGAATTTCCCTTTGGGGGTCTTTGAAGTTCCTTGGTTTTATTTTCCCAGTCAAAGAAACCTACAGGTTATGGGCACCTTATTTACTTTCATTACCTGGCAGGATTTGCAGGATAATTGCCCAGAACTAGGATATTGATCCAGATTTTTACATTACCCATCCCTTTTTGTTTCTTCTGAGCTGCAGGAGATCACTACTTGATTCACAGAAATAAGCAGAGTTAGTCTAAAATGTAGGCAAAAAAATTTTAAAACAACGAATGAAACTAGAACTTAATGATAAATGTATAATAAGTTTTGGAGCATAATTTTTCTATCTCCAGTCCTCATTTTCAGTAAAAACAAATTATGATAGGACTGTGTTGTTTGTAGAATAAACTTTAGTCTTATACTTGGCCTGATTATTTGCATAAAGTACAGCAAGAATAATTATTGCTACATAGGCCTTTTGGATTAGTTTTGATGGAACTCTGCTCCACAAGGGATCTCAGATAAAACCTTTTAAAGCCAAGTACAGCCATGGATTTGTACCCTCAAATACCTGTGAGTTGGGTGATCCTTTCCTCTTAAGGTTCCAAGATAAACTTGGAGCTCCTGGACCTGTTAGAAAGTGACATTCTTTACTGACCACAGATCGGGAACCCTGTACAGGGACTGTGTAGGCAAGGGCATGAGACCAGTCTCCCCAAGGGACTTTTATGGGCTCTGCAAGTCAAGCTTGATTCCTTAAAGGGGAACACACCCTTCCAGCCAAAGCCTTGGTAAAACAACCAGTTCCTCCAATTGTGTCCTATTGCAAAAAGAAAATGGATTCTTATTGCACTGATGCAAATAACTATATTGCCATAAGTTAAGAATACTCACAAATAGATTCCAAAGTTTAGAGGACCCAGGCAGTAAGAAATAAATATGCTTCAAATTTTGTTTACAGAAGTATACTTAATTGTTAAAAGCTATAGATAGCTTTAAAAGAAAGGTTGCCTTGACTTTGAAGAACAAAGCAAGGATTAGCAATGTTTCAAGAAAAAAGTTAAAAAAAAAGATTACTTCAGACTTCTATTAGTGTAGTTCGTGCAATTAACTCCTGTTTGATATTCATGAACATTTCAGCTCTTAATGAGTACTGTATGTTTTTCTCTATTCCAATGTTACAATCTTCAAAGCTATTAGAGACCTGCATTTGAGGACACCTGTTAAAGTCCCATAGTTTGATTATAAACCATCTTTTGAGAAGCAACAAAGCAAGACAACAATTGTCTGCAAATGACAAAATTTCCAGGGTAGTTACAGTTAAAAACATTACTGACAAAGAGATTTGGTTATTTCTGTGGTTTATAATAACTTTGACCTTAATTATGATTGATATTGTATACTTAGACATTAGAATTTTAGACATCCACACAATTTTGGAACATATATTAATATTATTCAGTAAAATATAACCTGAAGAAGATTAAACATCATTTTGGCAATTTCACATACCTAAACATGTTAAATAATCCTGTTTACCTTTCTTTTTTGGACACTACGGGGGCCCTTCTGGAGCCTCTGAAAAGCCAGGTGTCAGGAAAGACAATTTTGAAACTGAGGTTTGATTTTTTGAATCCTGTTAAATATGTCAGCAGTTTAAACACTTGATGATGTTATGAAATAGAATTCCAGATTACCATAAATTATTTATTTTGCCAAAATAATGACTCAAAAATTTTAAAAAGGCAAAAACCTTTCATTAGCCTTTAGTATTACATGAAAATCCTGTTCAAAGCCAAATTTTACCCTTGCATTATTTTATTAATGTTAACCCAAATTTTAAAGTGAAAACTCATAGACAATTCCATCTAATCTTAACCAATTTGACCATGAGGTGAAATTTTTACTATCCTTTTATAACTTTTGCTCAAGGGCAGACTAACATCTTATGACAACCTTGCTGTGCTTTTATTTCAATGCTCAATTTATGAAAAGACCGTATAATATGCTTTTGAAATTAGTTAATGTTTACACATGGGATTTTCGCAAGATTAATTTTTACAATCGTTCCACAACTTGCTTAAACTTTCAGCTTTATCTTATCTAATTTCAGACAATCCTTTATCCCTAAGCAAAACTTACATTTCCATGTCTTCTTATAATCTTTTATTAAAAACACATTTTAATGTTTTTACACACCTTGCATGTAAATCCATTTTTAGTAGTTTAAATTACATGTTATAATGGTAACTTTTAGCAATTTATAACTTTAATGTGAAGGCTAGTAAGTTGTTTTGATTATGTACTAGGCACAGATAAAGTCTGACTTTTTCCAGCATAGTTAGGGGCATGGTTAATTTCATATATCCCCAGACCTTACCAAGTTGTAAAGCAGGTAGTTTATTGAAACATTTAGCAAACCTAGTATCTGACTTGTATGATGTAGACCACCAATTTGCATTTTGATGACACTTGTATTTTACCAATAATCCTTAAGACTAATTTTATTTCTTAAAGATTGAAGTCACATGAACTATAAGGCATTATAGCTTTTATCTTTCCTTTAAAAATATTTGATTTAAGTGCTTATTTTTCTTTAAGCCAATCAATTAGAGCTCTTTTTATAGACATTACACACAACACATATATAGCTACACAGACAGAAGATTCAGCACTTGGAAGATTTTTCATTTGCCAGTTTCTTAATTGGACTACTGGCTTCAGGGTGTAGCCCTTGAAGGAACAGAGCCAGGAGAGCATGCATTTCTAGAGCCAAATAAGCAGGCACAGCTGAAGGCAAAGACAGATTCCAAAAATTAAGGGTGCCCTTTTATAGTGGATCCTGGATCCCCCAAAGGAGGGAAATACTATGGGAGAAGATACTGAAATGCTTCAACTGTGCATTTCATTGCAAGGCAACCCAAAGCCAACCAGCCGACCTCGTAATCAACCCATCCCCCATAGGAGTCTCATCTCTCAGTGGGTGGGGGGTAGGGATGTTTCCATATCTTCCAGGTGGCCAAGAGCATGCTTCTCTTATTCAACTGTGCAGAGTCAAGTATCCTACCATAACTACTATTAGCCATCCCTTAAAGTATATTTCCTACCTGCTTATTACACACCAAAGCTCTCTCACAATGAGAAGTAATTTCTGATACCCCCAAAACTCAAAACCATCAGATAATACAATGCAAGACAGAACAGAGCCTTTCATTTTGAGAGGGATTTATCCATTTTTAATTCCTGGGGTTTCATGAGGAAAACAGAGTATTTCTCCAAAACGGGGTTTGTGGTGCCTCCTCTGTTTTTCCCAAGTAGTCCCAAGTTACTAGAAGTTATCTTAGGGCCTCTCATGTGTGCATTAAAAGTGACAAGACAAAAAATGGAAAAAAATAATTCAGTTGACTAAGAAGAAAAAAAAAACATTTTTTTTCCAGAAAAACAAGACCCAAGAAGAGGAAAAAAAAAAACAAACATAAAGGGCTAAAGGGCTTTTAAATATACCTATAGCTTGGATATCCACTTTTAATTAAGCTGAGCACTCTTTAAGAAAATCCTTTTGGCTGGGTGCAGTGGCTCACGCCTGTATTCCCAGCACTTTGGGAGGCTGAGGCAGGTGGATCACCTGAGGTCAGGAGTTTGAGACCAGCCTAGCCAACATGGTGAAACCCCATCTCTACTAAAAATACAAAAATTAGCTGGGCATGGTGGCACCCACCTGTAATCCCAGCTACTTGGGAGGCTGAGGCAGGAGAATTTCCTCCCAGGAGGTGGAGGTTGCAGTGAGCCAAGATTGCACCACTGCACTCCAGCTTGGGCAACAGAGGTGGACTCTGTCTCGAAAAAAAGAAAAAGAAAATCCTTTTAAAACCCTTGTTACTTGACTTTAGCCACACCAAGCAGTTAAGATTTTCTGCTTTTGAACTTTACCAAAAGTAACTTCATAGATCAAACCAACAAGCCTTAATTAGGTTATGACTTAGCCACGAGTATATGAGGTATTTTCAAAGAGGTGTTAAGTCACAAAATTGTGAACGAGACAGTGAAAGAGATCTGACCCAACCAACTCCATCTTGCTTCCAGCCCCCAAGCTGTCCTTACCCATCCCTGGGCATAGGCTGAACTAACTCTGGGAGGAGCTTGGTTTACAGTTTATGGTCCCAAACAAAGACAATAGCAGCCCCTTCCCAAAATAAAATTCCCTTTTGCCTGGGGACCAGACCAAGAAACTATTATGGCCCGTGTTGAAGTGTTTACTCTTATAGATTGTCTCCAGCTAACTTCTGGACTTAAAATTTCCTTACTATTTTAGGTACCATTTTAATTGGAGGTAGAATAGGTACCATAAAAGAATGTAGGGAGTGAATGACAGTTTTCCTGCTGATGGGACAGTATCAAGACTAAAATTTGATTTCGGAGGACATTTTCCTCCTCATTGTTGAAGGCAGAGTTTCCTCATTTACAGAAGCAGCATAAATCATGGTCTCTAGTAGAGGAGCACAAAAAGGGAGGAGAATTGGGAAGCTAGAGTGTTTCTGCGAAGGGGCAAAAATGTGCCCCATGGAGAGGATTCCTATTCCACTAGGTGGCGATGTTGACCTTAAAATGCCATAAGCTCTCCAGACCAAGGGCAGAGTGACCTTGAAATGCCATGTGCTCTACAGACCAAGGGCAGAGAGAGACACTCACTGTGGGTGGGCGGGGAGAGACCTTCTGTTCCTCTAAAATCACAAAAACGGGCTTCCCTTGAGTTTTATCCCCAGTTACTATGGCATTTCCTGATCTTGCCTAACGTGATTATTTCCCTGACCTGAACTGTAAAAATTCCCATAACATTGCATATAGAGACAGGATAGGAGACATGGCAGTTGTGGACAGGAAAGGAGGAAATTACCATAGGAAAAGCTGAAGATCCTGTTGCCAATGCCCAGTTGGGCAGTCGGAGCCTGGAGTCAGTCCGGAAGCCTTCTGATAACACCGGGGTGTAGTCCTGGCCAGAAATCCTCCGTTGTTTCAGGAACTCTTCCAGCCCCACATGATGGCTAGGTCCTCTGTGAAAGGAAACGGTTCAAAACATGGCCAACATGCCCAGCAACATGGATGGTGGGGGATTCTCCATGTTCTCCCCAGCAAGCCTATACCCCAAGTCTTGTAAGGCTGGCAGCCATGCTAATCGTTTTTTAAATGGCTTATGGGGGCCCAGTATTTTGGTTAGATTTGATTTTAAAATGAAGGCCGAGAGCCTCTAAATGAAAGGACAGAATTGAGGTTCACACCTATACTCACTGTTTCAATAAATATACCCTGCATTCCAATACCAGACAAGCCCCCACAATGAAGTGGCATAATTCGTCTAGGGTAAGACCCGAGGTTAATTGCCTCATTCTAAGGAAATGAAGGACATGAACACATGTGGAGTGAGGTTAAGAGCAGAGGTTTAATAGGTAAAAGAAAGAGAAAAGAGAATAGCTCTCTCCTGAAGAGAGAGAGGGCCTCCCAAGTGGGTCTTCCAGTCCCATGGTGAAGTGCACGGGGTTTTATAGACTGGCTTGAGGAGGTGGTGTCTGATTTAGGCAGGGCTCAAAGATTGGCTGGATCAGGTATGACATTTACATAGCACACGAGGAAGCTGGCCACCCACCCTAATCTTTCATTATGCAAATGGGTTTTCTACCTGGCCAGTGCCATATTTTCTGCTCCTTACTGTACACGTGGTTGACAAAGAAAAGGGAAGATGGAGCTGCCATGTTGGACATGCCTAGCCCCTAGTTAGCCTTTTCCTATTGTCACAGCTGCTGGCATTCACCCATGCAAGCTTCCAGCTTGCTTATGTATGTCTGCAGCTCGATTTTACAGGCTGCTTTTTGTTAGAAAAGAAATGATTTGGGGGCTGCTTTTTATCAAAGGGAAACCTCACCGAGGACTTCCTTACTCTCACTATCTCCTTAAATAATTTCCTTTTAACTCCTATATCAATATCTTTCTTCACATATTATTTTTTTTTCCTATGAGGCATTCCAGAAATTTTAGCAGTCAGGGACCATCTTAATCCAAGTTCAAGGACTAAGGATTTTTGGAACCTTCATATGACTAAATCTGAACTGAAAATTCCTGTGAAGGTTGGTTTACTTCCAATTCATTCTTAATAGTAGGAGAAGACTCTTCAGGATCCCAGCCCAAAGGGGAGGGTACGGTGGGGAATTAGCAGGATTCCTATTCTTGGTGGACTATGGACACCCAGTTTTATCTATTTAGCCTTGCAAGGCTACCAAAAATAATATCTAAGGCCCTTAACCATTCTTTGTGGCTTGGCATATTATCCTGGCTCAACAAGAATCCTTAATGCTGGTTGTACTTCTCAAGGTCTTCTTCCTCCCCCAAATCTTGGTCTTGTAATTCTTCACTATTGTTTGCTCTTTGCCTGTTTATCTTAGGTGGAATAATCACATATGAATAACCTGGTCTGCCCTAATTACTGGGAGAAATAGACTGGGTAAGAGGTACTGAGATGGCTGCATATCTGTAATTCTTGACATAATTCACCCTCACTAATTTTTTTCAGAGAACTGAATTATCTAAGATCATGCAGAGGATTAGTAATAACATCAGGGCTAAAACTCAGGTCTCCAAATTGCCTGTCTGAATGTTTCTTCTATATCTGGGAGAGTAGCTCTGTTACATTTTAGATGGTCAATGAATATTTATGGAATTAAAAAATATATTAATGTCATGTACTTTCATATAAAATCTCATAATATGAACAAAGTTAAACTTCATTGATTGATACCATTCACATGTTTATTAAAAAAACAACATGGAATTCACGTCTGGATGGTACCCATTAGTTTTTTATTTAGGGAAAACAGCCAGCAGGTTTGATTTATGCAATTTCAGACAGCTTCATTTCCTATTCTGCTTTTAATTTGCTCTGCCAAAAGTGATATAATTATCTCTTATCGTCTTCATTTTAAAGCCCAGGGAGAGAGTTTCCTTAAATGCAAACACAGTTATTATCCAAGTCTTAACTTCCAGCAAAGGACTAGATGCCATACAGAACACAGTTTTTAAATTAGCCTTGCCTATGCTGCATATGAGCTGAAACCAACCCCATTGCTACATTTTACACTTCACAAAGAAGTTATAGGTAAAATCCTCTGAGGAAAGAACATCCCTGAATCATTTCATTGTTAGAGGTAAGTCAATTTCTTCTAATCACAAGGACTACCTCCTTCTGCCTAGAATTTAGAAAGCTGAGAAGGCTGTCATTTCCACACTAACAATGAGAAAAAAAACAGTACTAAATATAAAATCATTAATTTTATTGTACCCATCAGAGATCTGAGGTTACAGAATAACCAACGAGGCTAAGATCTTGGAAAGATAGATACTTCTAAGGTAAAATGTAGCACAGCCATTGTCTTACCTATGGCAGAGCACAGGAGGAAGACAGAGTTGTTACACAAGTGGCTAAAAAGATTTCACTAAAATATTTAAAAATTTGCTAAATGCCAAGTGTGGGCTAGCAAGAGACTACAGAATTCCCTAGAGCTGCAAACAATAAAAGAAGACTGCATACACCTGAAGGTTCTTCTCCAGGGACTTTACTTGTGCTAAAGAGAAAGATTGTGAGGTAGGCTGATTATCAGAGAAAATATCCCTCAGTTTAAAACGATGCCATTCATCACATCAACAGAGTAAAGAAGCAAAACAACGTGATCATCTCAATAAATGCAGAAAAAGTTTTGGCAAAGTTCAACATCCATTTACACTAAAAACTCTCAGAAAAGTAGAGAAAGGAACTTCCTGTACTTGCTAAAGGATATACTTTAAAAACCCTACAAATAATATAATATGTATTGATGAAAAACTGAATACTTTCTTCACGATTTCAGGAAAAAAGCCAAATATTCTTATCAGTCCTATTGAACATTGTATTTCAGGTCCCAGACAATGCAATAAGACAAGTACACCTACATAGACATATGAATATATACTTATATTCATATGCACAAGCGTATATAAATGGCATACAAAGTGGATATGAAGAAATAAAATTATATCTACTTGCAAATGCCATGATTTTCTACATTAGAAACCCAATGGAATCTAAAAGAAGCTGAATGAACTAATAAGTGACTTTAACAAGATTACAGGATGATAGGTCAATTTAAAAAAATCAATTTTACTTCTATATACTCATGATGAACAATTGGAAATTTAATTTTTAAAAATATCATTTAAAAAGTAGCTCTATAGTGGAGAAACCTGGCAAATACTACTACTGCCAAATGATCAAGGTTAATATCAATATTTATAAATCGTATTGATAATGTATGTTTCTCATATAATGTGATGAGAATGGCAATTTATCTTTGTGGCCTTCCTTCCAAACTTTCAACTCCATTCTAATCATGAAAAAAATTAGACAAATTCCAATTGAGAAAAAAATGTAACAATTGCCTGGCCAGCACTCTTCAAAACTGTCAAGGTCACAAAAACAAGAAAATTCTGAGGAACTGTCACAGAACAGATGAGCCTAAGGAGACATGAAATATAAATGTAATATGGTACTCTGGATAGGATCCTGGAACAAAAAAAAAATGACATTAATACAGTGTGACATTTTATCTATATTAGCACAACAATGTTGGTTCCTTAGTTTTTAACAATAGGGGAAACTGGGTGAAGGATATACAGTAACTCTGTGTTTTCTTTAAAATTGTTCTGTTAATTAATAACTATTCTAATATTTTTAAAGCTTATGAAAAATAGCATTTAAATTTGCACCAAAAACATGAAACAGATATAAATCTGACAAAATGTATGTAAGATCAGTATACTGAAAAGTATAAACACCGATAATAGTAATCAAATAACTTATTAATTGAGGGATATATCATGTTCACGGATTGGAAGACTCTTGTTAAAACAGCAATTTTAACAAAACTGATCTATAAATTCAGCTCAAACCCAATCAAAGTCCCAGCAGGAATTGTCCTAGAAATGAACAAATCGATTCTAAATTTAGGTCAAAATGCAAAGGAGTTAGAAGAGCAAAAGGGTATTTTTTTTAAAAGGAACAAAGTTGGAGGATACATTTTACCAGATTCCAATAATTATTATAAAGTTACACTAATCAAGACAATGTGGTATTGGTGAAAGGACAGGCAGGAACAGAAGAGACATTTGTAATGTAGACCCACACGTATTTGGTCAATTGTGGATTTTTATTGTATATGTTTAAGGTATTCAACATTGTTTTGATATATATAACGTAGTAAAATAATTACCACAGTCACGCAAATAAACATCCATCCCTTCATATAGTTACTTTTTTTGTGGTAAGAGCACCTGAATTCTACTGTCTTGGAAAATTTCCAGTATGGGATATAATATTAAGTGTAGTCATCGTATTGTACATTCAATCTCTAGATTTATTTATCCTACATACCTGCAATCTTGTACCCTTTGACCAACAGCTCCCCACTTCCTTATCTTCCCTGCCTTGGTAACCACCATTCAACTGTTTTTATGTATTCAACATTTTTTAGATTCCACATATGAATAAGATCATGTGGTATTTTTCTTTCTGTGTCTGGCCTATTTCACCTTACATAATGTTCTCCAGGTTCATTTATATTGTCACAAATGGCAGGATTTCCTTCTTTTTTAAAGCTGAGTTGTATTTCATTGTATATATACCACAAGTTATTGATTTATTAAACCACTGACTCACACATTGTTTCCATGTCTTGGCTAGTGTGAATAATGCTGCCATGAACTTGAAAGTGCAGCTGTCTCTATGCAGTAGTGATTTCATTTCCTTTGGGTATATACCCAGAGGAGAGAATGCTGGATCATACAGTAGTTCTACTTTTAGGTTTTTGAGGAACTTCCATACTGTTTTCCATAATGGCTGTACGAATTTACATTCCTACCAAGTACAAGAACTCCCTTTTCTCCACATCCTTGTCAATATTTTTTATCTCTGTCAATTGATTTTTAAGAAAAATGCAAAGCAATTCAATGGAGAAAGAATGGTATTTTCAATAAATGTTCCTGTAACAATTAGTTATCCATAAAGAAATTATGAATCTCATTCATAACTCATAAACTACACAAAAACTAAGTCAACTTGAATCAGATACCTAAATGTAAACCTGAGACCATAAAACTCCTAGAAAAATCATACGAACACATCTTTTTGAACTTGAGGTAAGCAAAAACTTTTTAAACACAATTCTAAAAGAGCTCATTCATTTAAAAAAGTTGTGTGATATACATATTTTTAAAGTTTTATGATATTTATATACAAACATATATATCACATATATACACATATACATATGATAGATTTACATGTTTATACACACATGATATATATATTGTGTGTGTGTGTATATATATATATGTAAACCTTCTGCTCTTAACAGAATGAAGGAAAAAGCCAGAGATTGGAGTAAATATTTTTAAAGCATATATCTGATAAAGGAAATGAATCATATCTAGGATACATACAGAAATCTCAAAACTCAATAATAAAATAGTAAGAAGAAAAACATTCTAACCAAGATGGGCAAAAGATTTAAACAAACACTTCAGTGAGGAAGAGATAGGCCTGACCTTAAGGACAAGAAAAGGAAATGCCCAACATCATCATACCACCATGAGATACCACTACACACTGATTAGAATGCTCAAACAAAAATAAGAACAAAAATTAAATAGAACATCCAAATGCACAAACAACCTGACAATTTCACAACCTAGGAAGGATGTTGAGCAACTGGAATTTTTATATGTTGCTTCTTAAAACACAAACTGGACCTTTCTTTCAATGTTAAATACATAGTTTACCCAAAGGTGGAAAACCTTATCTTCACACAAGAATCTGTACAGGAGTGTTTATGGTAGCTGTATTCATAATTGCTTAAAACTGGAAGCAAACCAAATGACCTTCAGTGGGAAAATGGATAAACAATATGTGATAGAAGTATCACAGATGTTTACATAACCTGTGATACTTAGCAGTAAAAAGTAAACTAATAAATTCTTAGCTGGTAGAAGAGATACTATGATCACAAAATGGGTTTTGCTAGGGTGAGGCTTGTCTATTACACCAGGGATGTGCTGAACCTGAGATTCTTACCAAGAAACTCAACTGCAGAAATTTTGCTAGCAGGGTAAGATCAAAACAGCAACAATAAAAATAAAGCAATAAACGTAACAACATGAATGAATCACAACGCATTATGCTAAGGATAGGAAGCCAGACTCAAAGGGCCATAGAATTTATAATTCCATTTATATGACATTCTGGACAGAAAACAGATCAGTGATTGCCAAGGACCAGAGGTAAGGGTAAGGGATTAACTAAAAAGGGGCATGGAGTGATGGGTGATGGAAACTGATCTATATCATGATTGTGGTAGTGGCTACACAACTGTATGCTTTTGTCAAAACTAAAAGAACTGCTCTCTGAAAAAAATAAACTTTTCTAACTGTAAATTTGTCTCAATAAACCTGATCAAATAAAAGAATATATTTTTAATCATAAGGCAAACACTAAATGCCGTTGTATTCTGTCTCCAACTTTGATCAGAGATCAGTTTTTGTCCTGAGAATAAGAGAATAAAATAATTTCTGTCTGAAGCTGAGGTTTGTCTCAATTTTCTCCATTACTATGTTCTGAAATCCCCCTTTTCCATAAAATGACTCATTTGTCCAATCCTGCTGCCCAGGCTGTTACATGATGTAACTATCCACCTGCCTAAATTGCTGGTCTGAATTCCAGAACCCATCACAGCTGAACTTCTTGTCATGGTTTCTATCCACTTGCCTACTTTTAGCTTTTGATTCCTCTAAGTTACTTGCACCCTATAAAAAGTAGTTTATGAATGATTAATGAATAACCATCTTTCATCACCATTCAATTTGAATTTAAATCAATAGATGTATTTACTGTATGAAAGAGGCACTGTGCTAGGAATTAGACATGTAATAATGGACAGGAGATACATTATTACTGGATATATCTTCTGCCTCCACAGAACTTAAGAGACTTATGGTAGAGAGTACATCTTCAATTACAACCTAATATGGACTTGGGTTGACATATGAGAACATGGAAGGGCCATGTAACAGGTTTAGTCTAGGCAGCCAAGCCTTTTCAAAGTGATTTCTAAATTGGGTAATGGAGGGTGGGTAGGAATCACCCTAGGAGGTGAAGATAGGAGAGAAGAATAGTATTTCTGACATAAAGAGCACAGTCTGTAAAGCCCCAAACTGAGACAGCAAGGGAGTTCAATCATCTGAAAGGGTTCCTTAAAACAGAGACATATGGTCACATGGTTGCTGAGACATGAAACTGGATATACAGACAGGGATCAAGCCATGAAAAGCCTAATATATTGTATTAAAGGGTTTTTTCTTTCCTATTCCTGTACAGATACAATTATAGCATATTACACTTTTTATTAATGTACACTAGTTTTATGTGCATAATAACTTGGGAAAATTTAAATGGTTCCCTATCTGGGTAGACCTTGAAATTAATCTTTTAGGGGCTCTCAAAGGCTTGATCCCTCTACATTCTCTTTTCTGCTCTCATCTCCTAAATACACCTTATATTTTACAGGATAATTATCCCTCTTCCCTATCTGTCTTCACCCACACCAGATAGTCTTACAAACAACTGGCCGATCACAGAATTCGCATTGACAAGCGCTAAATCTTTAATCCTAAATGTCATTGTCATTTGTCCTATTACTACAATTGTGTCGCTACTTTTGGTGCTGTTTTATTTCCCGTTGAAAATCTTGACTTACTGTTATAACTATGTGTATTTAATGTCTGAAAGGCAGAGAGCAAAATAAATTGCAATAAAGTTACAATACTTCATAGCTTAAAATAAAAACACGTTTTATATAGTAATTATTTTTATTTGTAAAAGAAACTACAGAAAAAGGAGATAGAGTTCCTAAACTGGATAAACCCCAAAGTCCTCCCTACCTCTGGACTTCCCATTACCAAAACAGTCCCCATTTGTTTAAAAGATTTGTGTTTAGTGGTCTGTTACTTGTAGCCAAAGTCTTTCCAATGTAAAAATGTAAATATACATTTTTCTCATAAAGCTATTGTCTGCAAGTCGTAATAATCAGAGACCTTGACATTTCAGTTAATATCATAAACAAAAGCTTTGATGACTTTTTTTTTTTTTTTTTTTTTTTTACAAAAAGAATCACATAATAGACAACTAACAGAGAAGGTCAGTTTTAATTATGGTGCCTGAATTGTCTGTCATGGCTTATGCAGGTTTTGTTTCACAACCAATATTGAGTCAGAGAGAAATTAAATTTGGTGGGTGGTGACGATTTTCAAAGTAATTGACTTCATTGTGCTATTTACATTCCAGTATTTGAACTGGGCAGATACTAAGCATGGTGCTTTTATTAACTACTAATAACAACATTGGAAAATGTACTAAAAATGTTGCTGTTGTTATTATTATTCATAGTGATATAAATAAGTTAGCAGTATTAAGAGAATATTTTACTCATTCATTATTATCATTACTCAACAGACATTTATAGAGTCCACCATTTGCCATGTGATAAGTACTGAGGATTTAAAAGTAAGCAAGACAAAATTCGTGAATTCATCGTCTCAATCCATAGTAAGATTAAGAGACAGGTATGTTAGGAAAATAATAGATAAGAAACATATGAATTTGGTGGAAAATATTGTTTCAAGAGTCTTCAGGAAGCAAGCAGGATTAGTATTGAACCGGTTTGTTGCTATACATGCTAATAGTCATTTTAGGGCAGAAATAAAAACAATAGATGTACAGTGATCATTACCTCCCTTGTGAATCAGCTAATCTACAGTTGACATCTTGAACTAACAGGAGCCTTTCAACTTTGCTAAACACATGGCAATATTTTGATATTTGATAGATACTATTGTTGCAAAATAGCACTTTAATTTTTGTGGCAGGATGCAGAAAAATTATTTTCAAAATAAAAAAGATGATTATGGACATGATCCAGAGACTTAAAACGATGCTGAAGAGGACAACCAAAATGGGATTTTGGGATGATTGCCTTTTGTCAACATACTTCTCAATCTGTTTCTCTTGTGCCACCTGCAGGGGTGTTGACAGAACCAATTCCAAGAGGGCATGGGTGCTAAAAACTGGCATTTCTGCCTTTTTATAAATACCTTACATGGAAAAGGAATTTTCTTCCTGTTCAATGCTAACAGCAAATATTTTTCTCCTTTGTAAAATGTACATAAAGAAATTTTGATTATGTTTTTGTTATTTTGAGAATACCTACATGTCATGGATATTTTTCATGATTTTGTATATTATTTAGACCAGGATCCTTTTCTATAACTTTGATTAAATTATTAATGTCACAGATTGAATCAGTTGTCTCTGTAGTTGCCTTATAGACCTAGCATATTAAACAGTATCAAAAAGGGTTGTGATTCTACAAAGGAAAAAGGCATTTAATTGCAGTGCAGCTGTATGTTGTATTTGTCATCTGTTATACAAATGGGAGGGGATGAGAACCCCAAAATATCCAGGACCTATTATTTATTCTTAATCATCGTAATCACCATTGATAATTATTCATCAGCTCCTCACACATATTCTCCATCCTTTTGGATATTTGAAATGGCATTACTAAATATGTCGTGTTTGTTCTCGAGTACTGGCTAAAATCGTATGGTTTAAGAGAAAATTTGAAGGGAATATAGATCAGAAGATACATGTGCACATTTATTTTCTTTAGTGTTAAATAAATATTTATATTTAGGTTAATGTATATGGAAAATCATTATCCTTGAGAATGCAAATGAGATTTTTCCCTGAAAGAAAGTATCCTCTGTTTTGATACAGTATAAACATATACTATAAGTTATACTACAATCATAATAGAGTAACAATATAGAAGGGTAGGTTGGGGAGAGAAATTATACTATGTTGCATCATGTATCTCCCTTTTAAAAAATCAAGTGACCTTGGAAAATTGATAATGTTGTGCAATTTTGGAGGAGTTTTGTATATATGGAATACTGAGAAGAGCATAAGGTAATTTATGACAGTTGGAAATGAATATTTTTGTCACATAATATAATCCACAAAATTCATATGCATCCAGAATAGTTTTTTCACAAAATACACGGTGAATAGTAAAGTAAATTCATCAGCTCCTCACACATATTATTCCCAAAGATTATTGGATGAGACAACTAAGCCAGGAAGCCGTGTCTGACAATAAACACATTTCATCGTTGCTTGGTTTACTTTCAGTGCCTGGTATCAATTAATACTGATTGTCCTTTACCTTTTCTTTTGATAAGATTGAAGATACCACAGCGCAACTATTTCAAGGACTAGCAAGATGGGAGTTAGAGGAAAGAGTTCTAGCTGCCCCACCTAATCATAAATACATCTGCAAGTAATCGGATTCATGTTTAACTCTTTCATAGATGATTTAGAAAGGTCTTTTTTTTTTCTTTCAGGATGCTAAATTATTCCCTCAAGAAAGTGATCAGGCCCTTCTTAGCCTCCGTAGGCACGAGCTTAGTCATCTGCAAAATGATGCTGTTGAATCAGATCATCACTAAATACTCTTCCAGCTCTAAAATGTTATGAATTTACATGGATGGCGAGATTTATCCCTGGAGATTTTCACTCCATACTATGCCATGTATCCAGGTTTATAAATATAAAGTATTTCAGCTGGTATTAAATATGATAAATCTCCTACAGGGAGCTCAGAGCATTTCCACATACATAGTGTTCAATGTCAGTGCTGACGCAAATGATGATGGTAAGGAGTAAAACTCAATAATAAGAATATTCCGGGTCTCTAGTAATAAATTTAAAGATAGAGGAGACGATGAAGATAAAACAAAAGAAATAGGAAGGTAAATGAGCTCTGTATATTAAAAACATACTTAAAAACAAATTAGAGTGTTTGAATTGAAATAACAGAACTAGTCCTAGGTTCTTATCTTAGGCGAGTTTACCTCTTTCCTGCTAGCTCTGTGACTTTCCTTTTCAGCCTTATGATTTCCACCCTATTCCTTCATGCCTGGTGATCTCTACATGCCTGAAATTTTTCCCTGGTCTTGGCCTTTCTCTAATATTACTATCACCTTCCTTTTCCCAAATTAAATGTAAAGAGATATCATAACTTAAGTGAAAGCCTTTTTAAAAAAAGTGTTTGTTTTGTTTTGTTTTGTGAGGCGGATTTTCACTCATCTTGCCCAGGCTGGAGTGCAATAGCATGATCTCGGCTCACCGCAACCTCTGCCTCCTGGGTTCAAGTGATTCTCCTGGCTCAGCCTCCAGAGTAGCTGGGATTACAGGCATGCGCCACCACACCCGGCTTATTTTGTATTTTTAGTAGAGACAGGGTTTCTCCATGTTGGTCAGGCTGGTCTCGAACTCCCGACCTCAGGTGATCTGCTGGCCTCGGCCTCCCAAAATGTTGGGATTACAGGCGTGAGCCACCGCACCTGGCAAGTGAAAGCCTTTTTAAGGAGAAGCCAAGCAATAAGTGCCTTTGCTCTCCCCATTTCAGCATCACTGTTACTACCTTCATGAATATAAGATATGGAGGAAACATCTTGAAACCTAAAGGATTCTAAATTATGATGAAGCAAGAAATAGGACAGGTTATTCCATTCACATTGTCCAAAGGGCTCTAGGAATTAGTATACTTACACTCAATATAGGATACCAATAAATTGGTGGTTCACCTCTAAACTACTTTAGAAGCAAAATAAGCTATTGTCCAACAAAAGACTATAATTATATAACACAATAAACATGATCACATAACTGATGTGGCTGACTTTGCCTTTCACACACTTTAGTAAAACCTACAGCTTAAAAAACTTTTGTAACTCTATCCTTTGCCATTTTTCTGCACTTTGTGAAACTGCAATGAGTTTGATGAACACTTTATTACTAAAGAGAGACAATTAACAATATTATAGGTAGCAGATATTTTTGAGGTGTCTTCCTTTAGTTTGATAGTGTTCACCACTCACTCAGATCACAGCGTTTTAAGTTAATTTAATGTGCCAAAAATTGATAATTAAAACAATCTAAATTTCAAAATTAAGTGACTTGAACTGATTTGGTTGTGTTGTATATTTTGCAACTGAATGTTGGCCTCCATGAGAAAAAACAATAAGTTTATATGTCTTCTTTAAACATGGCCTGGAAAATGAAGTACTTAGTGAATCAAATGTTCTTAAGAGTTTTGGTCTCAGACATCTTTAGACTCTTACAAATTACTGAAGAATTCAAAGGTTTTTTGTTAATGTGAGTAATATTTATTGATTTTTACCATATTAAAATTAGAACTGACATTTTTTTAATAGTAAATTAATTTATTCTAAAATTCAAATAAGTCTCTTGCATGTTAAAATATCATACTGTATGAATAATAACCATTTTCCAAAGCAAAAAATAAATAGTGAGAAGAATAAGCACTACTTTATATTTGTAGAAATATCCTCAATATCTAGCTTCATAGAAAACCACTGGAGTCATACCTGCTTCTGTATTCAATCTTACTCAGATAACACACACCATATAGCCTCTGGAAAACACTGCATACTTGTGAGAAACTTGGAGTGAAAAGAATAAAAAATATTTTAACATTATTATGAAAATATTTTTGACCTTGTAAACCTTGAAAGGGTCCCAGTGATAGCACTCATTTCCTGGAACACATTTAAGAATTGCAATCTTGACTTATTTAATAATCTAGTTATTCAATAATAATTTGTTGAACTGCTTTGGTGTGATAGACACAATGACAGTTACTAAAAATATATTGCTTAAAAAGATGTTATGTCTGGCTTCTGAGGGGGCATACATTAGTGAAGAATACCAGGGAATAAATAGGTAACTATACTACTATATAGCAAGTCGTGTCTGCAGAATGCTATTGGGGAATGTTTTTACATATATATACACATATATATACATACATATATGTGTGTGTATATATATGTATATATATACTCACACACATATGTACACACACATATGTAAAACATATATATACACACACATATGTAAAACATTATATATATACACACATATATAAACATATGTATTTGGTCTTACACAAACATATACGTATGTGTATGATGAAATAATGAGAAGAGAATAATGGAATCTTAGGTATGAGAGTGAAACTTAGATATCAAGTCCAAACTTCTAACCATTAGATGATACAAAGGACTCTTTTAAAAGTTTAAGCAAAAGCTTCATTGATCAGGATCTTGCATACAGATTTTCTGACTCCTTGACTATTACTCTGGTACATCTGTTCTTCAGGTTTCTGGAACATACCAGGCATAAAATTAACAAACCAGTGGTAGGAGGGTGGGAAGATGTGTTCACCTATATAAGTTGGCATAGTAAATTTCCCCGCCTTATTTCTCTTTCCTCGTTGTTAATATGAGCAATTATTCTATTTTATCATACCTGACTTAGATTCTGCTTCAGAAACATCAGTTACTGTTTTCAATATCTAAAAATTATTTGACTTATTGTTTATGTGATATCTGTTTGGCAATATTCCAACCCTCGCTAAGGTCAACTAATCACTTCCTTGGCACCTGCTCCTGAAATATAGAATCTGCTATAGAAACTGGGACTTAGCCCATAGTCATGCTAGAAAAGGGTGTACATTCTCTACTTGTTGATTGCAGGATCCTATACATAAATTGATGAGATCAACTCATTAATTGTATTATACAAATATTCTACATTCTTACTAATTTTTATGTATTCATCATATAGATTTCTGAGAAAAAGATGTTAAGTTCTCCAGTGTGATTGTGTAATTGACCGTTTCATTCATTCATTTATTCAGCTTTTATATGTTTTGATTCCATGTAATTAAGCATATACTGATATAGGATTGTTTTTCTATCTGTGAAAAAAAACAGGAAGTAAACACAAATACATTCTTGTGGGATTTCCCCTCTATTTGCTTAACCATAATTTTAATAATCACTTTTAGTTTTAATTTTAGTGATCAACCCTACCTTTTAATTTTTATGTGCTTTTTAATTAAGTTTTGCATTAACATAATTTTGCGCTTCTTGTGTTGCAAGCTTATTTTATGTCCAATCTTACTTTTTTTCTAATTCATACATTTGAAATTACAATCTTTACAATTTAACAGTAAGCATTTCTTACTTCTTTGCTTATTATTGAATATAACATCACACATTTGCCTTCTTTTGCTTTTCTTCTTGGAGTAAATTCTTCAATAAATATTTCAGAACAGATCTATTTGTAAGAAACTTTTTGAGATTTTGCATAACTCCAATTATTTGTGATTCTCTTTCTTGCTTGGTGATAGTTTACATAAGTATAAGATTCTCATAAAATTTTTTTTCTTCAGACTTTTGAAAACTTTGATCCATGTTATTTTAATATCCTGTATTAATAAGTTATTTTACTCCTTGTTTGACATGTACTCCTTTATGGAGATAATCTACCTGTTTTCTTCTCTAGAAGTTTTTAGGAATTCTCTCTTTATTCTTATTTTTTTCTGAAATTATGTAAGATATAGGTTTCAGGCTTAGTTGTTATTTTTAAACATTTATTATATTTACTTAGCCTATTCTGCAAGCAAGGAATTTTTTCAATCTTAAGATACCTGCAATATTTTTTTTCTGCTAATTTGGCACCTCTACTATTATTGCTTTAAAATTTCCCCTTTAAAAATCCATTTTGATTTATGGGTTTTTCTTAGATTCTTACCCTTTGTGCTTTATACAATCATGTGAAACAATCAGATTATTATCTCTAATCAATAATTCTATTAACTGAATGACTTAGGGCTCTAATTCTGCTACTTGCTGATCTTGTTGACATTTTCCAATAAAGGAGGATTCTTATTGTTTTTTTCTAATTTTAGATTGTGAACTTCTGTTCAGCAGGGATTTAACAGGGAGATCCCTTTGAGGTTTTGGTTGAAGTTATGTTTTTCTGAGGATTTTTGTATTTGCTATTCTTAGGTGCACCCAGGGTCATTAACAGTCCTGTACCGGTTTCTATTTTACATTTTTAGCTTTAGGGTATCTGGACAATGCAAGTAGTATAAATATCAGAACCTTCATCAAAGCAAGTATGTAGTTCAAACATTAATGCATGTTTTTTTCACTCAATGTCCATGTTAATAAATATAAACTTTGTTTTTATCTCACTTTGCTTATTTCCCCCTAACATTCCATTTAAGATATAGTATTTTCTTGGAAATCTTATACATGGGGTTTCATGCATGCCTTTACTTTGACTTTTATTCCCATATACTCATTACACCCAAGTCTCTCTGATTAATGAAGACAGCACATTATTTTAGGACAATCAAATATTCTGTATCCATTTACCACTGTGCCTGTCACTCACTTCCCCTGCGTTTTGTTCTGTGGGGATTCCTTCTTTATTGTAAACATATTTTATTCAAAATATCTAGATATTTTACAGCAGAAATTTATTCAGGTTAATCTAGCCTAGTATTGTGAAACATTCTCCTCTATTTTCCATTTTTCAAGATTTCCTTTTCACATTCAACCTTGGTTATGGATTGTAAAATAAATAACTTTTCTCTTATTTCTATGCATTTGAAGGAGGAAAGGAGACAGCAGTATTCCCTATATAGTATCTTGAATTAGGGCCTCTAATTAGCATTTTATAATGTAGCTACAATTATATTTTGTTGCAATGCAAAATCAATCATGTTATGCTTGTGTTTAAAATTCTTCAAAGTCTACTTTTTGAGACTATAGAATAAACTCCAGTCTCCAAAATCTTACAAGGCTTTTTAAAATTTGGCACCTTTTGAAAAAGGGTCTTAGTTAAAACTATCCTGAAAGTAATGATGATCAAGGGCCTGCCATAATTTTCTCCCTTGAGCATTGAAAGGGAGTAAGCTAAGCAATTTTGCTGTTCTCGGGGTAGTTGAAAACTTTGCAGCTAAAAGGAGATCCATGTGTTTTGGAATAAGGAAAGTTCCTGCGGCTCAAATTCAGAGCAGCGGGAATGTCTCCCAGGAAATAAAGCCCATATTAATTTAGCTTATTTGATGTAGAGGGGACTTTTCCTTACCTGTCAGCCCCTGGGTCCCAGAGCAGGCATGTCCTGATCACTTGATGCTGCCTGACCGCTCTCCAACAGACATGCTGACCCATAGTACACAGGAGGAGAAAGGGTGCTTCTGGTGAACCAAGAGTTGTTTCCTGTAAAGAGACGGCATGGTGGAGCCTGAAGGTACTGGGAGCTTCTCCCTTCCATTAGCCACCTCAGGAACCAAGGTTTTGTCACTGAAAGCATAACTGGGTAGGGCTGTCATGTGGCCCAACCCTGATGCAATGCTTAATCTCCTTTGGCTTAGCTTTACCACTCTCCTGTCTTCCTCTTCAGCCTCATCTTGGTCATCCTGCCTTCTGTTCGCTAATCTTTATTTGGATATCATTTCATATACTAAAGGCAATATACCTGTCACTCTCTAGTAGAAACATATATTTCACTCCAATTTCTTCCCTCATCTGGATCTCTGCCACAAATATTGTACAAGTAGTTTCATTTTGTCTTAGTTTTCCCAGGCCCTAGCATAGGTTGGTTCCCTTTGGAAAATATGCATGCATTTCCACTATGATCAAATTTCAATGAATAACTTATATGACATTTGTGTTCCTCTCAGTACCCACATATACACATACCCAAGTCAGTAAACTGTATAAAGATATTGATCATTGTATCTTGTTGATAAGAGTAAGCCCAAAGCCAAAAGCAAGGCCTGGCCTGCCCATAAACTGATTGAATTCAATTTTAACTGATACTCATTTTCCTATATGTGAGTATAATTTTATTTTTTATATATATTTTCATGCCCTCATGTACATACTATGCTGGTTATTTTAAGTCCCTTTAGAGCCAATGGTGTATTTCTCTTAGGCATTTCAAAACTCCACACCATGACCATAATATTGAGATATGGTTTATGATCTAAAATATGTGTTGAATAAAATAGATACACTTAACAAATTAAGTACACAATTTAAGTTATGAGTATAATTTTATGAGTGACTTCTGAAACAGTATGAATTAGAAGCCACGTAATAAAACATAACTCTGAACAATTTATTCTTATGCCCCAGGAAATCATTCAAAATTTACTAAGAACATTATGCTTGTGTAGAATAATGACATACAAAATCCTCAGTCATAGATATTAAAGGAACATCTAAAAGTATAATGTCCTATTAATGATGGAAAATTAAACATGCAATTGAGTTACTCTTTTTACTGGAAGGAGAAATCAAATATAAAGGAAGCATTAGTTTCCATTTATCTCCAAGTTCTAATCTGTATTCACATACATGTATTTGCATTCACAAGTTCAGATTTAATAAGCAGAAATGATTATTTTAGGCTGTAATTGATTATAGAAAGCCTATGAGGATCAGACTCAAAATATAACTCTCACAGTCTTGTAAAGTCTATCAATACAAAAATCACTGGGCTTGTGATTTAGCACTTCTCTGTCTTCACTAACTTTGCTATTGCCCTGGGCAAATCTCGACTTTAGCTGAAGCTGCATATGAGATGCCAACCTTTCCCGACTAAACAAATGTTACCACCACCCTCTCAAGCTGTTTGCCTAAATGAGGGTCCAAGATTATGTTTCAATAGGTGAGACTTCTGTTTCATTTCTGTTCTATACTTAAAATATTTTTTTAAAAAAGACATTGATATTTCTGCTTACTTTTCATGCTGGTTTTCAGAAGTATAGTAGGTTTGATGAGAAAATTCACATCTCCTGTTATGGGGGCAAATCATATGACTTCCATTAAATTAGTGATTCTCAAACTTGGCTGCACATTGAAATCACCTGGGGAGCTTTAAAAAGAACTGATGCCTGGGTCTCACCTCCAGAGATTCTGAGGTAATTGGTTGGAAGTTCAGCTTCTCGGGCATGGGATTTTTTTAAGAACTCCCCAAGTGATTCTAATGTGCAGCCAAGGTTGAAAACCACTGTGCTAATTAATAGAATAATAATGAATTGCCTAATCACAGAGAAGACCACACAGATAAAACTATGGCTATAATTGGGAAACTAGTAATTTTGAGAAATAATATTTTTGAAGGAATGAGAATATAATAAATTTGAGGCTTTTGTAATTGCATGCAGCCTGTATTTCATGGAAGGCCTGATAAATATCCAGCAAATTATAAGCAGGGGACTCACTATTAATTCTGCATTTATTTTCTTATATAAGCATAAAATGAACTGAACAAGATTCATCTATTCATTACTTCAACAAATATGTATGGAGTCCTTAAAATATGTTTCTCATTTTTCATTGCTGGATTCTTCTGTAAAATAATTGGAAGGAAACTCATTGTTTATTTTCAACAAAGATTAACCCTAAATCGAGGAGAAGGGGAAAACATTCTTAGAAGAGAAAACATCTTAAACACAGAGCTCATCATCACTTTCCACAAGCAAGACAGGAGAACTGAATGATATTCTTTATGTCAAAGGCACCAAATTAATTCCCACATGTAAAAATTAAGTGAATAAATAAAATGCTGTAAGTAAAAGATTAGTACAGTAGGGAGTGGGTGCTCAATAATTATTCATGTCCCTTTAGCTTCTTCTGAAGCTTGGATGATTATTAAAATAATAATAATTTGAATATGTAACTAAAATATTCTTTCCACTTCAAACTGTTACTTACAATGCTGCCGGATTAGGTTTGCAAAATTACACTTCTGAAAACAATACAAAGGTATATAGAAAAAAGTTTAAAAATCTGACTTCAGTAAAATTCTCCTTTGCTTCTTGAAAATAACTATTATTTAAAATATGGTATGTAACTCCCAGAAGTTTCTTGCACAAATGTAGATTTTAAATGTGCAGACCAACACGAGCATATATATGTGTATACATATATATGTGTATATATAAACATTTATTTTATTTTCCCATCAACCAAACTAAAGTTGTTTTAAATTTCTAACAAATTAAGAAATGTTTTTGAGATGAACACATTTGCATGCTGATGGGAATGATCCAGTAGAGTGAGATAAATTGATGATATCAGAGAGAAGGAATGTGATAATGCAGAAATTAAGTCTTTGAGATGCAGAGAGAGGGCAGGATCCAGAGGAACTGGGCTTTGATGCAAGAAATTTATTTCATTTACAACATGAGAAGAGGCAGTGAATATGCATGCAGATGCAGATGATTTGATGAAATTGTGAGACATCAGGAAATTACTGACTTTTTTCTATAAATTTTTTTCAATAAAATTTTAGAGGAAAGACATACACACACACACACAGAGAGAGACTTTGGAGGAAAAGAACACTATGTGAAATAATCTTCTGGAAGAGTGGAAATGTAAATATATCAGGGAAGTGTGGAAATTCTGACCAGCAGAAAGCGCCTTTTAAGCATAAATAGTCATTAATTTAAAGGGCAATGTATCTGCGATAATGTGCAATATTCTCCGTTCTGCATTCATCTGCTTAGGAAAAAACTATTGAGTACAAAGCTATCTAGTTATAGCCAGGATTGAACTTTGACCAGTTATGTACAATGGAGGGAGGGAAGGGCAATGGAACTGAAATGAGTAACTAAAATTATGGAACACAAAATCCAAGTTAGATATTGAAGGAAGTGAGTATGTGAAAGGGTTCATATGTAATAATAATAATAAATTATAGAACAAATCATTGGAGGCGTCAGTGAGTTTGAGTAATTATAGGAGATAAAATTCTAGACTGAATATAGGAAATAGAATATAGAGAAACTGAATACAGGAAATCTTCATCAGAGTGTAAAATGATTGCAGCAGAAATTTTGGAGTTACACAATTATTAGTATCAATAAGGGCATAGGAGTCAGTGGTTGAGGATGATGGAAGAAATGATAATTGCAGCAGTATGTTCAGGAACTATGAAGACTAAGTAAGGGAGGGATTATTTTTATGGATGTCGAATCATCCAAGTATGATTACGTGTGAAGTGGTAGAAGAGAGTAAGCTAGGTGCTGAACACAACGGTAAATGAGAAGTGACCTATCTGGCTGTTAGATGAAAGTATTAAAAGAAGTATCAGTGAAGACTCACGGCATGAATTTCAGAAGATCTGGAGTTTTGAAGGAGGATGAAGATAAAATGTTTAGAAAAAGCAAGGAGAACAAAAACAACAACAAAAAAACAAAACGAAGCCAAAAACCAAAAACTTCTAGAGACCCTGATTGTTTGGGTGGTTTAAACTTTCGGTGTATTTATAGGCCATATATTCTGAGTTCTGATACTATGTTTGTTCAAATAACTTTCCCAAAGCTATCATTGTCTTTTAAATTTGTATGGCTTTTTTAACAGAAGATTTAATTTTGAGATAGTTACATCTGTCAATTTTCCCATTATAGTTTTATATTTTCTTCCCTGCCAAAAGCAAACAACTAGTTTTGGGGGTACGCATCATCAGCCCTGTGTTCAGATAGAGGACTGGCCTCATTTCATGGCGTTATTCAGTCCTTTGGATTCCTAATCACTGAGAGGAGTTTAGTACTTATCCTTCTTCCCTATTTCCTATCTTGAAAAGCCTAGGCCTCAAGACTTTAGCTTCCATCACTACTAATGGTTCCTGTAAAATATTTTGTATGTATATGTATATACAGTAAGTCCTCACTTAACATCGTCAACAGGTTCTTGGAAATTGCAACTTTAAGTGAAATGACATACAGCAGGTCCTCAACATCGTTTTGTTCAACATTGTTTCCTGATAATGTTGATGAGAAATAAACACGTTAGTTTTGTTATACATTGTCTTGCTTCAAATTGCAGTTTTCAACAACCTACTGACAATGTTAAGTGCGGACTTACTGTACATGTCTTATACATATCTATAACTATATATGTGTGTGTTTGTAGGTGTGTGTGTGGCATTGTATATGTGTGTGTGCATGTGTGTATATTTATATCTATATTTTGTTTTCCACAATATACATATTGTCTCAATAATTTCTATATCATATTTAGATAAGAAGAATGCAGGTTGTAAGTACAGCTTCTCTACAATGATAAGTCAAAAACTTTTAGTCCAAGAAAAAAATACCCCAATCCTTGTGGATCACAAAATGTCTCTCTAACAAGATACACTTAATGCTTCCATATACAGTACAACTGATTAAATAACCCAATTCCCTGGACATACCAATATAAAAGTCAACAAATTTCATGGACTACTGTGAGTTATTAAATGACCAATAATCATCTATAAACTGTGAGAAAACTCTAGTAGTCGAATGAAGTCCTATTAAGAAATAATGAAATACAACATGCTAACTATGAAACTGGTGAAGATTAAACAAATATTATTACTCCCAGAGGTCCAGTTATTGGAAAATGGACCCTCTTGGATGAAACTAATAGGAGATTACATTGGTACAAATGTACTTGAAATAAAGAAATATTCAAAACTTATAGAGTGTACAGACTCTCTAAGTATTAATAACTTACTCAGAAAATTATCACATTTGTGTGCAAAGAGGAAGTTTATGTTTGTGGTATTTAAAATGATAAAAGTTGGAAAAATATTAATAATCAAAGGTAATTTGAAAACTGATGTAATAATATACACCATTAAAACTCAAACTTAGAGAAGGATGCTTAATGACATTGTGAAATGATTACACTATTAAAGGGTGGTGGGGGAGAAGAAGACCACAGAGCAATAAGATACCACTTAGCATAAACTGTGAGTGTCCGTGTGTGTGCGTGTGTGTGTGTGTGTGTGTGTGTGTGTGTGTGTGTGTCTGGCTGGAAGAACATAACCCCAAACTTAATGGTTAAGTTCAAGATACTTTTTGGTTGGGGGATGATTGCATTTTCCACATATATATATATATATATTATATTTACAATACAGTTATTTTTATAAATAGATTAAAAAGACTGCTATTATTAAAGTGTCAAGTATAAAAAAAAGAGCCTGGTAAAGATCATACATTACAATTGTTATTTATTATGATCTCTGAAGAAAAAAACTCCAGTTCTTACTACTTTGTTCTTCCTAATTTATGATCATCATTGCATTTGAACGTAATTTATAACATTATTTAAAAGTCAATTCTTTATTGTACTCATAATGTAGACCGTTAACGATTCCTGAACTTCACTTCCGAATTCTATGTAACATTTCTTCACGGAAGGCTGGGTTTATTAGACCCATCTTCTACATGTTTTCTCTCTAACATGCATAGAAAAACATTTCAGAAACAGAAACTGTTTGCATCTTCTGCTGATTTTCTTTTGATCTTGAATTCTGCCAGGATAAACTAAAGTGGGTTAATCAATATGATGTCAGCATCAGCACCTAGATGATACCGTATGGGGATCTTCCAAAGAATATATTTGAGTTTGTCTCCTCTCAGCTCAGTCTAACATTGTGAGTGTGTGTGCGTGTCTGCTGGTACCCAATTCAAGCTTTTAATTTTGTAAACTTTGTATTTTCCTTGTCACTGCAATGAGAATTCTTACTCATTACACTTCTGTAATGTGTAAGATTTTGTATAGACTTGATACTCGTGTTTAGGTTGTGAAATCTGCCATGAACCATTTGCTATTTCACTGTGCAAGATCAAAATTTTGCATTTAATTTTGGGAGTTGAAAAGCAACTATTTAGTGTCAGGTTGTTAAAAATTTATACTTAGGTTGGGCATGGTGGCCCACACCTGTAATCTCAGCACTTTGGGAGGCCAAGGTGGGTGGATAACCTGAGGTCAAGAGTTCCAGACCAGCCTGGCCAACATGGTGAAACCCCATCTCTACTAAAAATACAAAAATTAGCTAGAGGTGGTGGCACACACCTGTAGTCCCTGCTCTCGGGAGCTGAGGCAGGGGAATCACTTGAACTCGGGAGGCAGAGGTTGCAGTGAGCCAAGATGGCGCCACTGCACTCCAGCCTGGGCAACAGAGTGAGACTCCATCTCCCAAAAAAAAAAAAAAAAAAAAAAAAATTATACTTAAAGCCAAAATGAAACAGGTCAATAACTTTTATAAGAAAATAAAAATATAGTTCTGAGTAAATGGATTAAAAATAGTTTTGTGCCCTACGATTACAATTTTTCTAGGGTTTCAACATTTCAGATTCCAAATGTAAGTGAGATAATGACGTATTTTCTTTCTGTGTCTGGCTTCTTTCACTTAGCATAATGTCCTCAGGGTTATGCATGTTATTAAAAATGACAGGCTTTCTTTTCTTTTTTTTAGACGGAGTCTCGCTCTGTTGCCAGGCTGGAGTGCAGTGGTGCCATCTAGGCTCACTGCAACCTCTGCTTGCCTGGTTCAAGCAATTCCCCTGCCTCAGCCTCCCGTGTAGCTGGGACTACAGGCGCGTGAGGATTTCCTAATTTTTTAAGGTTGAATAATTATCTATCTATCTATCTATCTATCTATCTATCTATCTATATATATGGACATGTCCATATGGATTATATAAATATATCCATATATAATGGATATATATATGTATATAACGATTTCTTTATTCATTCATCTGTTGACAGACACTTAAGTAGTTTCTATATCTTGGCTATTGTGAATAATGCTTCCTTGAACATACTAGTGCAGCTATCTCTTTAAGATACTGATTCCATTTCCACTGAATATATTCTCTGAAGAGGAATCATTCGATCATATGGTAGTTCTAGTTTTATTTTTGAAGGGAACTTGCATACTTTTTTCCATAATGTCTCTACTAATTTACATTCTCATCAACAATGTACAAGAGTTCCCTTTTCTTCACATCCTCACCAACACTTACCTTTTGTCTTTTTGATAATAGCCCTCTATCCTAACAGGTGGTAGGTAATATCTCATTTTGGTTGTGATTTGCATTTCCCTGATGGTTAGTGATGTTGAGCACCTTTTCATAAACCTATTGACCACCCGTATGTCTTCTTTGGAAAACTGTCTATTGAGTCTTTTGCCCATTTTTAAACTAGGTTGTTTGTTTTTGTGCTATTGAGTTGTATCAGTTTCTTATATATTTTAGGTATTAACCCTTTATCCAGTGTATGGTTTGCAAATATTTTCTCCCTTTCTGTAGGTGGGCTTTTTATCTTGATTGTTTCATTTGCTGTGCAGAAGCTTTTTATTTTGATCTACTTCCACTTGTTTATTTTGCTTTTGTTGCCTATGCTTTTGGCGGCATATTAAAAAATCTCATTACCTGCTTTTGTATTCTGCTACTTCACTGAATTTGTTTATTAGTTTTAATAGTTTTTCATGGCATCTTTAGGGTTTTCTACATGTAGGATCAAGTCACCTGTAAACAAAGACAAATTTACTTTTTCCCTTCCAGTTTTTACGTCTTTTATTTCTTTTTATTTGATTCCTCCTCTTAGTACTTCTAGAACTATGTTTAATAGAAACTGATGGTGGGCATCTTTGCCTTTTACTAGATGTTATAGAGAAAGTTTTCAGTTTATTTAGACTGCTTATTAGCTGTGGGCTTTTTATAAATGGAGATTATTGATTATTGTGTTTAGAAAAGTTTCTTCTATACCTATTTGTTTTAGATCTTTCATCGCTAATGGATATTGAATTTTGTTAAATGCCCTTTCTGCATCTATGGAGATAATTGTGTGTTTCTTTTTCATTCTGTTAATGTAGTGTATCACACTGATAGATTTCTGCATGTTAAACTACTCTTGTATCACAAGAATAAATCCCACTTGGTCATGTTGTATAATCTTTTTGATATGCCATTGAATTCAGTTCACTATTATTTTGTTGAGGACATTTTTCATCTCTTTTCTTCAGAAATATTGGCCTGTAATTGTATTTTTCTTTTGATGTCTGTTCCTGGCTTCAGTATCAGGATGAAGTTGTTATTTTAGGTTGGAGAAGGGAACAATATCTAGTGGGTCTGACTCATGTCATAAACCCATAAAAGACAAGAAGCAGCCTGAAGTGTTCTTTGGTACCAACATCGACGACTCTGTTTTAGTAATAATTGCACTGCTCAAAGCACTTCTAAGAGTTTTGAGTGTTCTTGGGGTTTATGCAAAAGAACACTCATGAGCTTTATTATGTCCTGTCTAAAGGGTCACTTAGACAAACTAATGTACCCCATTAATTAATAAGCTGAGTATTACCACCAAATGCCTAAGATGTCAAGAAGTGATAATTGTCTCTTGACAAAAAGAATAATTTTTCCTTTTCAGGGGAAATAGTGTTGAGAAAACCCTGGAGTTGGAGACTGGAAATGAAGGAAGGGAGCTAAAGAATCCATAAAAGCACTTCCTGAAGCAATGGGACAACTCTAAATGCTTACCAACTTCAGACTACTGAGGCATTTCCATAGTACCAATCAAATAAAAAAATGTACTACTCTCTTTACTGTTTCACCCTTCCTCTGATCCATATCCCTCCATCTACTCCACTTGGAAGAGGACATAAATTATAATAAGAAAGATGGAGAAAGACAGGTAGACACAAAAGTTCAGGAAAGAGAACAGTACATTCTTATTACAGGACTGAGTAAGAAAACACTTTGATTATTATATTTTATAGTTTTATTATAAAGATCTTTCCTTTTTTGGTTAAGTTTATTCTTACGTATTTTATTTTATTTGTAGCTATTGTAACTGGAATTTCTTTTGTGATTGCTTTCTCAGATTGTTTCCTGTTAGAATAAAGTAATACTACTGAATTTGGTATGTTGTTTTTGTATCCTGCAACTTTATTAAATTTGTTTATCCATTCTAATATTTTTTTCTGGAGTCTTTAGGTTTTTCCAAACATAAGATCATATCATCTTCTGACAAGGATAATTTGATTTCTTCTTTTCCAATTTGGATGCCCTTTATTTTCTTCTCTTGTCTAATGACTCTGGTATGACTTCAAGTATTGTGTTGAGTAACAGTGGTGACAGTGGGCATCCTTGCGGTGTGCCAGATCTTAGAGGAAAGGCTTTCAGTTATTCCCCATTCAGGATTATACTAGATTTGACTCTGATGTATATGGCCTTCATTGTATTGAGTTATGTTCCATCTATAACCAGCTTTTTGAAGGTTTTTATCATGAAGGGATATTGAATTTTATCAAATGCTGTACTAATATTTTGCTGAGAATTTTTACATCAATGTTCATCATGGATATTGGCCTGTGTTTTTCTTATTATTGATGTGCTTTTGTCTTGCTTTGGTATCAGGGCAATACTGACCTCACGTTAATAGAATGAGTTTGGAAGTATTCCCACCTCCTCTATTTCTCAGAATAGTTGGAGGAGGATTGGTATTAGTTCTTTAAATATTTGATAAAAATTAGCCATGAAGCCACTGGGTCCTGGGCTTTTCTTTGCTGGGAGACGTTTTATTATGAGTTTGATCTCACTACTTGTTATTCGTTTGTTTCGATTTTGGATTTCTTCATGGTTCAATCTCAGTAGGTTGTCTGTGTCTTGGAATTTATCCCTTTATTCTAGGATTTCCAATTTATTGGAATATAGCTGCTCACAGTAGCCTGTAATGATGCTTCGAATTTCTGCAGTATTGTTTGTAATGTCTCCTTTTTCATCTCTAATTTTATTTATTTGAGCCTTCTCTCTTTTTTTCTTAGTTAGTTTGACTATTGGTTTGTCAGTTTTGTTTATATTTTCAAAAAACCAAACCAACTTTTTGTTTCACTGATGTTTTGTATTACTTTTTCATTTCAAATTCATGTATTTCTGCTCTGATCTTTATTATTTATTTTCTTCTACTAATTTTGGGTTTGGTTTGCTTTTGCTTTCCTAGTTCTTTAAGATACATCATTAAGTTGTTTATTTGAAGTTTTTTTACTTTTTTGATGTAGGCCCTTATTTCTATAAACTTTCCTCTTCGTACTGCTTTGCCATATCCTACAGATTTTAGTATGTTGTGTTTCCATTATCATTTGTTTCAAGACATTTTAAAATTTTCTTCTAAATTTCTTCATTGACCTACTGGTCATTCGGGAGCATATTGTTTAACTTCTATGTGTTTGTATAGTTTCTAAATTTCCTCTTCTTATTGATTTCTAGTTTATTCCACTGTGGTCAGAGAAGATGCTTGATATTATTTCAGATTTTTTGAATGTTTCAAGATTTGTGGACTAACATATGGTCTGTCCTTGAGAATGATCCATGTGCTGAGGAGAAGAATGTGTATTCTTCAGCCACTGGATGAAATGTTCTGTAAATATCTATTTGGTTCATTTGGTCTGTGGTGCAGATTAAGTCTGATGTTTCTTTGTTGATTTTCCATCTGGATGATCCAATGCTGAACATTGGATGTTGAAGTCTCCAGCTATTATTGTATTGGAGTCTGTCTCTCTCTTGAATTCTAATAATATTTGCTTTACATATCTGGGTGACTCAGTGTTGACTGAATACATATTTATAACTCATCATTTTATTTATTTATAACTCTTATCATTTTATCATTAGATAATGACCTTCTTTGTATCTTCTTATAGTTTTTATCTTGAAATCTATTTTGTCTGGTAGAAGTGTCCTGCTCTTTTCTGGTTTCCATTAGAATGAAATAGCTTTTTCCTTCCCTTTGTTTTCAGTCTGTATATGCCCATGTGTCTTCATAGATGAAGGGTATTTCTTGTAGGCAACAGATTATTGGGTCATTTTAAAACATCCATTCAGCCACTCTGTCTTTTGATTGGAGAGTTTAGTCCATTTATATTCTATGTTATTATGTATAAGTAAGGATTTACTACTGCCATTTTGTTATTTGTTTTCTGGTTGTTTTGTGGTCTTCTTTCTTTTCTTCTTTCCTGTCTTCCTTTACTCTGGTGGCATGTTTTAATTTCCTGCTGTTTATTTTTTGTGTATCTGTTGTAAGTTTTTTGATATGTGGTTACCATGAGGCTTGCAAATAATATCTTAAAACCCATTATTTTAAAGTGATGACAACTTACCACAGATTTCATAATTGAACAAACAATCTAACAAACAAGCCAGGAGAACACTAATGAAAACTTGACACTTTTATTTCATCCCACTGCTTTTAAAGTTTTTGTTTTTATTCATATCTTATAGCACTATGACTTCAAAAATTATTATAATTATTTTTGATAGGTTCATCTTTTAGTCTTTCTACTCAAGATATAAGTAGTTTGTACACCATAATTACAGTGTTATAATATTCTGCATTTTCCTGTGTACTTACTATTGCCAGTGAATTTCATAACTTCAGATGATTTCTTATAGTTCATTAATGTCCTTTTCTTTCATATTGAAGAACTCACTTTAGCATATCTTGTAGGACAGGGCTGGAGTTGATGAAATCCCTCAGCTTTTGTTTGTCTGGAAATGTCTTTATTTCTCCTTCATGTTTGATGGACATTTTTGCTAGATATCCTAATCTAGGATAAAAGTTACTTTCCTTCAGCATTTTAAATACGTTATGCCACTCTTTAATGGCCTGTAAGATTTTCACAGAAAAGTCTTCTGCCAGAAGTATTGGAGTTCCATTATGTTATTTGGTTCTTTTCTCTTGCTGGTTTTGGGATCATTTCTTTATCCTTGTCCTTTGAGAGGTGTATTTTTCAATGTCTTGAGTTAGGCTTCTTTGCGTTAAATCTGCTTAATGTTCTATAACCTTCTTGCAGTTGTATATTGATATCTTCCTTTACGTTTGGGAAGTTATTATCCCTCTGAATAAACTTTCTACCCCAATATTCTTTCTACCTCCTCTCTGAGGCCAATAACTCTTATATTTGCCTTTTGGGGGATATTTTCTAGATCTTGTGGGCTTGCATTTTTGTTTTTTATTCTTGTTTCTTTTGTCTCCTCTGGGTATTTTTACATAGCCTGTCTTCATACTCACTAATTATTTCTTCTGCTTTGATCAATTCTGCTGTTAAGAGACTCTGATGCATTCTTCAGGATGCCAATTGCATTTTTAAGCGTAAGAATTTCTGCTTGATTATTTTTAATTATTTCAATCTCTTTGTTCAATTCATCTGATAAGATTCTGATTTCCTTCTGTGTGTTATCTTAGATTTCATTCAGCATCCTCAGAACAGTATTTTGGAACATCTGTCTGAAAGGTAACATATCTCTGTCTCTCCAGGATTAGTCACTGGTACCTGATTTATTTGGTGAGGTCATGTTTTCTTGATGGTCTTGATGTTTGTGGATGTTCATTAATGTCTGGGCATTGAATAATTAGGTATTTTTGTAGGCTTCACTGTCTGGCCTTGTTTGTACCCATCCTGCTTTTGAAGGCTTTCCAGGTATTTGAAAGGACTTGGGTGTTGTGATCTGTCTTTGGTCCCTGCAGCCATATCTGCAGGAGGGGGCACCCTAAGTTCAGTAATACTGTGACTCTTGTAGACTCATAGTAGCACTGCCTTGGTGGTCTTGGGTAAGACCCAGGAGAATGCCCTGGATTACCATGCAGACTCTTGTTCCCTTGCTTTACTTTTTCCCAAACAAATAGAGTGTCTCACTCTCTCTTTGTACTGAGCTGCCTGTAGCTAGAAGAGGAGTGGCACAATCACCCCTGTGGCCACCACAGCTGCGACTGCATTGAGTCGGGCCAAAGCAAGCACAATACTAGGTCTCACCCAAGGCCTTTGACAAACATTGCCTGGCTACCAACTATATTCACTCATAGTCTAAGGGATCTATAATCAAGAGATGGCAAGTCCAGCTAGGGTTGTGTCCTTCCCTTGAGGTCACTGAGTTATCTCGTGCTAGGTGGGTCCAGAGATATTGTCCAGGAGATGGAGTATGGAGTCAGCAACCTTAGGAATCTACCTCTTGCTGTATTCTACTGTGGCTGAGCTGGCACACAAGCCACAAGACAAAGTCTTTCCCACTCTTCCCTCTCATTTCCTCAAGCAGAGGAGTCTTTCCTTGTGGTCACCACAGCCCCAGACCCATGGTTAGTACTGCCTGGCTAAAACTGATATTCACTCAAGACCCAAGGGCTCTTCAGTCAGCTTGTGGTGAATGCTGCCAGGCCTGGATCTCCCACTTCAGAGCAGTGGGCTCACCTCTGCTCCAGTGCAGGTCCAGAAATGCTGTCAAGGAGCCAGGGCCTGAAACAGGGAATCCCAAGAGCCTGCTAGGTACTCTATCCCACTGTGGCCAAGTTGGTACCCATGCTGCAAGACAAAGGCCTCTTTAGTCTTCCCTCTACTTTGCTCAAGAAGAAGAAGTCTCTTCCTGTAGCCACCATATCGGGGAATGTGCTGGGTCACAACTGACACAGCACATATCTGAGTCTCACCTAAATCCTGCAATGAGTACTGCCTAGCTACCACTGTGGATTATTCAGGGACCAAGGGCTCTTTAGTCAGCAGGTGATTAATCCTGCCATGACTGGGTCCTTCTTTTCAAGGCAGTGGGTTCCCTTCTGGCCCAGAGTGTGTCTAGAAATATTACCTGGGTATTATTGCCCAAAATGGGAGCCTCGGTACTCTGCCTGGTGCCCTATTCTACTGTGGCTGGGCTGGTATCCAAGTCACGAGATAAAGTTTTCTTTTTTTTTTTTTGAGATGGAGTCTCACTCTGTCACCCAGGCTGGAGTGCAGTGGCACAATCTCAGCTCACCGCAACCTCTGCCTCCCGGGATCAAGCAATTCTCCTGCCTCAACCTCCTGAGTAGCTGGGACTACAGGTGCGCACCGCCATGCCCAGCTAATTTTTTTTGTATTTCAGTAGAGGTGGGGTTTCACCATGTTGCTGGTTTCGAACTCCTGAGCTCAGGCAATCCGCCCGCCTTGGCCTCCCAAAGTGCTAGGATTACAGGCATGAGCCACTGCGCCCGGCCAAGATAAAGTTTTCTTTACTCTTCCTTCTCCTCTCCTTAAGCAGAAGGATGGAGTCTCTCCCAGAGGTGTGAGCTGTGCTGCCTGGGACTAGGGGAGGACTGACACAATCACTCCCTTGGCTTCCCCAGCTGGTGTCTCACTAGGTCACGTTCACCCCAAGTCTACTGGCTCTGAGACCAGCACAGCACCAAGGCTTGCCCAGGAATTGCAGTCTTTATGGCCTAGACTGCATTTCAAGTTGATTTAGAACCCCAAGGAACTTTAGCCCATGGTGGCAAGGCTTGATGGAACTCAGCTTCTGACCACTGGAATGGACAATTCACCTCTGGCTAGGGCTTGTATAAATGCTCTCTCCGTGTGCACCGACTGAGTTCTGTCCCATGTTGCTTTCTGCTGTAACAGCAGCACTGAGTTCCAACGCAAAGTCCTACAATCACTGCACTCTCCCTCTCCCAAACACAAAGATTCTCTATCCATGCCACATGGCCGCTGCAGGGGCATGAGGGAGGTGTGGTGTAGGCAATTCAAAACTGTCTTTCCCACCCTCTTTAGTGCTTCTCTCCTTAATATGATTTTGAAACCAGGTATTGTAATTGCTCACTTAATTTTTTGTTCTTATGAAGGTGCTTTTCTTTTTTTTTTTTTTTTCTTGGAATGGAGTCTCGCTCTGTCACCCAGGCTGGAGTGCAGTGGCGTGATCTCAGCTCACTGCAAATTCCGCCTCCTGGGTTTCTTCTGCCTCAGTCTCCTGAGTAGCTGGGACTACAGGTGCATGCCACCATGCCCAGCTAATTTTTGTATTTATTAAGAGGTTTTATTATAAACGAATGTTGGATTTTATCATTTTTTTCTATGTCTATTGAGACGATAATATTGTTTTTGTCTTTTCTACTGATGTGATGTGTCATGTTTACTTATTTGCATAAGTTGAATCAATCTGGCATTCTTAACATAACTCCCCCTTGATCATGATGTAAAATCTTTTTGATGTGCTGTTGTATTTGGTTTGGTAGTATTTTGTTAAGGATTGTTGTATCTATCTTCATCAGGAATATAATTTACTTTTTTGTTGTGTTCTTGCCTGTTTTAGGCATCAGGGTGACACTGGCCTCATACAATGAATTTGGAAAATTTTCCATTCCCTCAATTTTTTTTGGAATCATTTGAGAAGAATAGGTATCAGTTCTTCTTTAAAGTCTGTTATAATTTAGAAGTGAAGCTGTCTGTTCCTGGTCTTTTCTTTTAGGGAAACTATTTATTATTGATTTAATCTCATTATTCTGTATAGGTCTGTTCAGGTTTTTTATTGCTTCTTGGTGCAAATGCAGTAGTTTTTATGCATTCAGGCATTTACTCATTTCCTCTATATTTTTCAATTTGTTAGCATACAATTATTGATAATTGTCTTTAATGATCCTTTGTATTTCTGTGGCATCAGTTGTAATGTATCTTTTTTCATTTATGGTTTTATTTATTTGTTTCTTCTCTTTTTTTCCCGGTTGGTCTAGCTAGTGGCTTAACAATTTTGTTTATCTTGCCAAAAAAATCTTTTTTGTTTCATTGATCCGTTATATATTTTTTTGTCTGTATACATTTAGTTCCATTCTGATCAGCATCACTTCTTTCCTTCTACTTGTTTTGAGTTTGATTTCTTTTTGCATCTTTAGTTCCCTGGGGTGCATTGTTAGATTGTTTATTTAAAACCTTTCTATTTTTTTAATGTAGGATTTTAGTGGTATAAACATCCCTCTTAATACTGCTTTTGCTGTATTCCATAGATTTTGGTATGTTGTGTTTCTATTTTCATTTGTTCCAAGACATTTTAAAAAATTTCCTTCTTAATATTTTCATTGGTCCATTGGTCATTCTTGAACAGGTTGTTTAATGCCCATGTATTTGTACAGTTTTCAAAATTCCTCTTCTTATTAACATCTAGTTTTATTCCATTGTAGTCATGAATGATACTTGATGTGATTTTGATTTTTAAAAATTTGTTCATACTTGTTTTATAGCCTAATATATGGATGATCCTGGAGAATGTCACATGTGCTGATGAAAAGAATGTGTATTTTGCATCTATTGAAGGAAATAGTCTACAAATGTTTCTTAGGTCTGTTTGGTCAAAAGTGCAGTTTAAATCCTTTCTTTGTTTATTTTCTCTCTAGAGAATCTGTCCAAAGTTGAGAGTATTGACGTCCCCAAGTAAAATTATATTTGAGTTGATCTCTCCCTTTAGATCTAATAATATTTGCTTTATATGAGTTCTCTGGTGTAGTGTGCTTATATATTTACAATTATTATATCCTCTTGATGAAATGATTTGTCATTATATAATCACCTTTTTGTTTCACTTTATAGTTTTGACTTAAACTCTGTTTTATCTGATATAAGTATAGCTGTTCCTGCTTACTTTTGGTTTCCATCATTTTTCATGCTTTCAATTTCAAATAATGTGTGTCTTTATAGGTGAAGTGAGTTTCTTGTAGGTGGCATATATTTAGGTTTTATTTTATAATCCATTTACCCAGTCTATATTTTTAATTGGGGAATTCAATATATTTACATTCAAGATTATTATTGACAGGTATGGATTTATTCCTATATGGTTATTTTTTTCAGATTGTTTTATATATCTTTTGTTCCTTTCTTCCTCTCTTATTTGTTTATGTTTATGTCTTAATGTTTTTATATAGTGATAAGATTTCATTTCTTCTTCCTTCTCATTTGTGAACCTGATTTACTAGTGAGTTTTACACTTTTTCATGTTTCAGGATTGTAGTTATTGTCTTTTTGCTTACAGATGTGGGACTTCCTCTAGCAATTTTTTTAAAACGAATTTAGTGGTGATGAATTCCTTCAGTTTTTGCTTATCTGGGAAATAATTTATTTCTCCTTTATTTCTGAAGGACAGGCTTGCTGGGTATAGTTTTCCTAGGTATAATCCTTTTTACTTTTAGAACTTTGAATATAGTATCCCATTCTCTCCCGGCCTATAATGTTTGGGCTGAGAAATCTGCTGTTAGTCTAATGGTAATCTGCTTTTTGTGACTAGATGCTTTTCTCTTGCTGTGTTTACAATTCTCTCTTGGTCTTTGACTTTTGAAAATTTGAATATAATTTGAGTGAAAAAGAACCTTTTTGGGTGGAATCCACTTGAGGTTCTTTGAACTTCCTGGATCGGGATATTCATATTTCTCCCAAGACTTCAGTTTTCAGCTATTGTTTTACTAAATAGGTTTCTGTGCTGATATGGTTAGGCTTTCTGTCCTCACCCAAATCTCATCTTGAATTGTAATCCCCAGGTGTTGAGGGTGAGACCTGGTGGGAGGTGATTGGATCATGGGAGCATTTCCCCCATGCTGTTCTCGTGATAGTGAATTCTCACAAGATCTGATGATTTTATAAGGGGCTCTTCCCCCTTTGCTTCTTTCACATGCTCTCTTGCCTGCTGCCATGTAAGACATGGCTGCTTCCCCTTCTACCACGATTGTGAGTTTCCTGAGGCCTCCCCAGTCATGTGGAACTGTGAGTCAATTAAACCTCTTTTCTTTATAAATTACCCAGTCTTGGGAAGTTCTTTATAGCAGTGTGGAAAGGGACTAATACTTTAAATTGGTACTACAGAGAATGGGGCACTACTATAAAGATCCCTGAAAACGTGGAAGCAATTATGGAGGTGGGTAACAGGCAGAGGTTGGAAGAGTTTGGAGGGCTTAGAAGAAGATAGGAAGATGTGGGAAAGTGTGGAGCTTCCTAGAGACTTGTGGAACGGTTTTGACCAAAATTCTGATAGTGACGTGAACAATGAAGTCCAGGCTTAGACGCTGTCAGAGGGAGATGAAGAACTTGTTGGGAACTGGAGTAAAGGTCACTCAAGCTATGCTTTGGCAAAAAGATTGGCAGCATTTTGCTCCTGCCCTAGAGATCTGTGGAACTTTGAACTTGAGAGAGATGATTTAGTGTGGCCGGCACAATAAATTTCTATGCAGCAAAGCATTTAAGACGTGACCTGAATTATTTTGAAAGCACTCAGTTTTATTCATTCACAAAGAGATGGTTTGAAATTGGAACTTATGTTTAAAAGGGAAGCAGAGCATAAAAGTTTGGAAATTTTGCAGCCTGACAATGCAACAGAAAAGAAAAACCCACTTTCTTGGGAGGAATTCAAGCCAGCTGCATAAATTTACATAACTAACGAGGAGCTGAATGTTAATCGCCAAAACCATGGGGAAAATGTCTCCAGGGCATGTCAGAGACCTTCATGGTAGTCCCTTTCATCAAAGACCTGAAAGCCTAAGAGGGAAAAATGGTTTCATGGCCAGGCCCAGGTCCCCAGTGATGCTCTGTGCAGACTCAGGACTTGGTGTACTGGGTCCCAGCCATGGCTAAAAGGGGCCAATGTACAGGTCAGACCATTGCTTCAGAGGGTGTAAGGCCCAAACTTTAGCAGTGTCCACGTGGTGTTGAGCCTGCAGGTTCACAGAAGTCAAGAATTCAGGTTTGGGAACCTCCACCTAGTTTTCAGAGGATGTATGGAAATGCCTGGATGTCCAGGCAGAAGTTTGTGGCAGGAATAGAGCCCTCATGGAGAACCTTTGCTAGGGCAGTACAGAAGGGAAATGTGGGGTTGGTTCCTATCTCCCACATAGTCCCCACTGGGGCACTGCCTAGTGGAGCTATGAGAAGTGGGCCACCATCCTCCAGACTCCAGAATGGTAGATCTACTGACAGCTTGTACTGTGCATCTGGAAAAGCTGCAGGCACTCAATGCCAGCCCATGAAAGCAGCTGGTAGAGGGGCTGTGCCCTGCAAAGTCACAAGGGTGGAGCTGCCCAAGACACTGGGAGCTCACCCCTTGCATCACTGTGACCTGGATGTGAGACAAGAAGTCAAAGGAGTTTATTTCGGAATTTTAAGATTTAATGACTGCCCTGATAGATTTTGGACATGCATGGGGTCTGTAGTCTCTTTGTTTTGGCCAATTTCCCACAGTTGGAATAGGAGCACTTATGCAATGCTTGTACGCTCATTGTATCTTGGAAGTAACTAACTTGCTTTTAATTTTATAGGCTACTAGGTGGAAGGGACTTGCCTTGTCTCAGATGAGACTTTGCACTTGGACTTTTGAGTTAATGCTGAAATGTGTTAAGACTTTGGGTAACTGTTGGGAAGGCATGATTGGTTTTGAACTATGAAGACATGAGATTTGGGAGGGGCCAAGGATTAAGTGGTATGATTAGGCTTTATGTCCCCACCCAAATCTCATCTTGAATTGTAATCCCCAGGAGTTAAGGGAGAGACCTGGTGGGAGGTGACTGGATCATGGGGATAGTTTCCCCCATGCTGTTCTCATGATAGTGAGTGAGTTCTCACAAGATCTGATGATTTTATAAGGGACTTTTATCCCTTAACTTCTTTCACATGCTCTCTCACCTGCTGCCATGTAGGATATGCCTGCTTCCCCTTCCATCATGACTGTGAGTTTCCTGAGGCCTGAGAGTCAATTAAAACTCTTTTCTTTATAAATTATGCAGTCTCAGGCAGTTCTTTATAGCAGTGTGAGAATGGACTAATACATATGATTTTGCCCATTGCTTTTCCTTCTGGAGCTCTAATAATGCAAAATTTTGTTTGCTTAATGATATCCCATAAGCCCATAGTCTTTCTTAATTTTTTACACTTATATTTTCTCCTTTTATTTTACCTGGTTTACTTTAAAAGACCTGTCTTAAAATTCAGAAATTCCTTCTGCTTGATCAAGTCTGTTTTTGAAGTTTTCAATTATATTTTTATTCATTTTATTCATTTATTAATCCTACATCTTCATGAACTGCCTTGGGTCTGAGGAAGAAGGGGTTCTCTGGATATTTTGGCCCAAGGAGCAGGGTAGGCTGGAGTTTGGGAACAAGACTGATAGAGCTCCGTAGCAACTTAGGTCCCAGGGGATAAGGTACTATGTAGTAGTGATTCTGGACTCTGAGATTGAGGGACTCAGCAATATCCCAGACTATGAGGCACAGTGCAGTGGCAGCAAAGTGTTCCTTCCAGTCTCTATGTTCCTATTCTGTGTTTCTGTGCTCTGTAAGTTTTCTGTTACTCCTTTGATACAATCCAACACTCTCCTTTAGTTATTTCCATCAAAAAGTGGTTGTTTATTCATCTGGGGGATAGTGAGCAGCACAGCAATGACTCTACTCTCTGGGGGTGGAGGGATGTCTCAGTACCTCAGACTCTAAGGGAGCTAGTTCAGTTCCAGAAAAGCAGGGTACTAGACTTGTTTGCCCTGCAGGGCAGGGTGTGTCACCTCAGCCATTGCTCTGTTTCTCTGGGACTCAGGGTACCATGTCAGCTCAGCCCAGGGATGTGCACCTGCTCAGCTTGGCCAAGGCACTAATGTCCTGGGAAGCAATGTACTGCTTTAGCTTGTGCCTGGAGGGGTGTGTCTGTTGCAGGAAGCAAAGATACTGCTTCTCTGAGACATAGGACACTGTTTCAGCTTAGGTACAGGGGTATGAGACCACTCTGGATGGTGAAGGCACTGTTTCCCAGGAGGCAAGATACTGCTTCAATTTAGGCACTGGATGCAGGGGCAGGGGAGATACGACTGCTCTGGCTGTCCAAAGTGTGCTTGTTGTTGTTGTTGTTGTTATTGTTGTTTTTAAGATGGATTTTCACTCTTGTTGCCCAGGCTGGAGTGCAATGGTACGATCTTGGTTCACTGCAACCTCCTCCTCCTGGGTTCAAGCGATTCTCTTGCCTCAGCCTCCCAAGTAGCTGGGATTACAGGTACCCACCACCATGCCCAGGTAATTTTTGTATTTTTGGTAGATACGGGGTTTTGCCATGTTAGCCAGGCTGGTCTTGAACTCCTGACCTCAGGTGATCCGCCCACCTCGGCCTCCCAAAGTGCTGAGATTACAGGTGTGAACCACTGCGCCTGGCCCCAAAGTATGTTTTATCAAGAGACAGGGCACTGCTTCAGCTCAGGCACAGGGGTTCATGACTGCTCTGGGCTGCCAAGGCACCCTAAGATGTACGGTGCTGCTTCAGCTTCAGCATAGGGAGCAGAGTGCAGCATTGACTGGAGGAGGACATGGAGTGTCTTCATCAAAGCACTGATCTCCCTGGGAGGCAATGTGCACTTTCAGCTCAGGCCCCTAGGGTCAGGGCACAGCAGCGGTGCCTGGTAAGGGTATAAAGAGCGACTCTGTCAAGGGACTCTTCCCCTTGGGAGGGAGTGCAAAGCAGAGACTGGTAAGGGTAGACGGTGAAGCTCTACCAAGGTACTATTTCTTCATGAGAGAGTAGGCAACTTTGGCTCAGGCAACGAGGGGCAGGGTACAGCAGTGACTAGGAGGAATAGATAGAGCAGCAGCTTGGCTCAAATACGTAGAGCCAATGAGTGAGGTTGTGGCTAAGCCTGAGGTTATGGAAGGGTGCTGTGGCCACTTGCTCCTGGAGCAGGACACACTCCAGCAGTAGTTTTGGTTCCAAGATGGCATAGCACAGTAGCCATGCAGGCCAGAGAGAGCAGGGCACGGATTTGGTTCCTTCTCTTGGGGGAGCACAGCTGCATGGACTCCAGGCAGCTCCCTCAGTTGTGCTTAGTGCCTGTGAGGACTGTAGGGGTCCCCAGTGGTGAGGACTGCAGTTGTTCAAGGTGTTGATGTGGGCTGCTGGGGTCCTCTTGCTTACCTTCCCCTGTAGGGGGAGTTCCTCCTGGTTGTGAGTTGGTCTCAGCTGGGGAAGGGAGTGGTAAAAGCCAACTGTTCCTTTCATTCTCTATATTGCTATTCTGGGTTTCTGTGTTCTGTAAGATTTCTACTACTACTTTGATGCAATCTGACACTCTAGTTATTTGGGCGTGGTTGTTTTTTTCATTGTTTTGGCTGTCTTTGTAGGGCAGACAAGTGCTAAGGGCTTCTAGTTGGCCATCTTGCTTATATCCCCTAGATTATTTCTTCATTTTATAAGCTGAGATTCTATCAATTGGGGTCTCAGTCAAGAAATATTCAAAGAGAGTCTAATGAAGGGACTATTTGCAAAGATGTGGGCAGTCTAAAGGGAAGCCATTAAGGGTAGTATAGGAATCCTGGGAATAACAGCAAAGATTTTTACCAATTGTAGGATTGAAGTTATGAGGGAATAAAGTGATCAGAGCACAGAACCCATTGCATACAGAGGACTTCTTTCAAAGTAATCTTCTGACTGTAAAAATGAGTTCTTGAAATTTGATATCTTTACTTTTTTGCGTCGCATGGCAAAGTTCTACATAAGCATTTAGACATCAAGCTACTTATATGGCTAGATAAATATGGCATATCCAAGGATAATAGCAATATTCGTGGTTTTCAGTACTCAAGATTAGTGTTTCAGTTTCAATTATCTACCTGAGAAATTATTTACCAGATAATTAGAAAGGCTTTTTTGTAACATGATAATTGTTCCCATGAGATCAACTCCCTGACTGGGAAGATAATATCATGATTTTGTAGAAATATCAGTGGTATGGGATTCAGAAGAAATATATTTTTGTTATGCTTTAGTGGTAAAATTGTATGGCCTTCATTTCTCTCATCTGAAGGGGTTAAGTCAAAGATATATGGATTCACTAGACCTAGAGTCAAGAATTTTTAAGAAAACTTCTCTAAGTTTTGGAGTGTGAATATAATAGGCTAGGTTCCTCCTAGAATATATACTGGAATAAGGATTTGTATGAAAGTAGTTTATTTGGAACATAATCCTGAAAACACCCGATGCTGAGGAGAGATATGACATAGGTAACTAAAGAAAGCCAATAATTGATGTGTTACCGATCAGGTTATTCCTATGGGTAACCAAGGCACAATCCTACTGGGAAACTCTGGGACATTATGCAGAACATGCCTCAGACATACCCCACCTGAGCACTAAGGAAACTTAGATATTTAACTCTAAATTCATCCGTTATTAATTAATGGCTGCTGTTAGGGGCATCAGCTCACCAGGAATTATGGCTCATTCAATACATGGGCTAAGAGGTTGCAGTTTCTTCCAATAGGATGCTGTAGGCTTTACTAGAATTATGAGAAACAAGGGAATATGGGCAGAGCATCAATACATCTGCTATAGGAGAAAAAATCCGATGAATATGACCCAAGAATTCAGTTTCCACGAGTTCCTCATGCTCCTGCAAAGTGTTGCCTTACCACCTAGAGTTACCTTATCACAGAGGTTATTTCACTTTATTTTTGTCCATTTAATTTTCTATATTATCCACCAGATGTATGAGGGCATATATCATGTCAGTTCAAATATTCATATAATGCATCACGGTCTATCACAGTATCTCAGTATAGTGGGTACTTAATACATACTTGCTGGATGAGTTTAGGCATGAACAAATGAAAGCCTATGGTGCAGGAATGAACTAAACATTAAGAAGTAAATAGAACCTCATATTTACTAATAGTCTATTGGAAACAATTCAAAGGACCCAGACTGTATTTGCTTATAGTCAGCCTTCCGTATCTGTAGGCTCCTCATCCTCAGCTTCCTCATCCATGTATTCAACCAACTGCAGATTGAAAACAATCAGAAAAAACAAAAAAAAAATACAATAATAAAAATGATACAAATAAAAACAATACAACGTAACAGCTATTTACATAGCATTTATATTGGGTTAGGTATTATCAATAATCTAAAGATTTAAAGTATAAGGGAGGGTATGAATAGGTCTATTGAAATACTACAACTTTTTACATAAGGCACTTGAGCATCTGTGGATTTTGGTATCTATCTCCTATCTGCTACAGGAGAAAAAAATCCAATGAATGTGACCATTGTTTAGAAATGTCACCTATACTTTAAGGTAAATTGTTTGATTAAAATGATTTGATATTACTTTTAGAGAGGTTTGAGGCTAGAGTTGGATCAAAGTGATCAGGTTGTGATGAAATCTTCCAGGTTGGATGCTTTGGGTTAAGCTACACTTTGGTTTGTCGAAGCGCACTTTCCAGTACGCTTACCATGTTATGACTTATTAGTCTTGGAACTAATTCCCCATAGGGGATCACGGTATTGCTTCTTAGCATTTTTAGAGAATTGTAGTTAGTCACTAAATATTTCTTTAATTGAATTTAATAAAGGTGGTTTACATTCCAATATGAAATTATCTAGGAATGATAACTAACAATAATTTAAATACTGAACTTATTTTATATCCATAGAGTTCAGATGTTTAATATCTTATGTAGAAAAAATGAAAGGTAATGTTATATTTGGTGTGATTTTTAATAATTATGAATGAAAAAATCTTACATTTTTTTAGAAATGTCATTTCTAATTGTGCAAAATCTCGTGATTTTACAAATAATCAGTGTAGATATCCTTATTTGTCACTGGACAAATGGGTCTTACTCTATTGATTATTAAACTAAACCTTATTGAAAGTGAAGTAAATATCAGAAACTTTTCTGAATTAAAATTAATTTTAGAAGCTTTCCAGCAATCCATGATTATTCTTCCTTTAATTTTGGACAACATCATTACAACACACTGCACTTTTTAAGAACTTTCATTAACTGATGCATGTTATGCCATTTCAATATTGATCTATTGAAAAAGATATTCATTTTTTTCCATGTTACAGTGTCAGAAATAAGCCTTTTATTTAATATTTCAGGGAGCCAAAACTAGAATTAATATCCCATATCTATGTAAATACCAAATTAGGTCACATTGATATAACTAAAGCACTAAACAAATGATCTCAGCAGCAAAATGTCATATTCAGGGCTCTTGGGTGGTCCTAATTAATCAGCTTTCCCAGGTGTGACATTTCCCCTTCAGTCTGAATTATGTCCAAGATGAGTCTTAGGCACTATCTGATGCTCAAGCAGTTTATTCTGGCAGTGCTCTTACAAGACAGAGAGTGGGAACAGGCTAGTATCATAAACCAGATACAGTCAGGGAGTCAAATGACCTATTATTTATGAAATTTCCATCTGGGGACCAATCTCAAAGTGTGGGAGAGTTTTCTCCCTTTCTTATACCTGTATACTCAGTCCAGGTCAGTTACCAGATGTTTTGTTCATAAAGGGAGCTTAAGCTATTCTTGTAAAACTGAGCTTTGTTTTAAGGTTTATGAGAATTGTAAGTATGCTGAAGTGGTCTCTCCTGGAAATCCCTGGGCCAGGGATGAAAATCCCCAGTCCAAATTTCATCATAATGTGAGATGTGTGAGTGGACCTTATGGCTATCATTAATCTTACAGCCAGAAAATGTCTCTTATACTATATACACATAGCATATAATATCATTATAAGAATTGAAAACTAAGAAATAGAAAACCTTTAACATTAGGCTTAACATTATTATCTGCAATGAAGAATTAATATTAGAGGAAACTTTTCCATTAGTGGTTTGAGAATTTTAAAGAAATGTATGATTAGGAATTAAGTAGTTACCATTCTTTACTATAATTCTGAATATCTAAGAAAGAAACCAAGTCAATAATAAGAATAAAATGGAAATGTGCTAAATTAGCTAAATACAGAAGTACATGTGGAATTGAATGGCAAGTGAGAACTTAGTGCAGATTGCTAAAAAAAAAAAAAAGAAAGAAAGAAAGAAAAGAAAAACAGGAGCATTAGAAAACAGTATGCATTCCTGTGCTGGGATACAACTTTGAATGCTATGATAAGGCAAAGGGAACAGCAGTACTTCTGTTCCACACTGAATTCACAATATACATTGATAGAGTAGCACCCTAAGAAGAGCAAACCAGAGCACTGGAACTCACCAGTTAGGATTCAGTTACCCTTTAGACCGCTAAAGAAGGGTCCAAGCTACGTATGTCTGAAAACTGTGTATAAAAAATAATAGCAAAGAATAATGAAAGTATGACTTTTTAAATGAGGTTCATCCATATTTTAAAAATGAAAAGGAGAAGGCTGTATTTAACTTTTCCTTTGATTGTCCTCCCACCCCTCCCAGGCTTTATCTTCCTTTTCCTCTTAGGCATTTAGAATGTATTAGCTGTAACTCTCATGTTGCTCAGGGCCTTCGGTTTTCCTAGGGGTGCCTCAGAGTATCACTGCTAAGATGTAAGGAGCTTCAAGATCCAAGAAGCCCCTCCACCCTCAGTTCTGCTGGGGCAGCTGCTCCTTTTATCTGTTTATAGTTTTGTGCAAGATCTCATTTTTTAAAAATAACTGCTTTAAAGTTTGAAAAATACTATTCCAGCTCTCTTAAAATTCATTCTCAAAAAATGTATTTTCTATTGATCTGTCAAAGTAGTTTTTTTTAAATCACGTTAGTACCCCTTATTTCTCTATGTAAAGGGAGGGAAATTTACAATAATTTTGCTTTTTAAAAGTGTTTCAACACCACAAAGCAAATATTTGAAGAATTTATTATAAAGAAAGAAGGTTCTTAATTTCAAAGTTAATATTTTTCCATGGAAATACTGTGAACCTTGATTGAGACATGCTTAAAGCTATTTCTATAGAGCTCCAAGTCTTTATGAGCCTTGGTTTCCTTATCTGCAAGATAGAAATATTGCTTATTTTTTAGAGGTTTGGGGAAGATTCAATGATACAAAAATCCTAGTGTAAAAGGCCCCAGCTATGGTCTCAAAAGTGTTATTTGCTGTCAGGAAATCAAACCACAAAGAAAGCTCACAACTTTATCTTAGTTTTTAAAGTCTTATTTATACCTTTCATTTTTAAAAAGAACATAAATAGTAAATGAAAAATGTAAAAAATATGCAAAGCCTGGAAGAGCAATCAAATAGGAAAAACACATAGTTATATAAAAATTAGCCTGTTGCAATTAGCAACAATTGCTTTTATGCCCCCTACTATGACAGCAATATAATCTCTGAGATGGCAGAACCATGTGCCATAGCTGGGAGCATCATAATTCTGGCTTGCTGATCAGTTCTGACTAATAGCTCTTGTTCTTGGAATTTACTTTGACATTCACTTTAGTTTCTCTAGTTCTGACCTTCTTTTGGCCACTGGCCTTATTTGAACTTTCCTGCTTGGGTCTGATATTTCCTATAACAATTCTTTCATACTCCCATTTCTGGGATTTTTCAGTGCTGGTGGTACAGTCCATTCATGAGTGGGCCTACTCGGGGCTTTGGAAATGTGCCCAAGTCTCTCACCTGTCTATCTCAGCTTTTGTCTCTTACACTCTCAGAGTATCTGGAAAAATGGAATTAACTTTATTCCTTCCTTCCCACACTCCCCCCTTCCTTCTTTCCCTCCTTCCTTTCTTCCTCTCATCCTTTTCTTCTTGGTTACCTTCCTTCCTGCCATCTTCCTTTCTTGCCTTTCTTTCGTGCCTTTCTTTCTTTCTTTCTTTCTTTCTTTCAACTTTAGAGAAAAATAAACTAACAATTTACTAAGTGTCTGGCACTTTGAAAGGTACTGGAAATACAATGGAAAAATAGATATGACCCCTGCTTGCGTGAAGTATATGTCTAGGGCAGGGATGTAAACATTAAAAATATATCCACACAAATAATTTTAAAATGTCAACTGTGCATGTAGAGGTAGACAGTCTTCTGAGAGTCTTTAACAGAAATGTTTTACTTTGTGAGGTATCACTGGAAAAGTGACACTAAAGTTGATATTAAGTAGGTGTATAGGACTAACTTCTGTGAAGAGTAAGAGCAATAAAATACATTGATTAGAAGAAATATGAACAAAGACCTTATGTTGGGCAGGAGCACTGATTGTGTCATATATAATAGGTAAGAAACTAAATGTGTGGGACAGAAAATTCAGGAGACCATTGAGAATCTTGATGAGAAGATGGTTTTTTTGCGGTCAAGGATAAAAGCTTCCATTTTGCTCAAAGACTAGTGCATACAAACATAAGAGTCAAAATTCATGCAATTTACTCATATAACAAATCTGCATATGTACCCTCTGAACACAAAAGTTGGAAGAAAAAAATGGAAAAAATAAAAATAAGAGTAAAATAAACTTATTTTCAGTAGTTATTTTTTAGGGTTTAACAGATGTTGCATGAGGTTCAGGGTTTTTGACACCCTCAGCTATAATGATAGCAGCACTAGAAGTTGCAAAGTCACACAAAATGAGGGCTAGCTGATGTTTAGTAAGGGAAGCTTATTATCTGCATAAGGTATATTTTTACAAAGCAGGAAACTGGGGCCCAAAGAAAATAAGAAATATATATCAGATTACATTTCTGAGAAACAGCTGAAATCATAGCACCTGTACTCTGCCTAAATAATAAAGTATTCATTCAGAAATAATTAATATTTTCCTACTATGTGCTGGTCACAATTTCAAGTACTGGGAATTCTGTGCTCATAAAACTCATAATATTATGAAGAACCCTGCAAAATGCAGTGTGAACAGTTTATAATGCACATACATTTATTAAATAGGCACTAAAATTAATCATGCTGTCTTAGGGAAGACTTACTGGAGCAAATGACGTCCACTTTCAGGTGGGGCAATTGAGAAACACAAGCCAGGCAACAGGGGTTTCAAATGTGAATTTGTCAGTCACGTAGAATAGGATATGAGAAAGGCAAGAGTTGAGAGGAAGAGATAAGTGGGTATTGAAAAATAAGAACAAAGCAATAAAAAGCCAAATTATTAAGAAATTTGTTAGCCATGGTAAGGAATTTGGATTCATTCTATGAGCAATGGAGGTCACTATAGGAGTAATAAGATCAGATTTGCATTTTAGAAGGACCCCTGTGGCTGCATTGGGGGGATGCAGAGTGAAAGGGCAAAACTGGAGGCAAAAACATGTGTTAAGAAACTGCTTAAATTATGCATCCAAGGAATGTGGGGATCTGTTTTAGGATGGGAACAGTGAATAGAAAGAGAGGTGAAACCATTCCAAAAATGTACAGAAAGTAAAATTGATGTTACTTGGTGCTTAAATGTATCAGGGTGGCAGATGAGAAGATAGGGAGAGACAAGGAAGTGTGAGAATAGCACCGAGGTTTTACCATAAATCTTCCCTAGGAGTATTTTTAAAGATGGTGAGTTAAAATAGCTGTGAATTTGATTTTTATTATACTGGTTGCCTCTATGCATATATTCCTAAACAATACGTTCTTTAATTTTGCCAGTTTTCTGAATCTTATCTAAGTGGAATATTCTTCTGTGACTTGCTTCTTTCTCTCAGGATTATATGTTTGACATTCATCTGTGTGGTTGTGTTTAGCAGTAGTTCATTCAATTTCATGGCTATCTAGTGTGTTGAATGAATATACCAAAATTAATTTATCTATTACATGAATGATATTCATTTGAGTGTTTCCAAATTTTTCAGTTATGAAAATGCTGAGAACATCATTTTACATGTCTCCTGATACATATGTGTAACAGTTTCTCTAAGATAATCATCCAGGAGTAGAACTCTAGGTTGTATGTATTCCAGGGCTTATATCCATTTATGCCTCACTTACAATTATAAATTCCAGATGTGCCACATCCATGTCCGTGCCTGATATTGTCTGGCTTTTCTTTTTCTCTCACTTTCTCCTTCTGTTTCACTCTCCCCTTTCTGTTCTTCATACCCTTCCTTCCTTCTTTCCTTTCTTTTTTAATCTATTGACTGTTAATGAAGATAAACATTTTTCATACATTTTGTGTTCATTTATATTTCTCAATTGGAATTTTCTGTTCAAAATTTCCTCACTTTTCTATTGGATTGTTCATATTTTAATTATTTTTAAAGAATTGTTTCTATATTGTGAATACTATTGATTTATCCGTTATATGTGCTGCAATTTTTCCTCAGTTGAGACATTATTTTTCCCTTTAAAAAATGGATCCTACCCAGGAATGGATAATTAAACACTGCATGTTGTCATTCATGTTGAAGCTAAAAAAAAGTTGATATCGTAGGAGTAAAAAGTAAAACAGAGGGTATTAGAGATTCGGAAGGGGTGCAGAATGGGGAGACAGAGATTTGTTGAGGGATACAAAATTATAGCTTGATGGGGGAATAAGTTCTAGTGTTCTATAGCACTGAAGGATAAATACAATTAACAATAATACATTATATCGTTTCAAATGGCTAGAAGGAGGATATTGAATGCTCCCAACACCAAGAAATAAAAGTTTGAGATGATGGATAGGCTAATTACCCTGATCCAATCACTATACGTTATATGTATCAACATGTACCACATAAATATGTACAATTATTATGTACCAATTTAAAAATAAAATAAAAATTTAAAATTGTATCCTGAGACAAAAGGCAATGTTTAATTTTAAAGTAGTAAATGTAATAATTTCTTATTATTTTAATTTAATTTTATTATTATTATTATTATTTTTTTTTTGAGATGGAGTCTCTCTCTGTCATCCAGGCAGGAGTGCAGCGGCGTGACCTCGGCTCACTGCAACCGCCTCCCGGGTTCAAGCGATTCTCCTGCCTCAGCCTCCCGAGTAGCTGGGATTACAGGCGCCTGCCACCATGCCCGGCTAATTTTTGTAGTTTTAGTAGAGACAGGATTTCACCGTGTTAGCCAGAATGGTCTTGATCTCCTGACCTCGTGATCTGCCCGCCTCGGCCTCCCAAAGCGCTGGGATTACAGGCGTTAGCCACTGCGCCCAGCCATTTCTTATTATTTTTATACTTTCTGTGTCTACCTTTAAAAACCGATCTCTTCCCAGTAGTCGTAAAGATAATTTCCTAAGTTGCCTTCTAAAGCTGCATAGATAGAGCTCTCATATTAAAACTATAATTCCCCATGAAAATGATTTTCTTTGGTATGGTATAGGTTCAATCCCAAAGCTTTTCCCTGTGAATAATATGTCGTTCTCACTTCCTGTATAGCCCAGGTAATCTCAGTAGGTCCATATTGACCACATACTTATCTCCACGCAGCTCTGAAGCCTGGCACTGACACTTGAGCAATGCTGTGGAGTACAGTAACTAGAGAGAAATAATGCCCAGTAACCATAAGTACATGAAGTGTTTCAGAGTATGACATAGCCAGCCGGTCAGCACTATTTAGTAATAATGATTGGATGTTTTATTTGCACTTGGTTTCAGTGACATAGGCTAGCGGGGTTGATGGTGAAGGTTGATCTACATTTTCAAGCATACAAGTAGTGGTTTGAGACCTAGAGGCAAAGTAAGGCATGTGCGACCCAGTGATGGGAGGACAAAGAAGCCTGCTCTTCATTCTCTGCACCCTTCAGTGCATATCCTGTTGAAGTCCGGTATCCTTTACCTCTAAGAAAGCTGTTTTGTAAGTGTAACTGATTGTGTACTTTGAGTTCTTCTAGCAATTAAAAACTTAAGGCAATCAATATCTAATTAATACGCTTCATTTATTGAGGTCCCTCAGTTCTGATATAAATTAAGTTTGCATGTATGGTGATCCTCCTTCTGAGGTTTGTTTTTCTTTTTTTTCCTTCCAATTTTCTATCCCTATATGACCATCCTGTTATCCTAATTAATGACTACTTTATAATAATATTTAATATTTGGTAAAATAATTCTTTGCCATGTGCTTCATATGGAGTACGTTATATAATCTTGGAAGCTTGCTCTCCATATAAATTTGAGAGCCAGCCTGGCAAGTTTATTAAAAACAACCACAACAAAAGTTCATGAAACTACCTGGTCCCTGTGTTTTCTTTATAGAGACTTTATAAAGTGGCAGATTGAATTTATTGTATTGGAAATTATTCAAATAGACAGAATATTCTTAGGTCTGTTTGGTAAGTTCTATTTTTCCAGTTTAGTTTTTTCTTATTTATTGGCATAAAATTGTTCATAATATTCTATTATTATGTTTTAGTTTCCTTTGCATTTGAAAATTTACCCCTGTTAATTCCTAATACTTATTGGCGATCCTCTCTTTTATTGATCACTCTTGGGGAAGTTATGTCAATTTTATTATTCATTTAAAATAATTATTTTCTGTAACTTTAATGTTTATATGTTAATACTATTTTATTAATTACTACTCTTAAACTTGCTTCCTTTTAATGTCTTTATTGATTTGTCTTTTCCATTGAATGTTCAGCATACATAAGTTTAAGACTATCTTGCTTTGTAATATAGAGTATAGATTTAGTCTTCATACCACTTAGCTGGGCTAATTTTGATATACAATACTTTCCTTGGCATCAATTTTAAATGCTAATATTTTTTATTTCCATTATGATTTTCACTTATACCCAATGTGTTAGAGAACTATTTCTTGGCTTCCAAATATAGATGTTGTTTTTAAATTTCCAACTTAATTTCCTTGTGTAAGAAGGCATAGTCATCATGAAAACAATCCTTTGAAGCCTTTTAGACTGGCTTTTTGATTCAGAATATTGTCCATTTTCATTAAATGATCTCTGTGCTTGAAAATAATATGTATTTGCCACTGGATGATTACAACTTTATACATGTAATAGATCAAGCTTTTTAACTATGTTGTTCAACTTTTATATATTCTTTACATATGTTTCCTGCTTGGTATTTCATTTTCTGAGATATACTTTGAAAATAACTCTGATGCTGATTATTTTGTCCAATTCTCCTTCAAGTTCTATCTCATTTATGTTTTATTTGTTGGCTTTATTGGTAAACTCTGATATATAATGCATATGAATGAACAATTGAATCATTTTTATTACATGCCAACACTCTTTACTGCTGATGATACTTGTAACACTTAAAATCTAATTTGCATGATATTGATAAAGCTACACTATATTTCTTGTAGTTGCTTTCCCTAGTACGTAGTTTTCTATGACTTTATCTTTAGTCTTTCTCTGTACTTATTATTTATGTAGCTCTCTTGTGAACAGCATGTGGTTGGATTTCTTTTTCTAAAATCAACTTTTTAATCTTTATTTGTATTTAAAGAGTATAATGTGTGTGTATGCAATAACTGATATATTTTGGCTTAGATCTATCAGCTTAGTCTGTGCTTTCTTATTGTTCTTGCATTTCTAAAGCTTGTTTCTACTTTCTTCTCATTTGTACTTATTGATTTACCTCATACTACTTAATTCATTTTCCTTGTCTAGAAATTATAAAATGTACTTAATTCTGCTAACATTAACTATTACTTTTGAGTATGTATAGCTTAATTAATAAAATCTAATATTAACAGATATTTTCTTCCTCTGCATTCAAGGACCTTAGATCACATTACCCTTATGACCTCTTCCTGCCTTATATAGCCTTTGTGATGGTGAATATTAGGTGACTAATATTAACTGAAATGAGGGTTGCCTAGATGGCTGGCAAAGTATTGTTTCTGGGTATGTCTGTAAGGGTGTAGCCAGGGGAGATGGACATTTGAATCAATGGACTTGAAGAGGAAGATTCACCCTCGTGGGGATAGGTACCATCCAATCAGCTACCAGGGTGGCTACAAAACAGGCAGAAGAAGGGGCACACAGTTTGCTGAATCTTTTGTTTTCTCTCTCTTCCTGTGCTAGACACGGCTTTCATTCCTTCTGCTCTTGAACATTAGACTCCAGGTTCTTTGGGCTTTGGACTCTGGAACTTGCACTAGCAGCCTCCCGGGGGCTCTCAGGCCTTTGGCCAGAGACTGAAGCCTACATGGTCAGCTTCCTTAGTTTTGAAGCTTTTGGACATGAACTGAGCCACTACTGGCTTCTCTCTTTCCCCAGCTTGCAGATGACTCATCATGGGACTTTGCCTTGTAATCGTGTGAGCCAATTCTCTCTGATAAACTCCCTTCTATATATACATATATCCTATTAATTATGTCCCTCTGGAGAACCCTAATACAGACTTCATATTTTATTTTGATATTATTTAACTTTCAAAGTCATTAGTCTTATATTATTTCATTCCACCAATGTCTGTTTGATTTAATAAAATGTACCACTTGATATGTTTTGGCTGTGTCTTCATCGAAATCCCATCTTGAACCGTAGTTCTCATAATCCCCACGTGTCATGAGAGGTAATTGAATCATGGGGACGGTTAGTCTCATGCTGTTTTCATGATAGTGAGTAAGTTCTCATAAGATCTCATGGTTTTATAAGGAGCTTTTCCCCCTTTGCTCTGCACTTCTCCTTCCCGCCCCCATGTGAAGAAGGATGAGTTTGCTTCCCCTTCTGCCAGATTGTAAGTTTCCTGAGGCCTCTCCAGCCATGCTGAACTGTGAGTCAATTAAACCTCTGTCCTTTATAAATTACTCAGTTTTGGGCATGTCTTTATTAGCAGCGTGAGAACAGACTAATACACCACTTTTCTTGTTTATCTTTTCTTCTTGTTTATCAAACCATAAATATGGCATCTCTTTCTTTATCTCTGAAGTAACTCTTTCAGAATTTCCATTACTGTGGATTTTTTAAGGGTAAATTTTTAAATTTTATTTGTCTGATATTGTCTTTGTTGCACCTTCATTTTGAGATACGGTTTTGCTAAGTTTACAATTTTAGATTTGCTCTTATTTCTCTCGGCAAATTTGGGATATTATTCACTGTTTCTGGGCAACCAATATTTTCTTTTGAGAAGATAATTGCCAAGCTTTTAAAAAATATTTTATAAAAGCATCCCTTCTCTATGCCTGCTTAGATGTTTCCTTTGCTTTTTCTATCCTTTATTTTAGTGTGATATTTGTAGGTATAGATTTCTTTATAATTTTTCATCTTGAGATAGGGTGCTCCTATGTGAGCATTTCTGTATTTCTTCGCCACCAAAAGATTTCAGTCATCATTTCTGTATTTTTCTAGTCTCATTCTTTCTCATTCCTTTTCTAAGACTCCTATTAGATATATTAGACATCTCACTATAACTTCCGTATTTCTTAAGTTTTCTTCTATAGTTTTAAAAAACGTGCTTTCTGTGTAACATTTTAGAAAAAAGACTTTCTCTTTTCATTGCACAGCAGCACCAATTTTATCAAGTGTCTGTATGCTAACAGATTTGATCTGTTCTGTATTCTAACTGTCCATTCATGTGTCAATATCAATGTGCCTTATTTACAGTTGCTTTATAATGGTACTGATGTCCAAGAAACTTAGTCCTCCTAACTTACCCTTATTGGTTCTATTGTGTTAAAAAACACATATCATAGTTTGCCATCTTAACCATTTTTAATATATGATAATGTTAAGTATATTTACATTGTTTTGAAACAGATCTCCAGAACTTTTTCAACTTAAATTTAAACTCCATACTACAGAATTTAAACTTCATACTCATTAACCAACAATGCCCCCTTTCCTCCTCCCCTAGCTTCTGGTACTTTCTAGCTCTAAAAATCTGCCTATTTTTAGAAACTTCATATAAGTGTAATCATTTATTATTTATTATTTTGTGACTGGCTTATTTCATTTAGCATAATGTCCTCATTTGTATTTTAGAATGGAATAGAATTTCCTTACTTTTCAAGGCTGTATAATATTCCTGCATAAATACAACACATTTTGCTCATCCAGTCCTCTATCAGTGGACATTTGAGTTGTTTCTACCTCATGGCTATTGTGATTACTGCTGTTATAAACACAGGTGTAAAAATATCTCTTCAGGACTCTGCTTTCAGTTCATTTCACTCTATACCCAGAAGTGAGGTTGTCAGATCATATGGCATTCTATTAATTGTTTGAGGAACCACCATTCTGTTTTCCATAGCAGTTGCATAATTTTACATTTCTACCAACAGGCTGCAAGGGTCACGCACCTTCTCCATATCCCCACCAAAACTTGTTATTTTCTATTTTGGGGGGTAGTAGCTATTTTTAATAGGTGTAGGATAAAATATCATTGTAGTTTTGATTTGCATTTTTTGATGATTAGTGATGTTTTGCATCTTTTCATATGATTTTTGGCTATTTGTATATTATGTACTTAGAAATGTCTATTCATGTCCTTTGCTCATTTTTTAAACAGGTTATTTGATATTTTTGTTATTGAATTTTAGTAGTTGTTCATATATTATAGAAATTAATTCCTTATCAGATATATAATTTGCAAATATTTTTCCCATTCTATTGGTTGCCTTTTTACTCTGTTAATTGTGTCCTTTTATTAGCAAAAGTTTTTTTAAGTTTGAGGTAGTCCGTTTTGTCTGCTTGCTTTTGTTTTTCTGTACTTTTGGTTTCAAATGCAATAAATCATTGCCAAATGCAGTGTCATGGAGCCTTTTCTCCTATGGTTTTTTCTAGGACTTTATAGTTTGGACTTACATTTAGGTCTTTAATCCATTTTGATTTGTTTTTCATAAATGATGTAGGTCCAATGTCTTTCTTTTGCATATGGATATCTAGTTTTAGAAGCACCATTTGTTGAAGATATCATGCTTTCCCCATTGAGTAGTCTTGGAGCTACTGTGAAAGATAATTTGACCATACACATGAGGGTTTATTTCTCGACTGCCTATTCTATTCTATTGTCTTATATATCTGTCATGATACCAGTACCACAATGATTTGATTAGTGTAGCTTTGTAATATGTTTTAAAATCTGAAAGCATGAGGCCTCCAGCTGTGTTCTTCTTTTTGAAAATTGTTTTAGCTATTCAGAGTATTTTGAAATTCCATATGAATTTTAGAATTTTTGATTTCCTAAAAAAATTGCTGTTGAGATTTAATAGAGTTGCATTGAATCTATAAATCATGTTGGGTAGAATTGATATCTTAATATTAAGTCTTCCAACTCCCAAACACAGAATGTCCTTCCATTTATTTGAGTACACTTTAATTTTTTTCAGCAATGATTTGTAGTTTTCTGCATACAAGACATTAACCTTCCAAGTTAGGTTTCTTCTTAAGTAGTATTAGGTTGGTGTAAATGTAATTGTATTTTTTCCATTGAAAGTAGTGGCAAAAACTGCAATTACTTTTGTGCCAACCTAATAATTCATTTAAAAGCTATTTCAAATGAAATGATGGTTTTTCTTTTTCTTTTTCTTTTTTTTTTTACTTTTAAGTTTAGGGGTACGTGTGCAGGATATGCAGGTTTGTTACATAGGTAAGCATGTGCCATGGGGTTTCTTGTACTAACTCTTTTATCAACCAGGTATTAAGCCTAGTATTCATTAGTTATTTTTCCTGATGCTCTCCCTCCTCCCACCTTCCACCTTCCAATAAGCCCCAGTGTATGTTGTTCCCTTCTATGTGTCCATGTATTCTCATCATTTAGCTCCCACTTATAAGTGAAAACATGCAGTATGTGGTTTTCTGTTCCTGTGTTAGTTTGCTAAGGATAATGTCCTCCAGCTCCACCCATGTCCCTGAAAAGGACATGATCTCGTTCTTCTTTTATGGCTGCATAGTAGTCCATACTGTATATGTACCACATCCAGTCTGTCATTGATGGGCATTTGGGTTGATTCCATGTCTTCGCTAATGTGAAGAGTGCTGCAGTGAACATATATATGCATGTGTCTTTATAATAGGAGGATTTATATCCCTTTGGGTACATACCCAGTAATGGATTACTAGGTCAAATGGTATTTCTGCCTGTAGGTCTTTGAGGAATCAGCACACTGTCTTCCACAACGGTTGGACTAATTTACACTCCCACCAATAGTGTATAACATTCCTTTTTCTCCACAACCTCGCCAGCATCTGTTATTTTTTTACTTTTTAATGATAGCCATTCTGACTGGTGTGACACAGTGTCTCATTTTGGTTCTGATTTGCATTTCTCTAATAATTACTATGTTGAGCTTTTCTTTATATGCTTGTTGGCTACACGTATGTCTTTTGCAATGTGCCCATTCATGTCCTTTTCCCCACTTTTTAATGAGGTCTTTTTTTTTTCTTTTAAATTTGTTTAAGCTCCTTATAGATCCTGGATATTAGACCCTTGTCAGATGCATAGTTTGCAAAATTTTTCTCCCATTCTATAGGTTGTCTGTTTACTCTGATGATAGTTTCTTTTGCTGTGCAGAAGCTCTTTAGTTTAATTAGATCACATTTGTCAATTTTTGGTTTTGTTGCAATTACTTTTGGCATCTTTGTCATGAACTCTTTGCCCGCCCCTGTGTCCTACATGGTATTCCCTAGGTTGTCTTTTAGGGATTTTATAGTTTTGGGTTTTACATGTAAGTTTTGAATCTATCTTGAGTTAATTTTTGTATATGGTGTACAGAAGGGGTCCTTGACACCTACACCCTCCCAAGACTGAACCAGGAAGAAATTGAATCCCTGAACAGACCAATAATGAGTTCTGAAATTGAGGCAGTAATAAAAAGCCTATCGACCAAAATAAAGCCCAGGACCAGATTTATTCACAGCTGAATTCTACTAGATGTACAAAGAAGAGCTGGTACTACTCCTGCTGAAACTATTCCAAAAACGTGAGGAAGTGAGACTCCTTCCTGTCTCATTCTGTGGGGTCAACATCATCCTGACACCAAAGCCTGGCAGAGATTAAAAAAAAAAAACTTGAGGCCAATATCCTTGATGAATATCAATGCAAAAATCATCAACAAAATAATAGCAGACCAAATCCAGCAGCACATCAAAAAGCTTATCCACCACAATCAAGTAGGCTTCATCCCTGTGGTACAAGGTTGGTTCAACATATGCAAATCAATACATGTGATTCATCACATAAACAGAGCTAAAGACAAAAACCACATGATTATCTCAATAGATGCAGAAAAGTCTTTCAATAAAATTCAGTATACCTTTATGTTAAAAAATTCTAATAAACTAGATATTGAAGGAACATACCTCAAAATAAAAAGAGCCATTTATGACAAACCCATCGCTAATATCATACTCAATGGGTGGAAGCTGGAAGAATTTCCCTTGAAAACTGGCACAAGACAAGGATGCCCTGTCTTATCACTCCTATTCAACATAGTATCGGAAGTTCTGGTCAGAGCAGTTAGACATGAGAAAGAAATAAAGGGCATTCAAACAGGAGAGGTGAAGTCAAACTATCCCTGTTTACAGATAACATGATCCCATATCTAAAAAGCCTCATCGTCTCAGCCCAAAAGCTTCTAAGCTGACAAGCAACTTCAGCAAAGTCTCAGGATACAAAATCAATGTGCAAAAATCTCTAACATTCCTATACACCAACAACAGACAAGCCGAGAGCCAAATCACAAATGAACTCCCATTCCCAATTACCACAAAGAGAATAAAATACCTAGGAATACAACTAACAAGGGAAGTGAAAGACCTCTACAAGGAAATGATTTCTAAATTTCTTTTTCTGAGTATTCCTTGTTACTGTATAAAATGCAATTCATTTCTGCATATTGATTTTGATTTTTATCCTGTATCTTTTTTTGAATATATTAGTTCTAACAGTTGTATGTGTGTGCTTGTCCATGTGTGTGTCATCTTTAGGGCTTTTTACATAAATGATCATGTTATCTATGAACAGAGATAACTGACATCTTCTTTTTCAATTTGTCAGTTGGAACCCTGCCTGAGATTGGATGACGGAACATACATACATGGCTTCTACATGTGGCCTAGTCTTGCTTATAACCTAATAGCTAGAGTTACAAGGATGATCATCTGCAGAGAGAGATAGGGAGAGAGATAGTGCATTCAGGAGAAAGTATCACCTATTTCTAGAGTACACTCAGAAGTCATATAGCATCACTTATTCCTTCAGCTCCACTTTATTTATAAGAAATGATTAACTAAGGTTAATACATAAACTGAAGCAGAATTAGAATCCAACTTTTGATAAGAGAATTTGAAACATGTTGTAAAATTACCATACATGTCATATATTTTAACAAGAGAAAAGGATAAAGAGTATAGTTAATTGTATAGATGTTACGGCATGAAGTTAAGGTATACCTCACAAAATTGTATTTATTTCACTGATGATTTAGAGAGAAAGTCACCTGTTGAGAATGTAGAGGGAGGTGGCAGTTTCAGAGCTTAGGTGTTTGCTGAAGTACTGAGAAATTGATATTAAAAACTGGAAAATAATTTGAAGCATAAATTGGAAGTGATAATATTGCCCAGTTATTTGGGAATTTCTTAGTGGTGTTTATCAAGCATAACTCTTTAGAACTAAACAGACTACAAGTCCAAGATAGAGACTACAGCCAATTAGTGCAGGTATTTCTTCAGGATTTATGAAAGTGTAGATGTCTGAATAAGGTTGATGATAGAGAATACGGAGACAAATACAGAAATCAAATAACAAGGCTGAAGCTAGAAACAAAAAAGGAAGGAAACTAAGTCGAATAAAGTATGAACGCTGAACACCAATTTGGGACAGAAACACTGTGGTGAATTTCCAGAAGTGATCCAAGAATAATGCAGAGTTCAGAACTTGCTATCCATCGTTGTTTAGTATCTAGTCAGATAAAAAGACCTGAACTATTGTGTCTGATAAATTCCAGTGCAGTCCTTAACATTAATCTAAACTGAACCAACAAAATTAGGAATCAGTTCATCAAGCATAGTGAGGAGATATATACATACATATAATCAGTTATATATAACAGTACCTTATATATGTGTGTCTGTGTGTGTGTGTGTGTGTGTGTGTGTGTATTACAGTTCTATAATATCATAAAAGGCCTTTTTTCTGTCTTTGGAGTTTGAACCCTTCCCTCCTACTCACTAGCTACCTACACACACACACACACACACACACACACAGGCACACGTACAAAGGAGAAGCATGAGTATTCTAAGGATCTCTTACAATGAATATTATATTTTCCTGAGGCGATATGATAATGAGAATTTGCTTGAATCTATATAACATTCCCTTATTCTCATTGACTGCTGGGGAAAATATGCAATAGAGAAAACAAGGAGCCAAATCAAGAATAAATCACTACAGTTAGCTAGGATCAACAAACTAAAAAAGAGAAGAGTAGAAAAAGAGTCAAAGACTAACATGCTGATTATTCCCTGTTCCAGTCCAAAAAAACAGGGGCCACTAGAATACACAGACCTAGATAATCTTTGGTATATAGTGCTTAATTAAATTCAATATATTTCGTAGTTTGAGAAACCTATAGGAATTCTAGTGGTCAACAAGTTAATAAAAATTATTCATAATTCAACTTTATCTGTTATATCAGCAAACCTTTATATACATTTCTAAATGTGACACCCAATGTTTTACACTCTCCTTTTTTCGTTAGAAACTAAAGAGGATTTTAAAAACATTTCACTTTGGGCTATTTATCATATTTCAATATACATATCCAGATAAATTGCCATTTTTCACATTTATGCATTTTAACATTTTATGCCTCTTGGGAAAGTTCAACAAAATATTTTCTGACTTAAAAATATTGCTTTAATTTTCCTGTGTAGCTTATGGTAATGTTTTATTGTTTCATTGTCACATAAAATCTACCTTTATATTCATATCATGTTGTGTATATGCATTTTCAGATGTCTAGTGACAAAAACAAAATGTTAGCCAACACTACTAAGCAGAATAAGCTGGAAATTTAGAGTTGTCACTTAGTTATACTTTGTGACTTCAAACAAGTTTTAAAAGGTTTGTGCTTTATTTTTCTCACCTATACAATGAGCATGCTAAAACTAGCCCTTCTTATTTTATAACATCATAAAAATTAAAAATGACAATACATTTAAAAGATGTCTGTCTTAGTCTGTTTTGTGTTGTTATAACAGAAAAGAGGTTTATTTATCTCACAGTTCTGGTGGCTGGATAGTCTAACAGCCTGGTGCTGGAATCTGCTTGGCTTCTTGTGAGGGACATGTAATGCATCAAGCATGGTGGAGTAATGGAAAGGCAAGTGGATGTGGGCAAAGAAGAAGGGGAACCAAGGAAGCTGATCCACTTTATAACAACCTAATCCCATGGGAACTAATCTATTCCTGTGAGAATTAATCTAGTCTGTTTCACCAGAGCGAAAACTCACTCACTACCACAAGAATAGCACAAATCTACTCACAAAGGATCCACCCCACGACCCAAGCACCTCCCTCTAGGCCCCAGCTGCCAACCCTGCTGCACTGCCAACCAAATTTTAACGTGAGTTTTCATGGGCATAAACCACATCCAAACCATGCCAATATTTGTGTGTGTGTGTGTGCGTGTGTGTGTGTATTTTTTTGTGTGTGTGTGAGACAGAGTCTCACTCTGTCGCCCAGGCTGGAGTGCAGTGGTGCTATCTCGGCTCACTGCAACCTTTGTCTCTCGGGTTCAAGCTATTCTCCTGCCTCAGCCTCCTGAGTAGCTGGGACTACAGGCGCCCACCACCATGCCCGGCTAATTTCTGTATTTTTAGTAGAGACGGGGTTTCACCATATTGGCCAGGCTGGTCTCGAACTCCTGACCTTGTGATCCACCCACCTTGGCCTCCCAAAGTGCTGTGATTACAGGCGTGTGCCACCGCACCTGGCCACCAATATTTGTATATTCTAATGTTCTTTTAAAATATAAGTAATATTTTCATAGATAATAAGTAGAACTATTTAAAATAATAAATAAAATATGAGAAGGTAAAATTTTAAGTCAGATAAAAGAGTTTTCCGTGCACAAATAAATGTTCAGTTAAAAGTCAAAGTGAAAGTATTGCCTAACTTTTCTTAACAGAGCGTGTAGAAAACAGTTTTTCTGACTTGCTTCTCTGAAATTTCCTAAAAGCAACAGATACCAACTAGTTTGCCTTGAATTCTACGGCCATTCCTCTTTTTCATTAATAGATAGCAGGCGCCCATGTAGCTGATTCTTGTTCAAGAAGTCAGAGACTACTCTGGCTCATATAAACCATGCAAAGACGTTTGGTCTCATATGACTACCAGCATCATGGGAGCAGGTTCATGGTATCTTTCGACCCCTCTCTCCTACACATTATTAGAAGCCCCTCCCAATAAATCTACACCTTTATAAACAAAGCAACAATACCCCATAATAAGTCAATGATGTATTTCAGGGCAGTTAGCAGTATAGAAGATGCTTGTCCTCAGTTATCTCCTATAAATCACCATATTTATTATAAGCAATTTTTCCTACTTATAAGCAATTTTACTCTGCCCTATCTCAGGATTATATTAAGAGGGTGGAGAGGTAATGGATCTTTCCCCATATAATATATAAAATAAATGTCACTGAAGACTCTTAAGTCAGATTAGAAAACAAACAAAATGTTTCTGTATGAGTAGAGGCAGGGGCATTCTCAATAATAAACTTCTTAAATTACGAATATGAGGGAGAAAATTAAGGAAGCCCTAGAAAGTCTCTAACTCTCATGCTTAAAACTCAAAGCAGTTTACTAAAATTCTATTTAAGCTTTAGAAATCCAAAATAGCTTTCTGGTTGTTCTTCCCATGGTCGAATGAGAACATTGATAATACTGGCTAAATGCTGAGACCGTGCTTTTCTTTGTCATCATTTCAGGGCTTTGCAGTTAATCACAGCAACAAACCTACACAGCCAGTACTTTTAGTACCCCAGTACTTTACATAAGCACCCCGAGGCTCAATGATATAAAGTCATTTTATTCATGTAACTTGTTTATTGAAGAATTTTAATTGAGAAGAATATAAATAATTACTGCCTGAAATAAAAGATTATTAATACCCTGTTCTCTTAATAATATTTTCTGCACCTTCAGTTGAATCTCTTTCATGTCTTCTTTCCCAGTGCAGGTTTGATGGAGGACCCTGACTGCCTATAGTGGTTGAAGGTAGCAAGATCATCTTGTAGGCATCTCCTACCCCTATCTCCAACTCTCTTCAATGGTCAGAGAGTTGACATGAGAAAGAAAAGGCCTTTTTATTTAGCTCACAGTGGTTATAATTCCCTCTCCTTTCTTGCTTATTACTGCTTCTTTGGCTGGTGCTGACTGATATCTTTGTGGCAAGTATTCGAAAGCAGTCTTTTTGTGGAGGCACATCCTTAAGGGATTCTTGATCCACAATTCCTTGGATTTCTAATTTTGTTGGTTCAGTTTGTATTAATGTTAAAGACTGCACTGGAATCTTTCAGAGCCAATTCAGGTCTTTTTATGACAATGGACTCCAAAAAATGATGGAAAGCAATCCCCGAGCTCTTTATTTCTTTTAAATCAGTTTTTCTAGCAATTTACCACACTGCTTCTTTCCGCCATTGGCCCTAAGCCTTGATACACTATACCACTTTCCTTTCCTTTTTATTTCTAGCATAAGCTCATGAAAGTTGTCAGAATCAAAATGAAATCACTTGTATCAAACCCTGACAAAAGTAAATAAAGAATTCCAGGAGGCTGAGGAAGGAGGGCCCTTATGCATACATCTTTATGGTAAAAACCATTACAAAGACTCTCCAAAGAGCTCTTACACACACATGCCTGTAATGAGAACTTTTGCCAAGGACTTTCTAAACTGCAGCTTGCTGCATGAGTCACAAGGATAGCCAGCCGGATACACAAAAAAGCTTGCCTGATACATTCTCTCCACTAATGAACTGGCAACAACTACTGTGATAAGACCCTGTAACGAGTGCTGTCTTTGTTTCAGAGAAAATTAAGTGTCTTTCTTTTGCCTTTAAAATATCACCCTCTTGCCTCAACCACTTTGAATATGCATATGGTCCCCATAGCCTATATATCCCGATTTTCAAATTCCCTGCACACTCTCAAATAAACTCAATATCACTGGAGAATCTCTGTGATTTAGGTTGACAAGCCTTGCTATTTGATTTCCTGCATTTGTCTCTGTACTATCATGGCCTTTGTTCGGACACACACTTCCATTAATCTTGGAGAGACAACCTGTGCTAATTGCCTGCAGTCCCCATCCTTGAGCTTGTAACCTGGATACTTCCAATGAGTACAGTACACCTGAATGATTTGCCTCCAATTCTCTTCAATCACTCATACTTACTCCAAACCCAAATCCTAGCTCCTACCATAAGAGCATTCCACAGAGTTCCTAAAGTCACCTTGAGTGACAGACTGCCAGCCATCTTGGGAAAGATACCAGCAAGATGGCACAAACCCAGTTACCTGACCTGGTGTTCACTTGCCATCCAAAACAGGGAATCCAGACTGATTTATTGTCTCTGCCTCTCTATGACCTGACAACTCTCCTTTTTACTTCCCTACTTGCATAAACACATGGACAGATTAGTGAACCTGATCCATTAGCAGACATCAAGGTGATTAATAGAAAGACAATGTCTTCCTTCGTAATATACTTTCAATCTCCGTCGGTGATTCCCTTTGAACTTTTTCCTTTTATATGGCCTCGAATTTGGGAACTAGCCTTTCATCATACTTTGTTTTCACTCCTGCTACATAAAAACCACTCCAAAAGCTAGTGGCAGAAAACAGCAATTTTTAAACAGTTTTTGTCTAAGTTGGGCAGACATGGTGGCAGGTGGCTGGAATCACCTGAAGGTCTCTTAATTCATATGACCAGTAGTTAATGCTGTAAAGCTGGGGCTGTAAGCCAGAGCACCTACATTAGGACTCTCCTTGTGGCCTGAAATTCATCACAGCATGCTGGCCTCAGAATTTTTACATGGTGGCTCAGGGATCCAAATGCAAGTAGACAAGGCAAATAGCTAGGGAGAACCAGACAGAAGTTCCATGGTTTTTTTTTTTTTTTTTTTTTTTTGCCGTGAGAGTTCTACTGTTTCACTTCTGCCACATTCTACTGGTTATAAGCAAGTCACTGAGGTCAGTCAGCTCAGATCCAGGAAATTAACATCTCAATGGGAGGAGTGTCAAAGAATCTGCAGATATGTTTTAAAACCATCAGTCAACAATTCTGACATTTTCTACTCCATATCTCCATGCCTAAGACTTTTTTATACAAACCAGAAGAACGAATGGATTTAGATAGTGCATAGAGGGACTGGGTCAGCTTGGCAATCACTTAAGGTCCAAGAGGAGGTGTGTGGCCCCAGGCTTAGGCAGTCCTCTTTAGAATTCAGAGTACTTATTTATTTTTAAATATTTTTATTTATCAGTTTTATTGAAATAGAATTCTAACACCATGTAATTAACTCATTTGAAGCATACAATTCAATGGTTTTACATTCACACAATTATGCAGCCATCACCACAATCAATCTTTAACATTTTCATCACTCCAAAAAGAAACCACATACCCATTAGCAGTCACTCCCCATTACTCCCAATCCCAGCTCCTGGAAACCACTAATCTATTCTGTCTCTAAAGATTTGCCTTTTCTGTCTATTTGATGTAATTGGCATCATATAATATGTGGTATTTTCTAACTGACTTCTTTCACTTAGCTTAATATTTTCAGGGTTACAACAGGTTTCCCTGTTGTAGCCTGTGTCAGTACTCTGTTACTTTTTATGACAGAATAACATCCCATTATATGGATATATAACACTTTGTTTATCCATTCATCTGTTTGTGGACAGTTGGGTTGTTTCCAGTTTTTAGCTATTATGAACAATTCTGCTATGAACATTCAAGTACGAGTTTTTGTGTAGACATATGATTTCATTTATTTTGGGTATATACCTAGGAGTGGAATTGCTGGGTCATATGGTAACTCTATATTTAACTTTTTGAGGAATTGCCAGAGGGTTTTCCACAACAGCTGCATCATTTTACATTCCCACCAGCAGTATGTGAGGGTCCAATTTATCCATGTTCTCACCAAAGCGTGTTATTATATTTCTTTTTGATTATAGCTATCCTGGCAGGTGTGAAGTGGCATTTTATTTTGGTTTTCATTTGCCTTTCCCCGATGGTCAATGATTTTGAGTATTTTATTATGTTCTTATTGGCCATTTATTTATCTTCTTTAAAAAATGTCTATTTAAATATTTTGATCATTTTAAACTAGTTCATTTGTTCTGTTTTGTTTATAATTATTGGATTATAAGAGTTCATGTATGTTGAAGCCAGTTCCCTATCAAGTATATGATTAGCATTTTGTCCCATATTGTGGTTGTCACTTCACTTTCTCTATGATGCACTTTCAGGCACAAACATTTTAATTTTGATGACATCCACTTTATGTGTTTGTTATCTTTTGTCATTTATGCTTTTGGTGTCATATATAAGAAACCATTTCCTAATTCAAGGTCACCAATGTTCAATTCTATGTTTTCTTCTAAGAGTTCTATAGTTTCACATTTTATATTTAGGTCTATCATCCATTTTATATTTGAGTATGGATGTCTAATTCTCTCAGGACCATTAGTTGAAAAAAGGTATTCTTTCCACTGTTGTTAATTTATCATGGCACCCTTATCAAATATCAATTGACTATAATATAAGGGTGCGTTGGTGGACTCTACATTTTATTCCAATAATCTATATGTACTTATTTCTCTTTTGCTTCAGCTGTGGAGCCTAGTCACCAATCCCCTACCCGCCTCGAAAAATAAGAAGATGCAAATTCAACATATGTAACCATAACACTATACCATGTTGGTACACTCATGAATTGAGATGCATGCCAAGCCATGGCCCAAAGGGAGATTCAAAAGCCAAGTGAGGCTTAATTCCACTTCAATAATAAGCGTTGCCTAGGCCAGGTGAGGTGATTTACACCTGTAATCCTAACACTTCAGGAGGCCAAGGCAAGAGGATCACTTGAGACCAAGAGTTAGGCATGGTAGCATGCACCTATAGTCCCAGTTACTCTGGAGGCTGAGGTGAGAAGTTCTTTTGAGCCCAGGAGTTCTAGGCTGCAGTGAGCCACGAGTGCACCACTGCTTTCCAGCCTGTGCCACCGTGAGAGATCCTGCCTCAAAAAAAAAAAAATAATAATAATAAAATAAAAAAAGCCTAGATCATAATGTTCCTAGGCAGAGGATGAATCATCTGTGGAAAATCTGAATTAATCACATTGGCCTATGTTTTTTAAACTGGCCAAGCAAAATATAAGAGTGGCTTAGCCTGAGTTACTTCTCTTAGCAACCAGCTTCCTCTTTGTAGTTCAGTGAGGCTAACCCCTGGCCAAAGTTTTTCTACCTTTAATCTCAATTTTCATGACTAGGAGAATAAAATATATTCAGTCCTGAAAACCTGATTTCAACCTCAAATTGAACTAAACCACCACTTCCCAAATTATGCCATTTATCTATAAACAAATTGAGCCTGGCAGCTCAACCACAATGTGAGGCTCTACACAGAGAATTCCTGCATTGAAGCAATTTAGCAGACTTCATCGCTGACAATAAAGTGCTTTTGTCAAAATCAAGTCTTTAATTTCATCATTGCAGATAAATTGCTTAAGCTGCAATCCAATAGTAAAAGCTACAAATTGAAACTCATTTAAAAAGAATGTAACCAATTAGTTGAACAAATGGACATTAGATTTTGGTGAGAGAATACCTAAGGTCAATGCAAGAGTGGGACATTACAATACTGGATAAAAGAAAAAAAACTAGAAGCGTGCAAAAAAAGGAAGGCTAAGGTTGAAAAAAATTATGTGATTTTTAAAATATTTAGCAATATGTGCACAAAATATTTATACAATGACGTTTACAAGCTATTTTTGCACCACACATTTGTATACATGCACAGTGTATCAGGGACATAAATGATCCTTGCCAGTATAGCTCACCCAATTTAAGAATCATTTTTGAAGAAAGCCAGTATTTTAACAAAGGAGTTACATTTTCGAAGTTTGTTATGATCATGGGATAGCTCTGTTCATGTCTAGGTGTTTGTACTGCCTATATGTGTAAATTTACCTAGTAGCAGCTAACCTCAATTTCTTTCAAAATTCCTAATGACCTGATGGCCCAAACCACACTATGAACAATGATTTATTTGTATAATTTAATCAGTTATCTATGACTTCAAATAGGGAAATTACACAATCTTCGGCCCAAATAAGAAGCTATCTATTTGCTTATCACAGAAAAATTTTATTGAGAAGTAACATACAGATAATATCTGCTAATAGGCTCAATATCAAGTCCTGCATAAATCAGACATTGCTTGGCAATTAAGTTTATAAATGCAGATGCTCCTTGACTTATGATGGGGTTACATCTTGATAAAGCCATCATAAATTGAAAATATCGTAAATTGAAAATGCATTTAACACACCTAACTTGCTGAATATTATAGCTTAGTCTAGCCTACCTTAAATATGCTCAGAACATTTACATTAGCCTACAGTTGGGCAAAATCATCTAACACAATGCCTATTTTACAATATAAAGTGTTGAATATCTCCAGTAATTTATTGAATATTATACAGAAAGTGAAAAACAGAACGGTTTTATGGGTACTCGAAGTGCAGTTTCTACGAAATGTGTATCACTTTCACATCATCATAAAGTCAAAAAATTATGTGGAGACATCATAAGTCAGAGACCTTCTGTACTCACTTGCAAGCTATATAAGTATAGCCTAATTCTCTCAAAGTTCTCCAGGCCATATATATAAATAAAGGAAATATTAATATGATTGATTACATTTTATTCTTCCTCTTACTTGCCTATGCTGGTTACTCAAGCCACTCAAAGTCTTACCCAGTGTTGGGGTCCAAAGTGGTGTCTCATATGGCTCATGTTCTGCTCTGGACTACTTTCTTGATGATGATTACAATAGAAGACACTTGGAGGTAGCAAGACACCACTGCCAAGACTGATATGGTGAAAAAGACACAGTTGATATCCTCACAGGCATACAAACTTGTTGAATCCAAACATTGTTTTGTTTTCTTTATCAGGAAGAGTGTCTCTTTTCCCCCACTACTTCATCACATAGGTACTAGGTATAGTGATCATACAGTTTATTGTCAAAGCTGTGGTAAATGGGAGTGCTAAACAATTGGGACATCAGGTCAATAGAATAATGCGCGACTGTGCAGGGCAAAATAGGACATATGATCATCCTCCTGCTAGATCTCTGCTGCATGGGCTCCCATTTCTTACAGGGTCCCTGGTCGAAAAAGCACCTGTACGTTCTGCCTAGATTTTAGTCTCAATTGGCTTATATAGGAGTTGATGTATCCCAGGATAATAAAACAATGACAGAGAGGTCACCATTGGCTTTTCCAATGTGCTCCACCTCAAGTTCCCCCATAAAAAGTGAAGCACTTTTTTCCTTGTTCTCATTTAGGCTGGAATTCTCATTTCACAAATTGTCTCCTGGTGATGTGCAGTCCACCACCTTTGTAGACCTGTCTGGGCACAGCTCAATTTCCATTTAGAATTAAGAGTAGTCCCCTCCTATATTAATACACATTTGGATTAAAATGAGCTTAGGCATAAAAATCTCATATTCATGCATTTACAAATAAGTACATTCAAACCTATATACATACATACTATATATATATATATATATATATATATATATATATATTCCCTTTTATCTATAGACCCAAAAGAGGGAATCAGTGAATCAGTGAACAGAGGAAGGCAAGGAAGAAAAAGACACTAAAAATACTAAAAGTGAGGGACAGAAAATAAAAGCATTCTCAAAAATCATCAATGCTGAACCCAGCACTTCAGAATTATTGAATAGAGGAGAAATTTTATAAAAGTAGTTTTAAAGAAATATGTCAACTCAGAAACCTGGAGCCACTTATTAGTTTTTGGAGTGAAAACTTTTGAATCAAAAATAGGCAAGTAAACATTATCTTGTATTCCTTTCAGCACACTGATGATATTTTGTAGTGTGATGGATTGAAGTTGTTTCAGATATTCTACAATTTCAGTGATTTTCACCCACTGAGACTCTATTCAGATAAAGGGATCAATCTAAATTCTGATGGTTAAGAATTGTTTGTGCCACTTTTCAATCACATTTCAAGAAATCAACTGAATATACCAAATAATTCCAAAGCACTTTTGTCCTATCTCAACCCTTTGGATGTGGGTTTCAATGGGACCAAATTTTAAATTTTAATCCTTTTTTTTTTTTTAGCACAAAGTAGAAAGAAAGTTATTAATAGAAATTGTAAGACAAAAATCAGAGAATTGTCATATCATATCTTGGATTTTAAAAGTGTTTGAAACAGCTGTAAAGAAGCATTTTCACATTTTTTTAATTTGTTAAGGATTATATAATCTAATGTATTCCAGCTTCTTTTGTTTATTTTTTATATATTATCAGGAAGATCTGAATAAAATAAAGATTCTTCTTAATCCTACCTAATAGTGATTATGCCTTATACTACATACTTTCAACACTCTGGTTCTAATCAGTCCATTGTTTTGAGAACAGGAAGAGGAATTGGAATGTTTTAAAATGAATGGGTTTTATAAAGCCTTGTGGGAGGTGGTTTGAAAGATTCTAGAAACAACCTCACCCATCCTACTTGCCCTCTGTCAATGGAACATTTCCACTCCTCCCACTAAGTGGCAGTGTATACTTGCTATGTCTTTGAATCTGGGCTGTCCCTATGACTTTCTTTATGAGAAGAACGTGATAGAAGGGACACTAAGCAAACTCTGAGGCTTGGCTTTAAGAGACCTTGAAGCTTCAATTTTCACCCTCTTAGGTTTTGAATAGCCATGGCTATACTGCTGAAGAGGAAAGTGAGCTAGAGGTCTTGGTTACATGCCCCAATTGCCAGACGTAAGTGAAGCAATTTTAATTGTCCAGCCCCATTTTAGTCTCTGGATAATTGCTACCACATGAATGATCTCAGGCCAATATACAAGAACTAACCAAGTGAGCCCTACCAAACTATAGAAGTGTAATTAATGAATCCTTGACAATATGGGGGAATTATTTGTGATGTAGGAATAGAAAATAGATAAAAGCCTCAAATCCCACTATAATCTCCTTCTCTGTGATTATAACAAAAAACATATTCCTTTCCTCTCAAAAACTGAATTTCCATCTTGGCCCATTCTTTCCTGCATTTATCCTTTGTCAATTATCCCTTCTTTTTCACGTATATCATGTGTTTTCTACTATTACCTTTATATTAGTTTCTTCCTATTCACATTTAAATATATTTTATTCTGTTTTATCTTAAAATATAGTTTTCAGCTCTATCATCACCTCTAATTATTAGCACCTTTTCTCTTCCCTTTACAACCAAACAATTTAAAAGACAGCTACACTCAGTGATTTTGCTTTCACTTCATTTTTTCAACTCAGTGAAATCTAACTTCTGGAATGCAACAGAAAATGATATTACCAATCATCTTGCTACCCTTAAATCCAGTATAAATTTATTAGTTTTTTTCTGACTGAAATTCCCTGTTTCCCTCAATATAATGAGACATTCACTTGTCCTTTAAACACTCCCTTGACTTTATAACACTTGATCTTCCTGGTTTTACTCTAACAACTCTATCACATTCTTCTTGGTGTTCTTTGATAATTCCTTCTATTCTGCTCATCCCTTAAACTGTGGTTTCCTTTAGACCAGTGGTCAGCAAACATGGGCTGCAGGCCAAATCCAGACCTCTGCCTTTTTTTGGAACTAAAGTTTTATTAGAACATAGCCATAACTGATCATTCACATACTGCCTATGGTTGCTTTCATGCCACAATACTTGGGTTGAGTAGTTGTGACAGAGACCATATAGTCTGCAAACCCTATAATATTTTCTATCTGACCCTTTACAGAAAAAGTTTGTTGATCCATGACTTAGAGATCTAATATGAGTTTTATTCTGTTTTCACTATAAAACTTCCGTAAATGAGCTCACCAACCACACACGATGAAATTATCATCTATGTAGCTGATAACTCCCAAACATCCTGTCTCTAATTCAGACAATACATTCAAATCCTGTATTGGATATTCTCCCTTCATTTATCCATTCCATTATCCACTACTTTACTCTGATTTGTGACTAAAGAAGCTAGCCTCTAATGGACTGGATTCTCTTGCCCTTTTCTTTTAATTGGGTTACTTCAAGTGAAAATTCTAGTTTAAAATGGAAGGGCAAAAGGAAAGAAAGGGGTCAGGGTATGTATTCCACTGACTCTCTTCCTGACAAAACACAACTTGACTGTGTTTTTTTCTTTTACTGAAGGCAGTGTCTTTTTTCCTGTGATGCTCTTCTATAGCTATATGTCTTCTCAAATCCTGGTTACTGCTCATTCGCCTTTCTACCTTAGGCCTAAGTAAAGGCTTCCATCTGTTACTAGCATCAAGTGCTTCATCAATCTTTTGGTTTTCCTTAAGCACTACCTATATTTTATAGCAGTCCTACAATAAAATCTTCTTAATTATTCATTAAGGAGGTGCTTCCTATTTTCTTCCAGGATTCTAACATAGATCAGTTGCCTACTGGAAATATAAACATAGATATCTTATGGTAAATTCAACATAACATATTCTAAACTAAAGTCATCTTCACTGCCCCAAAATAATGTGGGGATGAGAGCTCTTTTTTCTATACTTCGAATTCTAAGAGATGGAATCAACTTCCACCAACTTACCAATGCCACAAACCTGTGTGTTTGTCTTGACATTTTTACCAATCTCTTACAGCCCAACAATAATGAAGTTTTATTGTTCTTATTAAATTCATGTCAAGGCCACTGATATCACATACCTAAGCACTGTGAAACACTTGATCACTATCCCTGCCTCCAGTTTTCCTCCCAACATTCTACTTTTTACAATGTAACCAGACTCAGCTTTCTAAATTGAAAATCTGACCACATTAACCCCTTTCTTAAAACTTTAAAACTATATATCTAAAATCAAGGCCAAATCCTTTAACATGGCATAGTTGGTCCTCCAGGCTATTAACCCGCTTACCTCTCTATCGTCATCCCTTTCCACTTTGTACATTGTATACCATGCTCTGAACCATACTCAATCTTTTACAGTACTTTGAAGGTGCCATATTTTATCTTCCTTCTGTGCCATTATATGTGCTATTCTTTACACCTGGAATAATTTTTCTCTCAACTTCATTTGGATAATTTCTAGTTATCTTTCAGATCCCACCTTAGATTTGACTACTCCCAGGAAGTCTTCCTTTGCATGCTCAGACTGAATTTATCACGCCTGCTGTGTTCTGCATCAGTGCTACTTCAATTGTAGCAGTAATTGCATTATTTTATAAGGTATTTTGTGATCTTCTGCTAGACTATCAACCAAGAAAGAGTAGAAACCTCATCTTTCTTATTCACCATTATATCAAAAAATGCATCAAATGCCCCTTCTTACCATAGTTCCATAAACAAAACATAATTAATTAAATTAATTTGATGATAAAGTGATTTACAATTTTAAATTATAAGTGACAATTCTAGATTAGATCCAATTTCATGGCAAATATTCCATGGCATATAATGCATCCATAACATTTGCAAAGGCCCTGCTCTCAATGTTGTTGGTAGAATACAGTTTTCTCAGGCAGGGCTTTGTGATCCTAAGTATTGACATAGTGGTCATAAAGGCAGGATACATAGGAAATGTTTTGGTAACTTGCAGGTACCACAAGAAAAGGTAAATTACAACATTTGGAATAAACTGCTTAGACATAGTTTCTTCTACCATGAATCTTCCAGAATTAGGGCTTCTGTACTCAGAATCTAAACAATGCCAGATTAATATTTTTGCTTGTGCTGAAGAGACATTTGCAAGCTATAAATATTGTGAAATCTAGAATCTCATCTACAGTATGAAGAGAAAACCAGGTATTGCCATGCATTTGAGGAAAACCAGTTGCATGGAAGAGAAGTGCCAAATTCATCAAAAAGAAGAACAAACTCACAATTCAAGAGAGTTAAAACGGAAAACATAACAGATTTAAAATAAATAGAATGCATATTTTCAGAATAATACAAGCAGATATTGAAGATAAAATTATTAAATGTAACTAAATTTAAATCAAGATTTCTCAAGTTAGAAAGCAAAATTACAGGCTAGTTTGTAGAAAGGATGATTTCAGAGAACATAATTTATGAGCTGGGGGATATTTCAAAATTCAGGAGAAAATAAGAAAGGAGTGAGAAATATGAGAAAAATGTTAAGTGACAGGATAAAACTAGACACACCAGAACCCATCCAATGAAATTTTCTACCAAAATAACAAAACTCAGACAGAAGAAAATACACTAAAAATGTAGACAAGAGTTCTGTTAAATGATGAAAGATTAATATATACTCAGATTGGAAAAGGTCGTTTAGTGATGAGCAATAAAGAGAACGAAAGATTCAATTCTAGACCCACTTCTGAGGAAATTTCTGACACTTATATCAAAATATTTATTACTATTATTCCAGGAAGACATTCCAGGACAAATTGGAACTCCTTTTAAATCTTTCCCATGTGAACCTTCTCATAAGGAATCAGAATATTTTACCATATGGTATGATTACACTTGAATTCCAACTGATATAATAGAAAGTGATCTGTAACTTTATTTAATAGCAAATTTGAGGAACTGGGGCTACAGTATATTGTAGTCTCCACTTCCCTACTGTGATTCACTGCTTGACATTTCCTTTTAGTGTCCTGCGAGTTTATAGTGAGGAATCTAGTATTTCAGCTTGAAGGGCTATTTCTACACTTCATCTGGACAGGCTCCCTCTGCATTAGAAAATGGGGGGTGATTTTCCCATTAACTTACCATATGAACGATAAAGTGGCTTTGTGAATCATCTTAAATTCCCCTAACCCACATTCACCTCACTTTTGGTATACAGGTATGTCATATTTCTACTCTTCCACCCTTAAAACAGAAGGTTGATTTTAAGTATTATTTATTATGCTCCTACAAAGAATCTTCAGAGTTGTTGTGCTATTGAAAGACTCTGCCATGTTTCAGAATCTCTATGCTGCCACTGAGTGGCATATGGCTAGACAATTTACAGCCTCGACATGTATATAAGTTTAGCTGCATATGGAGTGAGTTTATTTGATATACCTAAAAGGAAATTAATGCATACCTAAAAAGAAATTAATAGGCAACCTAGTTTCTTGCCAAAGATTATGAAATAAGGAAAAAACAATTGTGGTGGTTAATTTTAAGTGTCAACTTGACTGGATTAAGAAATATCTAGAGAATTGATAAAGCATTATTTTTGAATGTGTCTTTGAGCTTGTTTCTAGAGGAGATTAGTATGTGAGTATGAGTGGACTAAGTGGGGAAGATCTGCCTTCAATGTGTCTAGGCACCATCCAATCAGCTGGGGACCCAGATAGAACAAAAACAGAGGAAAAGGCAACTTGGTTTCTCTCTCTCTCTCTCTCCTGGAGCTGGCACGCTTTCCTTCTTTTGCCCTTGGACATGAGAACTCCAGGCTCTCCAGATTTGGGACTCCAAAGTTTACTCTAGAGGCCCCCAGGTTATCAGGCTTTGGCCTTGGACTAAGAATTATACCATTGGCTTCCCTGGTTATGAGGCTTTTGGACTTGAACTGAGCCATGTTACCAACATGAAGATGGCCTGTCATGGGACTTCTAAGCCTCCATAATTACATGAGACAATTCCCCTAATAAATCCCCTCTTATATCTGTATTTAAATAGACAGATAGATGGATAGATAGATAGATAGATAGATAGATAGACAGATAGACAGATATCTTGTTGGTTCTGTCTCTGTGGAGAACTGTGACTAACAATGGTGAAAATCCTCATAGGATTTTAGGCATGTAGTAACAATTCAACCCATTGTCTGAAAAATTTCCTCGGTTTAGTGGCAATAGCATAAAATAACTAGTAAAATTAAGTTAATATTTTCTAATGAAAGTACTTATTTGTGGGTGATAAGAAGCAAATCTGCTTTTCTACATTCTAGAGGTCTGTGTGCTTCCCACAGAAAACAACTCTCATAATCTAATCCTTGATCATATTGATTTCTACCACTAAAGCTATATAGTGAATGGTATATTACCCAGAATGACACAATGGTGGATACTTTATGGTCCTTAGTGAAATAAGCTTATGCATAGGAAGTCAAGTAAGCATGTCATCAATTATATTCTCTAAATTCTGGAAGTCATAGTCTAATAAGATGAAGTCTAATAACTCTATTTCTAGATACTTTCATCTCTGTGAAGTCTCCAGGCATTTGATCTGGATTTATTCTTTGCTGTCATCCATTCAAACTACTGGATCTAGATACATGCTAAACTCTTCTCCCCTACCAAATGAGTTGAGTCATCAGCTAACATTTTCAACGCAAAGAGCAGTATGTTGATGACATCCATGTTTTTCATCCTATTATCACTAAGTGCTGAAGTACTTAGCAGGACTCACGGTAATAAATTAACATCTAATCTAGGTATGTTATGTAATAGTTTTAAGATACTTAGAGACATCCTTGACTCTTAGCAAAGAGCTATTGGTTCTTTCCCTTTTCACCTTCTCAGCTAGGAACAAGTCTGCTGTTTACTTCACTCTTCCAACCTGCCTGAAGTAGTAATTTCCCTGGTGGTAAGTATTTTATGGTTACCACAAATGTTACCACCGAAGGATCTCTAAAAAATTCATCTGCAATACTTGAGCAGTATCTTTTGTCATTTAATATTTTAAATGTGTCCTTTCCTTTTAGAAAATCCCAAATTTTTTTTTTGAGACAGAGTCTTGCTCTGTTGCCCAGGCTGGAGTACAGTGGCGTGATCTGGGCTCACTGCAACCTCTGCCTCCTGGGCTCAAGGAATTCTCCCGCCTCAACCTCCCAGGTAGCTGGGACTACAGGTGCATACCACCATGCCCAGCTAATTTTTGTATTTTTTAGTGGAGACAGGATCTCGCTATGTTGCCCATGCTGGTCTCGAACTCCTGGGTGCAAGTGATCCACCTGCCTCAGCCTCTCAAATTGCTGGGATTGCAGGTGTGAGCCACCACATCTGGCCAGAAAATACAATATTTCAATTAATTTATGTATGTTGCAAGTAAGAAAATGCACCTATATCTCTTTGATCCTCTATCATGTAATGAATATAGAACTTTCAGACAGTTAGTGTAGTCACCCTTCACTGCCACACATTTTATTTGTTCTTGGTAACTTTAATGTAAGTGAACTGCTGCCATTGTCTACTTCAAAAGGCATCCTCAAACTTGCTAGGGATGGAGAATTTTGGTTCAATAATTCACATTCCACAGTACAGATTTACACTCTTAGAACAATTTTGACTAGTGACTTATATTAGCTTTAACTTGAAAAGTCACAGTTTATATGTACAATGAAGTACCGAGTGGTTAGGATTTGTGACACTGCTCCATATTAAACAGCTCTTACGTGCCACATCAGATTGTCTTGATTTCCCCTATTTCTGTAGCTCTTGGCTACTGGTTTCAAGTCTTCCTCTGATACGCACAGCAACCACTGCTGAAGTTATCAATTCTGTGTGATATATGCAGCCACAACCTAACATGACCTTGCCTCATTCTTTTACATTGTGCCTCTGGCCTTCCACCTAGAACTTCCCTGTTGCTACTAAGGTGTGGGATAAAAGAAAAAAATAACAAAAAATATGGGAGAGTTGAAACTTTAGCTTTAAACTATGAATTAGAAGCCAATAAATGAAATGTTCACTACTCTTCCCTCCAACAAACTTTCCTGGGTCTCAGTAGTTCATAAGACTTTTCACAAAGCTGTTCATTGAGATTAATAACCAGTTATACCTGATGCCAAGTAGAAGCCAGTTTGGTAATCCTCATATTATCTCTTCCCCATCTCAGTCTTTATTTATCTTACTCTTGCTCCCCTAGGATTGCAATCCCTAATAAACTAGTTGCAGGTAATATTTCTCTCAGGCTTTTCTTTTTTGGAGAATCCAGACTGATGGTTGATATCGGGAGGGACCCCAGAAAACAGACATATCCTTCCTCTTTTAGGTGAATTTTTGGAGTTGGATTAATCATCACATTAATGCCAATAGGGATTCCTTTTCTGGTGATAGGTGAGGTAGTAATGTCATGCAATGGCATCAAAAATCAAAAAGTCTCTTTAAAAAAAAAAACAAAATCCTTTGGTTAATTAGAATGAATTGTAGTTTGATGGTGAGATTTTGAAATACATGGTTGCTATAGCAATTGAATTGTATGAAGCCAAAGATAATTTTGAATGGTTGTGGTGTAGGCTGGCTTCTGTTACTAACATTTAAAGCCTAGCAAAAACGAAATAAAAGCTTTAGGGAAGCCAACTGACAATGCGTAGCATGCTATAAAAGCCAGAGAACCTTATATTCCCAATAGCTGTGAGGCAGACAGGGTAAGATCTTGTTACAAACAAGCTGTTAAACACACACACATACACAACCAATTATAAGATATTATAAAAAATATAATAAACACTGACTGGATATTTGATGGTTTTAAGGAATTGTTACTAATTTTTTGGTGTTATAAAGGTACTTTGGTTACATCTATATCTATGTCTATCTCTCTCTCTCTCTGTCTCTCTCTCTCTGTCTGTCTATATATGTCTCTAGTTGGTTCTGTCTCTCTGGAGAACCATGACTAACACAATAATGGAAACAAATATGTATATATCTACAATGAAATAACTATGGCACAGATTTGCCACAAAATGATTGGGTGATGGGAGTCAGTAGGGATATGGTTAAAGCAAGATTTGTGAAGCATTGATTTTTGAACCTGGACAATGAGTGCATAGTCCCTCATTTTATTATTTTATCTATCCTTATAAGTAGTTGAAAATGTCTATACTATGTATTATTCTTTTTAAAAATCAGGTCTAGGAGTTGGTTGGAGTCTTTTGTAGCACAACTACAAAAGAAAGATGAAATATGCAGCATTGACAGTATCCTATGACAAAATTAGGACCCTGATTAAAAAAAATGGGGTCCTAAAATCTGGAATGGAGGCATATGGTAGATGAGCCTGAGAATGTTACACTCACAGATTTCTCTAAAACCTCCAGGCCAACAGAAGCAATCTCCTCCACTTCTATGTATATATCTTAAAAAAAAAAGTAAATTGAAAGCAAAGACTAAGATGTTTGTACACCAATGTTCATAGCAGCCTTATTTACAATAGTCAAAAGGTAAAAAGACCCAAATGCACATCATTGTATTTTTTAAATAGATTAAGAAAATCATTGTGGCATATGTATGCAATGGAATATTATTCAGCCTTAAATAGAAATAAAATTTTGATGCATGCTGCACGTATAACCCTTGAAAACATTATACTAAGTGAAATCAACAAATGCAAAAGAACAAAATGTTTATGGTTTGACTTACATTAAGTACCTAGATAGTTAAATAAATGAAGACAGAAAGAATAGCCATTACCAGAGCCTAGAGAGAGAAGAGATTGGAGAATTATTATTTAATAAGTACAAAGTTTCAGTTTGGGATGGTGAAAAATTTCTAGAGATGGATATTGGTGGTAGTTCCTAACAACATGAATGAACTTCATGTGACTGAACTGAACTGTGCACTAAAAATGATTAAAATGGTAAATCTTATATTTTGTTTATTTTTACAGCAAAAAACAATTTTTTATGATTTGTGATTTTTTTTGTGTTCTATCTTAAGAAATGTTTGCATACCCCAGGGGTGCAAAGATATTCTCCTATGGTTAATTCCAGAAGTTTTTTGGTTTTAACTATTACCTCAATGTATGTGATCTATTTCAAGTTACTGTAAAGTACAAGATAAGAGTCATAGTTTATATTTTTCCATATGGTTATCCGGTTGTTCCAACACCATTTGTTGAGAAGATAATCCTTTCCTCATTGAAACACCAAGGCATATTAGATGAAAATCAATTGCACATATCCTATTCCGTTGATTTACGTCTGTCCTCATGCCAAAACAATTCTGTTTTAATTGTTACTGATTTACAGTTTTCACATCAAGTAGTCTAAATCTTCCAACTTTGTTATTTTTCAAATGATTTTGTCTATTTGAGTTTCTTTGCATTTCTACATATATTGTCCTATTAGCTTGTCCATTTCAACAAAGGTCCTTCCTGCTGTGACTTTGGTTGAAATTTAAGTAAATCTGTAAATAAATTTGTGTAGAAACAACATATTAACAAGATTGAATCTTCAAATCTGTGAGTATGGTACACTATCTGATTAGTTATTGTTTTTATTTTCTCTAAGTAAAGTGTGATATATAAACCCTCTTTCTTAGAGTAATTTTAGGTTCACAGTAAAATTGACTGGAAGGTAGAAATAGTTTAAATATACTCCCTCTCCTCACATAACCTCCCCCACTATCAACACCACAGTATACATTTGTTACACTGCACCACAGTGGTACATTTGTTACAATCATTGCACCACAGTGATATATTTGTTACAACCGACAAACCTACCTTGACACATCTTTATCACCAAAGCACATCATTCACACCAGAGTTCACTCTTGGGAGTGTACATTGTATGGGTTTTGATAAGTGTATAATGGATATTCATTATACACATTGTATGGGTTTTGATAAGTGTATTATATATATTCATTATACATAAATGTATAAAGTGTATATGTATTTTGATAAATGTATAGCCATTATTGTAATATCACACAGAATATTTTCACTGTCAAAAAATCCTTGGTGTTCTACCTATTCATCTCTTCCTCCCCTCAACCTCTTAGAATCACTGATCTTTTTACTGTCATGATAGTTTTGCCCCTTCCAGATTGTCATATAGTTGGAATCATATAGAATGTAGCCTTTTCTGATTGGCTCTTTCACTTAGTAATGCATTTAAGTTTCCTTCATGTCTTTATATGGCTTTATAGCTCATTTCTCTTTAATGTATGATATGGTTTGGATCTGTGTCACCACCAAATCTCATGTCAAGTTGTAATGCCCAGTGTTGGAGGTGGCACCTGGTGGGAGGTGGTGGGATCATGGAGGTGGATTTCCCATGAATGGTTTCACATAACCCCTTGGTGTTGACCTCATGATGAGTGCGTTCTCCTTACATATGGTTGTTTAAAACTATGTAGCACCTCCCCCATTTTCTTGCTCCTGCTCCCAAATATTAGACACCTTGCTCCCCTTTGCCTTCCAACATGATTGGAAGCTTTCTGAGGCCTCCACAGAAGCAGAAGCCGCTATGCTTACTGTACAGCCTGCAGAACAATGATCCAATTAAATTTCTCTTATTTAAAAATTACCCAATATCAGGTATTTCTTCATATCAGTGCAAGAACAGACTAATGCAATGTAGAACTCTTATACCTAGATTTCTAGACTTCACCTAAACATTTCATGTTTTGAGATGCAAAAATTCAAATTTCCAATTTTTCTTTGCTTATTTATAAAAATGCAATTCATGTTTGCTTATTGACATTATAACCTGCAATCTTGTTTGGATTACTAATCAGTTCTAATAACTTTTTGGAGATTCCTAAGAATTTTCAAGTGTACAATCATACTATACACATTTAAGATAGCTTTATTTCTTTATTTTTAATCTCTAAACCTTTTCTTGTTTTTTTTTCACATTTATTAGATCTTTCATTAAATTGTGGACTAGAAGTTGTGGGAGTGAACATCTTTATTACTGATTTTAGGGATAAAAATGCAGTATTACACAAGTAATATGATGTTAGTTGTAAAATTTTTCATAGAAATTTTTTATAACTATATTAGGTAGAGAAAGTCCTAAAAGAACTTCCTAGTTTGCTGAATCCCTTTCATATGAATAGGTATTGACATTTGTCATTTTTTTAGCATATACTGAGATGACACTATAGTTTACAGGAAAATCACTAGTAGTTATGCTCTGACATGCCTGAACCTTTGCAACGTAAGTGGGTGAGTAGTAAATAAGGAGTGAAAAGGGGTGGAAAATAGGAACTAAAAATGAACATGATAGCAGAGGGTACTGTGAGCTCAATCAAAAGGTGGAAGAATTTGAAGGATACAAGAATCACTTCAGAGATACCAAATTTCCAGTTAGGAAACTTAGAAGCAAAACTCAAACTGAGTGCCCTATCTGTACTAATGCTATAAAATATTATTTCAAAACGTGAAAAGGAGAAAAAAGTAGGTCACTTACAGGCACATTGGAGTTGTGGAATCCTAGGTTTTGAGATTGTTCTTCATAGTTTCTCTAATTTATTTACCTATCATTTGTTTCAAAGTTTTATTGACACCACTAGTGATGAAAACTCCTTTCCATATTATGTTTTGTCACATATTAAATATTTGTATTGCTTTTACTTATTAGGCAGTATTCTACTCTGGCACCAAATAGAATTCACTTGATAGCCTTCGATATTTAATAACAGCTACCCACCATAAAAAATGCATTAGAGGTTCTATAATGTCATCCCATATGTAAAAGAAGACTATTGCAAAAACTGAGATAGAGAAGGTAAATACCTGATATAGAGTGGTTTTAAGCACATGTAAGAACAGTTAAAAAGATAAAATCAGTAGAACATTGGTGAGTTGAGGAGTGGTAATAGGTAAGAGTCAAAAATAAAGTTGCATTACCTAACTTTGATGGTGTTGACACATTATCCAGAATAAGGAAGACAAAAAAAAAATCTTGGCTAGGGGTGGGAGATGACATCATCATTGTCTTCTTCTTCTTCTTCTTCTTCTTCTTCTTCTTCTTATTATTATTATCATCATCATCATCATCATCATCAGGACTATTGTGATTATTGTTGTTTTAGAATCTGTTAATCTCAGAGCACTTGTAGAACAATCAGGTGAGCTGTCCAGAAAGTGACTGGAAATGTGAGTTTTGCCTATCTTCACTATTATAAAGTGGTGAGTGCAATTCTTGGGCATGTGTATTTCATACTACTATTTCTACATATCTGAAATAACAACAATAACACCTAATATTTCTACATCTCTGAAATAAGAAGAATAACACCTACTTCATAGAGTGATTGTAAGAATAAGGTGAATTAACATGCATAAAGTGTAAAGAACAGCACTCGGATCACAGTAAATGCTCAATAGTTACTACAGTCACAAACTTTTTGTTTCCATAATACCGAAAATAATAAGAAAATGCATGCATTAGAAATATAAGTTTGATATGACATACTAATAATACTAGGGAAATATATAAATTTTAAGTTATTTTGGAGCATTAGTAAAATTGTAGATTCATGTCAAATTTCCTTCCAATACTTTAGGTAGTCAAATTGACTCATTTATTTGGTGTGATAGCCTTTGGTTCAATTTACAAAATATGTTTGTTTCTCTGGCAATTCAGAATTTTTAATCTCCTGACGAATGAATTTGTAACTGAACATGTGAGATGCTTTGGCTTAACAAATGTGAGTAGAACATAATGTGTCATTTCCAGACTGAATCACCAATTTCCCTCTGTCCCTCTAACATTGCCTAGGCCCTAAAATGAAGAGAGCATATAGCTCTCCTGCATAGTGGGAACAAGAAAGATACCTTGATATAAGCCACTCACATGTTTTTAACTGCAAGATAATCTACATAACATCATCTACCTTGATTACTACAGAAATTTGTACCTAGAAATGTGGTGCTGTCATAACAAAATCTTAAAATAAGGACCGAGCAGTGGGTGGTGAAGAGCAGTGGGTGGCAAGGAGCAGTGGGTGGTGAGGAAACAGTTATTAGAAGCTGTAAAGATGGTGATTCATGTTGTGCAGTGGCTAGTCATTTGATAAAGTTTTTGACAGAGTGAATCTGGAAGAAAAATTGTGCACCTACTAAATTTGTAAATCAGGAAATAAAGATTGAAAAGGAATGCAAGTGTGTATTGGATGTTCTTTGCTACATTTGATAAAGTACTACAAAAAAGACATGGCAGCTGGGCGTGATGGCTCATGCCTGTAATCCCAGCACTTTGGGAGGCCGAGGTGGGCAGATCACAAGATCAGGAGATCGAGACCATCCTGGCTAACACGGTGAAACTCCATCTCTAGGAAAAATACAAAAGATTAGCTGGGCATGGTGGCACACGCCTGTAGTCCCAGCTACTCAGGAGGCTGAGACAGGAGAATTGGTTGAATCTGGGAGGCAGAGGTTGCAGTGAGCCAGGACCTCGCCACTGCACTCCAGCCTGGGCAACAGAGTGAGACTCATGTCAAAAAAAAAAAAGACATGGCCTGGTTAACATGCAGGAATAAAAGGAAAGAGTGAGAGTCTAGAAATTTGGGAATTTCTGAAATTAGAAGAGGACTACTTTTTAACACTAATTGGTAAAATGTATATCTGAGAAAGGCTTTGTGAGACAAAGTCCAATTAAAATCCAGCCTTATGGCAAAAATCAAACCTAGAGTATACCCTCACTATTAAAATCTCTGAACAGATTAAGGTCTATCAGAGAGAAGACTCAGTTAAGGCGTTTACACCCAGTAAATACTTTCAGTTGTACAAAATGGCTCAAGAAAAAGAGAATAAAGTTATGGTTCTCCTTTTAGAACTTGACTAACTCAAGAAATAAGCAATTAAGTTGAAAGAGTGATATGGAAATGAGAAAGTAAAGAAATGGAACAAATTTACTAGGCATGTGCAGAAATGGACTGTGTGCATTGCTTTTAGATCAAGGAGCCAACTATAATTAAATACATAATAAGCCTACTAAATTTCTTAAGAGAATGTTACCGCAAGAGAAACAGAAAACTTTATGACACTTTAAGACTCAAAATAATCCTTATACCACCAACTTTCTAGTGGCAGCAGGCTCAGAAAACCGCAAAGACCCCAAGGAAAGATGTTATTCAGTGCTTATTTCAGATGTTCCACTTTGGATACATCTGGATACATTTTGGATAGTGGAAAAGGAAAAATCTTCAGAGCTTGTAGCCAGAGATGGTGGAGAGCAATGAACTGGGCATACCTTCTCCATAGCATAATCAGGGCCCAGTCAAAGAACATTCTACTAACTCACACTTCCTCCAGCTTTTATACTTGAAAAGCAGGCCTTCCTAACATTTGCTCAGTCATAGTGTAGAATTTCTATGAACCCTGGACACTCTATGTTTCTCATTCTTCCCTTATACACATGATAACTGATTATAATTTCCCAGTTTCATGTATATATGAAATACATATATTTATAGAATATATATAGTTATTGGTGTGGAACATATAACTTGTTTGGTTTTTTTTTAATTTCATAGATCATAGGACTCTGAGTCAAGAGTAATCATGCCTGAACTTATGTATAGATTCTCATACATCACTCAGAAGTTCTGAAATTTGAACAAATATGTAACAAGATGGGGTTGTGAACATTTCTCTCTTGAAGAGGTGACAGGGAGATGTGTGTATTTTGCCTGCAAGAAGAAGAAGCCTAATATTTGCTAACCAGCAGTGCAGACTGTGACAGTCAGCTTTACACCAATATTTCTGGTTCTTTTTCCAGATATTTGTCAGAATTGCACTTATCTGCCCTCTTGAAGTTGAAGCCAGGTGACTTGTTCTAATTAATGAAACATAAATGGAAATGATGTGTGCCACTATGAAGCAGAAGTCTTAAGGAAGTTTAAGAGAAGTATGAGATTCATGATGCTCTGTCTTTAACTTTGCCAAAACAACCCCAATGTTTGTGATAGTGGCTACTACATAAGCATTGATCCTGAGTTGAGACAATGTAGTGCAAATTTTCCAGCCAATCGACCATGCACATGGAAGATGAGTGAGATTTACATCTTTTTTATTATTATTATTATACTTTAAGTTTTAGGGTACATGTGCACAACTTGCAGGTTTGTTACATATGTATACATGTGCCATGTTGGTGTGCTGCACCCATTAACTCGTCATTTAGCATTAGATATACTTCCTAATGCTATCCCTCCCCCTACCCCACAACAGTCCCAGGTGTGTGATGTTCCCCTTCCTGTGTCCATGTGTTCTCATTGTTCAATTCCCACCTATGAGTGAGAACATGCGGTGTTTGGTTTTTTGTCCTTGCGATAGTTTGCTGAGAATGATGGTTTCCAGCTTCATCCATGTCCCTACAAAGGACATGAACTCATCATTTTTTATGGCTGCATAGTATTCCATGGTGTATATGTGCCACATTTTCTTAATCCAGTCTATCATTGTTGGACATTTGGGTTGGTTCCAAGTCTTTGCTATTGTGAATAGTGCCGCAATAAACATATGTGTGCATGTGTCTTTATAGCAGCATGATTTATAATCCTTTGGGTATGTACCCAATAATGGGATGGCTGGGTCAAATTGTATTTCTAGTTCTAGATCCCTGAGGAATCGCCACACTGACTTCCACAATGGTTGAACTAGTTTACAGTCCCACCAACAGTGTAAAAGTGTTCCTATTTCTCCACATCCTCTCCAGCACCTGTTGTTTCCTGACTTTTTAATGAACGCCATTCTAACTGGTGTGAGACGGTATCTCATTGTGGTTTCGATTTGCATTTCTCTGATGGCCAGTGATGATGAGCATTTTTTCATGTGTCTTTTAGCTGCATAAATGTCTTCTTTTGAGAAGTGTCTATTCATGTCCTTCGCCCACTTTTTGATGGGGTTGTTTGTTTTTTTCTTGTAAATTTGTTTGAGTTCATTGTAGATTCTGGATATTAGCCCTTTGTCAGATGAGTAGGTTGCAAAAATTTTCTCCCATTCTGTAGGTTGCCTGTTCACTCCGATGGTAGTTTCTTTTGCTGTGCAAAAGCTCTTTAGTTTAATTAGATCCCATCTGTCAATTTTGGCTTTTGTTGTCATTGCTTTTGGTGTTTTAGACATGAAATCCTTGCCCATGCCTATGTCCTCAATGGTGTTGCCTAGGTTTTCTTTTAGGGTTTTTATGGTTTTAGGTCTAACATGTAAGTCTTTAATCCATCTTGAATTAATTTTTGTATAAGGTGTAAGGAAGGGATCCAGTTTCAGCTTTCTACATATGGCTAGCCAGTTTTCCCAGCACCATTTATTAAATAGGGAATCCTTTCCCCATTGCTTGTTTTTCTCAGATTTGTCAAAGATCAGATAGTTGTAGATATGCGGCATTATTTCTGAGGGCTCTGTTCTGTTCCATTGGTCTATATCTCTGTTTTGGTACCAGTAGCATGCTGTTTTGGTTACTGTAGCCTTGTAGTACAGTTTGAAGTCAGGTAGCGTGATGCCTCCAGCTTTGTTCTTTTGGCTTAGGACTGACTTGGCAATGCGGGCTCTTTTTTGGTTCCATATGAACTTTAAAGTAGTTTTCTCCAATTCTGTGAAGAAATTTATTGGTAGCTTGATGGGGATGGCATTTTGTAAGTAGTCAAAGTTTGGAACTTGTTTTTATTGTAGAATAATTTAGTCTACCCAATTAAGTTATTTTATTTAAAGTATTAATTGATATCCTTAATATGCTTTAAAAACAATGGTGACTTATTCATTAAAAATATCAGATAATTTTAAAACAGGAAAGTTACACATATATACACACAAATAAACTTTTTATTTTTAATAAAGAACTATCTTCAGATGATTGTATTTTTCATTTTAGAAATTACTAAAATATTTTTCTTATACTGTTTAGTTAGATTAAAATGATGTATTTCCAGGATTCAGAGTACTTTTTAATTTTCCTTGATATTTCTAGTCTAGTGAAATAGCTCATATAGAATTAGATGTTGAAATAGCTCATATAGAATTAGATGTTCCTTGTAATCACTAGATAAATCATCAGAAAACATTGAAGATCAAACACTCTTAAAATTATTTTGTATGTTGCTGTATGTATCATGCCATTCTTTCGTTGCTATAAAGAAATACTTGAGACTGGGTAATTTATAAATAAAAGAGCTTTTATTGGCTCATAGTTCTGTAGGCTGTACACGAAGCATGGCACTGGCATCTGCTCAATTCTGGAGAAGCCTCAGGAAGTTTTTTAACTCGTGGTAAAAGGCAAAGAGGGAGTTAGCATCTCACATGGCAGAGCAGCAGCAAGAGACAGGGGAGGAGCCAAACATTTTTAAATGACCAGATTTCATGAGAACTCACTCACTATGGTGAGCATAGCACCAAGCCATGAGGGATCCACCTCCACGAGCCAAATACCTCCCACCCGGCCCCACTCCAGCATTGGGGGTTACATTTCAACATGAGATTTGGGTGGGAACAAATATCTAACTATTTCATTCCACCCTTATCACCCCCAAATCTCATGTCCCCCTCACATTGCAAAATGCAATTATGCCTTACCAGTAGTCCCCCAAAGTCTTGTTTCAGCATTAACTCAGAAGTCCAAAGTCCAAAGTCTCATCTTCCCCTCTTCACTGCTCTAATAAAGTCCCTTACATCTATGAGCTTGTAAAATAAAATAAAAAACAAAAAACCAAGTTATTTACTTCTGAGATACAATGGAGGGTGCCTGGGTTGGGAAAACATTCCTCATCCAATAGGGAGAAATTGGCCAAAAGTAAAGGGCCATAGGCCCCACAAAATTCTGAAACCTAGAAAGGCAGTCATTAAATATTAAAGCTCCAAAATAATGTCCCACATCGAGGGCACACTGATGCAAGGGGTGGGCTCCCAAGGCCTTGGGCAGCTCTGCCCCTGTGGCTTTGCAGAGTACACCCTCATGGCTGGTCTCAGTTTGGAGCTGAGTGCCTGTGGCTTTTCCAGGTGTAGGGTGCAAGCTGCTGGTGTATCTACCATTCTGGGTTCTAGAAGATGGTGACCCTCTTCCTCCACAGCTCCACTACGCAGTGCTTCAGTGAGGGACTTGCGGGGGTCTGTCCTGCAGACCCTGACCCAATGACGGATGTATAACATATACTGACACAGATATTAGGCTTGTCAGTCCAGCTAAGGGTGAGGGCCACTTACAGACTCCAAGAAGAGTGCTGTAAAGAGTTGGCAGCCACGGCCCTGACTCGCTGGCCCTGCCAGCGTTTATTCAGCACACATTAAATGACAAAGGCTTTGTGTCAACATCATTAGAAGGTAATTAATCTGGTCACTTTCAGCCCCACCCCGCCACCACCCCCGAGAAAGCCTTCCTGCCAGTGAATGATCAAAGGTTAGTTTTAGGACCACATGAGTAAAGAAGTTATTTAGATAAACTCCTCTACATTCCTATGTATCTACTCTAAGTTATTTACTCAAGGTAAGGATTAGGCTGCCTTCAGCCAGATCTATTACTGGAGCTTATGCAACGCCCCCCACCCCCAACCCACTGGCCTTCCAAGAAAGTATGCATCTATTACTTATAACTATCTTTAAAATTTTTCCCACCAGCCTGACTGAACTCCCACATGGACTCTGTGTATGGCCTCCATCCCCACATTTCCCCACTTCACTGCCCTAGTAGAGGTTCTCTGTCAGGGCTCTGCTCCTGTGGCAGTCTTCTGCCTGGGCAGCCACACTTTTCCGTACATCCTCCAAAATCTAGGCAGAGGCTGCCAAGCCCCCACCACTCTTGCACTCTGTGCACCTTCAGGCTTAGCACCAAGAGGAAGCCACTGAGGCTTATGGCAGCTTGTGCTGTGCAAAGTGGCAGACCAAGCGGTATCTGGGGTCCTTTGAGCCAAGGCTGGAGCGGGATAGACTGGGATGTGGGGAGCAGTGTCCTGAGGCTGCACAGGGCAGTGGGACCCTTGGCCTGGTCCATTAAATCATTCTTTACTCCTAGGCCTCTGGACCTGTGATGGGAGGGGCTGCCAAAAAGGTCTGCAAAATGCCTTTGAGGCCTTTTTCCCATTATTTTGACTGTCAGCATTTGGCTCATTTTTAGGCATGCAAATATCCCTAACAAGTGGTTGCTCCACAGCCTGCTTGAATTCCTCTTCCAAAAAAGCTTTTACTTTCTCTGCCACATAGCTAGGCTGCAAATTTTCCCAACTTTTATGCTCTGCCTCCTGTTTAAATATAAATTCCAACTTTAAGTCATTTATTTACTCCCATATCTGAGCACAGGATGTTAGAAGCAACCAAAACACATCCTGGATGTTTTGCTCCTTAGAAATTTCTTCTGCCAGATACCTTAGGTCATCACTCGGAAGTACAAACTTTCACAAATCCCCAGGGCATGGACACAATGCAGACGAGTTCTTTGCAAAGGCTTAATGAGGGTGACATGTGCTCCAGTTTCCAGTAAGGTCCTCATTTCTGAGATCTTGTCAGCCTGGACTTCACTGTGCATATAATTATCAGCATTTTGGTCACAACCATTTAACCAGTCTGTAAGAAATTTTAAACTTTCCTTCATCTTCCTGTCTTCTTCTGAGCCCTCCAAACTCTCCTGACCTCTGCCTAATACTCAGTTCCAAAGCCACTTCCACATTTTCAGGTATCTTTAAAGCAATAACGCACTCTTCAGTACCAATAGTCTGTGTTAGACCATTCATGTATTGTTATAAAGAAACACCTGAGACTGGGTAATTTATAAAGAAAATAAGTTTAATTGGCTCACAGTTCTGCAGGCTGTACAAACATAGTGCTGGCATCTGCTCAGCTTCTGAGGAATCCCCAGGGAGCTTTTATTCATGACAGAAAGTGAAGTGGGAGCAGGCATGTCACATACCGAAAGTAGGAGTGAGGCAGGGGGAGGTGCCACACAGTTTTAAACAACTCTCCTGTGAACTCAGAGCAAGAGTGCACTCATTACCAAGAGGAAGGAAAAAGAAATACCTAAGACTGGGTAATTTATAAAGAAAAGAGGTTTAATTGGCTCACAGTTCTCCAGGCTGTATAGGAAGCATGGTGCTGGCATCTGCCCAGCTTCTGGAGAGACCTCAGGAACCTTTTACTCATGACGGAAGGCAAAGGGGGAGCCAACATCTCACATGGTAGAGCAGGATCAAGGGGATTGGGAAGAGCCACACACTTTTCAATGACCAGATCTCGTGAGAACTCACTCACTATGGTGAGGACAGCACCAAGCCATGAGAGATTCACCTTCACAACCCAAACACCTCCCACTAGCCCCCATCTGCAACTTTGAGGATTATATTTCAACATAAAATTTGGGTATGGACATATTCCCAACTATATCACTGTATATAGAGGTAACGTAATGACATAACACTCATCACTCATAGAAAGCATTAATTAGGGAATGCTTAGAATAATGTTGAAAATAATGGTAAATTCTGATGGCAGCAGTTAATTTGTTAGTTTCTAAACTAACGTAGTTAATTTCTTAGTTAGTTTCTACAAAGAGAACATATATATTGTGTCTCGGCATGACCTATTATGTCCAGAATTGGTGGGTTCTTGGTCTCACTGACTTCAAGAATGAAGCCGCGGACCCTCGCGGTGAGTGTTACAGCTCTTAAGGTGGCACATCTGGAGTTTGTTCCTTCTGATGTTTGGATGTGTTCGGAGTTTCTTCCTTCTGGTGGGTTCGTGGTCTCACTGGCTCAGGAGGGAAGCTGCAGACCTTTACCGTGAGTGTTACAGCTCTTAAGGTGGCGCGTCTGGAGTTGTTCGTTCCTCCCGGTGGGCTCATGGTCTCGCTGACTTCAGGAGTGAAGCTGCAGACCTTCGCAGTGTTACAGCTCATAAAAGCAGTGTGGACCCAAAGAGTGAGCAGTACCAAGATTTATTGCAAAGAGTGAAAGAACAAAGCTTCCACAGTGTGGAAGGGGACCCTAGCGGGTTGCCACTGCTGGCTTGGGCAGCCTGCTTTTATTCTCTTATCTGGCCCCACCCACATCCTGCTGATTGGTAGAGCTGAATGGTCTGTTTTGACAGGGTGCTGACTGGTGCGTTTACAATCCCTGAGCTAGACACAAAGGTTCTCCACGTCCCCACCAGATTAGTTAGATACAAAGTGTCCACACAAAGGTTCTCCAAGGCCCCACCAGAGTAGCTAGATACAGAGTGTTGATTGGTGCATTCACAAACCCTGAGCTAGACACAGGGTGCTGATTGGTATTTAGAAACCTTGTGCTAGATACAGAGTGCTGATTGGTGTATTTACAATCCCTTAGCTAGACATAAAGGTTCTCTACGTCCCCACCAGACTCAGGAGCCCAGGTGGCTTCACCCAGTGGATCCCGCACTGGGGCTGCAGGTGGAGCTGCCTGCCAGTCCCGCACCGTGCGCCTGCACTCCTCAGCCCTTGTGTGGTCGATGGGACTGGGTGCCGTGGAGCAGGGGGCGGCCCTCGTCGGGGAGGCTCCGGCTGCACAGGAGCCCACGGAGTCGGGGGAGGCTCAGGCATGGCAGGCTGCAGGTCCCGAGCCCTGCCCCACCTGAAGGCAGCTAAGGCCCGGCGAGAAATTGAGCACAGTAGCTGCTGGCCGAGGTGCTAAGCCCCTCACTGCCCGGGGCTGGTGGGGCCGGCGGCCGGCCGCTCCAAGCGCGGGGTCCGCCGAGTCCACGCCCACCTGGAACTCACGCTGGCCCGCAAGCACCACGCGTAGCCCCAGTTCCCACCCGCGCCTCTCCCTCCACACCTCCCTGCAAGCTGAGGGAGCCAGCTCCGGCCTTAGCCAGCCCAGAAAGGGGCTCCCACAGTGCAGCGGTGGGCTGAAGGGCTCCTCAAGTGCCGCCAAAGTGTGAGCCCAGGCAGAGGAGGCACCGAGAGTGAGCGAGGGTTGTGAGGACTGCCAGCACGCTGTCACCTCTCACTATGACATCAATGGCCAGTTAGTACATATATGTAGGTATCAGGGAAGGAGGAGAATAATATATAAGGCCAAGGGGAACACGATTTACCCTTGGCAAATGCTGTGTTTCGTCATGCCCCTGACATTACATCAGAAGGTAGTTGTTAAAATGATAAATAGGCAGAATTGGAAAGTCCCCTGTGTCTGAAAGTTAGGCAATGCATATATGTAGGACTCTAAGAATAAATGTATTGTCTTTTCAACACTTTAACAATGCTTTTAATATTTAGTTTATACAATTGAAGTATAGTATTCTATCTTATGGGATGTAGTAGGGCAGGGAGGTCTGTTATGAGCCAATATGGATCATGGTGGGATAGAAAGAGCATAGATTTTAGTTAAAAATCAATAGGAGGAATGAACTCCAGTGTTCTATACCACTGTAGGATGACTACGGTTAACAGTATAGTTTCAAATAGCTAGGAGGATGTTAAATGTTCCCCACACAAAGAAATAATGAATGTTTAAGATGATGGACATGTTAATTACCCTGATCTGATCACTATACATTATATATATTAAAACATCACTATGCACCCCATGGATATGTACAATTATTATTAGTCAATTAATAAAATTAAATTAAAATTTTAAAAATCAGACAAGATCTAGTTTAAATCAAGTTCTGCTACAAATTGGACATATGCCCTTAATCATTACTTGCTGTCTTTTAACCTTGTTTTTGGACTTTTTTCATTTGTCCAATGGAGATATACTACTTACTTCACAATGTTATTGGGTAAATTGTGAAAGATAGACTAAATGAATAAGTAGATACCTAACAAGAGTTCCTTGCTTGCCTTCTTTCCAAACCTTTATCCCCTTGTTGGGGACAGAGGTTGTACTAGGTTGAATAGTGTCCCCTAAAATTCATGTCCACTCGGAACCTCATGGAAACACAAACTTTGCAGACGTGATCAAGTGAAGAGGACATCATACTGGTATGGGTCTCAAATACATTTCAAGAATGATACAAATTAAATATTAATAAAGCACTTTTTTTCAGGATTCTGAACTCAACAAAAGCCAGAACAATATTTTTCAAAATTTAGTATGCATGAGCAATCACCAAAAGGGTTCAGTAAAACAGCTTGCTGGGCCCTATCCCCAGAATATTATTCTGACATATGAGGTGGAATTTGCATTTCTAATAAGTTCTTGGTGATGGAGATACTGCTGGACCTGGGATCACTGAGCTCAAATTCTAACCTGCCAATACTCTTAAACTCAATATAAACAAAAAATGGTTAAGATTTTGAGGACAGTACTCCTTTAATTATAATGTACGTGCAAATTGCTTGTGAATGCTGTTCAAGTACAGATTCTGATTCAATTAGTCTAGGGTGGAGCCCTAAGTTGTAAATTTCTAAAACGGTCTCAGTTGATGCCAATTATTTTGTTCCATGACACATCCTTTGAGTAGCAATGTGTAGAACAGACTAGTAACCTTGGAATTACCTGGAAACTTACAAGAAATGCAACAACCTCAGGATCCACTTCACAAGTGAATTCCAATCTGTAAACAAGATCCCCAGGTGATTTTTATGCACTGTAAAAATAAGCACTTTTTCAAAGCACTAGTTTTCAAACTTAGCTGGACGTTGGAGTCACATAAAGAGATGTAAAAAACATACTGATGACTATGATTCACCAAGAACACTTGATTTGTTTGATATTGAGTTCAGAGTGGGCATTTGGGTTTTAATGCTATCCAGGTTATTTTAATGTGGAGCAAAGTTTGAGAATGACTTTTTAAGAGCCTTGCTACTTGAAGTGTAGTTTGTTGAGCACGAGGATCAGCATCACCTGGGAGCTTGCTAGAAATGCAAACTTTCAGGATCCACCTTAGACACATGACATCTGAATTTTCTTTTTGATGGGATCCCCTGGTACATATTAAAGCTTGAGAGAGTTGTTCTAAATAGCTTTGCCATTCAATACCAATAGAGTAGCCACACATGGCTATTTTAAATTAAATTAATTACAATTTTAAAATTACAAATTTAGTTATTCAGCTTGCTAGCCACATTTCAAGTTCTCACTGATTATACATGGGCATACATAGTCCCTTCTTACATGATGCACAATATTGTGTACACAAAACATAGAGGCTACCATTTTGGACAATGTAGATATGGACCATCTTCATTATTGCGGAAGATTCAACCGAACAGCATGGCTGAAAGTATGGTATGGTTGTAATTAAAATCTTTTGGCAAAGCCAAGTTTAAAACAGATAAAGCTGAAAATAGACTGCAGTATCTGAAATATGTACCCATGGAAACATATATTCATATGTCTTTATAAAAAGGACATTATAAGTAAATGAAATTGTTGCTTAAAATTTTGAACTTGCTTAGGGATTACTGATATATCTCCTTTGCATTGGTCCTACAGAGTAATTATTTTTCTAAATAAAAGTATTTCATACAGGTTTCGAGGAAGAGAAAACTTTTCCTGCTTTACATTCTGAAAAGGCTATTTTTTTCCAGCCTCCATTCATGCTAAAGGCATCTCTGAACTGTGCTCAGGCAGCGTTGCTCTTACAAGGTGCTTCAGGGAACAGGAATTTACTCCCTCTGCTTGAGCCAGGAGGATAACTAGGGGGCTTGCTGATTTAATTTTTGAGAAAGGTCTTGACATTTTGCCTCTATTTGCAAAAATGTCCTCGGGGGTTGAGTGACTCACCAAGCCAGCCATCATTTTCATCCCAGGTATGCAGTTGGGGGCATGCTTTGTTAACATGCAGCAACTGATCACTTCCAGGGTCGTAACTTTCAACACGTTCATATTCCTGGAGTGACAGATGTTTGGAAGCCCTCTTTACCTTTTAATTGTGAAACCTGAAATGGGGACAATTTGTTTTTAGGCACCCTTGAGCATCCTGTGTAGTATTTAGAGTTTGACAGTAAATAATCTGCTGCTTAAAAATTCCTTTACTAAGGGGGCTTTCATTTCAACCTAATGCTTTGATTTCTAGTTTACAAGTAAATCTCCTTTGTCTGGTAGTGAAGCACATTGCTACTAAAGAGTAAAATTAAATAATGACATATGTGTTAGGAATTATATTGTAAACACACAATTTACAAGAAAGTTTTCTGTAGTTTTCATATTAAAAAGATTGTTAAGTTCAGATATGAGAGTCTAAGTGGGAAAGGAAACCAAGAGAAGATGCTGTTCTAACACAATGATCTCCTTTCATCTTTGTCATTTAGAATATTTATTAAATCAAAGTGCATAAGAGATAATTTGGGCTTATGATTATGTATAAGTTTATTCATGTTATTTCTCCTAATTAGAAAAATATATTAAATATATAGAGACTGAATCTTAATGGAAAGTTGAAATTTTAGGTAATATTACAAAGTAATGCACAAAGGCTTAATTATATTTAGTGAAAGATATGCATGCTGGCCGGGCGCGGTGGCTCACGCCTGTAATCCCAGCACTTTGGGAGGCCGAGGCGGGCGGATCACGAGGTCAGGAGATCGAGACCCCGTCTCTACTAAAAATACAAAAAATTAGCCAGGCGTGGTAGCGGGCGCCTGTAGTCCCAGCTACTCGGGAGGCTGAGGCAGGAGAATGGCGTGAACCCAGGAGGCGGAGCTTGCAGTGAGCCGAGATCGCGCCACTGCACTCCAGCCTGGGCGACAGAGCGAGACTCCGTCTCAAAAAAAAAAAAAAATAAATAAAATAAAAAAAAGAATAAAAAAAAAAATAAAAAAAAAATAAAGATATGCATGTACATACATTTTCAAAGATTTTTCTTTGTCCTCTTATAGAGGAATGCATACAACAATGGGAATTAATGAGTTCTGTGTTTATATAATACCTATATAGTCTCATTATACAATTTTATGTGTTCTCTGCTTTATAGTATATCATAGTAATTATATAATTTATAAAAATTTCAAAAATGCAAATTGACAAAAGAAGTATAAATAATTCTGGATTTTCCTTATTTTCCATACCTAGAAAAGTGCTGATTTTCACCAGGCAGGAAATTTGGAATAATGAATGTCTCAAATCTGGAATGTAATTTTCTGGCTTAACTCTACTAATAGCAGATCTTCCGTAAAACTCAGCTGACTCAAACATCCCTGACTACTCAATAATGTTTCCAACAGATGGGGGAAAGGACTTCAAGGAAATTATCATATTGCTTAACTATTAGTTACAAATAATATTCCAACCTCTTGGTTTCAAGCCAAAATCTGCTTCAAGCTTCTCAACAGTATCTCCTACATTTCTAAAGCTTAATCATTTGATCTCAGGCTGAAGGAAATGGAAGAGCTGCTGGCTTGTTTTACTATGTTGTGTGTTTTCAATGGGAACTCTCTGCGCATACCTCCAAAGTAGGTGAAGGCAAATTTCAGACTCACCTGAAGATAAAAATAAGCTGAAAGCTGTCTTGTGCCTAGTCCCTTGGCTTTAGTCATGGTGTTTTCTGTTTCTTATAGAGAAATAGAGTGGCACAAAGTGGTGTGGCCTGGATCTCATTTCATAGTCACCTGGGGAAGTTCTTGATTAACAAAAGCACTGTCAAGAGAGTCAGTAGAAAGAGAAGTTACTGTTGGAAATAGTTTATTGAAGAGCAGTAAATGTAGAACAAAAGAGTTGAGAGACACTACAAGACTGAGAAGCTAGAAATTTTGACCTTTATTACTCTACAAAAATTGCCACAGAAAAATAATACATATAATTATGCATAATTATATATTCAAATGTAGGTACTAGCAATACTCTTTAAATAAAGTATGTTACAATTTTCATCCACAAGCTTGATATTTAGATGCATGCCTTGTATCATACAAAGGGGCAAAGCCTTCATGCGTGAATAGGGGATTACAACTCAATGACTATGGAGTCAAGCTAGCAATATAAAAAAGCGAAATGGGCTAGATTGGGAGTGTGTCGATCTAGGGAATGTATGTAAACATAGAGAAATTAGGAACCTTGGCACATACAAAGAACCGTAGGTGGTTTATCATGAATGGAACATAGAGGTTTGAGAAATATACATAAGTAGAGAGATATAAGTAGGGACACATAAGTAGAGAGATAAGCAAAGGCTAGATTTTAAGGACTATTGACACCATTCTAAGGATTTTGCATTTCATACTTAATGTGTATGAAAGGAAAATAAATCTCGGTACCCCAAAATCACTAAGCTAAAGGGAAAAGTCAAGCTGGGAACTGCTTAGGGCCAACCTGCCTCCCATTCTATTCAAAGTCACCCCTCTGCTCACTGAGATAAATGCATATCTGATTGCCTCCTTTGGAGAGGCTAATCAGAAACTCAAAAGAATGTAACTATTTGTCTCTTATCTACCTGTTACCTGGAAGCCCCCTCCCTGCTTCAAGTTGTTGTCGCGCGTTTGCTTTGAGTTGTCTCTCCTTTTCCGGACCAAACCAATGTTCATCTTATATATGTTGATTGATATCTCATGTCTCCCTAAAATGTATAAAACCAAACTGTGCTCTGACCACCTTAGGCACATGTCATCAGGACCTCCTGAGGCTGTGTCATGGGGGCGAATCCTCAACCTTGGCAAAATAAACTTTCTAAATTAAGTGAGACCTGTCTCAGATATTTGGAGTTAACAAGTATAAGGTGAAAATGAAAAATTTTGGTGTATATTTTAAAAATATATTAGTAGCATTGTATAGAATTATTTTATCCTCAGGAGAATAAGGTTTACAGAGATCATTTGTTCAAAATAGAAATCTAGATAACGTCACTACTGAAATTCACATTCTTACCCTCAAACTCACTTCTGCTTCATCTTAGTGTTCCTGGACCAAACTGAGGGTTGGGCTGCTATTTCTCATGGCCCAATAACAAGATGCAGATGAACTGGGGAGGAGCTCCCTGCAACCAGTTACAGGGAGAAGGCCTGGAAATTATCACCAGATCATTCAAAACTACAAAGTTTTCCAGAGCTTATATACCTTCTAAGATATATGTCTATATGGAAGAGTGCATTCATCTAAAGACATAAGTGATTAACTTCTTTTGATCTATAACTAAGGTCTGAGTCCTGAAGACCATCCTCTAAAGCCTCAGTAAATTTACCTAATATAAAAGGGTCCAGGTACTGGGGTGATTACCCTTATCTTGTCTCCTACTAAATCATAGAGGTTTGGGGAGTTCCTTCAGACCCCCAATAAACTTGTTTGTGAAGGCCTGGGGAGTTTCTTCAGACCCACAGTAAAACTTGTTTAATCCTAAATGGGTCCTGTTAAAAATTTCTTCATTAGTTTGTCATGCTTTAAGGCCCAGGGAAGGCCTAGGCAAAACTCTTGGTGGGCTGTTGTTACATCCCAGCCTTTGTCTAAGGGCATTGGCTTTTAATATTTAACTTAACCACTCAGTCAGTACTGTTATGGAGGCCTGTGTTAGTGAGATCTGGCCTGCCACAATCCCCTCTGTCAATTTGTGCATGATTTCTATCATGCTTGTATATTGATTTATCATGAAAATTGTAGGGAGATGGGGCATCACAATCTTTCTGGCTACTTCCTACTGAGAGGGGGGTGCTGTTATGTGGCACCAAATGCAGTGCTGGAGTGGAAGAAGTCAATTTGTTCCCGGTAGCGCTCTTTGTTTCAGGGGCTTAGAGGCAGTGCCTGCTGAAACATAATAGTATGCAACAGCAACACATATAAATAGGTTGCTGCTGTTTTCTTCTGAAGTTTAAGTTGTCTGGTCTTCAGTTCATAGGGCTTTAAGAAAGCACAGCTTAGGTTTTAGTGATTTCCAATAGAAAAAATAGGGAAAAAGGAAAAGAAAAAGGAAAAAATTGAAAACATTGTTTTGAAGACTTGTAGCCAGAAAAATTAGAATTAAATCCAAACTGTAGAAAGTAATAAAAACTTAAAAATATCAGGCAAGACTAGAATTTAATAACAGGTATACTATAGTTTTGGAAACATAATTTTCTCTCTGCAGTTTCCCATTTTTATTAAAAGACAAATTATGGTAGGACTGGTTTGATTTATTATGCTTGGCCTAATTATTTGTATACAGTGCAACAAGAATAATTATTTTGCACATAGGCCTTTTAAATAGGCTTTGATGGAACTTTGTTCCATAGAAGGATTCTGAGATAAGACCCTTTTAAAGCTGAGCCCAGCCAAGGATTTGTACCATCAAATAGCTATGAGTTGGGTGAATTCTTCTTCTCTTGAGGTTCCAAGATAACTTGGGGGTCCTGGCCTGTCAGAAAGTGACTTTCTTTACTTACCACAGATCAGAAACCCTGTACAGGGACCGTGTACACAAAATATGAGGCCAGTTTTCCAAGGGCATTATAAGCTCCATAGTCAAGTTTGATTTCTTAAAGGAGAATGTATCATTCCAGTCAGCCTTGGTAAAATAACCAATTTTTCCAATTGTGTCCTGTTACAAAAGAGAACAGATTCTTATTGCACTTATGCAAATCAGTATATTGCCGTAAGGTAAGAACACTCACAAATAGTTTCCAAATTCTGGAGAAATCAGGTAGAGAGAAACAAATATGCTCCCAAGTTTATTCATAGGAGTATACTTTACTTAATTGTTAAAAGCTGTCAATAGTTCAAAAGAAAAGTTGCCTTGACTCTGAAAAGCAAAACAAAGGATTAGAAACATTTTAAGCAAAAAGTCAAAAAAGTCACTTCAGTCTCCTATTAGTTCAGTTCATGCAGTTAATTCCTGTCCTGCTTGATATTAATGAAAATTTTAGCTCTTCAAGAGTCCCGAATGTTTTTCCTCTATTCTGATGTCACAGTCTCCAAAGTTATCAGAAACTTGCATTCAAGAGCACTTGTTAGAGGTTTATAGCTAATTATAAAACCACCTTCTAAAGAGGACCAAAACAAGACAGCAATTGTTTATGGATGACAAAAAGTTTTAGAGTAGCCATAGTTAAAGACACAATTGACAAGAAAATGTTACCTCTGTGGCACACAATAATTTAACATAACAATTATAATTATTACCGATAAAGTACACTAAGATATATCAGAATTATAGGAATTTTGCATGATTTTGGAACACATAGCAATAACATATTTATACAAATATAGCCCAAAGAAAGCCAAACCCCATTGTATATTTGGCAATGCTTCCTGTATGAGTTTTGGTACCAAATAACCCATATTTCACCTTTACATTAGTATACTGTTAATGTTAAACCCAATTCTTAATAAAACTTTATAGACATATTTACCCAATTTTAATGTTTGACCATAAGGTAAGATTTTTATAGACCTTTTTTTGTTAAAGACCAATTTTTGTTAAAGAGCAGGTTAGTGCTCTAAGAGAAACCCGTTGTGCTTTTATTTTAATGCTCAATTCATAGAAAAACTAGATGATACTCTTTAACTTTAGCCAATGTGTTTACACATAGAATTTCCTTTACAATCAACCTTCCATAAGTTGCTTATAGCTTCATCTTTATTTTATCCAACCTAAAACAATCCTTTAACCTTTTAATCTAGGCAAAAATCTACATTCTTGTGCCTCCTTATAATCTTTTTACCATAAGTATATTTGACTTTCCTTACACACCTTGCACATTAACAGTTTCTTCAATAGTCTTAAATACATGTCACACTGTTAACTCTTAGCAACTTTTACTTTTGGTGAAAACCTTGGGAAGTTTGGGATTTTAATTATGTACTAGGTGTGGAGCCTAGGACCTAGACAGTAGTGCTGATAAGGTCTGACTTATTCCAGCATTTGACTCCACGTGTACCAGGCCTTACCTAGCTGTAAAGCAGGCAAATTGTACAGCTAAGAGTCATAATGACATTTTATAAAGCATTTAGGAGGCCTAATCTGTACAGCATTTCTTGCATAAATTTTCTTTTATAAATTATTTCATGCCTTACACAGACAAGCTACGACATGCCTTGACTTTCTGACTTGTCCTCAACATCCCTCTTTTTAGACAACCAGTTATTTTACTTTAGGACAAGACTTTACCATACAAGATCCTTTATTATATAAAATCTCTTTTCTTTAATATCTTTTTGAATAGCTAGGCACATGGCTAATTTCATATGTCCCCAGGACTTATCTAGAATTTAACACTCCAAAATAAATTGAATAATTTTTAAGTCAAAAGAAGCAGTTTATGACCTAAAGCATTTAGCAAACCTAATATTTGACCTGCATAATTTAGACCAAATGTTTACATTTTTGAAGATATTTATATTTTACCAATAATCTTTAAAACTCTCTTTATTTTTATACCTTTCTTCATATCTCTCTTATTTCCTGGTTTCTTTTATCTTGTTTTATATATAACCTTTAAATAAGCTTTGAATTAGACAAAAATTAGTTACCCTTTAAAAAGGACACAATTTTTAGAAAGAATGTTTTCCTACAACATATTTTTATTGGAAAATACCCAAATAATGAAATATCTGTTCTTTAACTTAATATAACTTTAGATTCTAAATTGTGACAAGTTTGTTTATGAATATTTACCCCATTACATTTATTTAATTATTTATTTTGATAATTTACCTGGTTATTTATGAAAACTGTGATAGTCATCATTTAAAGTCATGAAACTGCTGTTGCAAAATTATAACTGAGATAGTGAAAATGATCTGACCTAACTAACTCCATCTTGCTTCTAACTTCCAAACTATTCTTGTTCATTAACTTAGTTTATAGTTTAGTTTTGAAACTAAGATGATAACAGTCCTTTCCCAGAACAAACTTCCTTCATGTCTGTGGACTAGACTGCCTAAGGCCACAAGATTAGAAGTTAGAGTATTTTACTAAGTAATTCAAGATGTAGCTGTCTTCATTAAACCAATATTAATGTTTTATTTATTAAAAATTACACCAGCAAAGATCATTTTGTTTTGGGCTGAGTTATAGTTTTGTAGCCTCTATGCCAAATTTTGACACCTTGTAGTATTTGGCAGAGATAAGTATGAAATTGCTTGATCAATAAATACAAACAAAAATTTATGCTGGCAACTATTAAGACATTTCTAATATTACTGTACCAATAATTTGTAAAGCTAGCTTATTTATTAAAGATTTTACTTAAGTCACAAAAACCTGAAAAACATTTGACTAGTCTTTCCTTTTTTCTGTTAAAGTATTTAAGTGTTTTTATTTTTCTTTGAGCCAATTAGAACTATTTTATATATTTTCAGTGGTGAAACATGGTGTGCACAAGACATAAATACATAGACGTATTAGGCATGAAGAACATTTTAAAGATTCATAAGACCTCCTTTGTCCTATCTTAGACTTGCAAACTCTTGATTACCTGGTTTATTACTCTGGCAATTGTCAGCCAAATAGCCCTAAATCTGCATACTAAAGGAAACAACTCTTAGGTGAAAAATCAAATGGCAAAGTTTACATCTCAAGGTACACAGAGAAAAAGCCTGGGTGGTGCTAGAGGGAGATTAAAGATGGATGCCATATTGAACATAAAATTACATAAATTTATCATAGGATTGTATAAGGAAACTAACTTTATTTAGATATTGACTACCTATCATTTAACAGAATCTTTGAGCTCTGGGCAGAGCCCAAACTGAATCCTGGGTTTGCAAAGGGGACAATTATTATGAGGCTAGACCATGTGATGCTTTTACAGTGCCCTTAATTTTTTTTCCAAACAAAGACACTTGTAAGTGTCTAAATTACACTTTTTCCTAAAAACCCCAGAGTAGTTTCTGTTGCAATAGCTATTAATGAAGAAAACAGAATTCGGTCAACTGAGAAGGAAAAACATTTGCTCAAAAAGACAAGGTCCTAGGAGAGAAACAAGCAAAAGCAAAAACATGAAGCCTTTTTAAATACAAACATGCACACACACATATGCAAACCTTGGATGTTAGCTTTTAATTAAGCTGACTATTAACAGCTGAGCTCCTCAAAAATGTATTTTTCCTTCCAAGGGGCCTCTCAGCAGGAATGGACCCAATACCTCCCATTTTCAAGTTTACATGGTATCAAAGGAATAAGACAGATACACAAATAAGTGGAGACAATTTTTGGACAACACAAGGGGGAGTGCACTCAGGCAAAACAGACTCAAAACCAGCTCAAAACCTGATCTCAAACAAAATGCAAAACGGGTGTGTGAGCGAGCCCTGTTGCTTCCCTTGGCAGTACTAGACAAATGGCTTAACAAGTCCAGATAGGAAAACAATAGGCTCCTGGCATACAAACCGATTAACTCACTCTTCGAGCGTGTCTACTCCTAATCTCCGTTCTTCCCCAGTAGAGAAAGGGATGTGCAATTTTGCCCATGGGACTACTCTCTGGAGAATCCCCAGGAAAATCTCACCTGCAGCTGCTGGCATCCTCCTGAAGACTGTCTCATTGCAAGCCACTGGCCACTGAACGCAGCACTGTCCTGGTCTCTCCTGACTGGCTTGCCAAATTTTGTTCCTGGACCAACCTGAGGGCCGAGCTGCTATTTCTCATGGCCCAGTAACAAGAAGCAGATGAACTGGGGAGGAAGAGAGTTTTTATTTCTGCAGCCAGTTACAGGGAGAAGGCCTGGAAATTATCGCCAGACTAACTCAAAATTACAAAGTTTTCCAGAGCTTATATACCTTCTAAGTTATATATCAACGTGGAAGTGTGCATTCATCTAAAGACATAAGTGATTAACTTCTTTTAATCTATAACTAAGGTCTGAGTCCTGAAGACCTTCCTCTGGAGCCTCAGTAAACTGACTTAATCTAAATGAGTCCAGCTGCTGGGGTGATTACCCTTATCTTGTCTCCTACTAAATCACAGAGGTTTGGGGAGTTCCTTCAGACGCCCAGTAAACTTGTTTGTGGAGGCCTGGGGATTTTCTTCAGACCCACAATAAAACTTGTCTAATCCTAAATGGGTCTTGTTAAAAATTCCTTCATTATTTTATCACGCTTTAAGGCCCAGGAAAGGCCTAGGCAAAACTCTTGGTGGGCTTTTGTTGCATCCCAACTTTGGCTAAGGGCACTGGCTTTTAATATTCAACTTAACCACTCGGTCAGTACTGAAACAGTTGTTACGGAGGCCTGTGTTAGTGAGACCTAGCTTGCCACATTAGGATGCATCTATCTTATGTTGTGCGATATGATGTAATTGTCTTTTTTTGCATTGGCAAATGCAAAATCAAGCCAACTACCTTTATTTACATGCAAAGGAACGATCTGTATTTCATTGAAAATTCTGTAGACTTGGGTTATGTATATGTACATATATTTTAAAAATAAATAGTGTGGTGTTGTATATGTTTATATACTTATTACATGAATATTGATGATGAAGATATAGAGCATGTAAAATCGCTCAATTTCTCTCTGCACAAAATCGTTTCGGAAGTTGACCTTCAGAATTTATTAGCATCATTACTAATTGGCTCAAGTATTGACTTATGTGACCTTTATCAACAGCCTTAATTCAAATACTAAATCTAGCAGAAGTAGAACAGGCTCTGAAGTAGTTCATTTTATGCTCAATTTTTGTTATGAAAAAACTTAAAATATATGGGGGTAGAGAGAATAGTACAACAAACCACCATGTGCCTATTATCCACCTTCAACAATTATTAATGCAAACTCAATTTTGTTTAATCTAAGCCAATGATTCTTAAACAGTGTCAATTTTGCTCCCAAGTGGACCTTCATCAATGTTTAGAGACTTTTTTTTGTCACAACTGGTATGCGTGAAGGGTACCACTAGCATCTAGTGGGTAGAGGCCAGAAATACTGATAAATATCCTATAATGCACAGTTGCCAATGGCAATGAATTACCTGGCCTGAAATGTCAGTGTTGGTGTTGTTGAAATATCTTGATTTTCATCTTAATGCACTCTGCCCATTTCCCTGGATTAATGATGCAAACACCACATATCATATAATTTCACAGATTTTTTTGGTGTCTATCTAAAAGAGAAGGAGGTTTTGAGGGATTTTTGAGCCATACTAACCAGATTCCTTCTTTATGTTGATTTGTTGCTTTGGCTTTGCTTTTTTCTTAGATGTGTACCTAGCCAGCCCCTGATCTGATATGTATCTCAAAGAGCTCTCCTCTGCAAACCACCTTGCCCAGTCTACCTTGCCAATGAATTTTTATTAGATTTGGCAAATGGAAGGCACTGAGTGGGAGAATGCTTCAGGTGGCATCTCTAACAATTTACTGAGTGGATATACCTCTTGCCTGCAGTTCACCTGTACTTGGTTGACTAGTGCCCGCCCCCCCAACACACACACACAAAACTCATGTGTACCCAGAAGCTGAGGACGTGACCAGATTTGGAAATAGGGTCTTTGCAGACATAATTATATTAACATGAGGTCATGCTGGATGGACTAGGGTAGATCCTAAATCCAATTACTGGAGTCCTTATAAGAAGGAAATTTAGAAACAGAGACATGGAAGAGGATGACTATGTGAGGATGGAGGCAGAAATTGTAATAATGCAGCAACAAGCCAATAAATACCAAAGATTGTCAACAACCACCAGAAGCTAGGAAAATGTAAGGATATTTCTTCCTTCGAGTCTTCAGAGAGAGTGTTTCTTCTGACACCTTTATTTCAGACTCAGGATTCCTGAACTGTAAGAGAATGAATTTCTGTTGTTTTAAGGCCCTCAATTTATGATAATTTTTTACAACAGCCCAAAGGAACTAATGCATCACCCCTTTCTGGTCCTAGGTAGCAGAAGACAGCACCTGCTGTGAATCCAGGTTCTACTGGGAAGTCCTAGCTCCTCACCTCTGGTACCTCTTTATTCTTTCAGCCCTACAGACTGTACTGACACCATATAATTGCTAATTTCTGAGTTGGCTCATCATCCTCAATTTTAATCCATCTGATGTTTTTATAACTAGCTCCCTGCAGTAAGTACTTTGTAATGAACTATTTGATGTGAGTCTGTCTTCCCCACTGGATCCTCATACACGTGGAAAATACAGCACTAAATTTAGTACATTTTGTAGAGAATATTAGTCATTAGTACTTGCATTTACCTTCTCTGTTTCTAGAGGTTGGCTTCTTTGCAAAAGGATTGTTTTGATTCTGCTTAATATTTTGCATTTTATATGAAAACTGACATAAATTAATCTGCATAAGCATTATAATTTAGCACTTTATATTTGGTCAATACTTTGTAAATATTAGTTAGTGAAAGAAACACTAATTTTTATAGGAATGTAATACAAAACTATGAACCGGGGTCCACAAAGTTTTTCTGTAAAGGGCCAGTTAGTAAACACTTTAAGCTTTGCAGGCCATATAATCTCTGCCACAACTACTTAACTCTGCTGCTGTACCATGAATGCAGTAATAGACAATATGTAAACAAGTGAGCATGGCTGTGTTCCAATAAAACTTTATTTACAAAAAAGGTAGTGGGTTTGATTTGTCCCACAAACCATAGTTTATTGACCCTGCTGTAAACTATCTAGACTTTTGATTCCGTATGCTCCGTTGATATCTCATATACACACTGCATGTGTCTATATTATTTTATATAAAAGAAAAACATACAGTTTTCTTCTCCCAAAGTAAGTCAATTTTTCAAAGATCTGGTAACGTTTACACTCTCAGTATTTCATTCTTTCAAAAGATTGATATCTTAGGGAAAAAAAGGTCATTAAGCCAAAACATTAGACCTCAGGGATAAACCTGCAGAAAATTGATTGAGTGATCAAACCAACTTACTCTTTTGTAAAAGTCTCCCTGCCCTCTTATTCAGAAGGATGAATGATATCTCGACAATGAGCCAGGATTTTTTATTTTCAGCATCAAATTTTTGTTCTACTTCTCAAACATTCTCCCCAAATATCAAATACTTAAAAAATGAAATTGTTTTAGTCCCACATAGTTAACAAAGAACATATGAACTATTTACATTTCCACTAAACTTAGTCATTTTGAAGGCACATTCCAGTTTGTTTTATTTTCCTTAACATCCAATTTAGTTTCTGTCTCCTCATAAATCATCAAATAATATTTGCTGAATAAATGAACATATTATTCCAAGATGCTGAAAATTATATGTGATATATAATTTTACATCATATAGAATTGAAGTTGGATATTTCATAAATATAGAAGTTAAAAAATTGACTTGTGTTGTCAAAAAATTCAAATGAGGAATCTGTAAATCTTAATGTGGAAAGAGGTGCTAACTTATATTGAGGTTGATCTTCTCTTTGAATTGAATGGGTTCTCTCTATCATGAGCAGACACATCCAATATCCACAGGAATATAATAATATTGAGTTATATCCTGGGGTTAAACAAATCTGACATCATGGTAGACTTTGACAAAATTTAAGGTTGAGATCTCCTTCCAGGTGCCAGAATGTCATACAATAGTCCACAGTAACCATGCATGTAGGCAGCCTTAAACAGGCTGCTAGTTCCTAAGTATCTAAATTTGTGACAATTTGTGAATGAATCACCATGCCCTCCATAGAACTTGGCAACTGGATCAGCGTTTCTGCATCTGGCATTGTACACAATTTGCATATTGTGGAAGTGAAACACTTTGCAATCTCTGAAGCCCATCTCATTATGGCATGATGAGCTCATAGCCATGTGCTTTCCATCTTTAGTTCTAATTTCAGGGTAGCCGTAGTTAAAACCTAAGGACACACATACATAGCTTGTGGATAATGATTGTCTAAACTGTTTTTAGTTTCGTAAACTTAAAATGTTAAATTAAGAACAACTTACTAGAGTGGAAAAAAGGACAGGCAAAAGTTTTCCCTCCTTGATACCAGTTTTTATAATATGAATAATTTTATAAAAGTGCTTCAGTTACTTTTAATGAGAAAAGTTCCAGGAATTAGTATTAAAATTTAAACTACCTCCATAATTTACACTTAGTTTCCATAAAAAACTTTTAACAATCATACATTAATGAGAACCACGTGCTAAAAATGTGTTTTTAAAATTCAAACATAACTATATTTCTTCTATTCTTTATGCAGCTTGATTTCATTATTATTTAAAAACAAGAATAACTGAGCATATGGGAGTTGGGATTTTTTTGCAATGTATTTAACACGTATATGTAAAATTAGAATTGAGACAATTTTAGATATGTGCCATGGTGCCAGTATCCATTACATAGATTACAGTAAGACATGCAAGTAAATGAGAGACATAACCATGTGTTGTCCATCACTACCAAAATTCTATATGCATTGACAATTAATAGTTGTGAAATCTCTCCTAGAACCAAGGATTTTGGCTTCACAATTCAGCTTCCCTACCGACTTACTATTTATTTAACATTTCTACATCTTACAAATGATAATTTTGAGAAGCACAACTTTGGACCTAATGCATTTATTATGAATACCTGTTTTTTATGTGATATTTCAAAATAATTTTGAGGAAAGATTGTTCAGAGTATTTTCACAGTATAGGGAAAGGAAACAAGGTAAATATAAACCAAAAATGTATCTTCTGTAAACTAATAAAATTTTGTCAGAAATAATGTGGCCAGTCTATTTTGTGTCTTCACATATTCACAAATCTCGTTCAGTGTTTTTCAAAGTCAGTGAAAACTTTGTTGATGAATTGTCACATAGTCAAATTACCAAATGTTACATATTCATGGAATTATTTTGGTATTGTGGGAAAGAAGAAGAAACACAGATATGCATGTGTATACACTATACATAGAGGCATACCTTGGAGATATTGCCAGTTCAGTTCTAGACCACTGCGATAAAGTGAATAATGCCATAAAGCAATATTTTATTGCTGAAAATGCTAACCATTATCTGAGCCTTCAGCAACTTGTAATCTTTTTGATGGTGGAGTTTCTTGCCTCATTGTTGATGGCTGCTGACTGATCAGGGTGGTGGTTGCTTAAAGGTGGGGTGGCTGTGGCAATTTCTGGAAATAAAATAACAGTGAAGTCTGCCCCATCAATTAACTCTTCCTTTCACCAAAGATTTCTCTGTAGCACGCAATGCAGTTTCATAGCATTTTACCCACAGTAGAACTTATTTCAAAATTGGGTTCAATCCTGTCAAGCCCTGATGCTGCTTAATCAACTAAGTCTATATCATATATTCAATTTCTTTTTGTCATTTGAACAATGTTCATGGTATTTTCACCAGGCATAGATTGCTTTCAAGAAACCAATTTATTTACTTAACCATGAAAAGGGACTCCTTATCCATTTAAGTTATATCATGAAATTGCAGCAATTCAGTCACATCTTCAGGCTCCACTTCTAATTTTAGTTATTTTCCTATATCCACCACATCTTCAGTTGCTTCCTCTATTGAAGTCTTGAACACCTTAATAGATGAGAGTTGGAATCAATTTCTTCCAACACTCTTGTTAGTGTTGATATTCTGACCTCCTCCTATGAATCACAAATGTTCTTAATAACATCTAGAATGGTGAATGCTTTACAGAAGGTTTCCAATTTATTTTGCCCAGATCCCTCAGAAGAATTACTATCTATGACAGCTATAGTGTTATGAAATGTATTTCTTAAATAGTAACATTTGAAAAACCAAATTACTCCTTGAGAGGAAGGCTTTAAGGTGCCTGGAACTCACCTTCTCCACAAAGAGGAAACAAAACAGTAACTAGATAACCACACATCAAGTAGACCTTCTAAGACAAAATGCTGTAACTCAGAAGGTCAGTGACAGAGAACCTCTGAGGCATTGAAGGACAGGAGAGCAAAGCAGCTGGCCCATCTGAGATTGACTCAGAGCAGGAGGAACTCCGCATTGTGGGGAAAAGGTAAGCAAGAGATCCCTAGTTATCCATACTCCCACCTTGAACTCCTGCAATTCTAGCTACAGAAGATCACTTCAGTCTTTACAGACGCTCAGACTAATATGGGAACCTGCCTTAGTCCGTGCAATGGTAGTGTTCCAGAAAGGAAGTTCATACTGGGTCCCATATACCCCTTAAGACCCAAGCATCTGCAGCATGGAGCCAGTATGAGAGCCTAGCACCCACCATGCTACTGCGTGTCCTGGGGCCAAACAGCCCCTGCATTTTCACATCCCTGAAGCACTGCTGGCATCCCCCCATGTCTACCCTGAGGGTTGCAGTGTCATGATGTTGTCTGGATCCAGCAGTGCAGCTGGGTCCCCAGCATTTTAGTTCACACATAAACCCTGGGGAACAAGCAGTACAGCATACCAGGAAGACTTCCCTTGGCACAAAGTAACCCCACCCCCTCCAGTGGCAGAGCCTCCACGTACCTGGACGTGATTTCTAGAGACCTGTGGACAAGTCTACCTATGTGCCATCCCAGGGCATGAGGACAGACCCACCCCACCCACCACCACTGCTGTTGGTGCCTGAGCATGCCACCCAGGGGCTTATGAATTGACATGTCCCACACACCTCAGCCAGAGCCTCCACACCCTATCATGGGGCCTGAGGATGAGCCCACAAGATCTGCCACTGCTAGCGGCAGTGCCTGTGTACAATGTCCTTGGGCCTGGAAATCACCCCCAATGCCAGTGTACACTATGGAGGGGCATGATGACTGGCCTGCGCAGTCCACTGCTGCCACTACTGGTGCTCATGCATGTTGTTTGGGGCCCTGGGGAATGACCTGCCATTCCTGCCACTGCTGGTGCCCACACACGCCTTCTGGGGGCTGGAAGATGTGTCCACCCCCCCCCCCCCCCCCGCTGCTGCCACCTGCATGAACTCTCAAGAGTCCTGGGGATAGGATCATCCTGCCAGCCATTGTCAGGCACCTCCTGAGGGCCCAAAAAATGGTCCTACTGCTGCTGCTGCTGCTGCTGCCACTAGCACCCACCTGTGCATGCCACCTGGATGACTGGGGACTGGCTTCTCACCCTACCACTGCCACTGCTGGCATCTGCTCAAGCCACTTGATGACATGAGGGTTGGCCCACCACCACTACAGCCACTGTTGATGCCACACATCCTGTCCAAGGGACCAAGGACCTGCCCTGCCCACAGCTGCAATTGCCAGGCACTGAGTAAGCCACCTGGAAGCCCAAACATCAGGCCACCTAAAACTGCCATCACCAGTGCCTGTGTATATCACCTGGGAGTTCGAGGATTGGCATACCTGGTCAGCCACCACCATCACTTGAGCTTAAAGACTGGCCTGCCTAATTTCCCTGTCCCCAGAAAAGCCTTGCCATGGCCTCTACTGACAACTGCAGCATAAGCCACTGAGAAATCACAGATACAAATAACAGATTATAGGCAAAGAAATCAAACAGAGATTACACTATTGTGACCACCCAAAATCAAAGCCAAAACTTACTGCCCAACCAGTATTACATATACCTACAGGCAAAAGTTCTTATCCAAAAGCCAATCCGTAAAATTAGGAGAAGCAACTATTACATAAGATGTGCAGATATCTATGTAAGAACACAAGAAATATGAAAAAGCAAGGAAACATGACACGTCCAAAGAAACAATAATTCTCCAATAACAGATCCCAGTGAAAAGGAAATCTATAGAGTGCCTAAAAAATCCAAACAATGATATTGAAGAAAGTCTGTGAGCCACAAGAGGAAAAATAAACAATACAAAAAAATAAGAAAACAATTCATGATAAAAGTGAGAAATTCGACAAGGAGCTAGATATCAAAGAAAAGCACCAAACAGAAATCCTGGAACTGAAGAATTTAGTGAGTAAAATTATGGATACAATAAAAAGCTTCAACAATAGACCAGATCAAGAAGAAATAATTTCTGAACTTGAAGATAAGTCTTTAGAAATTACCCAGTCAGAAAAAAATTAAATAAAGAAGAATGAAGAAAGCCTACATTGCATATGAAACACCATAAATCAGCCAAGTATTTGAATTTTGTGAGTTCCAGAAAAAGAGAAGATGGGAAAGCCATAGAAAACATATTTAACAAAATAATATCTGAAAACTTACCAAGTCTTGCAAGCGATATAGACATGAAGATACAGGAAGCTCAGTGATCCTCAAATAAATGCAACCCAGAAAGGTTCTACACAGCACATTATAGTCAAGCTATCAAAAGTCAAAGATAAAGCAAGAATTCTAAAAACAGCAAGAGCAAATCATCAAGTCACATATCCAAAAACCCCCATCGGGCCCATCAGACTAACAGTAGATTTCTCAGTAGAAATCTTACAGGCCAGGAGAGAATGGAATGATATATTCGAAGCATTGAAAGAAAAAAACCCTGCTACCCAAGAATACTATAAACAGTAAACCCTTCTTCAAAAATAATAGAAAAATAAAATATTTTCCAGGCCAGCAAAAACTGAGAGTTCATCACCACTGGCCTAGCCCTACAAGAAATGATTAAGGAAATCCTATATTTGGGTGTGAAAGTATATCTACAATCACGAAAACACAAAAAAAGTATAAAACTCAATGGTAGAACAGACACATAAATAAGAAAGAGAAAGGACTCAAAAGGCACCACTAGAGAAAATCACCAAACCAGTGATGCACAATAAGAGAGAAAGAAAGGAACAAAGACCATACAAAGTAACCAGAAACAATTAACACAGTAACAGGAATAAGTCCTCACCTATCAATAATAAGCTTGAATGTAAACAGATTATATTTTCCACTTAACAGATATAAAATGGCTCAATGGACAAAAAAAGAACCCATTTATAGGCTGCCTACAAGAAACTCACTTCACCTTTAAAGCCACATAGACTGAAAATGAGGGATGGCAAAAAATATTCCATGCAAACAGAAACCAAAGAGAGCAGGAGTAGCTATACTTATACCACATAAAAGGCTTTAAGAGAAACATTGTAAAAAGAGAAAAAGATTCTTATATAATGATAAAGGGATCAATTCAAGAAGAAATTATAACAATTATACATGTATATGTGCCCACTACTGGGGCACCAATATATATACAGCAAATGTTTTAGATCTAAAGGGAGAGATAGACTCCAATGCAATAATAGCTGAGGACTTCAACACCCACTTTTCACCACTGGACAGATCAACTAGAAATAAAATCAATTAAAAAACCTTAGATTTAACCTACATTTTAGACCAAATGGATCTAACATCCATTTACAGAACATTTCATCCAAGAGCTACAGATTACACATTTTTCTCAACAGCACATGGAATAGTCTCCAGGATTGACCATAGTTTGGGCCACAAAATAACCCTTAATAAATTTTAAAAAATCAAAGTCATACTATGTATCTTCTCAGACCACAAAGGAATAAAATTAGAAATCAATAACAAGAGAAAGTATGAAAACTGCACAAATACATTGGAAGTAAACAGCATGCTACTGAAAGATTATTGGGTCAATGAAGAAGTTAAGAAGGAAATCGAAGCATTTCTTGAAACATGTAAAGATGAAAACACGACATATCAAAACCTTTGAGATACAGCAAAAGCAGTGTGAAGAGGGAAGGTTATAGCAATAAATGCCTACATTGAAAAAGTAGAAAGATGTCAAATAAACAGCCTAAAGATGCCCTCAAAAAACTAGAAAAGCAAAAACTAACCAAACCTCAAATCAGTAGAAGGAAATAAATAATACAGATCAGAGTATAATAAACAAAATAGAAACTAAAAAAATACAAAAGATTAATAAAACAAAGAAATTTTCTTAAAGATAGCCAAAATCAATAAGCTGCTAACTAGACTGATCAAGGAAAAGAAAAAGAAACAAAAATCAATAAACTGCTAGCTAGACTAAGCAAGGAAAAGAGAGAGGGGACCTAAATAAATAAAATCAGAAACAAAAAAAGTAAACATTACAACTGATATAACAGAACCACAAAGGAACATTAGAGACTATTATAAACAACTGTGTGGTAACAAACTGGAAAACCTAGAGGAAACGGGTAAAATACTGGACACACATAACCTACCAAAATTGAATCAAGAAGAAATAGAACACGTGAACAGAACAATAATGAGTATTGCAATTGAATGAGTCATAAAAAGTCTCCCAGCAAGGAAAAGCCCAGGACTGCATGGCTTTACCAATGAATTCTATCAAACATATAAAGAACTAATACCAGTTTTCCTCCAACTATGCCAAAAAATTTGAGAAAATTAGGTAGTATTTATTCTGTCAAGTAGATGTAATAGAATTTTAAAAATTGAGGAGAAATTAAAAGTAGAATAAGCTCATGATTTGACATATACATAATATGTGGTGGCAAAAAATATTTAAAGATTACAAACCAAATATATGACTAAATAAGAAAAAAGGATAATAGCATTATATCAGAGTATTAGTTTAAAGGTAACCACTAAGGAACATCTAAACTGTCCTATGTTCAAAAATAAACAAATAAATAAATTCAAATTAGGAGACCATAGAGCAAAATACCACATTCAAAACATGATACACATTAAACGTAATAAAAATAATTTAACCAAACTGAGTCGAATTCCGTTATATCAGCCATACCAACAAAACCAAATTGAGCAGACCCATCTATTAAATAAAAATTATTGTCAGAGTGGCTCATAAGACAAAACCCATGTTTATGCTGAAATCAAGGGATATAACTTTTGTTCCCTTGTTTTGTTTGTTTGTTTGTTTGCTTGTTTTTGAGACGCAGTCTCGTTCTATCGCCCAGGCTGGAGTGCAGTGGCGGGATCTCGACTCACTGCCTCCTGGGTTCAGGCAATTCTCCTGCCTCAGCCTCCCGAGTAGCTGGGACTACAGGCATGTGTCACCACACCTGGCTAATTTTTTGTATTTTTTAGTAGAGACGGGGTTTCACCATGTTAGCTAGGATGGTCTTGATCCCTGACCTCGTGATCCACCCGCCTCAGCCTCCCAAAGTGCTGGGATGACAGGAGTAAGACACCGTGCCCGGCCAAGGGATATAACTTTCAAAAAGTAATTCAAAAAGTCTAATATAAAGTGATAAGAAAAAGTATGTCTGGAGACTACAAACAATAAAAAACTAGTGATTGCAATCTTGATATTAAATAAGGAGAATTCAGGCAAAAAAATACAAAAAAGAAAGAAAACATAATTCTTTAGTCAAATTCACAATATAGGCATAATAGCTACAAATATCTATGCATTAAATAGCATATTTGCATAAAGCAGAAATTTCATGAGATGTTAGGAATAACAGATGTACAGTAATGAGTTATTCACTAACTCATTACTATTACTACTGTCAGTTTATATCAATTCATGTCAAGTCAAGTGGATATAAAATCAGTAAAGATATAGAAGACAAACATTAATTACTAAAGTCTATCTAATGGAGTGTAAATTAAACTTTGCACTCTAGTAATTGGGAATGCACATTCTTTTCAAGTGCATATGAGACATTAATGAGATTAATTGGGTCACCAGAAAAGCTCAATATATACAAATAATATAAACAATGTTCATGGTTCAAAATTCAATATGTTGGAAATCATTATTTTTAAATCATTCCAACTGGAAATTTTAAAAAGCAATACTACATTTTAGATTCAATGAGATAATTAAAGCAGTGATAAAATAGTCATACCCTAACATACTCATATCAACATAAATGAAAAAGATGAAATACAAGAATTAAGTATCCAGCTCAAAAAGTTAAAAGTGAATAACAAAATAAACTAAAAGAGAACGAAGGAAGGAAATAATAGGGACAACAGCAGAAATTAATGAATTAGAAAACAAAAATAATACAAACAAATATAAACAAAAGTCTTTTTTCTGTGAAAAATCAAAGAAATAATATCCTCAGCAAAACAAGTTAAGAAAAAAATACAATTCACAATAAGTCTGAAATAACCATTGAAACAGAGGAAGTCATTTGCAAAGCTTTGCAAGTAATTTTGAAAACATCTGTGAAATGGATGGTTTATTAGGCAATATAATTTACCAAAATGTATCCCCATAGGAAAAAAAATACCAGACCACTGGAAGAAATAAGAATTTATAATGAACTTCCTTCTTAAAAAAGAGCAGGTTCAAATTGTTTTATTGGAAATCCTACTACACCCCCCAAAACCAGATGCTGCTAACATTACTCTTGCAGAGTGTAGAAAAAGAAAGACAATTTTGAAACTTTTAAAATTTGTTTTTAATTTTTACTTTTTCTTGTTGTAAGAGCACATACCATGAAGTCTACCATCTTAACAAACTTTTATGGGTACAATACAGTATTGTTAACTACAGGCATAATGTTGTACAGCAGATATCTAGATTTAATCGTCTTGCGTAACTGAAATTTTATGCATGTTGTATAGCAACGGCTCATTTTCCCTTCCTCTCAGCCTCAACAACAACCATTCTATTCTCTGTTTCTGTGCTTCATATGTGTTTAAATGCTTCATATAACTGAAATCATAGAGTATTTACCTTCTGTGACTGGCTTACATCATTTAACATAATGTGGTTCAGGTACATCCATGACGTTACATATGGTAAGATTTCCCTTATTTTTTAGAACTGAATGATATTCCATTCTCTCTCTCCCTCTCTCTCTCTCTCTCTCTCTCTCTCTCTCTCTATATATATATATATATATGAGTATATATATATGTGTGTGCGTGTGTGTGTATATATAATGCATATATATATGTGTGTGTGTATATATATATATAACATTTTCTTTATCCATTCATCCATCAATGGACGCTTAAATAGTATCCATATCTTGGTTTTTGTGCATCCATGCTGCAATGAGCAAGAAGGTGCAGATATTTCTGGAAGATCCTGATTTCTATTCTTTTGGATGAACAATTAGAAATGAAATTGCTGGATTATATGGAATTTTCTTTTTAATTTTAAGGTTTATTAATGAAGGAAGTATAGCATGGATATCTAAATTTGATAAATATTGTGCAAAAAAATTAAACTGTAAACCAATCTCATTTTTATTCTTAAATCTTAGAAATAGTGAATTATTTTAATAGTTTTTCTAAGCTATTTGCATTTTTTAAATTAAGTCTACTTCTTCATGGTTTATTTTGCGTTTTTTAAGATAAACCTATTTGTTCATGGTTTATTTTTTGTGGGAAGCTTGGATTCTGTTTACAAATGTTTTAGTTAAAATTTCTACGAAGGTATTAAAATGCGATTGGATGCTGAGAAGGACTGAAAAAATTCAACAAATGTTCCTGATAAAATAACGTAATGAACTAGAAATCAATGGGAACTTCCTTAACTATAAACTAGATAACTATATAACTAGAAAGATAATCAATAGATGATAGAGTACATAGATTAGATACAATGATAGATGAGAGATGATGGATAGATAGATTAGATAGACAGATAGATAGACAGACACGCCTCAGCATAAAGCTAGCTAGCATCTTACTTAAGGGTGAAACAATAGAGGCATTCATGCAAAAGGCAGAAAGAAGACATGGATGCCCACACCTACGTATTAATGCACTGGATATATAAGACAATGTAATTAGAAAAAAGAAAAAATAATAATAATTGGAATTAAGTGATAAAACTCTCTACTTGCAGATGATAAGATAATATATTCAAAATAAGGAGGGGAAGCAATACTAAAACTAACAACACAATAATCATCAATATAATATAAACAACAAGGTTATTCAGTTAGTGGAATATAAAATCAGCATGCAAAATATAATTTTAATATATATGATTAATAATTAGAATTTACAATGGAATAAATGCCTCCTTACAATAGTTACAAGAAAGATACAGCAAATGTTAAAAATATACAGTTATCAAAACCAAATATATTTTAAAAATCTGTATAAGGGAAAGATTTACTTTTTCCCTAAAAGACAATAGAATGCATTTGAACAAGCTTCTCCTGGGAAGATGGTTCAACGTCATAAAAACATCTATCTTTCCAAAACGGATACATACATTTAATATGATCTGAATAAAATTAATAATTTTTTATTAAACTAGACAAGTTAATCTTAAATGTTACATGGAAAAATAAATATGCTAAATTATATAGAGATGGGATCATGGACACTAATCTTATTGCATATGAAAATATAGTTTTTTCATAAATACAATTTGATATTGGTACATAATGGACAGACAGAGCCATGGAGTAAAATAGAAAGTTCAGAGGGAAGTTTTTGATGTTTTAATTTAAAAAGATGTGAAAACTGGATAGCCATTTAGCAAATGACAAAATTGTATCTATACCTTTAACTATACTTCAGAATAAACTTCAAATAATTGAGAGATCTAATTTTTTTAAATAAACCTTACAAATGCTGGAATAAAATGGGTCAATTACTTTATAACCACAAATTTGCCAAAAGCCTTTTGAATCATAAATTAAAATCCAAAATCAATCAAATAAAAGCTTGGAAAATTCAACCACATAAAGATAATAATCAAAATAAAAACACAGGACAAAACAACATGAATAAAGTAAACAGCAAATAACAAACAAAGAGAAAATATTTGCAACCTACATGTTGGACAAAAGGTTAATTTTTAGGATCTCCTAAAACTTGAGACAAAAAACATCCCAAACAAAATAGAAAATTAGAAATAAAAACATAAATATATAGTTCTCCATATATAATAGTTGGCCCTTATGTATATGAAAAAAATGTGAAGTATTACTCTTAACAAGAGAAATGCAAGTTAAAACTACGCTGAGATACAATTTGTAAACTGTCAAAAGTTCCAAAGCATACTGGCCAAATTAAGAGGATATATACAATACTGATGAGAAAACAAAATTGTAGAATCTCTTGGGAGGGTAATTTGGTAATAACATAAATCATTCATTCGAACCCCAAATCCTAGTTTAAGAAACTTGTTGTGAAGATACACATCTACTAATGTGTAAGCAATATATACACTATATTATTTATTGTGACTTTTTTATAATAGAAAGATATTGAGAAGAACTTAAAGATCCAAATAGAGAAGATTAGTTGGATAAACTATGTTACACTTCCGCAATGAAATACTATGTAGTACTAGAACTAAATGACATGGATCTCAATTCACGGGATTAAGGGCGGGGGTTGGCCTAGGTGAAGAGCAGTATGTATGTTTCTTTTTGTTTAAGAAACAGGAGAATAATAACCTATGCGTTTATTTTTGCAGAAAGTAATACAGAAAGGATAAATCAAGACTTAATAAAAATGTGACTGGGCATGGTGACTCACGCCTGTAATCCCAGGACTTTGGGAGGTCAAGGCGGGCAGATCACTAGAGGCCAGGAGTTCGAGACCAGCCTGGCCAAAATGGTGAAAACCCGTCTCTACTAAAAATACAAAAATTAGCTGGGCGTGGTGGTGCGCACCTGTAATCCCAGCCACTTGCTTGAACCTGGGAGGCGGAGGTTGCAATGAACTGAGATTTTGCCACTGCGCTCCAGCCTAGTGGACTGAGCAAGACTCTGTCTCAAAAAAAAAAAAAAAAAAAAAAAAAAGACTTAATGGAAATGTTATCACAGGTTTCAGGTAATAAAATGGGAGTTCGATATCTCTGAGTGTACCTGTGTTCTTCAGATTTTTAAACCATGTAACTAGTACTCATGTTGAAACACAAAAATAAATAAAAAGTTGAATAGAAAATAAACAACATTGAGTCTATATCAAATTGATAACACAACCACTCAGAGAAAATAATTATTTCCTGTAATTTTTAGCACAGTACTCTAACTGCAAGAACTGCAAGGAATGTTTATGTTAGCAGTGAATAAAAATAAGCAGTAAATTTTTAAAAAGCAGTAAATTTCAAAATAGCAATTTTGAAACAATTTTATATAATATAATACAAAACATATAAGTAAATATATTGGAAACGAAGATTTTTACTTTAGGAGAAAAGGAGATATAAATATAAAATACAGTATCTTAAGGAAACCCCTGTAGTGTTAAATTTGAAAGAAAACTATCCAAATGGACATGGACATTTGAAATATATATGAATAATTTCCAGTTTATCCATTGAAATGACCTAGAGGAAAAGACCCTGCAGTAGCAAGAGCTAAAGCAGCCTCTTGGGAAAAATCTTCATTTTAAATCTGGGAAAGGAAAAGTATAAGGTTCTGGGACATCTGATTTTGCCAATAAGCAAGAGGGCACTAGAAAAGCTAATGGGGTCATATCAATAAGACACAGGGTCCAAATTTGAAGGGTTCAGACAGGTAAAGTTGGGAATAATCTGGGCATCTAAAAAATGACATTAATTTATTGTAATGAAATGAATTACAAAGCACTGGGTACATAACATCGGAAGTCTAATGTAATGTAAATATATACAATAAAATGGAAAAGGGAAGCCGAAAGCTTTTCTTTACAGAAAAGTGATGACTTGAAAATGTAGAAGGAATGATATAATTAGGAACATCATTATTTTAAAGCCCCCATGGAAAGATCATCAAAGAATGCTAAATCCATGTGCTTAAATGTTGTTGGGGAAGAGCATATTTGTCTAGAGCTAAATTAAATCACCCCTCCAAATAATTGCTAATTACATATGGGGAGATTTGGAAACAACACCTTAATGAAGTGACCAACTTTAGCTTTACTAAGAGTGGGGACAACCTGACTCTACATTCCTCATGATGTGATGAAATATGATACACGTAACTGCACCTAGGGCAAGTCCTTGCCAAAAAATATTTAATCTGAGTCTAATAAAGCCTTTGGACCTCACTTTCAGTTTTCAGGCAATATAGTGAATAGAAAAACATGTTAAATGAAATTATAATTCGCTAGTCAGATAATCAAGAATATGGGACATTTTAAAAGAAATGTTTTAGATGTTCCAACGTCACTTCCAAGAGGGGGAAAAATACTGGGAGACCATTCTGGATTTAAAGAAACTAAAAGAGGATAATAATCAATCATACACTTTGATTGCTTTCTGTTTGATTTTAATGACATTTTAGAAAATATGTTAGATGATGTTTGGGAATTAATCTTATATTTCCTAGCTGTGATAATAGTCTAGGGGTTGTTTGTAAGAGTGTCCTTTTTCTTAGAGGCTGAGTTTTCTATGGTCAGGTGTCATTAAGTCTGGAGCTTATTTTCAAATGAGATAGCCCAAAATGTGTGTGTTAGTGTGTGTGTCTGTGTGTGTGTGTACACACATGCATATATATGAGTCCATATTAAAATTACATTTTTATATTCATTTCCCATTTTCTCTAGAGCAAATGTGAGCAAAATATGAATGATGTTTGAATCTATGTGGATGATATAGAGGTGGCTATTGTTTTAGTCTTTCAACTATTCAGCTAAAAATTTGAAATGTGATAAATTGAAGTGAAATGTACTATTTACAATAGCAACAAAACATAAAGATCCTAGAAATGCTTCTAACAAAAGATGAGCAATCCCATAGTGAATTAATTTTTACAAGAAATGACATTTTAAAAGACCTAAATAAATAGTGGCATATGTTATAATAATTTAGGAGATATACCTAATGCTAAATGACGAGTTAATGGGTGCAGCACACCAGCATGGCACATGTATACATATGTAACTAACCTGCACATTGTGCACATGTACCCTAAAACTTAAAGTATAATAATAATAAAATAAAAATAATTAAAAAAACTTAATAGCAGAAAGATGTTACTTACCCATGAATTGTTCTTTATACTTAATTTTACTTCAGCATAATTATCACAGGATTTTTCATTGAAATTGACAAGCTGCCTCTAAAATGTATGTAGAATTAAAAGGTCCAAGAATAGCCAAGAGACTATTCACCCTCACCAAAAATGTGTGAGGATATATCATAAATTAAAACTACTTCAGAGCTTACATATCAGATACGTGGATTTGGTACCATGGAGGCAAGTAAAGAGCTCATAAACAGACACATGCTTATATGGAAAGTTGATTTATGCTAGCGTGGGCATTGCATATATTTGAAGAAATATGGATGGTGGAATATTCGGTGACTCGTATGGAAGAATACAACCATGTTCAAAAGTAATTTATCTGTGTTAAACATTTAATTTCCAAAAGTGAAACTATAAGACTCTTTAAAGGCAATATATTATAGTTGAATACATTTAATAGATCAGATTAAAGGAAACCTTTTAAGACATGAAAAGCATTCTCTAAAGGAAAAGATTAGTAAATGCAGCTCAATACAATTAAGACATTTTATTAAGTAAAAGAACAACACAGCCTGGGTGGTAATCTTTGCAATATGTATGACTCACAGAAAATCACTATAATGAATATAAAGAATCTCAAAGGATGAAAAAAATCTCAAAAGAAATACAGGCAAAACATATAAACAGAACTTTTATAGAAGAGAGAATACATGTGACCCACAACGATTAAAAAATATCATGAGTTATCAGGGAAACAAAAATTAAAATCACAAAAAATGCGATGTTATGCCCTTTGAAAGTCAATTAAAAATGTGTTGGACAATATGAAGAGCAATAGGTAGTTTTACCCACAGCTACTTAAAAGTATAAATTGGTACAACCACTTCTGAAACATTTTGGCAAAACATAAGAAAGCTGAACATGTGCAAATGCCAAAACAAGTACTGGTAGTTTCATCAATGTGCTCTACGAGTTGACATTTTTGTTTTTCTAAAGGGTCAGGTAGTAAATATTTTAGCCTTTGGAAGCCATGGAGTCTCTATCATAACTACACGACTCTACCATTGTAGCATGAAAGCAGCCATAAAGCATACATAAACAAATGAGCATGGTGTCATTCCAATAAAATTTTATAGACACTGAAATGTAACTTTTATGTAGTTTTCATGTATCACAAAATAGTCTTCTTTTTTCAGTCATTTAAAATATATTAAAATGATTCTTGGCTTATGGGCTGTACTCAGGCAGCAGGCAGGATTTGGCTTATGAGACATATTTTGGCAATCCTACTATTTTCTACTCAGAGTGGTCAAAGGACCAGAAGCAATGAAAGATACTAGAAATGCAGAATATCAGGCCCTACCCAAGATTTCCCTTAGAGTATGCATTGTAACAAGATACCCAGGTAAATTGTATTCATATTAAAATGTATGAAGCATTGCTCTGGATAAAATATTGCACAAATGCACTATTTGTGCAATATGAACAAATTTGTTCATAGCAATATTTGTTACAGCTAAAAACTGGTAAAAACCCTATGTCAGCTGGATGTGGTGGCTCATGCCTGTAATCACAGCACTTTGGGATGCCAAGGCAGGAGGATTACCCTGAGCCCAAGAGTTTGAGTTTGCACTGAGCTATGATCATGCCACTGCACTCCAGCCTGGGTGACAGTGAGATCCTGTCTCTGAAAACAAAACAAAACAAAAAAAACTGTATGTCCGTTAATAGAAGAATGGATAAATCAATTGTGCATATTCAAAAAAAATGGAATTACATCCATCAACTTGGATGAATATCGAATACACAACATTGGGGAAAACAAGCAAACTACAGAATGTGAAATATGATTTGATTTATATAAAGTTCACAAAATGATACATTATTTAAGAATATCTAGATATGTGGGAAAACTAAAAAGCAGAGAAATAATAATGCAAAAAGTAGGGTATACCATATATAGCCATGATGGAGTAATAGGAACCAAATAATAATTCTACCTTAACATCTAAAGAAATAAGCAAAATATATGCACCAAAAGTTTTCAGAAATTGGACAACTTTCTCAGAGCATGACAGTGATCTCTGAGAAACAGACAGCAAATTAAGCGAGCCCTATGATTGGCCTGGTTTACTGCCTCTAGAGAGTAAGTAACCAGGCTGCAGTTCAGGAAGGGAAAACAGATGGGGAACCTTACAATTATCGGAAATTCAGGAGAAAGATCTAAGAATCAGAGAGGCTAAGATGGCAAGAATTTGTGGATGAGAGTCCCAGAGAAGAGAGAGTTGCACAGAAAGAAAATAACTGCATAGAGAAAGAGCTCCAGAGAATTTCAGAGGATTCCACTGGAGTCCTCAGCTGCAGACAGATCAGTTCATGAATGGGAAGAAACTCCCCAACACTGGAAAGAAGCAAGCAGAAAAATCACTGAAGTTCACACAAGGCCAGGAATAGTTTGTGTTTCTCAGCAACGAAGAGAAAAAAAATCTTGAAATACACGAGATTTTAGGTAGAATACTAAAAAGGATATTTTCTCAGTAGTAGAGAAAAGTTATTAGCTGCTTTATTCCCCTAACAAAGATGGAGCAAAATTTGAAAGGATAAACTGCTTCCAGGTCACTAAATTGCATCATAGAACAATGCATAAGTGTATTTAAAAAACATGAAATACTCTGAAATGCAACAAGTTAAAAGTCACAATGGTTGGCATACAATACAAAACCTATGAGCCATACAAAGGTGCAGGAAAATACAATCCATAATGTGATGAAAAATCAAGCAATAGAAACAAAATTACAAATGATACATGTGATAGAATTAGTAGCCAAGGGTATGGAACCACAGTTGTTATAACCATAACATCAACCATAGGCTCAAGAAGGTAGAGAAAATCATGACCATAGAAAAATATATAAAGAGCACAAAAATAAATTTCTAGAGATGAAAAATACGCTGAATGGGATTAAAGTCTATCTAGACACTGCAGAAGAAAATATTAATGAACATTAAGACACAGCAATAGAAACTATACAAAATAAAATTATACCAAAGACTTTAAAAATGAAAAGAGCATCAATGATTGCAGGACAATTCAAGTGGCTTGATATAAATGGAATCATTGCATCCACTAAAGAAACAAAATAAAGATGCATAGTTAACATCCCAATAAAGGAGTTAAAATGGAATTATGAAGAATACTCAAACCAAACTGAGGGAGAAAAATAAAAAGGCAATAAGAACAGTTTAGACAAACAGAAAACAAACAAGACAGTCAATGGAAACACAAACATCTTCAATTGCATTAAATGAAAATTATCAGAGTGCTCCAATTAAAAGGTAAATATTGGCAAATTGGATAATAAATAGCATGACCCAACTTTATGCTACCCGGTTGAAGCCCACTTTAAATATAAAAGCACAGATAACTTAAAAGTAAAAAGATTATAAAGTATGTATCATGCTAACACTACTCTGAACAAGACTGAATTGGTTATATTGCTATCAGAGAAAAAACAAATTTCAGAAGAAATAATATTAACAAGAACAAAGAGGGCCAGTTTATAATGACAAAGGAATAATTCATAAAGAGAAGACAAAAATCCTGAATGTTTATGTGCCTAATATCAGAGCTTCAAAATTGTTGAAGCAAAGCACTGATAAAAATAAAACATGCAATAAACAAATCCACAATCATGGTTATATACTTAAACACCCAGTGCCAGCGATTGTAAGATCCAGTAGTTATAAAACTAATAAGAATTTACGAGACTTCGGCAACACTATCAACTAACAACCTAATTGACATTTGTACAACACTCTACTCACTAAAAACAGAACACATTTTTAAGTGCACCCTAAATATATATAAACATATATGATACACTTACCATAAAGATGTCTGAATTAATTTAAAAGGATTAAAATCACCTAAAATATGCTGTCTGACCACAATAGAATTAAATTAAAATCAGTATCAAAAATATATCTAGAAAAATCTCCTTAAAACCATAAATAACACACATTTAAATGACCTATGGTTCAAAGAAAAAATTAAAAGTGATATTTTGAAAGCACTTAACGAAAATAAAAACATCACATGGCATTAGTAGAATGCAGCTAAAACAATGCTTAGAAAGAAATGTATAGCTCTACATGCGCATATTTTTTAAAAAGGTCTTAAATTATGACTTACACTTTCACTTTAAAAAGTCAGAATAAAGAAAGAAGAAAAAAATTAACCCCATATTAAACAGAAAAAAAGAAAATCTTAAAGATGGGTGCAGAAATAAATGAACTAGAAAACTCAAAAATAGACAAAATTAATAAAACCAAAAGCTGTTTATTGGCATATTAATAAAACTTCAGCCAAAATCTTCAAGGAAAATAAGAAAAATAAACAACTTATCAAATTCCTGAATGAGAGAGAAAATAATCATTTATAGATCCCACATACTTTAAAAACATAATAAGGAAATGAAATATTGTGAACAACTTTCCTTCAATAAATTTGACAATTTCCTGAAATGAAGAAATTCCTTCAAAGACACAACTACCAAAGCTAACAGAAGAATAATACATAACCTGACTATCTCATTGTACACAGATGTTCCTATCAGGTTTACTTTTAATAGCTAAATATGGAAACAATTCCAATGTCCACCAACAGGTGAATGGATAAACAAAGTGTTATATCCATACAGATTAAAAAGGAGCGAACTACCTATACATACTCAAAGTAAATATGTTGAATGAAGCAAACCAAACTAAAATAAGTACCTATGGTAATAATTAATTTATAAAAAATTATAGAACATGCATATTAATCTATCATGCATATTAATCTATCATGCCACAAAGCAAATCAGTAGTAGCTTGAAGTGATGCAGGGGCACAGGGAGGAGGAGAAGATAAGGATGGATTTCAAAAGTCCAGGAGGAAATTGGTGGAGATGATAGATATATTCACTATCTTAACTGTGGTGATTATTTCATGAGTGTATATATATATATATATATATATGTCAAAAGTTATCAAATTATTCACTTTAAATATATGCAGTATATTGCTAATTATAGTTCTATATAGCTGTAAAAATATTAATATAGGCTAGGATATGCTGAGGTTTCAAAGGATTTAAAAATTGTGGCAGGATTAACATACCAAAAGTTTATTTCTCTATCAAACATAGCTGGATACATCTCCAGGCAGAGTTCCAGAGCATTTGTTGTTCATCTGATGATTACTTTTTCCAATCTATTTAGAACTTGTGGCATACATACATACATGCATACATACCTACATATATATATATATATATATACATACACATATAATTTATAAAACATTATATATATGTATATATAAATACAGAAGGAGATGATAGGGCTGGAGAATTGAATACTAGAGAGTGAATCCCTTTGTTGAAAAAGAAATATACCTCACTTCTATTCACATTTTATTGGATACAACTAGTCACATGGCCATCTCTAACTACATGGGTCCTGAGAAGTGGAAACTGCAGTGTACAAGAATTAGAGGACAACCAGATACTGATAGCCGTTAATAATGAAAGAACATTTAGTTATCTGTGGGGCCAGAATGGACAGAGTTGCAACCTAGAAACTCCGTGCAGGGTAAATTTGATGCACTTACAATGTTCTATATTTTAAGTTGGCTGGTTGATATATACACATTTATATTTAATATTAATATAATTAGTATTAATACATCAACATATTTACACTATATAGACACATTTCCTACTTTATATATTTCATAACAAAAATGTGGTAAAAATCTTGTGCAAAGTAAACAATAGAGTCCTCTGATATTGTGGAGTTAGTCATATTTTATTTGGAGAAAACTCATGGAAACAAATTACACTATCTTAAGAGGAAGAGAAATTAGCTTACAACAAATTGAGAACAAGCACCAGTTTCAGAACCTTAAAGAGATGAAAGAATGTTTGTCAGGTGATGTTATATCTCAGATTCCTTTCTCCTATATAGTCTCCGTTCTCAGAAGAGCACTCTTTTCAGAGGCAAGTGGGAAAAGTGCTTCTCACTTAAAATAATCACCAGAAAAATTCCCAGAAATATATATTATTGTTTGGCTTGAGTCATGTGGCGATTTCTTTACTAATTCCTGGAGGCAGTGATGTGATTCTGTAATGGGCTAGGACTTCCCCTTGTTGCCATCTATGGGTGTTGTGGGGACAGATGTCACACCCTTCCAAATCACAAGGTATATGTAGGGATGTTTCTTCACATGAAAATTGGATGATGATGAAAGTAAAAAGAGAGGGAGGGGGAGAAAAAGCACAGATATAGAGAGGCAGAAAGGGGAAAGAAGGAAGGAAGGAAGGAAGCTAGCTATGCAATCAGCAACAGAGGTTACTAGTAACAGCAAGATTTATAATATTTAAAAGCTTAAATTCCACTTTAAAGGTTGTTTCTTTTATCAAAATTCAGTAAATCCCTATGATTTTCTTTTCTGCAAATTCAGAGCCCTGCATTATGTACTCTGTTTAAATATGACACAATTGATTTGTCCATTGTCTTGTCAACATAGTCAGCTATAGTGTGATATTTATATTTGTCCCCAAAGCAGGTCTCTACAAAATAAGGCTAGCTGCTGAGCACAGGTTGACTAACATAGACAATTATTTTATTTTGATGTCCTTAAATTAACAACAAAAAATACCCCCTCCTACCAACTCCTCATCATTTTTATAAAAAGTTAAACCTGTGTATACTTTATGAACTCTCTGTTCCAAATTTATTGGTATCAATGGGATTGTTCAACATATTGTATTGCATATATCTCTGATATGGTTTGGTTCTAAGTCCCAACCCAGACCCACACCTCACTTGAATTGTAAAAATCCCCATGTGTCGTGGGAGGGACCCAGTGGGAGATAATTGAATCATAGGGGTGGGTTTTTTTCCGTGCTGTTCTTGTGATAGTTAATAAGTTTCACAAGATCTGAGGGTTTTATAAAGGGCAATTCCCCTGCACAAGCTCTCTTTCCTGCCACCATGTAAGATGTGACTTTGCTCCCCATTCACCTTCAGCCATGATTGTGAGACCTCCCCAGCCATGTGGAACTGTGAGTCCATTAAATGTCTTTCCTTTTTAAATTATGAGTCTCAGGTATGTCTTTAATAGCAGTGTGAGAACAGACTAATTTAGTAAATTGGTACCGATAGAGTGGGGTGCTGCTGAAAAGACACCTGAAAATGTGCAAGCAACTTTAGAACTGGGTAACAGGCAGAGGTTGGAACAGCTTGGAGGGCTCAGAAGAAAATAGGAAAATATGGGAAAGGTTGGAGCTTCCTAGATACTTGTTGAATGGCTTTGACCAAAATGCTGATAGTGATATGGACAATAAAGTCCAGACTGAGGTGGTCTTAGATGGAGATGAGGAACTTGTTGGAAACTGGACTAAAGGTCACTCTTGCTATGCAAAGAGACTGGTGGCATTTTTGCCCCTGCCCTAGAGATCTGTGGAAATTTGAACTTGAGAGAGATGATTGGGGTATCTGGCAGAAGAAATTCCTAAGCAGCAAAGTGTTTAAGAGGAAACAGAGCATAAAAGTTTGGAAAATTTGCAGCCTGATTATACAATAGAAAAGAAAAACCCATTTTCCGGGAAGAAATTCAAGTCTGCTGCAGAAATTTGCATAAGTAACAAGAAGCTGAATGTTAATCACCAAGACAATGGGGAAAATGTCTTCAGGGCATGAAGAACTCACAGCAGCCCCTCCCATCACAGGCCCAGAGGCCTAGGAGGGAAAAATATTTTCTTGGGTCAGGTCCAGAACCCCCCTGCTATGTGCAGCCTAGGGACTTGGTGCCCTGTGTCCCAGCAGCTCCAGCCATGGCTAAAAGGGGCCAAAGTACAGCTCAGGCCATGGCTTCAGAGAGTCCAAGCCCCAGGCCTTGGAAGCTTCCATGTGGTGTTGAGCACCATGTGGGTGCGCAGAAGTCAAGAATTGAGGTTTGGGAACCTCTGCCTAGCTTTCAGAGGATGTATGGAAGTGCCTGGAAGTCCAGACAGAAGTTTGCTGCAGGAGCACCTCTCCTAGGGCAGTGTGGAAGGGAAATGTGGGGTTGGAGCCCCCACACAGAGTCCCCACTGAGGCACTGTCTAGTGGAGCTATGAGAAGAGGGCCATCGTCCTCCAGACCCCAGAATGGTAGATCCACCAACAGCTTGCACCGTGCACCTGGAAAAGCCACAGACAATGCCGGCCTGTGAAAGCAGCTGGGAGGGAGGCTATACCCTGCAAAGCAACAGGGGTGGGGCTGCCCCAGGCCATGGGAGTCCACCTGTTACATCAGCATGACCTGGATGTGAGATATGGAATCAAAGGATATTATTTCAGAGCTTTAAGATTTTACTGCCCTGCTGGATTTCAGACTTGCATGGGGCCTGTAGACCCTTTGTTTTGGCCAATTTCTCCCATTTGGAATGGGTATATTTACCAGAATGCCTGCACCCCCATTGTATCTAGAAAGTAACGAATTTGCTTTTGATTTTACAGGCTCATAGGCAGAAGGGACCTGCCTTGTCTCAGATTAGACTTGGGATGGTGGACTTTTGAGTTGATGCTGAAATGAGTTAAGATTTTGGTGGACTGTTGGGAAGGCATGATTGCTTTTGAAATGTGAGGGCATAGATTTGGAGGGGCCAGGGACGGAATAATATGGTTTGGCTTTTGGCTTTGTGTCCCCACCCAAATCTCACCTTGAATTGTGTTCATCCCCATGAGTCATGGAAGGGACTCAGTGGGAGGTAATTGAATTATGGGGGTGGGTTGTAATTGTCTTAAATCATATTTTTTCAGTCTCTATGTTGTTATTTTTACAAAATTTGTTTCGAGAAAAGTGATTTGACATTGGAAAAAAATTCTTTTTATCTGACCTTGTATCACCTGTTTCTAGTGTCTCCTTCATATGCTGGCAGAGAAAAGATCAGCAGTAAAAACAACAGATGTTAGGATCCATTTACTTGATAATGATTTCTCAGTAATTCTGTGGGCTTGATTGGGGCTATTAGTCAAGAGCTTCCAGATAGTTTTAGATTTAAAAAATTAAAGGTCTAGTTCATTCAATGCCAATTTTACATTTTTAATTTACATCTATGAAGGAATAGTAGGTTCTTTTGTCTTTTTAAAATTACAAGCTGGATATCACCTAGGTAGCACATCAGACACAGGATTCCTACCATTCCAATAATGGGCTGTCACTCTAACCTTTGAGTTTGAAAGGGCAAAAACAAGTTCTGGTATATTCCTTTTTAAGCCATTCTTCTTTTATCCTTCACATTTGGCTTGCTTGAGAAAGATCGTATTCCTTAGATTTTTTGCTTGAAATATCAAGGAATACAATAACTAGGCATTGAAAGAAACATCCATAACAATTCAAATATATGATTGCACCACAGAATCTAGCTTTACTAGTGTTTTAAAAATACACACAAAATTTTTTTCTTAAAGAAAAAATTCTGTATTTTCCTGAAATATTTTAAAAAATATATTAAAATGAAACACAACCAAACAAGAGGTTCATTTGTTCTGTGCTCCAAGAACTACCCAATACTAACTGTCATCCTTGTCACAACTGAATTTGTAATTAATTTGAGGTAACAAAGGAGTGCAGAAAGTCTGATAAAAGTATAGTAAATAATTTGCAAGTGAAAAATCAATACTTGAAAGAAAAAAGTCTTTATGCTTATGCCATTAAAAGAAACACTGTAAACACAGTCAGATTCAGTTACAAAAATATCCATTAATAAAATGACCAGCTATAAAAATGAATATATTTAATTTTAAAAGAACAATGGATAAAATATCTTTCAAATTAAGAAAGTGGCATAGTTAATATAATGTATTTATAGAATTGTGCAATAAAATATGTTGAACAATTCCATTGGTACCAAGAAATTTGGGACAGAGATTTCATAAAATGTGTATAGATTTAAGATTTTGTAACAAACAGTTAAATGCATATTTTATTCAATAGGTAATAAAACAATATGTCAACTGATTTACAATAAAGTTTTAATTTTTTTCAATCATTTATGCACCAAATAACGATATGGGGTATTAGGAGAAGAGATCATTGTATTCAAATTGAGTTTTGCAAAGCAAAATTAAACTCTAAAATCAGTTGATAATTGCTTTGTCTGGATTTTGTGGACTTATTTGAGTAATGATTTCCCCACGTTTTTCTGATTTTCCCCCTTTCTAACATTACTTCATTGTATAGTTTTTAAAATAAACTACAATGTTTGATAGTTTTTCTTTAAACAAAGGCAGTATGTTGTTTGATATTTTCTTAATGATTAAAAACAAATTAGCTAACCAGGCATATGGATTTTTATTAACTAGTATAGAAAGATTAACAAAATAAAGATTCCCCTGCCCTGTTTCCCATTGCTGATGCCTTTGTAAATCAAACATTTAAAATTTATATTGATTATTTTAGTTTTCCTTTTTATTTCCGTTTCTCTACATAATGTAACTACACTACTATTTCATTTTTTCTTTTTTTAAAGACTCTAAAGGAAATATCAATAGCATACATATTAAATGAGATCATACACAAGATAAAATTGCAAAGAACAACACAGTGAAAAGTAATGTCAGTGAAAAGGAAATGCCTTATCCTTTAGTAGAGTGTTAAATCCACGGTTCCACTTCCTGCTGGCAAGTATTTTTACCAAGGTTTTGGGTAATCATCCAAACAGATTTTTGTCACTCATCCACAGATATGCATGTGCACACATACATACACACACATACACACAGTGTGCAAATGAAAGCATTTTCTTTCCCCTTTTACACTTGCATATTTACCTTAACAATAAATATATCTGTTTCTTATTAAAGGTTGCAGAATATTGTTTGAGCCATAATGGATTTAATTAGTTCCCCTTTAGTGAATATTCCTATTTTTCTTGCTTTTCTTTTACAAATTATGCTGCAACAAACAGCACTGTACACCTTCCTTTCTACAGGTGAGAATTGTTGACTGGTATAAATAAAATGGAAGATTTGCTGCATCACATAAATGTGCATTTCAATTTAATAGATATGGCAAGTGACCATCAAAGTGAAATTAGTTTTACTTCCCACCATTTATGTATAAAAATACATATTTCCCCACAGAATGCTCTCAAACTTTTTGAGTTCAACAACCCAAATGATGAAATAGTGGATGTAATTGTTACTTTAATGGGCATATGGTATGTAATTGAAACTGACCTAATTGTCCCATAGAACTGATGTTTATGGTTGCTTTTGAGTAAACATAGAAATTGACCCTCCCGGTCTTAAAACTTGAGAAAATTTGTCTTATCAGAATTTCTTTCTCAGAAAAATAAATATCAGGCCTCCCAGATTGTATCAAGGGACTGAAACTTACCAGATCATTGCATCTGGACAATGAGACATCAGACACCTCACCCATCATGAATGCCTAAGTGACCACCTGCTTCCTGTTGACCAGTTTCTCTTCTGTAGTCCTCCCTGATTCCTGTTTTCCTGCATGTAGTTACATGTTTTCCCTGCTATATAAACCCGTGATTTTAGTTGGTCATGGAGGTGGATTTAAGATTGATCTCTTTTTCTCCTCAGCTGCAGCACCCAGTTAAAGTCTTCTTCCCTAGCAATACTCACATCTCAGTGATTGGCTTTCTTTACAATGAGCAACAGGATCTAGATCAACTAAGCAAGCACAACTTGTCCATCCGACAGAAACCCAATCCTGGCAAAAATGTAAAAGTGGAGCCAGGACAAGAGCTAGATCTTATATATCAACCACTGAATTTTGTATTTCTGTGTTTGTTTCTGACTCATGGCTAACATTTTATAATTGAAGCTACAAGCTCTCTATTTGTGTCTGTATGTGTGTTTATGTACTATGTATATATATGTAATAGTTTCCTGCCTCCACACAGTATTACCAAATTAGATTATAAAAATCCCTTCAAATACTGCTGTTTTGATTGGTTTAGAGCTTACTCCAGTAAAACTTCATTTCAACAATAATTATGCTCTTAGTGTATCAGCTTGAAGATAGTCTTAAAGATCTTTTGGTACTTTAAAACCTTATGCTTATGCTAAAATTAAGTATTCAAGGAATGAAGGATGTCTTGTTACAGAATAAGTAATTTTATTGTAAATAAAATCACTGGTTTTTACAGAATGAAACAGGAAAATCTGAATGGAAAAGAAAAATGGAATAGAACAAAGTGGAAGGGAAAAGTAGCACAATGTTCGTGGAAAATGAATTGTATTTGTTGTGGTCAAAGATAACTATGATTATATGGGTTTATTTTTAAGATTAAAAAAAGACTTAGTGTCAAATATGATATGGTCCAAAATTAGAATTTGGTTTACTCTCTGTTAAAATAACAGAATTTACTTGGACTATTAGTCTGTTCTTAATGAGAGGTTATGAAAAAAATAGATTTCTTCTTTACCTTCAGAATAATCTGTCTAGAAATTAAAGATCTTTTATTATCAGAATTATTTCCCCTGCTTTATGTTGACTTTACTATGCCCTTGATTATTTAGGAGAACAGAGTCTTGTCAATTTTAAAAGCTAATAAGGTTTTATAAAGTCATATTACCTCCTATATTTACTTCTGAAATTTTGTATAGTCATTTGATTAAATAAGAAGCCAAATATTGTTTTTCAGCAACCCATGATTTTATTTGATCAACTGTTGAAATCTCCTGACAACTTTTGATATTTTGTCTTCCAGAAATCAAATCCTAAATAATATCTTCCTGATCTCAAGCTTTGAGATTTCCTGGGGGATTCCTGGAAAATTACAAAGGCTCTTTCATCTTGTTAAAAGAGAGGGGCTAGAATAATATATCAAATTATTGAAATGTTATGAGTTACATAGGAAGTATTGTCAAATCAGAAGAAATGCCTGACCTTTCCTAGTTTAAATTTGTATGAATAAAATGTTACTAATATAAATATTTGACAAATTGTATGAAGTTATTTGAGATTTGTCAATGTTCATGCTGTCTATGATATATCGTGCTATAGTTTTGCCTGATATAAGACAACAGTGTAGTGTTATTGGTCAACTTCACTTTTTTTTTATGTTGTATGCCACAGAAGCAACCAAATTTCCATGTCAATTGGAATATTTTTGTTGAACTCATTATATCATTAACCATGGCTATTTTCTCTTTGCCATTCACAGGTAGTTTTGTTTCACTCTAATGCTTCCCTTAACGTGCTTAGCCAGAGTACTTTGGTTATAAACCGGAGTACTTTGTCTTCAACAAGAAGGGACTGTCTCAGAGACCCAGGAAAAGGTCTATGCCAGGCAGTATGGGGCACAGACTTCTGAGGAATTGTTAAGATAATATTGACAACATACCATGGACTGAGTCAAGCTATCCAGTAATCTAGTGAAGAAGCTGATGAGTTCATGAGACTGCCGGTTCAAACTCAGCATGATTTTATCGTCTTTCAAGAAGGAGAGAATGTAAATAAATTAGCTAACTTTGGAATCTTGCATTCTCATTTGTTTAGTAGTTATTTAAATTCATTAAATTGCTTCATATAAGTAACCATTATTCTTGACGGTAAAATTAAGTTTTTCTGTGCCTGGCTTATTTCACTTAGCATAATGTCTTCCTTGGTCATCCATGTTATTACAAATGGTAAGATGTTTTTCTTTTGCGAGACTGATCTTATTTTCTCAAGATGACTGACTGGAAACATCAGATGCCAGTTCTCAGAAAGATCAAAGTTACAACTGAATGGTCATGATGTGAACAGAAAGCTAAAGGAAGAGAGCCGGGACTGTTGCAGAGCCCACAGGAAAAAGCTGGGACACAGAAAAGGAAGGTAGCAAGAGTCTGGCAGAGATTGACCTCCGAGGAATTTGAAGTCCCACAGAGGGAGTAAGTGTGCTGTTTCTTTGCTCCACTCATTCCTGTGACAAACTGCTGACTGACAAATTATTGGGGAGCACCTCTGCCCTCATTAACCCCTGCAATGCTGTCAGTGGCAATTTGGGAACTTCCTGGGAATAGAGCCCCAGGTGGCCTTCTTATACAGATGTGCTTGCATTCCTCTCAGGTCCAAACTGAGATGGCAGAAACCATACTGGTTGTGCCCCTATTGTGGGCCACTGTCCTGCTCAGGGAACCTCATCCTTTGTGTCACTGCATCGCCAGATTCCCTGCAAATGTACCCAAGAACCTGCTCTGACTTGGCAACCACGGGGACTGGTGGAACCATGAGGAATTGCAGAATCCCTGGAGATGTAACCTTCCACACAGGCCACCCTTAAGGGAGTGGGGAGCATAGCCCACAAAAGCACCCCTTGTGACAAAGGAAACATGGGTCCAGTGCGGATCTCTGAAGGAGGCAGCACCAATGACCAGGAATAGATGTGTGTGTGTGGAGGGGGGTGGGTGGGGGGGTGTCATCTCCCATTCCCCTTGTCCACTGTTCCAGATGCAGCAGAGGCTTTCTCCACTGCAGACTGTCACGAATGCACTTGAAGACAGCCTTTCCAGTGCTATTCACAGAAACTGCACCCCCGTTGAAAGTGAGCTTGTACCCCACTGGCATGCATGATGGGCAGGGCCCAATCTCCCCCTCCGTACATAGAGGAGCAGCATCGCAGCAACAGAAGGCAGTCAAGCCATGAAGCCTGGTCTGGACTGGAAGAAGAAGCATTGTCCTGGGGTCATTTCAGTCCTGGGGTCATTTCAAAATATTCTTCTGCCAGAATATTTTCTCTGACCTCAGTAACACTGTGGCCAGAGTCAAAGGACACTGTCTATATGAACTGAAGGTCATGAGCTCTGTGACAGGGGCACAACAGGGAAGCAAATCACATTCCTCCCTGCCCAGGACTAGAGACAGATGTAACCCCCCAACTTCTTCCCCCAAGACCTCAGTACATCCCAACACAACTCTCCCTGCCTGCCCCCATCAGGATGGGTTGCCTCCACTTATCAAAGGGCTACCAAATGTTACTCTTAAGCGCCACCTACTGGAATGGAGACTGCTGCATCACTGAATAAAAATCCCTGCTGTCCGAAGAGCACAGGGTTAGTGCATGAGATAAGCTTCCTGAGACCGCTGCATTCCCAGTCACGCAGGGCATAGTGTATTGGCTCATATGCCCAACACATTGCTAAGGCAAGCAGCATTTGAGAAAACCACCACACATGATTCCATATCTTTGTTACTGTGAATGTGCTGCAATGAACATGGGAATGCAGATAACGCATCAAAACACTGGTTTCACTTCTTTTGGATATATACCCAGCAATGAGGTTGCTGGATCATATTTTTAATTTTCTGGGGAACCTCCATGCTGTTTTTTTATAACGACTTTACCCATTTACATTCCCACCAATAGTGAACAAGTGTTTTCTTTTCTCCACGTCTCCACCAACACTTATTATCTTTTGCTTTTTTGATAAAATACACTCTAATACGTATGAGGTGATATCTCATTGCGGTTTTAATTTACATTTCCCTGATGGTTAGTGATGTTGAGAATTTTTTCATATCTGCATTGGCCATTTGTATGTCTTCTTTTAAGAAATATCTAAGTCTTTTGTCCATTTTTAATTCTGTTATTTATTTTCTTGCTATTGATTTGTTTAAGTTCCTTATAGATTTTGGATATTAACCCCTACCAGATGTAGCAAACTGAATTCAATGGCACATTAAAAGGATGGTTCACTATGATCAGGTGGGATTCAAGAATGGATCACCATATGCAAATCAATAAATGTGATACACCCCATTAACAGAATGAAGAACAAAAACCATATGATCATCTCAATAGATGTAGAAATGCATTTGACAAAATTCAACATTTTTTATGATAAAAACTCTCAACAAATTAGTTATAGAAGCAATGTACCTCAACACCATAAAGGTCGTGTATCACAAGCCCACATAACATAATATGCAATGGTGAAAAGTTAAAGCTTTTCCTCTAAGATCAGGCACAGTATAAGCATGCCCAATCTTGCCGTTTCTATTCAACATAATAATGGAAATCCTAGCCAAAGTGATTAGGAAAGAGAAACAATAAAAAACATCCAACTCATAGATAAGGGAGTTAAATTGTTTCTGTTTACAGACAAAATGATTATATATATATATATATATATATATATATATATAATTGTTGGAAATAATAAATGAATTCAATAAAGTTTTGAGATACAAAAGTAATGTACAAATATCAGTAGTGTTTATATGCAATAACAACAAACTCTCCAAAAAACAAATCAAGAAAATTATCCCATTTAAAATAGCTACAAAAATATAAAATACTTAGCCATAAATTTAACCAAGAAGGTAAAAGATGTGTATATTGAAAACCATAAAACATTGATGAAAGGAATTGAAGAAGATACAAATAAATGGAAGGATATTTTGTGTTCCTGGAGTGGAGTAATTAATATTGTTAAAATGTCCATACTACCCAAAGTGATCTACAGATTCAATGCAATGCAATCCCTATAAAAATTCCAATTACATTTTTCCCAGAAGTGGAAAAAATCCTAAAATTTGTACGAAACCACAAACGACCCTGAATAGCCAAAGCAATATTGAACAAAAGTGACTAAGCTGGAGGCATTGCACTTGCTGTTCTCAAAATGTACTACAAAGGTATAGTAATCAAAACAGCAGAGACTGGCGTCAAAACAGACTTATACATCAAAGAAACAGAGTAAAGAGCCCAGAAATAAATCCATGAGTTGACAGTTACCTGATCTTTTTACAAAAGGGCCGAGAACACACAATGGAAAAAAGAGAGTCTCTTCAATTAAATGGTGTTGGTTAAGTGGATATCCACAAGCAGAAGAATGAAATTAGATCTTTATCTCACCCCATATACAAAAATCAACTCAAAATGGATTAAAAACTTAAATATAAGACCAGAAATTATAAGCCTACTAAAAGAAAACATAGGTAAAACTTCTTGACATTGGTCTTGGCAAATATTTTTTGAATATGACACCAAAAGCACCAGCAAAAAATAAAAAATTAAAAAATTTAAAAAAATAGACAAATGGGATTGCGTCAAACTAAAAAGCTAAAAAGCTTCTGTACAACAGTGGAAACAATCACCAGTGAAAAGACCACCTACAGAATGAGATAAAATATTTGCAAACCATAGAGTAGGTGTTTTAAAATGTATAAGATAATAAAATGAATTATATGCCCATATATAGGCAAACTTATGAAAAATTGAAAATATTTTAGAAAATAAACATTTATTGATTTAATTGTGGCTCAAAAGAAAAAACAGAAAATTTGATCAGCTATAAAAGTTGTATACATTTTACCATCATTCCAAAATATACTTACCAGCCTTAGCACACCATGACATACTTCTGTCCCGGAAAATTATACAGGCTTGTTTTAAGAATAACAAAGGATTATGTGGTGTGCAATCTCAATAAGTCAAACATTTTGGTATATGTAAGATCATATATTAATTCCCATACTTACAGCTTCAGCTCTTTAATATTGGTGTATCATGTCATAGACTGAGTCAAATTTTTTTCATCAACTGCAAAAGAAAACTTCGATATTTTAAGTGAGTTTATCACAATGGGTTTATTATGTTTACATATTTGTTTTATCTGCTTTATTTGGGATTTATTTTCTCACATTATTTTTATGCTTCCTTGTAATGCATCTATGGTATGAAACTTAGACAACATACAATGTAAATTTATATCCTAGCTCATTTCACTTTTTGTTTTAATCTGCAGAAATTTCAGAACAAAATTTACAGTTGAATTTTAGTATCACAAGGGCATTATCACATGCATTTTTTCTAGAGTAATTTTATATATTCTATTTTCATAGTATTCCCCACATATATAATTCCTTCCCATGTTCCATTTATATATTTATAATAATACATACTTATTTGTTTTTATTTTTTGTGTATCATCTTGTTGTACATAACCATATACAGCATTTGGAATAAAAGGTGAAGTAAATGTAAAAAGAAACCCAAAATCCAAAAACCCAGATTCAGTAGCAATTTAGCAAGAAATATATTTTTAAATAAGCCCTTATATAGAGAGAACACTTTCAACTGAAAGTTCTAGCCTACTAAGCCTGTATCACCTGAATTTTTTAATAACAAACTATTCAAAATCATATATTTTTTTTTACTTTTACTTAAGACTTTTATAATCCATTGCTCAACAGTTAGTATAAAATGATGAATGCTTATTTTCTGTAATTTTTGTATAAATTTAAAAATGTAAGTATTCTAAATCTGTTTAGACATGATTTATCTTGATACATTTCCACAATGTGCATTTTTATATGAGCTATTTTCAAAACTAAAGATAAATTTTTATCCTCTTATGATATTATGGCTTATTCTTTGGCTGTAAATTTACCTGTTTTTACACTATTAAATTTGAGTATATGCAGTTCAATGAAATCATCTCAGTTGCTTGGTATTTCTTTAATAGAAAATTGCACATACAAATTACTTACTGCATACAGCAAGTAGGCTGACACAAGTAAATTTAAATTTTTGCTGTTCATTCCTTTGATTTATGTAATATTGTTCTTTTCCTCCATCAAATTATTTCAATGATGTCTTTGGCAGAGTGTTTTACTAAATAACGTGTGATTCATAGTGTTGGAAAAGATGCTCCAAGCGTGACTATACTCTGATGCATTTACTGATTAAGGATGTTTGACAAACTGTGTCTCGGCTGTGGTGCAACCCACAGGCTTTTCTGTTGTGAGAAGCAAATGACATCTCTAACAGTAAAAAAGGCAACATGGTGCCTATGTTTCCCCAACAGTATAGCTTTTATCACTAACACTCAGAGGTCACAGAAAATGACACCCCAATTCAGCAAATAGAAACTCTCAGCTTTCCCAGGGCAGAATCTACAGCAAATAGGCCAATATATGAAGTACAATGGAGTAACATAAAAACTGCTATTGGGCTCTGGTAAATTACATGTTATCTCCGGCTCTTAATTGTAGGCTTGGTGCCTTTTGTTTTAATTTCAGAGATGTGCAGAAGTAGAACCCTTTATTAAACTCATCCAGTATCAATCTATGAACATCCCAATTACACGTTGTTTGTTGGTAGGAAGTCAGGTTGAACTAAGTAAGGAACATTCACCAGTAATGTGTCAGTGGATATAAAAAAAGATGCATGACAAAAGCATGATTCCTCTGTGCTGCATGGGTTTTTTTCCTTATTGTATTTCTTTACTAAACAAGCAACTTCCTTAATTATGTTTTAAATATGAGTAAACTTTTGATATTTGTTTAGACTCTAAGCCAACTATTTTGCAATGAAAAACCGCCTTCCACTGTGTAATTATTAAGATATAAGAAATAATTCTAGTTTGCTTATTTTAGTGCCTTAAAATATTCAGAATTATTTTGAAGCATTTTAATTTCTACTGGGCATTGAGGGTCTAACTCACTGAGAAAAATGGGTAATTTCAACTTCTTTTTCCAAAATATGTAAAAATATTTTGGAGAGTCAAAAAAAAGTACACGTTTTTCCACCCATATGTTGTCTTTATCATCTGCTGAAACATTAGCCTTTTTCATGTGAAAACCTTTTGTAGTGTAAAATGTAAACCTCATTAGCTATGGAATTGTTTTGCCCAGTAAAAGAAAAAAACAACTAATTTTAATGTGTTTATAGATTCAAAGCATCAGTGAAAATGCTTGCCAGAGAAGTAAAATTAATTCAGTATAACTCACTAAATAGATTAACTCAACAGTCTTTCCAAATGGTTTTTATAAATTTTATACAAAGATTAAATTTGTCAAAAAAATTATCCAAAGAATAGAGTCTATAAAAATATGTAGCTCATCAAGTTGATATACTAATACCGTAATACCATAAGCTCTATCTGTCATGTTTATTGTAAATGCTTGCTGTTGTTATTGCACATTTATTGAGTGCTTTGTACTTTACATATGTTTGGAGGACTATTTGTAAGCCTGATTAGTTTATTTTTTATATTTCTCAATTATTAGAAAAATGTCCATATTTCTTTTATATTACTAAAAATGATAAGAATGCTTTCCCTATATTAATTTTTAATATATAGAAGATAATATGTCATACAAGTGTACTATGAAAGCAATTTCATGTATATGTACATCCTGTCACAGTTTGATCATAAACAGTGAATTCAGTTAAACTGAGAAGGAATAATGAAAATGGAATCTGAGCAAGGAGACAGATTACAATATACTAACACAAGCTGTGGTCAAACTTAGTTTATCACATGTGTATTTCTCCACTGGGAAATTGTGGGAGATGAGATCTTACAAACATGTTATAAGAAGAATGAATCCTCAAGAGACAAAACAGCTTAGAGGCCTTCAAAAGCAACAAATTAGTCTTTTCTGAGATCTACAATTGTATTTTCTATGTACTATTTTGTAGCCAGTTTTTGATCATTGTCCTCAGTTTTCTTACCTTGTACTCTGCATTTGATCTTCAGCTCAACAGCTCTAGAAGTAGGCTTTCTCTGGTCTCTGTTAAATGATGATAAGGCTGGATCTTCTTATTGTTATAATTCTTTATTTTTTGTTTTTGAATGGGGACACAAGATATTTGGCCAGATTCTGGATGGAATTTCATTCTTATAATTTCTGGGTTTTTCTCTATTTCAGCCTTTTCTGAATAAAAGGGTTAGGGTTCAAGCCACAGAAAAGCTGACTTCGGACCTTATTACATATCATACAAGGACTATTAAAATATCTAATAAGGTTTAGTCTAAAACAAGACAAATTATTAGGAATTAATTACTCTGTGCAGATATGACAAAATCCTAAATCGATACAAAACTATATTTATTTTTTAATTTAGTAGAAAACAGAAATGAGAATATTTTCAAAGATATCAACCAGTTAGATTCTGGATCTACATTATGAAAAAGAAGTTTATAATCTAAACATTTTAGAAATGAGATGAGCTCTATAATATGTTTGAAATGATCACAATTGTTGTAACGGAAATTACGTATCCTACCACCAGAGATATTGCTGTACATGTGACATGTTTAGAAGGGGAACATGAACCCCTCTCACAATTAGGATTCCACAATTCTACAAAGACATTTATTTCTACATTTATTAATGGAACAAACATTTCTTAAAGATTTCTAAAGGACCAGATGCTGTGCTAGACTTTGAGGACACAGACACAGTAGTGGATAAAACATGGCTCAAGGTTTTAAAATGCTTAAATCTGTGGAGACAGATAAGCAAAGGGAGAATCTCCAAAGTATATAAAAACCATAATGCAAGTAAGTACTAAATGGTAGGAAAGCACATGAGGAAGCATTTAACCCAGTTTGAATGTGTCAGGAGAAGCTTCCTAGAGGAGTTATTGAAGGTCAAGTAGCAATTAACTTAGCAAAACAGAGAAAGAGGCTGGAGAGAAAGCATACAAGTCAAAGGGAGCAGCATGAATAAGAGCTCTGCAATTTACTATTGCACAACTCATTTGGGAAAACACAACAAACAAAACTGCATTTTTCATGCACAGAACATGAGACAGGTAATAGCAACCTGTAAGGAAACACAGATGAGTGTAGTCATCTTGGCTAGAGCTGTTAGTAAAATTACACATGACAAAGCTTGGCCAATAATAGGAAAAATCATTAAAATATTTTATAGCAAATAACTTCAATCAGCAGGGGGCACTGAATATTAGCAATTTTGCAGTGTATAACATTTAAATGTTACTAAATGATCTCATTTTTAAAATTTACATTTATGTAAAATTTCAATGTGAGCAACCACTGTGTGAATTTAGTAACAGACCTGGATTTCACACAAATTTTTGCTGTTCACAATTAGTGCTAATGACATGTGATTCATTTTATTTTATATTGTCATAGTAGGAGAAAGAATAAAGACGTGAAATGAAAACTAAGATTAAAATTTGATAAGTATTTTAAACTGAACATAATCAGTGTAAAATAAGACTTATTCTCCATGCTTGAACAGCATGATGGAATAATGAAAAATCGCAGGAAAAACAATGGATGATATGCTGCTAATGTCCGTTATCAAAAGCATTGGATTAAAAGGTTCAAGAGGTCCTAGAAATGTGAGAGTTGGATGTGGGATCAAGGGTTAGCTTTGTGAGGACTTAATATCCCACAGATTGGGATTTAATGATACAAATTTAATACTGGGGAGATTGCCCAACTAAAAATAGGTTCCCTAATATTATTTCACATTACAGTATTTGAAAATCCATCATGAGAAATGAATTTGCTTCTGTCTGTAAGTGTTTTCCATCATCAGATATCCTCCACTGAGTAGAAAATTGCTGTGGAAAAAAGAAACATCTTATGCTATGAATCATTGTCTATGATTCTAGGGAAAGTGCAAAATGAGAGAAAGGATTGGGAAGACATAGGTTCAAAAAACTGTGGTGGGGCAAGAGAATTTAAAAGAATTTTTTTTGCATTCTATTTCACTAATAATAATACCATTTATTCAATGCCCAATACATACCAGAATCTTCCATGTGAAATTATCTTATTTAATGTTTTCACGTATTTAAAGTTGGCATTGTTGCCTTATTGTTACAAATGAGGAAGTTGAGGTTTAGAAAACTTATATAAATTGCCCATATTCACAGAGCTACCAATGGTCAAAGTTGAGATTTAGACCTCCTATTTTTTTTTTTTTTTTTGCTTGCAAATTCTGTTGCTTTCCACTATGCCAGGCTTAGTAGGAGTAACACAAGAGTATTTGTCCAGATGACTTTCCCAGTTTAACTCATTCGTCTCATGTATTCCAAAGATCCCCAATTCCATAGCCATCCCGGATTACATTTTCCTGGCTGGAATGTCTGGCACCAAGTGCTACTTTAGTTGAAATGGAATATACCCTCTCTGAAGGCTAAGGAAAAAAGGCTCTTTCTCGGATCTGTGTTGTGAAAAATCAGACAAAGCATAACCCTGGGAAAACTATTTCTGAAGGAAGTCATAAAGCAAATTTCAATTGATGAATCCCAAGAAAATGGACTCTGAGTCACTGGGTCAGAAGAGACCACCAGAGAAAAGCCTATGGCATCCAGATTATTCCACCAGAGTGAAAATTTTCTAACCAAATCTAAGGGCAGCTGAGTGAATTTATCTTCAGATATCCACTTCTGTTTGGTTGGCTCTATCATTTAAGTAAGTATTACCCAAAATACATTCAGTGGAACTTTAGTTCTACCACATTCTGTGAAGGAAAGCAGGATCCCATTGCCAAAAATTAAGTTTCAGAAATCTTTCCTATTTTCTTCTTGGAGATTCATAGAAAGGTAAATTATTTCTTTTAAACAGACCATTTCATAAACATATTTGACCACTGAATTATTTTTGTTTCTAGTAATGGTTATTAACCTACAGAATAGTGTTCTGAGTAATTCACATTGGGAAATTCTATATTAGAACAATAGCTTTCCGTTTTCTTATCAGCTAGAGCCCTCCTATTATTTTTCCCACTTAGACCTCATATTGTGAAAATGATTTTCACTAGGGTCTTTACAAAATTTATTCAGAGACTATTGTTAGACTTTTAAAAATGTTGGCAGGAGGCAAAACCCAGAAACCTTCATTACTCTTTATAGAGTTTCCTTGAGTTACAGATTTGAAATTGGTAATTATTATTCCTAGAAGAAATTGCTTATTAAATAGATTCTACTCATTACTGTCATATTTAGTTCTTTTATGGTTCTTTTATGGTTAGAAAGCCATTGCCATGTCCTCAGAGTTCATAGAGGCATAGAAATAATGCAACTATTGGTTTGACTACAAGTTGCCCAGGGATCTCCCTGTTCTGAGGAGGTATATATCTAAATGAAGGGCTCCATTATTATCTTCATCAGCTAATTCATATTCTAGAGTCTCTGTCCGTCCTGCTAGTGTGGTCTGGGCCCAGGCACTTGGCCGACATCTGGCACAAGTAAATCATATACAAATTTTTCAAGAGGATTTTCATTGTATAGATTAGTCAAAGATGAAAGGAAAATGTTTATCTTGGATTTGAAAGTTTTTACATACTTCTGTGTCACAGATTTGAAAATAGAAATGAAATTCCTGAATTTGAAGCAACAAATCATTCAGAATATTTAGTAGTATACTTTAATATGTATTCACTATTATATTATTAAATTCTATTTTAAAACTTGTAAATTTATCGTTACACAAGGTTTATAATAAACTGTTTAAACTCATCATAAGGCATCTTTTAATTATCCGAAGCTACAAATAATACACAAGTAGAAAACATTACATGCATTTTTCCCCTTCACTGGTATTCAATATCAATTTATTGCCAATCACACAAGCATCAAAAAGTAGTTATCTGATAAGATTTTCTTTACTTGAATTTTAAATTTTTTGATTTGACTTTATTTATCAAATGCACTCTATCGTGATTATAAGAAATGAGACTTCTATTATAGGAAAATTGTCATGTTGCCCATCACTGTGTACCATTAGGAGACTCTTCAGTTATTTGTTTTTGTTTCTACTTCCTCTGTTTCTTGGCTTCTGACTCAAGTAATACAGTACTTGTTCCTCCTGAATACTGTGAACAGGAGAGAGAGAGAGCAAGAACGGGCTTTTATATATGTAATGTAATGAGTGTAATAATTTTATATAGAGAGTATATGTGTAATAATTTTGTTGCACTTATCACAGTGTTCTGAAATAATTAGCATTTTATCTGGCTAGTTACCAATGTGTCATAAAAATTGAATCCAGGAAATATTTAAGTAGGGACTTTAAATCTATAAATATATAAAAACTTTTTGAAAAGTATGCTATATCTATGCTCCCAAAAGAGAGAAAAATGAGCCCAATAATTAAAGCAAAATACCAAATGTCAGTGATCACACACACACACATACAGACTCACTATCTCCCAAAACATATAGACACATGTATGCTTTGGCCCAAATTCAGATATTCTCAAAAAGGGTCAACAGACTCCTTTTTATCTTTACTATTTGTTGGAAAGATACTTATTGAGTATTATTGCAAAGATGGAGGATATGAGTTACACCTATTCAGAATGTGTGAGCTGGAACACTGTTAAACAGAGAAGCTGATATGTAGATGGATTTGGTTAATTGTCTGACAGTTTTAGTTTGGGATGCACTAATTTTCCATTTAGCTATGTCAATTACCAAAGTCACATTGCTTTTGAAGAATACTGCCATCTGTTTTCAATAACTTATATTCCAAGACTATTATAATACATAAAATATATGTTATTTACTTTATCTATTTTGCCTGCATATTTGCATTATATTCATAGTTTTCCCATGTAAAATGATCAACATTGTCTCTGAAAACAGCCTAGATGAATTTAAGTTCTTTTGATAGTTCTCTTTTATTTCCTTTGTTAAAACACCTGAAAATATGGCTTTTCCTTGCAATATTATAAAAGGGGATGAGGAGGAGGCATCCCACTGAAAAAGAATGGTGAACCCTCCTCCTTTCTCATTCAGGGTTTAGGAGAAGTTTGGGCAAATAAAAGTATTTTTTTAATTGCTTCTCACAATTCTTCATATGTAATCTATTAAATACCATTCAGATAAATAACTTTACACACCAACTAATCATCTTCATTAAAGTCATACTTGGGAATCTTAATATTGGGATTCTGTATTATTGTGGCTTCTTTATATTTTCATTTCATTTCAATTTTATATTTTCTTCTTTATATATGTGGCTTCTTTATATTTTCATTTCATTTCCATTGACATTATTTTTATTTTGTTAGCTTATATCCATCATGAAAAATTGAATACTTTATGCAGATTGAATAGTGTATTTTAATCAATTTTTTCGTGAACACATTTTTAAATAAACTATTATTTAATATAAAGATTACAAAATACCCTACCAATATTTAGTAAGAGTCTGAGTTTAAAAGTTATTAGAAAAAAAGGCATGTCCAAGAGTTCAAATATCAGTCAAATGAAGGCACAAAGCTCCTGGAAAAAATATGAATCAGCACATGCAATATACACTATCCCTCCCTAGGAGAGGAATAGGGGAAAAAATAAATAATAACAAAGAAAAATACTGGTTTATGAATTTAGTTACAATATTCATTACAATGCAAATCCTAATTACTTGCATTAAAGTATCTATATTAATACAGCTATATTTTCATTCACAGTGTCTTTCTGTATTCAAAAATATTTAAGCATATAAATATGTAAACAAAAATGTGATAATACTGCCACGTTGTTTAATTTTCTTAACATGATCAAGAATCCACAATTTTGTAAAAATGGGGAAGTCTCCAAATGATAGCAAAGCTTCTATTAGAAACACTTGATGAAGGGTAACTTTTGTTCTCTTATTAACAGCAATACCCAATCAGTGCATTCTTCTATTGTCTCAAGACTGCATAATAAATGTGAAGTGGCTATGCAATACAAGTGCATCTTAAGCTATTCTTTTTACAGACAATTAAATATTTCCTTGTAGTTTTGCTACTAAGGCAATTTGCTCACTCTGCTACCTGTCTATCCTCAAACCCAAAACTACTCTTTAAAACAAGAGAAATATGTGGAAGCACTAAAAGTATGACTCATGCTCTATTATATTTTCTTACAAAGTCGAGACATTTGGAGATAGACGACGTTGATTATACTGCTGAGATTCTTCATGTGAGATTTAAGTTATTGCTGTAAAATTGGGTCAACATCATTTTTAAGGGCTACTTGAACACATTACGGAATGTGAAATTAAAGCAGAACCTCAGAACAAAACCTCTGAAAAAAGCAGACTTGTGTTTGATAAATGAAACATATTTTTCTTTTTTCTTCACAAGAAAAACAAAATATAAGCTTTAACGCAATTCACCAACACCCCTAAATTGAGTTTTAAGCCTGGCAACTGTTTCTTGGATGACTGTGGGCTTACCACCCAGGGTGCTGAGAGACTCACATGAACTGACTAGTTTCCCTTTGTTCTGATCTCTATTTATCTCCTCAGGCCCAATTCTCTCCTCCTTCTGCAAAAGACTGAAATTAAGTAATGCTGCATGCACTCTAATTTTAGTCATAGCATTCTTCTCAGGATGATAGGGTGGAGAGACTATATTGTGACAAATATTTCACCCTCTTGTTCAATCTAAGGATGATAATTTCAGTGTCATTTATAATAGATATGGGAGATTTAAAGCTGTCTTCCTCTTAGCAACTGTAAAATTGTTATCATAAAATAACATGATTTTAGCCATTTCATTGCTTTAGAATCAAGAGGAGGAGTTATTTTGATTATAAAAAAGGGAAAAAAATGTGTGAATTTCTACTATCTGGTAATAAATTTTAAGACTAAGGCTGTAGTTTTGAAGATACTTAATTTTACAATGTTACTTATGTTTCTGATTTACAAGTTTATTATGCCAACTTGATGCTCAAAGATATTTTTGATGAGTGAAGTTATAAAAAGCTTCAGTGATTTTTATATACTAAATCTCAGTTGCAAAATCTGCAGCCTCCATATGTTGGGATTTATATTTCCAATTCATATACTCAGGTAGCACTATTTTTAAGCCCCCTTTTGATATAATTCTGATATAATTCTGATTTTAGATAGCTATTAACTATTTCCAGGTTGCCGATGATGGCTTGTTTGATTTTGACCCAGTCACAGATTGCTTATTATTCTTATTGATACACACTCTGTAAAGCAAAGCTGAAATATAAAAGTATTTCAGTTGACTGCGTAAACTATGAAAATCTAAATACACAGCAATGATAAAGGAGATCTGAAGGGAACTCGGGGGAAGCACTGGCTGTTCACAGATTGATCTAAATAGTTAATTTTCTCCCAGGTTTTAATTCAGTCATTCTGTTACAGTAGGTACCTAGTCAGACATGAGAAGGACAGGAGCGTCCCTACCCCCACCCCCACCAGGAACTTCAGGTGACCATTAGGGGGTCAGGCAGTTGTTAGGTTGTTGCTCTAAAATAATAGTTGGTTGCAGCTGGCGCCAGGGAAAGGCAGTCTCCCAATAGATAGAAAGACCTGAAACTGGTATTCAGCAGCTTCCCATTAAAGATTTCAGGAGTTGGGTGAGTGAGCTCAAGCAAGAGCACTAAGAGGCAAAATGGTGGAGTTTAACTGGTATATGATCTTCTTCCTCAACAAACACTTGACTGGTAAGGGAAGCATGCCTCAAGTGAGCATGTGTACAACTTCAGTAACCACACTGTGCATGTCGCCCCTCCCAAGTGTTGGCAGGGTACTGTGCATGTGGACAGTCCACCCCAAGGGAAGAATCAGGGGAGAAGTAACGTAACTCTAGAAGCATGCTGTGTTAGTCTATTCTCATGCTGCTGATAAAGACATACCAAAAACTGGGTAATTTATAAAGAAAAAGAGGTTTAATGGACTCACAGCTCCATGTGGCTGGGGAGGCCTCACAATCATGGTGAAAGGTGAAAGGCACATCTTACATAGTGGCAGGCAAGAGAGAATGAGGGCCAAGCAAAAAAGGAAACCCCTTATAAAATCATCAGATCTGGTGAGACTTATCCAATACCATGAGAACAGTATGGGGGAAAGCGCCCCCAAGATTCAGTTATATCCAGTTATGTCCCTCCCACAACACGTAGGAATTATGGGAGCTACAATTCAAGATGAAATTTAAGTGGGGACACAGCAAAACCATGTCACATGCCAACATATAAGACCCCAAGTCAAAGGTCAAACAAACAGCTCTCAAGTGTATTTTACTTCCTTTTGTTCCTGCTCTAAAGTTTTTAAATAAACTTTCACTCCTGTTCTAAAACTTGCCTCAGTCTCTCTCTCTGCCTTATGCCTCTTGGTTGAATTCTTTCTTCTGAGGAGGCAAGAATGGAGGTTGCTGCAGACCCATAGGGATTCATCACCCCTAACAATTCCACAAGTACAGTATGTATAGTATTACAGGCTAAGTGCTTAGGATTCACTGGTAACAATAGTAGACACTCTCCCAATGACCTTAGAGTTCACAAAGCAGCACATAAAATTAAACCAAAAATTCAAGTATGATGTGTGCTATGACTGGGGTCAGAGATACTAGGGAAACAAGGCAGAAGAAAAATGCTTTACATAGATTGGGAAAGTGATCAAAGTCTTTCTGGTGGGAGAGACTTTGATGTGGAGATCTGAAGTGTGAGTGAGCATTCAGTGAAGAGAAGAGATGGGGGGATTCAGAGAGACTTACATAAAGAGCATGATGCATTGCCCAAATGAAGGAGACTCCATGGGAAGGGATCTGCTTTTATGATGCTAGGAGAGAGGCAGAAAACTCTGTATTTGACTAACCGTATGAGCAAGGGACAGCCTCAACGGGACAAGTTCTGAGGTGAGACTTGTCTGAGTGACCAAAAAACACTCTGTAGAAGTCTTCTCCTAATTTTTTTTTTTTTTTTTTTTTTTTGGCTACTTTACTGGAGTGGTTTTTTTGTTTGTTTGTTTGGTTGGTTTTGTTTTTTGTTCTTTGCTACTTTACTGGAGCATTCGCTCTCTATTGTTTTGTAAATTTGCTCCCACTTCTGTATAAAATTTTCACACACCCCACACAAATCTCTCAGTCAGTCTTACCAGCCTGCCTTCCTCCCAATTCCCATCTCCCTGCCTAAGAGCTTTCTGCTTGGTCAAATTCACTTCTTTTATTTGCAACTGATAGGAGAAGAACTCCTTTTGTCTTTTTCAACAGTAGGCAGCCCATATTAGACTAGTTTTTTGTTGCTGTTGTTTTGTTTTTGTTTTGAGACGGAGTCTCACTTTGTTGCCCAGGTTGGAGTGCAATGATGCGATCTCAGGTCACTGCAACCTCTGCCTCTCAGGTTCCATCGATTCTCCTGCCTCAGCCTCCTGAGTAGCTGGAATTACAGGCGTGCCCCATCACCCCTGGCTAATTTTTGTATTTTTAGTAGAGACAGGGTTTCACCATGTTGGCCAGGCTGGTCTTGAACTCCTGACCTCAGGTGATCTGCCTGCCTTGGCCTCCCAAAGTGCTGGGATTACGGGTATGAGCCACTGAGCCCAGCCAGACTCATGTTTACTTTACAAACCACTTGCCACTGCAAGGAATTTGGGCAGCTTGAAGTTAGCGTTGATTCAAATTTATATGGATTTATTCCCATCTGGAAATGTTGACCTCTCCTCTAAGGATAAATAAATCTAGAGATCTAATGTACAGCAGGCGTACTATAATTAATAATACTGCATTGTATATTGAAAATTTGCTAAGAGGGTAGACTTTAAGTGCCCTTACCACACACCAAAAAAGAAGAAGTAACTGGAAGGTGATGATTATCTTGAATTGCTTACCTGTAGTAATCACTTCATTATGGATATGTATATCAAACATGTTGTACACCTTAAATTTATACTATATATATATATATATATATATATATATTTAAAACTTGTGTTTGCTCTGATGTTTGCTCAATTGTATGTGAAATGCTTTCTGGAGAGGAAAGGCTAAGAAGATGACTATCAGTTTCACCAGAGTCTCTAGAATTTCAAATAGTAAGATTTTTTTAATTGTCTGAAAAGAAATATTTAGATTTAAAATGCAAAAATAAGAAATAATCAACAGAAAATATTTTATGTGCTAAGATGAGTTATGACAAAAAAAGAAAACTCTGTGTACATCATTATTTGCCTGAGACACATTGTTTATTTTTAGACAAAATGTTAATTTTACAACTTAAAATTAGCTTATCCTTTTTCTTCTTAGAAAAGCCATGCCTGAGAAAAATAATCCATTAAAATTGAATAAGCTAAGTAAACACATAATTGGCGCTTAAACACAAGCAAACAAAAGTTATTATATTGCATAGCTAATAGTAACACTGCTGAAATTGAGCCATCTGTTCAACTTAAAAACTTTATTTTGAAATTGTTTCCAGGTATAAGTAACAATGGTCTTGGATATGCCATTCTAAAATTGATTCTGCTCTAAGAATATTTATCAATTATTTTATGGTTAAGACATTTTTCTGACAATTTGCAGAAAATTTTATTGATGGTTTCCTATTTTGATTTTGATTTCTTTGACTTTTAAAATTGATCATTACTAATTTCTTAAGTTTTAAAAATGTTTTCTATGTTTAAAGATCACATCTCTGGTGGTGTTATGGACCACCCAAAATACATGATTATTACATTGATGTTTCTCCTTAGTTTTAGATATTTCTATCTTAAATTACCAAATGGAAAGGGTGAGGGACCCTTCAATACAATGCATGAGGGAGCTCTATAGAGGATAAACATACTTCTGAATCAGCAACGAGTTCTTGGGTCCCAGTGAAAAGAAACATGTTTAACCAGGAATAATAAAAAAAATGTGGCTTGGCATGATGCATCATTATATTACTCCTATGAAACCATATAGATGTCATAGAGTAATCAGTGGAGCCTACACTAGAATATAAATTTCACACAAAAAAGCGATTTTTGTCCTTTATTCACTGAGGTATCCCAAGTGCATAGGAGAATATTTAACATTTAATAAATATTCATTAAATATTTGTTGAAAGAATGAGGAGAGAAAGGAGATAGAATATAATGTTTATTAATATAGTTATGAGCACTTCACAATGTGCCATCTTCGTGAATCCCAACACAATCCTTATGGAAGAACCATGAAATTACCTTTTAACAAAAAAGATAATTGAGGCTCAAAATGATGAGTTTAATTACCCAAGGGCTCACAACTGGCAGCCAGCACATATGGCAATGAAGTTATATTCAATAGGCTGCGGAATAATACACCAGCAACCGTATCAGCTACTCATAAAATGTGCCTAGAAAGGGTAACAGTTGGATATTATGTGTGCATAGGAGCCTCCTCCATGGACAGCCCATAATTGTAGGATCAAGAGAGATTAATTACTGTCGATGGGAAACCACAGATTTAATCACCTGCCAAGATTCACTTCTAGAAGGGGTCACCAGTAAAATATGTCATTCAGGTTACCTGTTGACAGGTACAATGTTTAAAGAAAACTTTACATGGCTGTGTTAGGGAAAGCATTATTACTTGATGGTCACTGTATTCATTTTCTATCGGTACTATAACAAATTACTCACAAATATAGTGGCTTAAAGAACACAAATTTATTATCTTAGAGTTCTGTAGGCCAGAAGCTCAATGTGGGTCTCACCAGTTTAAAGTCAAGGTGATGACAGGGATGCATTACTTTCTGGATACTCTACGGGAAAATCCATTTTCTTGCTCATTTGAGTGTTGGCAGAATTCCATGAGGAAATCTCCCTGTCTTGTGGGCTGTCAGCTAAGGGCGTCTCTTATCTCCTAGAGGACTTCCTCCAGTCTATGTAAAGTCCATCATCTCAGAACCACCAATAAGGCATTGAATCCTCACACTGCCATTTCTCTGACTCCTATTTTGCCTTTCTCTTCCACTTTTAAGGGTTCGTGTGACTACATTTGACCTACTCAGGATAATCTCTGCATCTCAATTGTTCTTAGTTTTAATCATATCTGCAAAGCCCCCTTTGTCATGAAACATAACATAATCACAGGTTTTGAGGGTTATGGCAGGGTATCGTTAGGAGGCCATGATGCTTTCTACCACAGTGACCATACTGACATGTACTACTCTTAACATTTTGATGGTCATACAGATTGTTAGTATTTTAATATACTTTTTCCAACCAAGTGATAAAATAATTGCTTGCCAAGGAACCTAGATGGCTTTTTAGGACCTTCTAGCTGGAAGTAATGACTTGAGTCCATAGGGAATTCTGCTCCCATTTGGTCTCCCACAGAGTCCCAGTCCATTCCGAGGCCTGCTGTTTCCTAAAGCATTTATCAGAAGAAATTGCCTCTAGGAGCTTCTGATATTCAGAACTCTCTCCAGGGTTGTTTCTCTCTATCTTTGTGTGAATGGTCTTGGTAGTGAGGCTGCAAAGGAAAACCATATAAAAGGGAGGGTTTGATGGGCAAATCCATCTTCAAAGTTTTGGGAGTTACCATGACTCGTTTTGACCACAGGCCAGATGCTGCCAGACCCATTTCTCTGTTTCTTCATTCTTCACTTTTGCCTGGTGATCAGTGATCTCTTAAAACATAACGAGTAATTTCTTAAAATATAATCCAACACTCAGGATTTAGGTAGTAAAACTGCTTCAGAAAAAAAGTATTGTACTTATTGCCTATTAAGCCATTTTTTCCTTCTTCAAATGTAGTTCTATATTTTATTTATATCTAAAACTTGTTTTCACATCAACTTCAGATTAGAATCAGGATGTGTAACTGATTTTCTTTTTGTACAGATCTCGAAAGTGGTTTCTTAGCAGTCACTGAGTGATGACCAGGGTTTGACATGTGGGAAATAGAGCTGGACTTGTTCCCATTACAGCATACCCCAAACTAGTTAATTACTGCCCATATATCAGGTTGAGTTTGGAGGAAAAAAGAAAAGAGAATTAGAAATAAAATAAGAAAGAAAAAAATGAAAAATATACTTTAGAATATATTGCATCTGCTCTAAAATTGGGGTTATATAATGAAAATGCTAAGAAAATAAATCCTGTTTGACTGCCTACTCAATTACTTGTAACAGAATGCTGAAAATGTTTCTTATATTTCTGAGTGAGAGCCAAAGCTGACATTAATGGAGGGCAAGAGCTCAAATATTCTAATGGAATACTCTAGACATGTCAATGCAGAAAAAACAGTAACCAAGTTGGTTTCATGAATGCCAGTCATGTCTACCATATATGAAAATAAGCTGAAAATTCCTTAAGTAGATTTGTTTGTAGGAAGAACTTCACAGGAGTAGAGAAAGCTATGACATTCCCCTCCATCCCTCAATCCAAACAAATCTAATGGTCTCCAAGACACCCACCCATGGAAATTTTGATTCACCCCTGCTGGATTCTTACTTTGGTAGGCTCCCTGTTTAACACTGCTGGATTAGAGCACTAAAGAGTTCTTAGATAAACCTGACATGTCCTCAGGAATTTGGGAGAAAAACTAAAACTTCTCAAGAAAGTCTAAAGGCAAATGGCAGGGCAATGCTGCCTTTGATGGGAATTACAATTAGGTAAGTTGATTTCCATAATTTAGAAGCGTAAGATTGTGAATTTTCCTGTTGGCCACGTGAATACCTGTATTATTGAGGTTAATGCAAAGTTATGCTGTGGCTTAACAAAATGAGAATTTATTTCTCATTTATGCATTCTTTTGTGGTTAAAGTAGGCAGGTAGCTGTCTTCCATCCTGAAACTATGCCACCTGAACACATGGCTTCTAGGTTGCCATCTAGGATAAGAGTGGGATGAGGCACATTGCAATTGCTTGATGTGAGCAATATCCTTTTTGTCACCTTCGGCACCTCTATTAATTCATGCACACAAATGAATAATATGGCTACTTCTAAGTAGGGTAAAAATACTTGTAAAAATATACAAAGGGTGATACTTCCCAAAGGAATATAAATCATCATATGTTCATTGCAACAGTGTTCACAATAGCAAAGACATCAAATCCACCTAAATGCCCCTAAATGATAGACTGGATAAAGAAAATGTGATACATATGCACCATGGAACACTATGCAGCCATAAAAAGGAACAAGATCATGTCCTTTGAAGGGACATGGATGGAGCTGGAAGCCATTATCCTCAACAAACTAACTTAGGAATAGAAGACCAAATGCTGCATGTTCTCACTGATAAGTGGGAGCTGAATGATGAGAACACATGGACCCATAGAGGGGAACAACACACACTAGGGCCTGTTTGGAGGGCTGGGGGTGGGAGGAGAGAGAGCATCAGGAAGAATAGCTAATAGATACTGGGCTTAATACCTAGGTGATGGGATGATCTGTGCAGCAAACCACCATGGCACACATTTACCTATGTAACAAACCTGCACATCCTGCACATGTACCCCTGAACTTAAAATAAAAGTTGGAAAAAACTAACTAACTAACTAACTAACTAACAAAAGAAACTCAGTTGATAATGCAAGATCTTCTCAAGAGGTTTTTGGGGCTCTTCAAAATAAAAGTACATTGCTATTTTAAAAGTAAATACCATTCAAAATCTTAGTCACTTACAACTGTTTTGTTGTTATTATCATTGTTTTGTTTTGCTTTGTTTTGTTTTGTTTTGATGATTCTGTAATCTGACTTGTTCAGCTGGGCAGTTTGTCTGTTGCAAGTGATTCCTGGTTGGGTTGCAATCATCTGGAGGCTCCGCTAGGCTAGATTATACAAGATGCCTCATTCATAGGCCTGGCACATTAATGGGCATAGCTAAAGAGCTGAAATGATCGGACCTCTCTCTCTTTCTATGTAGTGTCAGGGCCTCTCCTCCTTGTAGAGGCAGGTTTCTCCATATGGTCTCTACACAACATCTCTCCAATAGGGCAGTCAAATTTTTTTATACGGCAGCTCAGCATTTCCAAGAACACAAAAGCATAGTGTTGCCAGGCCTTCTTAAAGCTTAAATCTGAAACTGGTACAACATCCCTTTATTGCATTCCATTGGATAAAATGAGTCACAAAACCAGCTCAATTTCTTTGTGGAAGGGGAATACAAAAGGCTTTGGATACCAAAGCCTTGTATAGACTTTGGAGACATGGTTCACTGGAGGCTGTCTTTGAGATTGCCTAGTACTGTTACTCATCACAACACTTCATTAAGGATTAGCATTCTGAAGCCCTAGGACACCATCCCCTCCTCCTTTCCTGAGCAGATGGCTACAGGGAAATGTTCTTGACCCAAGGCCTTAGTACTTGAAGAATGTGTATAGTCATTCAAAGAAGAGATCATACTCATGGTATTTGGGCATGGGAGAGAAGCAGAGCAGAATTTAATGTGTGTCTAGTATTTTCACAAGAGACTATCTTACGATGGAAAAATGTAGGGGTATAGAATCATGGAAAATACCTTTTAGCCATGGGTGAAATACATTAATATGTCCATTCTGAGAGTAAAGTTCTCTCTAGACACTCATGGCAATAGCCCAAGTTAAAAAAATTGGGGAATGATGGCTTCCAACTTCATCCATGTCCCTATAAAGGACATGAACTCATCATTTTTTATGGCTGCATAGTATTCCATGGTATATATGTGCCACATTTTCTTAATCCAGTCTATCATTGTTGGACATTTGGGTTGGTTCCAAGTCTTTGCTATTGTGAGTAATGGATGCAGCACACCAACATGGCACATGTATACATATGTAACAAACATTCACGTTGTGCACATGTACCCTAGAACTTAAAGTATAATAAAAAATATATTAAAAAATTGGGGAAACAATTCTTCATAACTGCAGAGAAGTCTAATATTAGGTGTCTTAATTAATTAACCTATTCCTCCATTCACGTATATGGAACAGAAAAATAGCCCACAGTAAAATAATGGAAAAACAATGTCATAAAAAAGAATGAAAATAAAAATTGTACCATACACATGTGCATGCACACACATGCAATGATACATAGGAAATCAAAGAAAATTTAGATAAAATAATGAAATTATCTGATATCAAGTGATTTGAATTTATATAGTAATTGTAAAGAAAATAAACTTATTTTAAAAGCTAGGGGAAAAAGAATTGCAGCAAATTAATATATATTATTTATGGCATTAAAAAATAATAATTTTAGGCACAAAGTGGATTATAGCCAGGTAGTGATAAAGACTGAATCTGTTTTCTAGAAGATAAAACTGAGTAAATTATGCAGATTATAAGACTAAACAAATATACATGAAATATTAGATGGAAGTTAATAGGAAAGAATAATTTCTCCAGAAGATATACAACAGGAATTCTAGAAGCCCAAAGCACAGGTAATGGAGGGTACTGGAGGGGAAGAAATAATCAATTAAGAGAAATATCATATTAAATAATATTTTTCAGATTTAAACCCATACTAACAGAAATAAAAAAGAGCCCAAGATATTTTTAGGATGTAGTCATTTGATTTTGTCACTTGAGCATTCTCATTTAACTAATGGGTATTTAGTGACCCATAGAAGCAAACTTCAATCGATACTCCTTATTTTGAGAGAACTTCAGGCATGAAGCTTGAGTTCCCTGACACTGTCATGAAAACATGGTTCCCTGTGGCAAAGTTATTTGGCTAATCAATATTATGATCATTCTTGAGCAACCTATTTATAATAATAGCTAACATTTCCTGGGGTCTGCCTGTGTGCCAGGCACTGTCCTAAGTACCTAAAATAGATTACATCCTTTAATCTCTACAGAAACCCTAAGTGGTAGGTAGGGAAACGTCCAGATTTTCTGGGACCTAAGGCTAATATAAGGCACTCTTCATTAAAAACAGTATAACATTGTCAACACAAAAACTGGTATGAAAGCAAGTATTTATTTGTTTGTTTTTTATTTTAGATTCAGGGGGTTCACATGCAGGTTTTTTACATGGATATATTACGTGACGCTGAGGTTTAGGCTTCAACTGAACCCACCACTCAGATAGTGAACATAGTACCCAATAGGTAATTTTTCAGCCCTTTCCACCCTCCTTTTCTCTTCTCTTTTGGAGTCCCAGGGTCTATTGTTTCCATATTTATGTCCGTACATACCCAATGTTTACCTCCACTTATAAGTGAGAACATACAGTATTTGGTTTTCTGTTCATGTGTTAATTCACTTAGGATAATGGCCTCCAGCTGCATCTATGTTGCTGACTAGGACATATTGTTTTTTATGGCTGCATAGTAGTCAATGGTGATATGTGCCACATTTTTTTTATCCAATCCACCATTAATGGACACTTAGGTAGATTCCATTACTTTGCTATTGTAAGTAGTACTCTAATACCCATGTGAGTATATGTGTCTTTTTGGTCTTGTGATCTTGGTATATGTGATCTTTGGTCTTTTGTGTCTTTTCAATTTATTTTCCTGTGGAGATATGCTCAGTAATAAGATTGCTATATCAAATGATAATTTTATTTTTAGTTCTTTGAAAAATCTCCAAACTGCTTTCCAAAGGGACTGAACTAATTTACATTCCCATTAACAGTGTATAAGAGTTCCCTTTTCTCTGCAACCTTGCCAGCATCTGGTTTTTTTGTTTTGTCTTTTTAATAATAGCCACTCTGACTGGTATAAGATGGTATCTCATTGTGGTTTTGTTTTGAAAGTAAATATTTATTTGAATGGGAAAAGATGCCATGGCGAATTATTGGAGCATTGGAACTGGTCCTTTTGAGAAATTTTAGTTAATTTTCCAGAAATCACTTTTATATAATGTGTTCACTTAGCCCTGACTTGCTTCCTTGATTGCTTAGGACCTCACACATAGGCAGAACCCTGAAGTTTAAGTTCCATTCGCTTCATGGTAAATTCACCTTGAGAGATGACTACTAGTATACTCGCAAGTTAATGGTGGCACAGAGTAGCAGAGCCAGGATTCAAATCCAGGCTGTCTGGTTCCTTTAGCTGCCATATTTTATTATTGCCAATCACTAGGCCCTTTCCTGAAAGACACCATCAAGAACTGTTCTGAGGAAGAGCAAGTTAAGTTTGCATATCACCTGATTAAAATCGTGTCTTTTTACATTAAGAATATTGCTTTTTATGTTATTGATATATTCATGTCCATTGATAAAATCAGGAGTACCTTTTCCTTTTTGTTGTGCTTGTCAAGTGTTCCTGATAGAGACCTTGGGTCTAGGTTTTTCAAGACTCTCAGTCACCAAGTTAAAAAAAAATGACACTGGAGATCATAAACTTTGATATCATTGAAGCTTCCAATTTTCATACAGAGTGCTTGAATGAGGGCAGGTGAAATGATGAATCTGTCTCCATATTCAATTGGAAATAGCGAAGGAAGTGGGCTCCTTGACTAGAACCTTTGTTTACTGAAACTTCCACCTCACTGTGATCAAAAGAATATGTGTGGCCAACAGCGGGAAGTTTGGCAGACGTAAAACAACTCTTTGGTGAATGTGATTTACATAACCATGATGTTTTTTTTTTTCTCTTGGGTTTAATGCTTTTAATTCAACTTAAAGCAAAATACAACATATTTATTCCAATCTCATGTAATGTGAAATACTGAGATCAGAGAGACAGCAGGGAGTCAGACTATGCAGGCTATAGTAATTATGTTGACTTTCATAATGAAGAAAGAAGGGGAGCCACAATCATGTTCTAAATAGAAGTATGATATCTTCAAGCACCTATTAAATTAAACACCTGAGACATTGTACTAAGAATGCACATTAGGGGTCAAGGGGCTGAAAAATTAGGCTAAATTTAAAAATATTACAATAATTATGGCTAAAATTGTGGTAACCTGGACCAGAGATGATAATAACTTGATATCTGTCCAGATGGCTAGGAGAGGTTGACTTTGGTAGCTACTCTGAAAGTAGAACAAGTAGGATTTGTTGGGGTATGATATGAAGGGAGGTAAGAGCAAAAGAATAAGGATGACTATTTTGGAACTGGTAATGCTGATAGGATAGAGCTGTTAGTTATAGTCATGGGAAGGACTGCAGCAAGTTACATGAGGGAGACAGGGTAATCTTGAGATGGTGAGGTTGTGATTTTTGGGGACAAAGGAAGGAGAGATATCGCTGTTATGAAGAACACTGGTCTCTGGGGCCTGTCTTTTCTCTTGCAATCTTCTAGAGTCTGAATGTTTGTGTCCCCACAAAATTTATGTGTTGCTATGCTAATCCTCAAGGTGATGACTTTAGAAGCTGAAGCTTTCGGGGGGTGATTAGAGGAAGAGGGCAGAGATAACCCTCATGAATGGAATTGGTGCCCTTAAAAAGAGGACCCAGGTAGCTGCCTTGCCCTTTCTACCATGTGAGGATGCAGCAATACATCGCCATCTGTGAAGAGCAGGCCTTTCCCAGATACTAAATATGCCAGGGCCTTGATCTTGAAGGTCCCAACACCCAGAGCTGTGAGAAATAAATTTCTGTTGTTTATGAGCCACCTAGTTTTTGACATTTTCCTGTAGCATTCCAGACGGACTGGGACACAACCACATGTGAAGGTATGGAAGAGCCTTCTGAACACTAAGTGACTGAGGACTATTCTTTATTCAAGCTGTTGAAGTAGTGGAAAGTAGGAGGAGGAGGGAAAATGCTACTGAGACCATTAGGAGTTCTGGACTGTCCTCTTTCTTTAAGCAGATGAATAATTTCAGATTACTTTTCCCTTTATTAATTAAGAAAACAATAAGCATGTTCTTGTTTTTTTTTTAGACGGAGTCTCGCTCTGTTGCCAGGCTGGAGTGCAATGGCACAATCTTGGCTCACTGCAACCTCCACCTCCCAGGTTCAAGCAATTCTCCTGCCTCAGCCTCCCGAGTAGCTGGGACTACAGGCGTGTGCCACTATGCCCAGCTAATTTTTGTAGTTTTTTAGTAGAGATGGGGTTTCATCATGTTGGCCAGGATGGTCTTGATCTCTTGACCTCGTGATCTGCCCACCTCGGCCTCCCAAATTGCTGGTATTACAGGCATGAGCCACCGCACCCGGCCAATAAGCATGTTCTTAATTTTAGAGACTCAGCATACAATTACTTAAACAACAGGTTTCATTAGTGAATTATTATTGAATCCAAAACAGGTACACTTTTGATTTTGTATCACTATATATATGTAATTTGAATGAAACCTGAGTTAGATTTTTTACATGCTTTATTAATACATGTATGTCATTAAAGTGGATCAAGGTCAGAATACAGTGAAGACTAAGTAAGAGCATAATAAGTTTTATAAACATTTATTTTCTCCTTTTTGGAACACATATCAGAAAGTTTAAGAAAAAATTATAAATGATTAAATGATATTGCAAATAACACGATTGTGGTAAATGTATTCAGCCTCTTTTAAGTATATTTTTAGATATGAAACCACCATGGAAAACCAAAAAACAAATCAAGGAAATAATTCAAGATGCATAAGACTTTTCACATGAGGAAAGAGAGATACTTTATGAAGACTGATTTTATGTGATTTACCACTAGAATGCAACAAATCAATAGGGCCTTTATATAAAAAGTCATACTTCAGAGAGTTTTACTCTAAGCATCACTGTTTTAAGCCAACCTATGATTTAATCATTTTATGTTTGACAGAATCAAATGATAATTCACAGACCATAATGAACACAGCTGTGCTTAGCCCTTTTTGTCATGCTGTGTCTACAAGAAACTACAATGTCTCAGAGGTTCAGCTAGCCTTCAAGATGGCTTATCCATGTACAGATAGTCATTCAGATTTGGGGTAATTAGTATACTGATATTGAATTTCTATTCGTTTTTGCTTTGAGAGCCCATTCAGTGAATGAAACTGATTGAGATGCCACTCATTTGTTCTCCCAATGCACTTGGTGCATACCTCCATCTCAACCATTTTCATGCGCTATGTTAGAAGTCGGCAAATTTTTTATGTAAAGTGGCAGATAGCAAATATTTTCAGCTTTGTAGGTCATATGGTCTCTGTTGCAACTATTCAAGTCTGTCCTTGTAGCTTGATAACAGCCATTGAAAACAATTTTAAAAATAGATGTGCCTGTGTTCCAATAAAACTCTATTTACAAAAACAGTGGCACTCCAAATATGGCTCACAGATGGCAGTTTGCCATCCACTGTTCTATTACAATTTGCCTATATATCTCCTTCATTAACTTTACTTGATAGCAAGCATCATTTCAGGTTTATATTCTGGTTTCCAGAACATGTAGTATGTGAAACGTAGATATGCAATAAATGTTAAACAGAGTACTGATTTCTTATGAAAATTAATTATTCTAAATTTCTTTATGATTACGATGATGTAATGTTAGAATAGTGTTCAGAATATTTCTGAAGTACTCTATACAAGTTCTAAAGCCCAATGGAAAAATACAACTAATACTTACTGATTTTTAAATAACCGTTTTGCAAAGACATAGTTTTTCCCTTAATGTAATATATTTTATTTTTAAAATAGATAGCTTGATTGTAGAAAAATTAGAAATTAGTGTTTTAAAAAAAACTTTTAGGTTAAGGGGTACATGTACAGGTTTGTTATTTAGGTAAATTGCATGTCAGAAGGTTTTGTATGCAGATTATTTCATGACCCAAGTGATAAGCATAGTATCTGAGAGGTAGTTTTTTGATCCTCACCCTCCTACCACCCTCCACCCTCAAGTAGGCCCTGGTGTCTACTGTTACCTTCATTGTGTCCATGTGTACTCAATGTTTAGCTCCCACTTATAAGTGAGAACATGTGGTATTTGGTTTTCTGTTCTTGAATTAGTTCACTTAGGACAATGGCCTCTAGCTCCATCCATGTTGCTGCAAAGGACATTATCTCATTATTTGTCAAAGGACGTAATCTCATTATTTTTTGGGCTGTGTACTATACCATATGTATATGTACCACATTTTCTTCATCTGGTCTACCGCTGATGGGCATTTAGGTTGATTTTTCATGTCTTTGCTATTGTGAATACTGCTGCAATGCAGATATGAGTGCATGTCTTTATGGTAGAATGATTTATAGTCCTTTGGATACATATCTGATGATGAAATTGCTGGGTCAAATGGTAGTTCAGTTTTAAGTTCTTTGAGAAATTACAAAACTGCTTTCCACAGTTTTGGGGAAAATTTTTTTGCTAAATTAATTTACATTCCCACCAACAGCGTGTATGCATTCCCTTTTCTCTGCAGCCTCACCAGCATCTGTTATTTTTTTAATTTTTAGTAACACCCATTCTGACTGGTGTGAGATGGTATCTCATTGTGGTTTTGATTTGCATTTCTCTGATAAATGGTGAGGTTGAGTATTTTTTCATATGCTTGTTGGCCAAGTGCATGTCTTCATTTGAAAAGCGTGTGTTCATGTTCTTTGTCCTCATTTTAATGAGGTTGTCGGTTTTCTGCTTGTTAATTTGTTTACATTCCTTATAGATTCTGGATGTTAGACCTTTGTTGGATGCAGAATTTGCAAATGTTTTCTCCAACGCCATACGTGGTCTGTTTACTCTGTTGATAGTTTATTTTACTGTACAGAATACTATAATGTATTTTAATTAGGTCCCACTTGCCAATTTTTGTTTTTGTTGCAATTGCTTTTGGCATCTTCATCATGAAATCATTCCAGGGCATGTGTTCAGAATAGTATTTCCTAGATTTTCTTCTAGGGTTTTTATAGTGTTAGGTTTTACATTTAAATCTTTAAGCTATCTTGAGTTGATTTTTGTACGTGGTGAGTAGAAGGAGTCCAGTTTCAATCTTCTGCATATGGCTAGCCAGTCGTCTGAGCACCATTTTATTGAACAGGGAGTCCTTTCCCCATTGCTTATTTTTGTCAAGTTTATGAAAGAATAGATGGTTGTAGGTGTGCAGCTTTATTTCTGGACTCTGTATTCTGTTCCATTTGTCAATGAGTCTGTTTTTGTACCAGTACCATACTATTTTGGTTACTCTAGTCTTGCAGTATAGTTTGAAGTTGCATAATGTGATGCCTCCAGCTTTCTTTCTTTCTTTCTTCTTTCTTTCTTCTTCTTCTTTTTTTTTTTTTTTTTTGACAGAGTCTCACTCTGTCACCAGGCTGGAGTGCAGTTTTTGCTTAGGATTCCTTTGGCTATTCAGGCTCATTTTCTGTTCCATATGAATTTTAGGATAGTCTTTTTCTAATTCTGTGAAAAATGCCATTGGTGGTTTGATAGGCATAGCATTGATTTTGTAAATTGCTTTGGGTAGTATGGCCATTTTAACAACATTGATTATTCCTATCCATGAGCATGGAATGTTTTTCCATTTGTCTGTGTCATCTCTGATTTCTTTCACCAGGGTTTTATAATTTTCATTGTAGAGATCTTTTGCCTCCCTGGTTAGCTTTATTCCTAGGTACTTTTATGTGGGGCCATTGTGAGTAGGATTCTGTTTTTGACTGGGCTCTCAGCTTGGGCATTGTTAGTATATAGAAATGCTACTGATTTTTGTACATTGATTTGGTATCCCAAAACTTTCGTAAAGCTTATCAGATCAAGGAGCTTTTGGTCAGAGACTATGGGGTTTTCTAGGTCTAAGTTCATATTGTTGGCAAACAGAGATTGTTTGACTTTTTCTCTTCCTATTTGGATGCCTTCTATCTCTTTCTTGCTTGATTTCTCTGGATAGGACTTTTAGTACTATGTTGAGCAGGAGTCGTGAGAGTGGGCATCCTTGTTTTGTTCCAGTTCTCAAGGGTAATGCTTCTAGCTTTTTCCCATTCTATATGATGTTGGCTGTGGTTTTGTCGTAGGAGGCTCTTATTATTTTGAGGTATATTCCTTCAATACCTAGTTTGTTGAGAGTTTTTAACATGAAGGAATATTGAGTTTTATTGAAAGCCTTTCTACGTCTATTGAGATGATAATGTGGTTTTTGTTTTTATTTGTACTTATGTGATGAATCACATTTATTGATTCATGTATATTGAACCAACCAACCTTGCATCCCAAGGATAAAGCCTGCTGATCGTGGTGAATTAGTTTTTTGATATGCTGCTGGATTTGGTTTGCTAGCATTTTTTGGGGGAATTTTTACATCGATTTTCATCAAGGATATTGACCTGAAGTTTTCTGTATTTGTTGTGTCTCTGTTAGGTTTTGGTAACAGGATGATGCTGGCCTCATAGAAAAATTTAGAGAGGAATCCATCCCCCTCAGTTTTTTTGCATAGTTTCAGTTGGAATGGTAACAGGTCTTCTTCATATGTCTGGTAGAATGCAGTTGTGAATCTGTCCTGTCCAGGGTTTTTCTTGGTTGGTAGGCTTTTTATTACTGATTCAATTTCAGAACCCATTTTTGGTCTTTTCAGGGTTTCCATTTCTTCCTATTTCAATCTTGGGAGGTTGTATGTTTCCAGAAATTTTTCCATTTCTTCAAGGTTTTCTAGTTCTTGTGCATAGAGTTGTTCATAATAGTCTGAGGATTTTTTTTTTTTTTTTGCATTTCTGTAGGGTTGATGGTAATGTCCTTTTTGTCATTTCTGATTTTATTTCAATCTTATCTTTCTCTCTTTTCTTTTCTTTATTAGTCTTGCTTGTGGTCTGTCAATCTTATTTATGCTTTGAAAAAATACAGCTTCTGGTTTCCTTGATCTTTTGTTTGTTTTTTTTCATGTGTCTCAATTTCATTCAGTTCAGGTATGATTTTGGTTATTTCTTGTCTTCTGCTACCTTTGGGGTTGTTTTGCTCTTGTTTCTCTAGTTCCTCTAGGTGTGATGTTAGGTTGTTAATTTGAGATTTTTATAACTTTTTGATGTGAGCATTTAGTGCTATAAATTTTCCTCTTAACGTTGCTTTAGTTTTGTCCCAGAAGTTCTGGTATATTGTATCTTTGTTTTCATTACTTACAAAGAATGTCTTGATTCTGTCTTAATTTCATTGTTTACCCAAATGTCATTCAGGAGCAGGTTTTCGGGTTTCCACATAATTATATGATTTTGAGAGATCTTCTTGGTGTTAATTTTATTTTTTCACGTATCTACTTATCAGCTGTGGTTGATCTGTCTAGGTTGAGCTCAACTGGGCTTGGCTTCAAGTTGCAGATTAGGTTTGGATTTCATCTATGTTTCTACAATCCCTCTCATCTAAGCAAATTCATATCATCATTCTGCACTTAAATGTTTTCTTATCTTCAACTTTGCTTGTTATTTTATCCACCTAGAAAGCTTTCCTTTTTTCTCTATACCTTCTGATTTCTAGGCAGACTAAGATCCCTGATAACCAAATCCAGAGTAACCTTTAACTTATTTTAATTCCTGTAGAGTTCATAAGTTGGTATTCTCATTTGGTATTTACAGTTATCAAAGGATTCTCAGGAACTCTGGTGCAGCACTGGCCATATGATTCACTGGAAGTAAGGAGGGGCTGAGCTAGTAAGAAGGAAGCAATTAGAAATGAAGCCAAGTCAAGATACAGACATTAGAAACCACCAGTTAATGAGGCAGGCACAAATTAGGTCAAAGGTGGAGAAGGAAATCCAATCACCACATTGACAGTGCAAAGAAAAGCTCCACTATATCACCAAGCAGGGCTCCTGTGTCCTGGGGGCAGGGCAAATCTAGAGACTACTGTGGGTCTAGAGTCCATATGTGATGGGGATAAGACCAAATAGACCCTGACAGCTATCATAACCTGCCTTAATCATTAGTTCTTTTATATTTGTTTACAGCTAAAACTACATAAATCTTTCTCCAGAAATTGACTGCAAGTTCCTGGAAGGCAAGTGTGTTAGGTTTTATATTTTATATTCCCCAAAACAATAGGATTTTGAGCATGGTCAACTACAAGTGTGCATGATTTATCATGATTTATTGATAAACTTAAATCTATGCTTTTTAAATAGTAAAAGTTATCTTCTTTAAGTGCATTCTTAGCTAAATAGAGCATTCATAAAGAAAGAATAATGTGCTGGCCAGGTGTGGTGGCTCACGCTTGTAATCCCAGCACTTTGGGAGGCCGAGGCAGGCAGGTCACCTGAGGTTGGGAGGTCGAGACCAGCCTGACCAACATGGAGAAACCCCATCTCTACTAAAAATACAAAATTAGCAGGGCATGGTGGTGCATGCCCGTATCCCAGCTACTTGGGAAAGATGAGGCAGGAGAATCGCTGGAACCTGGGAGGTGGAGGTTGCGATGAGCCGAAATTGCGCCATTGTACTCCAGCCTGGGCAGTAAGAGTGAAAATCCTTCTAAATTAATTAATTAATTAATTAATTAATTAATTAATGTGCTTAACTTATACGCCAGAAGTAAGTGTACAACCGAAATAACTAGATCCAAAAGCAATTTCTAATATGCATGTGAACAATCCAAAAAGATAAGGAAGTATGAAAAGTCTATTATTCGGATTATTCCCACAAAGACTGGGTTATTAGGTTGGTGCAAAAGTGACTGCAGTTTTAAACCATTTTTAATAGTTTCAAAAAACTATTTTTTAAATAGTTTCAAAAACAATCCCGTACATATGTTGTTTTAGGTATCATTTGGGACGGTTGGCACCACCGTCAAGTATACTTCAGTTTAAAATAAACTTTTCTTCCATCTAAGCAGGATGAAAGACCAGTCTAGTCATTAAAACTGATGGAGTAAATAATCAAGGGCCATGAGTAGATGTAGAGGAAGTATTGAACATCAGGTCTACTTGAAAAAACAAGAAGGAGACAATAAGAAATTGACAGTGTCATGCAATTATATTTGTACATTTTGCAACCTGCGTTTTAAAAGTATGATTTTAGATTGGAAGTAGAGAAGAATAAATCATACTCTGAAGAATAATATCTGGATTAGCAGGACAGTATGCCAACAAACAGGGCCCTATAGAAACCATGCAAAGCAAAAACTGAGGGGCTTAATACCCAGTTCTGACTGACTGCATTCCACCTGCGAGGTATAATATGAAAATTAGCAAAAAGGAAATGTCACAGAAAAACAAACATCACAGCTGTGCTTCCCAGTGGAGGTGCAAATATGGGAATGAAATGACCCTATGTTATTTTTTTTTCCTTGAGCAAAATTGTGATGGTATTTGAGAAAATCTTGGCAGGTCCTGGGCAGGCAAGTGATAATAACAGCAATAACCACGACAAATGATCAGGTATAATTGCTTTCTGGCAGCTAAAGGCAAGCAAGGAGAACCAGGCCAATAGACCACAATTACACCTGAATAATGGAGCAAGGAAGATCAAGAACACCATTCACTGGAATAAGACAAAAAAACAAATTAAAACTGCCCTATGGAGGAGAAAATGACTAGAATAGCCAGGCAACAGTATGACACTTTCTGTATTTATTTATTTAGTTAGTTTTTACTTTTATTTTTAAAATCTAGCTTTGTTAAATTATAGCCTTATGTTATCATTATCGGCCACATTAATACCTGCAGTTACTTCTGAGTTTGTTTTGTGACATAAAACACGTGATGTAAAGTGTCACTCATTGCATATGGTTTGCAACGTGCATTTTGAAAAAAGTTATAAAACAAGTGTGAATAGACAGCAAAAAGATCAACATCTTCTAAAATAGGAAAAAAACCTCATCCCATAATATAATTGACTTAATCCCACAATTAGACCCCTGAACTAGTTAAACAAATGACATGCTTGCTAATCAGTTTTCAAAAGAATTCCTAGAGAAATCCATAGGTTCAGTATCATTAGGTGAGGCAGACTTTCTCTGATAGAATTTAATTATGTTTAGTTAAGACCTTTTTCAAAATATAAAACTATATCCCCTCTTCACTGTAATCCAACTTTATAAAGTTATGATGAATTAAATAATTACTCATCTATTTTACTAATTGCTTGGAAAGCGTCAAGTAGCATATTTGTTTGTTAAGCTCAGGAAATATTTACTTGTTATCTCCTTGCCAAATCTGGTTCCTAGGCTGCCACTAGTCTCAAAAAAAAAAAGTTGTTCCCATATAAATGTTCCAAGTTCCTTGGACCTTGTTATAGTTTGTCTTTGTGTTTTTAAATATTTTCAGTTTAGTTTCTCCTGTAAACCTGCCCAAAGTAATGAACGAGATTGATTCTTATAGTGCTGAAAACAGTCGTGTTTAATTTGCTCAACATAAGCAGCATTCTCAGAAGTCCAAGGTCATGATTCAGAATATTTATGTCAACACTTTGGAATGAGTAGGATGTCAATTGCTATATGAGTATACTTAATTAAAATTAGGAAAAAGATCTATGTTATCACAATCAACCCTAATTGGCACTTTAAAGGATCAAGGCCAATGAATATATAAAACATTTCCTATAATAAATATCTAGAGACAAATTGTATAATCAGTGTGATTTCTGAGCTAAACTAGATTTATACACAGATAATTTATGTATATATATAGAGAAAGAGAGAAAGAAAGAGAGAGAGAGAGAGTTAATTTTTCTCTGTCAGCCACAGAAATAAGAGATAGGAAAATTATAGAGATGTCAAATACATGATTGATCTAAATATCTTATTTTAACCATTATTTTAAGTTTCTTCCTACTAAATTTAGTAAGTAGAAACATTTCAAGGTTCTCCTTTTTGTTGTCCTAATGGTGAATGGAATAGGAAAACGAAAAGGAGGACAATTAATACATAGACAAGATAATCATTTCTGAGATAATTAAAGAATTGCCTGTATGACCATTTATTTGATTAACAGTTTAATGACATCCCTTAATCCAAGTACGGAGTCAATGCATCTAATGCATTGAGGATGCATGTAGCTATAATTGCCCACTTGTTGGCTATAGGAAAGTCTGCAGTTTTTTATATTTCTCTTCTGTAGTAGAGGCAGACTGCTTCAGATGCATGGTTATGCCTCAGCCACAAGATGGGAATTCAGTTGCTGTGTGGTCAAAAAGAAAGATGAATGTTCACTACAATAAACAAATCCTGAACCATTTTAAATTCATTCACATAAGTTTATGTATGTTTTATTTAAAAATATTTAATTGACAAATAAAATGTATGGATTCTAGGAGGACAATGTCATGATTTGATGTACATATATGTTGTATAATGATTACCACAGTCAAACAAATTACACATTCATCAGCATCCGTAGTTGCCACTGTATGTGTGTGTGTGTATGCATGTGTGTGTGTGAGACAGAGAGAGAGAGAGGTAGACAGTTAAAATCTGTTCCTAGAATTTGCCACATTTTATAATGTTTAATTAATTTTAAATTTAATTTTAATGACACATTTTACAATTTGGCACATTTGTTTTATTTCTTCTTTTGATTTTATTTCTATTTGTTTTATTTCTTTCTCTCTCCACACACACATGCACAATTTATTTTCAGAGCCATTTGAGTGTAGGTTGCACACATTAGGCCAATTTATCTCTTAAAACTTTGCTCATTCCTAAGAACAAAGATAGACTTTTACACAACCAAACTACAGCTATCAAGTTCAGGAAATTTAACATTGCCATAAAACTTTTATTTAATTTGCCATTCATATTCCAATGTTACCAATTGCCCCAAAAGTGTCTTTTATAGCATTTTTTTCCCTCCAGTCTGGAATCTTGTTTAGGATCATATATAGCATTTAGTTCTCATGTCTCGTCAGTCTCTTTTGATCTGTAACTATTCTTCAGCTGTCCTTTGCCCCTAATGGCATGGATTTTTTGAAGAATGCAGGCCATTTGTTTATAGGGTATTCCACAATTTGAGTTTATCTTGCATTTCTTTGTGATCAAGTTAGGTTAAGCATTTCCAGCCAGAATAGTACAGAATTAATGATGTGTTATTTTCAATGTGATTTAACCTCTTCTCACTAGACTAGATGTGAGAGTTAAACATCATCATCATCACCACCACCCCACACATATTCGTCTCTATTGCACTGGGAGTGGGCTGGGTTTCAGAACACAGCAGCAGCTCATTCCAAAGTACTAGTCATGCATATGGACATTTAAATTTGCCTGGGGGAAAACGTTTTTTGTAAATTCATCTCAAAGCAACTGATGCCTCATAAACTCTACACACTGCCTCTATGTTTACTCTAATTATTGGTTTTGCTAGGATTTTAGCTTTATGGTTACTTTTTCCTCATTCTATATACTGTTTGGCTGGTACACCCACAATACAGCTTTATCTTTCAACTTTACACCAATGATTTCTAAATTTATAATATGTGCTGCAATTTCTCTATTAGATGAGGCCATTGGAGAACATCTGAAATTGCCATCGAAGTCCCAAAATCAATTTGCTTAAAACAAGTCATCTTCTTGAACCCAAATTCTTCTTCTTATACTGATTATTTCACCTGACAACACCAAATAATTCTGGACTTTTATCTTAAGAACCATATCCAGTTAATCAACAACTGTAAGAATGTCTTTCTTTATTTTACCAATGCATTTACTTCTATCTATCTCCGGTTTCTCTTCCTGTATTTACACTCATAACTTCTTACCTCCATTATCATGTAAGAACTGAACTCTGCCTACAACCTTGTCTTTTGCATTCCATCTACCACACAATAGTCAGATTAATCTTTGTAGACTACAACTATGATTAAGGCACTTATTACTTTTTATTCATGACTCCTTACTACCTATACAGTATTTATTACTTAGCATGGCATAAAATTTAAAATCTTTTCTCTGACTGTATTTCTGGAAGCATTTGTTGTTATTCCTCATTTGTGTAGTTCCTTGAATAATACATATTATCTTCCAGTTAACTGTTTTTGTTCACATTGTTTTCCTTGACCGAGATCCTCTAGTTTCACTTGTGTGTTCAGTGAATTTCTTCTCACCCTTCAAATTTTAGTTTTCACATCACCACCTCCATAGATTATCCAAAAGACTTTTTTCTAACCCACCCTTTTCTGGCATACACCACCTTACTTTGTTTACTTTTATACCTCATTCACCAAAATATAAGTTTCTAGAATCCAGGAATGTTGTCTTTTATTTAGTTCTCTGGGTGCCTAACACTAGTAGATGCTCAGTAAAGGCATGCATCTCTTAGATGTTGATAATGACACATTTAAAAATCTATGGTGATAAGTGGAGAACAATCAATATGAAGCATATCTTTATAGAAATTATTGTGTAAAGGGAAACTTGGTAACTTATAAGTTTGTAAATTTATATTCTTATTTCAGAAATTCATATTCTAATACTTCAATATCTCCTTTCAAAATTCAGATTTTATTAAAAAGTAAAATGATATTATTTGTTTTGTTTTTCTTAAACTTCTTGTACCAGAGTTTACTTTACCAATGTGGAGGTTTATCTTGTTCGTATTGCATGACACCCCGTGTTTCAGAACATTTTTCCAAGGTAGCATAAATTGCAAGAAATTGCAAAACATGGTGTGTTCTTTTTAATTCCCCAATATAGATCTTAAAATGTGCTGGTACATTTGGACTTCAGCTTTATGAAAATTTATTTTGACTCTTTTGCAGTCTGTCTTCCTACTCTCATCCAGCTTCTTTCCAGATTAAGTAATTTTCATCATTTCATCAACTCACCTTCAGTATTGATCTGGTTAAATCAGTTATGCTGTGGTAACAAACAAACCCCAAAATATCTTTTGCTTAATGTAGAAAACTGTATTTCTTTTCCACGCAAAGTCTCCGTTGTTATGAGTTTAGTGCATCTCCCTACTGGGAAGTGGCTCCAGGATCCAGTGTTCTAACTTAGGACTCTGCCATCTCATCTCAACATGTGGCTTTATGTTTTTCCACAACAGAGGAAGAGAGACCATGGAGAATTCACACACAATACTCCCTCTGACAACCCGCTCAGAACTAGTCACATGGCTCTTTCATGCTGCAAGGGGTCCTGGGAAATGTAATTCTTGTATATGGATGTCTCAACCATGTCTTATTTTCTCTGCACAGCTTCTCAGAAGAGACAGCACTCAGGAGCTGCCCAAGTCAGATACTTGTTTTTCTGGTTGCAGCTTTTGGAATCCTTTACCTAATGCCCTACCCAACTCCTGATTTGCCTGTAAGAATTTTATTGTGTGTCAGGTTTTGTTTTTAACGTTTAAGTATTTCATCAGATGTTGCTGAAGGAAGGTTCCATGTCCTAGCCTCTTGTGGTATCATTACCTAGAATTGATTGCTTGCCTTTACAAGAGGACCATATAATTCCACAATTGTACAGTGTCATTTATTCATCCTATGATACAACCTGGGCATGTAGGACTTCAGGAAAGGATTTTATATAACCAATAGCTCCTCTTAGGCTGTTTTTTTTTTATTATTTACTAAAGCATAGAACACAACCAAACACAAAACATATTTTCATAATATAATTACATAGAACTATAACTAGGCCGGGCATAGTGGCTCACGCCTGTAATCTCAGCACTTTAGGAGGCTGAAGTGGGTGGATCACCTGAGGTCAGGAGTTCAAGACCAGCCTGGCCAACATGGTGAAACCCTGTCTCTACTAAAAATACAAAAATTAGCCAGATGTGGTGGCATTTGCCTGTAATCCCAGCTACTCGGGAGGCTGAGGCAGGAGAATTGCTTGAACCTGGGAAGTGGAGATTGCAGTGAGCTGAGATGGTGCCACTGCACTCCGGGCTGGGTGACAGAGTGAGACTCCATCTCAAAAAAAAAAAAAAAGAAAAAAAGAAAAGAGCTATAACTAGTTATATATACTCACATATATACATGTAGTATGTGTATATCATGTATATTTACGGACACTATATATAACTATATTAACATAGCTTTGTAATATTTTTATAGAAATTTTACTCAGAAATTTGCATGAGTATGCTCCATATGCTCAAATGTATATCTTACATATATATCTATATGAATCTATCTATTCATTGATTATATATATATTAATCTATCTATCTATCATCCATCTATCTCTGTATTTAGAATAGGAATGGGTAGGTGATGGATATAGTGAAGGGAAAGCATTATTTTTGGGTATAAAATTTTCCTCTGAAATGTTACATTAGAATAGATGACCTGAAATTATGTGATATACAGTGTTCATCCTGATGTTTGCCATACTCCCTGGCACAACTCAAAATTAAACATACTTTGCCCAGAGAGAAAAGCTTTACTGAATCACCACTTTATTTACTATTTTAGATTTTACCTGATACAGAGAATAACGTGCTCTAGTTCGTCTCTTAAAATATATAAATATCACCTTCTTCTATTAATAAGAACTAGAGTCTTGCATTTCTCATTTAATCTCTACCACAATACTACGAGGTATTTGTATAAAAGACATCTTATTTCTCTATTCGTTTATTTGTTTTTCTCTATTAACAGGATCCCAGGCAATGTTTTCACACATTTTTTATCCTCTTACAGGTAGAGATGGTCAATAAAAAGAAGCAGAGGTTCATGGGACTTCCAGGACAATGCTTCATGATTCTAAGCATTGCTGCTAACTAGACAGAACAATGACAGCCATTTGAGAATTATGAGACAAAGATCAAGAGCATATCACAGACTTGGCCTTGCCATCCTTGAGCAGCTAAACACACAACATCAAACTCCTACTTCCATACTTAGTATTACATGAGTATATCAAATTTTATGTATTTAACTCTGCCTAGTCAGATTTTTTTTATAAGCTCCAAGCACAATTTTTAGCTAATTTAGTAAATTCATTCTTACAGAAGTGATAAAAATTACCCAAGGACACTCAGATAACAAAAGTCAGAGTAGGGCTGTGAACTTCAGTCTTATTACCTCATGCTCATTTTCTTACACTATATGCCATTGCATGAGCCTTAGAAACTGTGTTCTGGTTCAGTGTTCTGCAGCAGTTTATTTAAAGCTCATGAAATATTATAAAGAGTAGGCTGAGATTGAATTAGACAAGGTGACAGAAATATGCACTGGTTAAAATCTTCCTTACCTTCAACCTCAGTCCCCACTTTTGCACTTGTCTTAAACATTGGATTATTTCAATCAGCAGATCACTGTGTTATCACTTATAGTAAAAGACTGACCGCTGTCTTTATTAAAAACACATTAATGTACGTGTATAGTTGATGCAGGGATATCCCAAAGCGGAGTGGTTTTAGTGAAAAAAAAAAGGAGGGAGGGAGGGAGGGAGGAAGGAGGAAAGAAAGGAAAGGAAAGGAAAGGAAAGGAAAGGAAAGGAAAGGAAAGGAAAGGAAAGGAAAGGAAAGGAAAGGAAAGGAAAGGAAAGGAAAGTGAAGGGTAGGATTCATTTCTGCTTTAAGTGTGATATTTCTCCCTTTTCTTCATACTGATTCTTGAAGCATAGAATTGCTTCTGTCAAAAATACAGCAATTCTTTATTTATCCCCACTCTGAATATTAAGAGAGTAATTTTAAGGTGAAAGCATATTAAGAAAGGCTTACTTCTTCATTTTTTTTTCTATTCTTGGCCTAAGGACCACATGATTTTATATATGGTCTGCTAACCAACTGCTAAGTATTAGGACAGAAATTATCAAAGAGAACCAGTAAATTCTGTCTTTTTTTCCTCTGGTACTTCTCTAACTGGAGAATCCTCTTCATTTTAAGTGGAAGATCTTCCTCTTAGTAAGAGTGCTCTGACCTACATAAACCGTGTAGCATAGAAGCCATATTTTTTCTCTTTTAAATTCCACACAAATTAACCTCCACACCTGAAAGTTTTATGTTAAACTAATTTAATATGTTATTTCTTTGCCTTTTGAACTCTTTTCAAAAACTAAATAACTATTTGGCTAGATAAATGCCCTTGAAAGTAAAAGTTCCACTCTCTTGCTTTTTAAAAATAATATTATGATCTCTTGACTTATGGTTATATTTCATAATGGTGGTGAATATAAATTATTTAAAAACTGTACCCTCAATTTTAACTCTTTATATTGCTATCAAATCTTTCAGAAACATTTTTACAATTTTTTTTCTAGTTGGTTACTATTACTTTTACTCCATTACTTTTTAAAATAAAATCATTATATATAACAAGGAGACAAGTTCCATATTATATATTGTGTATGGCATCAAATTCACATATGACATTAGCTTCCTCTGTGGGTCTTCTTCTTCTAGAATTTGTCTCCATCAATTTATCCAGTGCATCACAACAACTTCAAAGTTTGCAACACAAAACTTCATTTCCAAAAGATATTCAGTATCCCCTCATCCCTAGGGGGAATGTATATAATTCTTAGCCTAATATTCAAGACTCATCATCACATATCTTTTGTAAGTCATCACCATCCACATCTGACCCATCATCAGTCATGCTGATTTGCTCAGTCTTATGAATGGGCCTTGAAATATTTATTCTTTCCCTCCAAAATGAATAAGATAGAGTATAAATAAAATGCATCATCTACTTGTATAAAAGTCTTAGTGCCACACACAATTCTAAATATGTACAAATTGTTTTGAGCTTGTAGAACCAAGTCATGATGGATAATCTCATGTATATTGTTTATTTATTTTAACTGAAAAATAAAATTGTGTATATTTACTAAGTATAACAGGATGTTTTGAGATATGTATACATGAATGGCTAAATTGTGTTAATGAACATATGCATTACCTCACATGCTTATCATTTATCTTTTTTTGTGGAGACACTTAAAATCTACTTTCATAGCAATTTTCAAATATATAATATACTGTTATTAACTGTAGTCACCATAATGTGCAGTCAACCTATTAAGTTTATTCCTCTTATCTGACTGAAATTTTATGTCCTTTGACCAATATCTCCCCAAGGCTCCTACCTACAAGCTTCTAGTAACCATGACTCTGTTTCTATGAGTTGGACTATTTTATATTCCACTAATAAGTGACATCATGTGGTATTCGTCTTTCTGTGCCTAGCTTATTTCACTTTACATAATGTCCTATAATCTCATATATGTTAAATTAAGCTCTTTCCCTACTGCTTTGTTCATCACTCTCACCCTTGCTTGGGTTACTATAGATAAAAGTTACCAAAGAAGAAATCAAAGTACTTTAAACACATATGTCTGTCTATCTATAATGGTATCAACTTCAATAAATAATTCAATGTGTTACGCATGGAAAAATATGAAAGGGTCAAGAATTATTTAATATGAAGTTTGGGAAAGAGAAATGACTATATAAAGCTGCCCTTTCAAAATCAGGAAGGAAAATCAAATTCAACAATAATTATTAATTCTTCATATTACTGGGACAGAAAGCTAATCAAGTTGGATAATGCTACTTTGGAGAAGAAGATGAAAGATGTGTCCGGGCGTGGTGGCTCACGCCTGTAATGCCAACACTTTGGGAGGCCGAGGCGGGCAGACCACCTGAGATCAGGAGTTTGATACCAGCCTAGCTAACATGGTGAAACCCGTCTCTACTAAATATAAAAATTAGCCTGGATGGTGGTGTACACCTGTAATCCCAGCTACTTGGGAGGCTGAGGCAAGAGAATTTCTTGAACCCGGGAGGCGGAGGTTGCAGTGAGCTGAGATCGGGCCACTGCACTCTAGCCTGGGCTACAGAATGAGACTCTGTCTCAAAAAAAAAAGAAAGGAAAGAGAAGAAAGAAAGAAAGAAAGAAAAGAAAGAAAGAAAGAAAGAAAGAAAGAAAGAAAGAAAGAAAGAAAGAAAGAAAGAAAGAAAAAGAAAATGAAAGATGACTATATACATGATTGACTGATTATTTTGTATAACTTGTCAAATATCCTAAGGCACAGTTCCAAAAACAATTCCAAAACTGTGTTAAAAATATCTTCATTGAAGCAAAATTACATATTATTTTACTAATTCAAACTGCATTCTCCAAAATTAGCCCAGATTTCTGGCATTATAGCACACCTATACATACCCTGTGATTCCTGAGTTAATTGGCAAATATGCTCCTCCAGGAAATTATTGTTGATTAATAGCCTATTTGGAAACAAACATATTAAGAATAAGATAGTTTTGAAGTAAAATTAAAATTGCTTTAGAAACAGAGTATTTGAATATACTTTGTTCAGTCTGTATCCAAATCCTGAGCAACACCCAATACATTAAATAAGTCTTCCTTAGAAAGAAAAACTGCTGTTTGCAACAACATGGAATAACCTGGAGGACGTTACGCTAAGTGAACTAAGACAGAGAAAGACAAACACTACATGATCTCGCTTATATGTGGAATCTAGAAAAAGTGAAACTCATGGTAACATAAAGTAGAATGGTGGTTAACAGGGGCTGGGGTGAGGAAATGGGGAGATATTTGTAAAAGGGTACGAACTTTTAGTTATAAGATGAATACATTCTGAAGACCTAGAAAAAGAACAAAAACCAAAACTGCTGACTTAATTCTAGCCTGTGGGGGGTGGTGAAGTAAGTAAAAATCCAGAATAAAAATAAATAAATGTTCGTAATGAAATAAAGTCAGTATTCCCCAAGGATGGCTTCATAGTGACCTTCCTTCTAAATGCCAGGACTATGCATAGGAAGTAACTGAGACTTATGGCCCAGTGGGGCCAATGATCACTTTCAAACCCAATGTTAAGGGTGATAAAATGATATCCGGTTAATGTGATTTTCTCTAACATTATCACTTTTTTATGCATGGATTGCTGTTCTTGGACAACAGATTCACAAACTCACCATAGGTTTTCTTTCAACACCTTTATTGGATACTGTGACATACATCCACTATAGGTGTACAGTCTGTATCTTCTTTAAATGAAGAATTTGTTGACTCAGGGGCAAAGACGAACTGTCGTGCAATGGCTGGTTGATAAAGTTGGTACTCAGGGTGCCCAAAGCAAGATGATTCTGACATAACAATTTAGTTACAGAGTTCCCTGTGGGTGTCAGCTGGAGCTTTTTTTTTTTTTCTTTCTTTCTTTTTTTGGCCTGCCAAGCATTTTGGCTCCTGCCTAATCCTGCTTATTTACTCTTTCTTCCACATGTGGACCCAAGCATACTCTCTAACCAATATTTTGAGATATAAACTCAACTACACTTCTCAAGGAACCCAACCAACAGACAACATCTGCAGTATTGATTGATTGATTTCTAGAATGTTTGACAATATGACATTGAGAATTATTAACCATGTTGTTTTCTATTTTGCAGTCAAATCCTTTTAATCCCATTAGTAGGTTAGGTTTTTGTTGCATTTCACCAGCAAACAAAGAGGAAAAAGCAGGGATAGAATACAAATTTTAAAGTAAATATGATATGAATAATTAAGATGGCATTCTCATGAGAACACTTTTACATTCACTCTGTTAGTATATTCAGGAATATAATATAATTTTAACTATAGTCACCATGTTGTACAATAGAGATCTTGAACTTATTCCTTCTAGCTAACTCAAATTTTGTATCCTTTGACCAACATCTCACCAACCCCCTCCCTCACAGCCACACCAACCTCTGGTAAGTACCATTCTACTCTCTAATTCAGTGAGATCAACTTTTTTATATTTCACATATAAGTGAGATCCTGTGGTATTTTTACATAATGGCCTTTGGGTACATCCATATTGTCACAAATGACAGAATTTCCTTTTGCATGGCTGAATAGTATTCCATTGTGTATATGTACTACATTTTCTTCATTCATTCATTGACAACTATGTGAGTTAACACATATGTACATTAGCTAGATTCTACAATGTATATATATATTTTAAAACATCATGTTATACATGATAAATACATAAAATTTTATCTATCAATGTAAAACATAAACAAGATAAAAATACACTACATTTCTGCCATCTTTCTTCCATATTTGTAATATAAATGAATTTGAGTTATAAAAACATTGTATTGTTTACACCCTGAATGTAATACATTGAGATTTGTATCTGCTGTACACATTAAATAGATTTGTAGCTTTCATTCATTTTACTACCTATAAATTTGATGTTTTGACTTATTGATTTCAAAAGTAAATTCTGAGAGGAAAAATTTTGCTCTTTGCCTTAAAAGTCAGGGCAAATCTTTCTTTTACTCCATTTGATATTTTCATTTTTTTCTGAAGCAAGAATGTTTTTATTTGAACAGGCAAGAATCAGTTATGCAGTTTATTGATCAACAAGTATTCATTGGTTATCTTCTGTTTTCCATATGTATTTGCCTCAATGGAGGATAATACCATCTTAGAAACTGCAGAATATCACCATATCTTATCATGAATTCATAGGCTGTAGAGCCAGAAACTCAACAGAAACCAAACACCTCAATAATATCTCATCTATGTATTTTTATTAGTAGTATATTAAACTGTCATGAAGAGCATGTTTGTTCAAAAATGTATGTGCCTGGAGCTCTTTTAAGAAATTTGCATATTGTATCAGTCAGGGTTCAATCAGAGAAGCAGAACTTCTAGGAGTGATATAAAGTTGGAAATTTTTTATAGGAATTTGACCTTGGGAAATTGTGGGTGCAGGTTAAACGGATTGTGGATGACTGTCATTTCTGCATCTGGTGCTGATCCTAATGTAAACAGTGCAGACAGTAAAAAGAAGACAGATGTGACATGAAAGAAAGTAAGGACAAACTGGAACCAATGAGGACAAGCTTTAATGCACATTAGTCTTTCTCTGCTTCCAAACCTCCTTCAATAATGGGATGTCTTGCAGGACAAGCTTGTGTCCTTTTCTCCAGGTCTACACAAGCACCAGCACAGAAGCTATAGAAGCTTAAGTAAGAAACCAAATAGAAGCTGGAATAGTTGTGGGCCCAGCTGCTACCTAACACTAACAAGGTGAGCCAGCAGATCAGCGAAAACCTTCATGACCTGCAACAGGAACTGATGTCTTGCACTGGGCTTCTGAGTATAAAAAGCATACTCTTTGCCCTTCCAATTCCCAGGCAAGATGTCTCTATTAAGAAAAGAGAATTCTGAGAAAGTTCAGGCTTAGCTAAGTTGACATGGTACAAGCCCGTTATATATACATGAACATACATAATCCTTGCACTAACCCTATTATCCGCACCTTGCAGATGAAGAAAATGAGTCACAGAGAGGATAAATAATTTAGTGAATTTAGTGCCATGGTCAGAGTAACCCTTCCATAGATAAAGATTATTAAATCTGGACAAAATAAGAAATATAATGATAATTTTTTTTCCTTTTTTTTTTTTTAGACAGAGTCTCATGCTGTTGCCCAGGCTGGAGTGCAGTGGTACAATCTCAGCTCACTGCAATCTCCACCTCTTGGATTCAAGCGATTCTCCTACTTCAGCCTCCCGAGTAGCTGGGACTACAGGCATGCACCACCACACAGGGCTAATGTTTTGTATTTTTAGTAGAGATGTGGTTTCACCATGTTGGCCGGGCTGGTGGTAAACTTCTGACCTCAGGTGATCCACCCACCTTGGCCTCCCAAAGTGCTGAGATTACAGGTGTGAGCCACCGCCCCTGGCCCAAAATGATAATTTCTAAAACTAGAACGACCATATGATTCAGCAATCCCACTTCTGGATGTGTATCCAAAGGAATTGAAATCAAAATCTCTAAGAGATAACTGTGCTCCCATGTTCATCACAGCATTATTTACAATAGCCAAGATATGGAAACAACCTAAATGTCCATTGATGGATGAACAGATAAAGAAATTGTGGTGCGCACATACAATGGAATATTATTCAGCTTTTAAAAAGAAAGAAATCCTGCCATTTGCAACAACATAGTTGGACCTGGAGCGCATTGTATTAAATGAAGCAAGCCAGGCACAGAAAGACAAATATAGTAGTGTATGATCTCACTTATATGTAGAATCTAAAATAGTCAAACTCTTAGAAGAGAGTAAAATGGTGGTTTCCAGGGTCTGGGAGAAGAGATAAATGGCGAAGTGATGGTTAAAGGGCTAAAGTTTCAGTTATATAAGATAGGCAAGTTCTGGAAATCTACTATACAACATAGTATTTATATGTAACAGCAGAGTATTGTATACTTAACATTTGCTAAGAGGATAGATCTTTTGTTAAATGTCACCACAAAAATCCACAGTAGGAATAATAAAGGGAATGGGAGGAAGCTGGGAGGTGCTGGATGTGTTTATGACCTTGATGGTGATGACAGTTTCGCAGGTGTGTACTTATTCCTAAAGTTATCAAGATGTAGACATTAAATATGTACAGCTTTTATATGTCAGTAGTACACCAATAAAGTGGTTTAAAATAATAATAATCATCATCATCATCCTCATCATCATTTGAAGGCATAGGTGAAAGAACCAAAACAGGCAGAAACTAGGGGGGAAACTTTCCTTGAAGGAAGGTAACTATGCTTGGTGAAATTTGTGAGGTAATCTTTTGGCCTTATAAAGTTCCCTACTTTAAAGACCTTTATAAAGTATAAGCACACAAAAAAACCGCAGCCCAAAAGGCTTGAAGTATGAGAGGACAGAGTTAGGGACAGCAGAGCAGAAAGTTAGTAATTCTGGAAGTCAGGGAGCAGCAGAGGCAGCAAGTCCCAATATCTGTGTATAAAATCTACCAAACCTTAGCTGATCTCTAAAGCGTGATAAAGATCCCAAGAGGCCCAGTAAAATCTCAGTAGATGTAAACTGAAAGAAGTAAGTGACATTTCATCTTCTGCAGCCCACAGGAGAGATAGAGTTTGGAGCTTGAGTCCCTCCAAGTTATCTACTTGAATGAAAATTACTCTTCAGAGGAACAGAATTTAGACTCTACACAAACCATTCATATCTAGTATTCTATAGAAAAATCACTGGACTTGTAAAAGAATAGAAAAACATGATGTACACTCAAGAAAAAATATAGTCAATAAACCATCCCTAAGATGACACAGATGTTGCAATTTTCAGACAAGGACTTTAAAGCAACTGTTAAATATTTTCAACAACTTAAAAGAAAATATATACACATAAATAACCAAATAATGAATCTTAGCAGAGAAATGGAAACAATATATAGTTTCAGAGCCCTTAGCTGGGAGATTGCAGGAACAGGAAATATATGAGTTTTGATGAAATTGAGTGGACAAGGAAGAAAATGTCAAGAGATGAGGAGAGAGATATTTCAGTAAGATAGATCATGTACAACATTATAGACCATTGTAAGGATTTGGGCCTTTATTCAAGTGAAACAACAAGTAATTGGAGGGATTTGAGAAGAAAAGTGACATTACTTGACTTCTCCTTAGTACTTTAACTGCACTGCTGAGAAGAGACACTGGAGAGAGAAACAAGAAACTAGGAAGGAAGACTGATTAGAAGGATTAGGAGACTGGATCGATGATGATGGCATAAACCTGTGTGGTAGTAGTGAAATTTATGTGAAGTGAATATATTCTGATGGTAAAGAAAGAGAATATGTTGATGGTTTGGATATGACTCCAGGATTTTTTGACTAAGCAGCTAGGAGGTGTAGTCATTACTTGCTACATAATTTGTGGGACCCAGTGCAAAACGAAAATGCAAGGTCTTATTTATTTATTTAAAAGAAAAAAAAAAAGGATTCGCCGGGCACGGTGGCTCATGCTTGTAATCCCAACACTTTGGGAGGCCGAGGCGGGTGGATCACGAGGTCAGGAGTTCAAGACCAGTCTGGCCAACATAGTGAAACCCTGTCTCTACTAAAAATACAAAAAATTAGCCGAGTATGGTGGTGTGCGCCTGTAATCTCAGCTACTCGGGAGGCTGAGGCAGGAGAATTGCTTGAACTCGGGAGGCAGAGGTTGCAGTGAGCCGAGATCATGCCATTGCACTCCAGCCCAGGCGACAGTGTGAGACTGTGTCTCAAAACAAACAAACAAACAAACCAACAAAAAACCAACAACAACAACAACAACAAAGGATTAAGAATATCAAGATGCTGACAGTGGGGCTTTAAACAAACTACCCAGATTGCATGCTCCTGAAGCCCTCGATGCATTTGCTATTTGCCGACTTCAGGAAAAGCATGTTTTATGGACAGGGAGAGGTAGGTTGAATTTAGACATTTTATGCATTTGGAGATGTTTAGTAAATAATAAATAATAAATTTTTCTTAAATATAAAGCATTTTACACTTAAAAAACCCATCCAGTCACCAAGAATTTCTATTCATGTATATTAAGCCTCCAAGTATAAATACCTAAATACTAGCAAGTCATGTTTATTCAGCCTTTTATACAGTATTTTGAGAGAATGGTCAAGTTTAACCCATTCAATGGTTTGAAATATCAGTGGGCATCTCTACAAGCAGTAAAATTATTCAAAACAAATTTCTGGTTTGATTAGAAAAAGTAGTGTGTAAAGTCGTTTCAAAAAGGTTTTTAAATTAACTGGATTTTTTCCTAATATTTATACCTATTCAGTGGAGTGATATCGGCACCAATATGACATCATCAATGAATATTTTACATTTGATTTTAAAGCATTTCTTGGGACTCCCTTATGTATAGTAATCTCCTTTTATCCACAGGGGCATATGTTCCAAGACCCCCACTGAATTCCTGAAACTGTAGCTAGTATCAAATCCTATATACACTATGTGTTTTTTTATCCATACATTTCTCTTATAAAGCTTAATTTATAGATTAGGCACAGTAATAAAATAGAACAATTATAAAAATATTCTGCAGTAAGAGTTATGTGGCTATGGTCTCTTTCTCAAAATATCTTATTATACTGTACTCACCTATTTTTGGACCGCCGTTGACCTCAGGAAACTGAAACGATGGAAATTCAAATCACAGAAATCAAAACCCTAGATAAGGGGAGACCACAGTATCCACTGTTAAGCTGCAGCAAAGTTAATTCTTGCTTTTGTCAGAAGTGTCTGTGAGTGAATCAAGATATTATCAGTGAATCTGGCCATTGCTACCACCCCCAGGATCTAACCCAGACAAGCTACTCTTTATAGACCTAGCCAGAAAGAACATATTAACAAAGAAAATGTGTTAATATAACCAGATAAATGGTTGTGGTAATTCCAATATTGATACAAGAATAACAGGAATTCCATTGTGAGTAAATAACACATTAGCTTCATGTCTGGGTCACTTGGACTTTTTAAAGAACTGATGACTTTAAAAACTGAAGAAATATTCAAAATCTTATAGTGCACAGAAAATTATAAAAATATTTTTATTTTTCCATATTGGCTTGTAATTATGTATGCTATATGTTTTAGGTAGTATTAAATAAACTGTGTGTCTCTGTATATATGTGTGGAAAATATATGTGTGGAAATTGTAAATTTGTGTTTTCACACATTGGCGTAGAGTTGCTTATGATATTTTCTTTAAATCTATTTTATCTTTAGTTGTGCCCACTCAGTTTCTAATACATTTCAGATGTTCTTTATCTCATTTTTATTTTACTTCATATATTGGATACATAAATAATTAGCATTCAATCATCTTTCCTGTGCTTTGATTTTCTTCTAAGTACTGTTAAACAATTTTATATGCAGTGGTTTTGTCGTAATTCATTTCCGAGGAATTTACTAATTTTCCTTTTGATTTCTCCAACCCATAAACTTTCATTTTTAAACTCCTAAACTATATAAGGTTTTTCAATAATCTTTTTATTTTTGATTGCTAAATTGTCCTTCTGTTACAGAATATAGTCGCTGTGATACAGACTTTGAATTTGGTAAGCCTTAATTTATAACCTAGATTATGACCAAATTTTATCAATATTCTTTGTGTGTTTGTTATTAAAATATATACCTTCTTGTTCAGATATAATACTTAATAAACTTGATTTTATTGTGTCTCAACTCATTCTAAATTCATATTTTAAAAAATCTGCTTTATTTCCATGTTGCGCTTATTTCACATTGCGTGCCTATATCAAAACAACTCATGTACCCTATAAATATATACACCTACTATGTACCCACAAAAATTTCAGAAAGATTAAAAAACAAAAACAAGTTTCTATTTATTGACAAGCATTTGAAAACACTCCTGGTCCAATTTTGCAATTGTCTATACCCCTTGAAATACTGATAATTTTTGCTCTACATATTAGGTGCATACTGATTACATATTTTTATTCTACTAATGAACTTAAATTATCATTCTATTATGACAGTCTAGAAATCCTTCTGTCTTCATATTTACCTTATAATAATTGAGAGGCTAAGATACACACTTAAAACATAAGGAAGTAAATTTTTAGAAATTAAAAAATATGGAAGTATCTCTCTCTCTCTCTCTATATATATATATATATAGTACATAGTAGGTGTATATATTTATAGGGTACATGAGATGTTTTGATATAGGCACGCAATGTGAAATGTTATATAGAGAAATATATATATATATATAGAGAGAGAGGTAGACAGAGAGAGAGAGAGAGATCTATATTACCTATGTCTGCATATCCATATTTCTATATCCCTGTCTATATACCCATGTCTGTCTATTTTACAGAGACTTCAGATCTTTTGCATTTATAGTAATTGCTGATACATTAAATAATTTTAACACATGGTTTTCATTTTCTGCTTGTTCTGATTGTACTGGGTTTATTTTTGTCTTCATTTATTGTCCGTTTTTTTATGTTCTTTCACTGAATGCACATGCTTTTTTTTTTTTTTTCCAGGGTCTTACTCTGTCATCCAGGCTGTAGTGCAGTGGCCTGATCACGGCTCACTGCAACCTCCGCCTCCTGGGCTTAAGCAATTCTCCTGCCTCAGTCTCCCAAGTAGCTGGGACAACAAGCGTGAGCCACCACGGCAGGCTAATTTTTGTATTTTTAGTAGAGACGGGGTTTCGCCATGTTGGCCAGGCTTGTCTCGAACTCCTGACCTCAGGTGATTCTCCTGCCTCGGCCTCCCAAAATGCTGGGATTACAGGTGTGAGCCACGGCTCCTGTAATGCACATGCATTTTTAACATCCTCATTTAACTTAATAAATGTTAAAGATAGTGTCACTATCTTTCTCTGAAACAACACGATGACCTTCAAAAATTAACTTCAGTGTCTCTTATTTTATATTACATATTACAAAGTATTGTCCATTATGTTGATCTTACACATTCGTTATTTGGTTACTAGTGTCTTTGTGTCTTTGTTCACCCATCCTTCTGACTTACCTGTCTTTCTAGGTGCTTTAATTTTCATGTTGAAGTGTATATTTGGAAATTCTTTCAGGGAATGTCCCTCCTTTTCTCTCTCTGTCTGAAAATGTCTTCACTGTAGTTATTCTTGAATAGTATAAAGAGTAGTACTATATTGGCTCTTCCCAGATGTCGTGTGGAAATTTGCAACCAGGAACCATTTTTTTTGTGTGAATTTCTCAAACTAGGATTTATTAGTCTGGAGAAATAATAAAATTAAACTTACCACATGTGTGAGACAGACATATGCTTTTGATTTCTCAGATTTTTAAAAACCCCATCAAGAAGGAAGTCAGAGGCAGGTGAGCTTCCTTGTTTCCTTTTGCGGCTGAGTGTTTTTTTAAGTCTACTTTCTCTCCATATATTTGAGGATCCTGGATTGATGTACAGATAGATCTCGGTTTCAGCTACCTTACCTCCCTTGTGTATATGGCTAATAAAACCCCTTGGTAACTAAGATGGGTGAATCCTCATCATGTTTTTAAAAGGAAGTCAATTTAATTAAAGGCATCTCTAATGTCTAATACATGATATTTTTGAATTTATTGATAGATTTTGTATAAATCTCTATTTAATCTCATTTTGGTTTCATCAATATATCAACATCTACAGATTACAGTAGATGACCGTTAATATTATCTATGTCTTTTCATTTGAAGGTTATTATATGTATGATTTCCATTTTTATTGTTTTATAATCCTCTTAGACTTTTTGCTTAATTAAGCCAATATTTTTAAATATTTTTTTGTTCTGATCCTGGTCTTTTAGTTTTGTGTACTGCTAGTAACTTGGTAATATAAGCCAACATATAAATGATAATATTGATTACTAGTCATAATAACAGAGGAAATGGAATATTATATCTGAAGTGTCTGATTTATCTTTCATTCTCAATACTTTGAAGCTATGGCACATAATCTAAATGCAAATAGATGAAGTTTGTCTTACAATTATTCTACAAAGAGCACAACTACTTCAATTTAATGAGCATACTGACATGTGATATTACTGTTATCCCACAGTAACTTCTAAAATCTCTCAGAAAACTGTGTGAGAAAAAAAAAGTGAACTGCAAGAGGGGTTGTCATAAAAAATCCCTAATTGGGTACTATATAAAGTGAAGCTACTTCACATCTTTTCTTTCTCCTTTCACTTCCAGCCACAAATACAATGAGTTTCCAGTTTCTAAGAGGAGGAAGTGGCATAAAACTTTCTAACTACAGATCACGTTTATAAAGAGGTAAATGCAAGTTTTCTTCATGGTAAAGAGAAATAAATTCAAATTGCAATCCTAGTTACATTTTGAATGTAAAATTCAAAAGAATGGAAAGAAAATAATTTTTGTAAAAATTAATACTAATGTATGAAATATCGAAATGAAATTTCTCAGCCAAAAAATTAAGCTAATTTGTCCAATCTTTAAAACGCTTTATTTTCTACTGCATATATACTTTGTCTTTAAATTTTAAGTCTAAAGCTTTAGAAAATAAGCCCACTTCGAGGCTGACCCAGTTTTGTTGATAGTATGCTCAATATAAGATGGTTTGTCTCATGAAATCTAACCGCTCTCTATAGATAGATAGATAGATAGATCCATCCATCCATTCATACATACATAGACTATAAAAATCACTTCCATAATCCCAGCACTTTGGGAGGCTATGGTGGGAGGATGACTTGAGCTCAGGAGTTCAAGCCCCGCAGCCTGAGGAATACAGGGAAACTTTGTCTCTCCAAAAAAAAAAAAAAAAAAAAAAGCCACCGGTGTAGTCCCAGCTACTTTGGGAGACTGAAGTGGGAGGATCACTTGAGCCCAGGAGGTCGAGGCTGCAATGAACTGTGATCATGCCACCTCACCCTGGACTGAACAAGACTCTCTCAAAAAAAAAAAATCACCACAAACTGGAAAATTAGGCTGTGACTCTAATAAGGAAAAGTTCACATTTTCAAGGAGCTCAAGTTCAGTGTTACAGGTGAGAAAGTCGACTTCATTTGTATTTTTTACTATTAATCAAACAATTTGTAACTATATTATGTTAAATAAGATGAGAATTATAATGCTGTAAAATACGATTAAATTATATAGTAAATGTTACTAAATATTTTTGTACAGAAATAAATTCTCACAGTAGCTTCTACCTAGTATCTTAGTTCCTCCCTTTACAAGTCTGATTTGTTTTTCACTAGGATTTTTACCAGAAAATCCTTCTTACATTTGTAGATGTACAAAACCTTATAAATATTTTCTTCAAAATAAAAAATAAATCTTATTTTTTTCCTCTTTTGACATAATATAAAACATTCTCACAACTGTGATTGCTGTATTTTGAATTGGCTCTAGTTTGCCTAACTTCTCTTGAAACTGCTATATAAGGATCTGAATGCAGTGCTCTGGGTCTCAGCAGGTAAGACAGAGCAGGATTTTAATCATTGTAATTCTAGATGTTATATTTATAAGGAATTAAGTACTTCATATTAACTGTTTTTTGCCTTCATCTTGCCATTCATATATTGAGCTTAATAAGTCTAAAATTCTAATCCACTCTAAAAGTGTAATCTTTAAACCCCAAGCTCCTCTAATCTTTTATATGTATACTTCTGAAATAGCAGATTAATTAAATACACCAACTGTGGCTTTCTAAAAGTAAGCTAACTTTTCTGAACTTCACGATTGCATAATCAAGGAAAATGCACCCACCTAAAAGTGTGGTTAAAAAAGAAAAAATAGATAAGTTAATGTTCAGTGTTACTCCTAGCACAAATTAAATGCACAGATTAATGTAGTATTTTCAACTAAGTAGCTATGGGCATTGTAATTTGGGAGCACCTATACAAAGTCTTTAAATGCTTCCTATTGAACTTTTCCTTGTTACATCAGGCTCATCATTCAAGGCTATTGACCTCTTTTTGGATCCAGATTCTGTTATGCAGCAAATTTATTCTTTCCACTTTGGTATCATGTGTAATTTTGACAATCATGCCTTCCAGAACTTGATGGCAGTGATTGACAATATTAAGCAGGACAGGTCCTTTTTTTCTGTGTGCAATCAACCACATATAATTCTACCTAATTGAACTCATTTCCAGGGCATGTGTCTACAGCCTTTCATAGGAATATCATAGGAGAAAATTTCACATGTTTTGCTGGTGTCCAGATATATGCAGTTTCTTGCTTTCCTAGCCTAATGAACTGTCATAAAATAAAGGTGGTTTAAGCTTGACATATCTTGTTCTTGTGAAGTCTCTCTGACCACTCTCAGTAAAGGCTTCTTTTGGAAGTAAAATTTTCTTTACTTAAGTGTTACTTCCCTGGAGTAACCTACAAGGCGGCAGACCTTCACAATCTATCATGTTCTGCATGGCCTGATGATGTCAAAGGAACATGCTTTGTCATAAGGCTCCTCCATCCTAATATAATATGGAGGTCCATATCCACCTCAGTCCTATCTCTTTTTAATATACAAAACTATCCCTGATACACAAACATATTTTCAAAGACCATCAAGGTCAACGACAATTGCCATACATTCAATACATTCAGGGATAATTTTTCTGGATCAGGATACTTGAATTCATATTTTGGAGCATGGTAAATTGGGAGGCTCTGGCTCCTTCACGTCAATATTTGGGCAAAGGAAAAGATAGAGAATACAAAATCAATCTAAATATTAATTATGCCATTTTCCATTATCTGTTACCAACAGCATCCACAGAACTTCCTTTCTCATACCAATTATTGCTAGAAAGCAGTGCTGCTGAAGGAGAGTAATATGTAGATGGGGAAGCTTATTACTGGTACTTCACAGATTACATTAAGGATTATTTTTAACTTTTTATTCAACAGCATTCTACACATAAAAAAGATAAATGCAGTAGGTCAAATTCTTAGATGGTGCTAAAGGGTTCCCAGCCTCTAACATATGCACACCTCTTCCAGGTATTCACTCAAACACTAATCTAAGGTACTGCTGTAAAGAGATTTTGCAAATATAATTAAGATCTCAAGTCAGTTGACCTTAAGGTATGGTGATTATCTGGGTGGGCCTGACTTAGATCACATGAGCCCTTTGAAACCAGAGTTTTCTCCAGATAGTCATAGAAGAGGAAGTCAAAGAAATATGCTCCAGTTGGCCTGGAAACAAATATACATGTTGTAAACTGTTCTGGAGACCACATGGCAAAGAACTAAGGCGGCCTCTAGATACTAACAGCAGTTCATGACTTACAGCTAGCAGGTAACAGGACACCTCGGTCTTACAACCACAAGGAAATTAATCTCAGCAACTAGTGAGCTTGAAAGAGAACTCCAAGCCCCAGATGAGACCTACAGTCCCCAGACGACACCTACAGTCCCCAGATGACACCTTGTTGTCAGCCTGGTGAATCCCTTAGCACAGTATTCATCCATGCCAAGCCTGGAGTTATCCCTATAGAAACTGTGAGATGATAAATCTATATTGTGTTTATGGTAATGTGTTATGCAGCAATAGAAAAGCCCTCTAAGCCTGGGACACATAGCAAGACCCTGTCTCTACAAAAGAAAAAAAAAATTAGGCAGACATGGTGCATGCCTGCAGTCTCAGCTGCTACTCGGGAAGCTGAAGTGGAGGATCACTTGAGCCCACGAGTTTGAGGCTGCAATGAGCAATGATTGTGTCACTGCAATCCAGCCTCGGCAACAGAGCAAGATCCTTTCTCTAAAAATAAATAAGTATGTAAATAAAAAGAAAGCGAATATGCCTGTATCATAGGTATACAACTCAAAGAATTTTCACAAATTATAACCACTACCTGAACAAGAAATAGAACATCCCAGAAGTGTCCCTCATGCTCCCTTCCAGCCACTACCCCACTCACCATTCACCAATCCTCCACCTCTTTCCCCAGTAGTAGTAATTGCCCTGACTTTTAACTGTATAGATTAGTGCTGTTTAAGTATTTGATTTAAATGGGATCATGCATCATGTGCTTTTCTGGCTTTTGGTTATTTAACTCAATAATTTTTTTGAAGGTTTATTCATACTGTTGCATGGGGTTGTAGATACTTCATTTCGTTGCTGCATAATATTCCATTTTGTGAATAGACCACAATTTACTTATCTATTTGACTTGCTGGCCCTGTGGGTACTTTCCAGCATGGGGCTATTCCAGTGATGCATTGCAGCATATGTATTTTGGTAGCTATACATATCCATGATACGTATATGCATATGTGTAGTTTAGTTTTAAACTGAGAGAAGTCATCTACACTTGAAACCATTAAACTACGCACCATTCATAGGACAGAAGCACAACTATTCTGAAGTTATGGGAGTGTGGGCTCAACTCCTGTCTGCTTTGTAGTCTCTCAATCTGCCACAGGGCTGTCATCTTAACCCCAGGCCATGGCATGGCCTGCCAAATCCACCTCATTCACATGGCTGTGGCCACTCAGGGAGATGCAGGTTGAGAGAAATGAGCACATCCTTTCCTGGTTTGGGGCTTTGTCTGTGAAGTGCGTGGGAGGTGAGGCTGACCTCCAGAGATCTAAAGGCATCATTTTGGGATGCACCAAGCTCTTGAGGCCTGGGACCATGGCAGGCTAACAGCCGAAGGGCCTGCTGCAGAGTCAGGCTGACATGTGCTGTCTGGTGGTGGGAGTTCTTGTGTATTTGTTGGCTACTGGTGTCTGGCAGTTTAGAATCACTTTGCACAGAATTTTTGCTCTTTCTCAGGAAAAGAAAATGGGCTAGAAGAAGCCCAATCTTCAGTTCTTGTCTTGGTACCATTTAAAATCAACATTTCATTTGAAAAATAAATAAATAAACTGAGGGAAGGCCAATTATTAGTCATTCAAAAAATCTGTATAAAAACGTAATATTGTGAAGACTACAGTGTGTATTTTTAGTCAAAAGCCCCTGAATTTATGTTGTAGGCAGTTACATTCTAGGTGTGATCTTGACCATGTTACCTAATCTTTTGTACTGTCTCCACATTTGTAAAATACAGGATATTAAAAACCCCAATCTATGGCGCATCTGGAGGATTAGAATTTCCAGAGATTCTAATGTGCTTTTGGATATGGTAGTCAGTAGCCATAAGTGGTCACTGAAATTTAAATATAAATTACTTAAAATTAAATATAATTAAGAATTCAGTTCCTCAATCACAGAATTAAGAGTTCAGTTCCTCAATCACACTAGCCATATTTCAAGTGCTCAATAAATGCATATTATTGGACATCACTGTATGTACATAAAGTATTTAAACCATGCTGATATCTTAACTTGCTACTTAATAATTCATAGTGTCAATAGCAAAGACTTGGAACCAACCCAAATGTCCACCAATGATAGACTGGATAAAGAAAAAGTGGCACATATACACCATGGAACACAATGCAGCTATAAAAACGAATGAGATCGTGTCCTTTGCAGGGACATGGATGAAGCTGGAAGTCATCATTCTCAGCAAACCAACACAGGAACAGGAAATCAAACACCACATGTTCTCACTCATAAATGGGAGTTGAGCAATGAGAACACATGGACCCAGGGAGGGGAACATCATACACCAGGGCCCGTCAGTGGGCGGGGAACAAGGGGAGGGAGAGCATTAGGACAAATACCTAATGCAAGCGGGGCTTAAAACCTAGATGACGTGTTGATAGGTGCAGCAAACTACCATGGCGCATGTATACCTATGTAACAAACCTGCATATTCTGCACATGTATCCCAGAACTTAAAGTAAAATAAATAAATAAATATATCACTTTTTTTCACTTAGCAACATCACAATTTTGAGGCAACCATTCCTCAAATCATTCTGATATCCACAGAAGTTATCTCAATGATGCTTCTGAAAGTTTTTTTCAATACATCAAGATATCTTGTATTTTTCCTTGTGTTTACCTCTTTCTCTTTTTGGCGATGGAGATCATGAAATTCATGGCATGGGGAAAGGCCACTGCTATGGCTTCCTTTTTCTTCTCACCTTGCATGGGCTCCTTGCAATCTCGTCATGCCAGATTGCAATGGGCTGATGCTGCCCTTTGGACTCTGAAAAAAATTCCATCTATGCTCATCACTAAGCACCCCTCTGTTACAATATTTACAGAAGTGCCCAAGTGCCTTGTCAGTATCTCACAGAGACACCTGATCAGAACTCTTCAACTTCCCCTTTGCAAAATCCATTTCTCCCTGAAATTCAGGCACAGGATCTTCCAGCAAGACTTAAGGCTATATCTTGGGAATCACAGAGCTGTTCTCAAGATACCCTTTCTGTTAGAAATAAACATTTATTTCCTTTAAATCAGCAGTCCCCAACCCTTTTGGAATCAGGGACCGGTTTCATGGAAGACAATTTTTCCATTGTGGGGTGGGGATGGTTCCTGGGTGATTCAAGCACATTAAATTTATTCTGCACTTTATTTCTATTATTATTACATACTCATCATAATGTAGAATCAATGGGAGTCCTGAGCTTGTTTTCCTGCAACTACATGGTCCCATCTATATACAGTCCTATCTGGGGGTGATGGAAGACAGTGACAGATCATCAGGCATTAGATTCTCGTAAGAAGCATGCAACCTAGATAACTTGCATGCACAGTTCACAATAGGGTTCGCGCTCCTATAAGAATCTAATGCCACCGCTGATCTGACAGGAGGTAGAGCTCGGGCAGTAATGCTCTCGCTCACCTGCCACTCACCTCCTGCTGTGTGGCTGGGTTCCTAACAGGCCACAGACTAGTACTGGTCCATGACCCAGGGTTTGGGCACCCTGGCTTTAAATTATCTCTCTTCTTCTGTTTATTTATATTTCATTTTGTGGTTTTTCTCTTCAATAGCTATGGTAGTTGTTAGTATTATTATTAGCATTATTATTTTTTGTTAATGATACTTACTATGTAAAAATGCATGATAGGTGGTACGGGAGTTGAAAAAGTCATGGCCTTTGCTCATTCAGAACTTATAGAAAGGAAGAGAATATCTAGCCTCAATTAATTAAAATCTAATGTAAATAATTATATGGCTGGCAGTAAACATGTTTATATTCATTTTCATTATAAGTTTCAAGTATGGAAATGATAGAAATGAGAATAATAATTTTAAATAAGTTGCGATAGAAAAAATCACAATGGGGTATTTTGCCTTGATGTTTCTTTTTTTCTCTTTAATAATATCCATCTGTACAGGCGAGGAAGCAACTGTACATGTGGTGTGATTTTAAGGAAAACTAAATATCTCATTCAAATTAACGTATTTTTCTCTTGAGCTACCTGAGACTCTCAATTTCATACTGAGGCCATTAACATCTATAAAGCCTTTATTAAAAAATAAAAATGTCCTTTGGGAGTTGTCAAGGGAGAGAGTTGTTTGATGACCCTTTAATATCTCATGAACTCCAATACAGGGGGGTTTCTCAGAAGGTGTAACAAAGGAATTGAGGTACGGGAAAGGGAGGGAGGAAGTTTGAGAGAGGTACGCAGCACTGGATGTTCATGCCTAGAAGGTGGGCTGGGACTTCCCAAGGGCCCAAAGTGAAAGGAGAGTTGAAGAGATAAAATGAAGAAAGAGAAACACAGCTGGACATGGTTAAAATTTCAGGCTATTGTTTCTGAAAATCCGTTTTCCTTCATCTACGCTCTTGTTGTGATCTGCTCCAGCCATATTTCATATACTTGCAATTAGGCATTCCTAATTAAATGCCTCTGATATCCCAGATGGCTTTGAGAACAAGACCACATGGGAAGTATTTTTTTTAAAGAGCATGAGGTATATTGAACTTCCCAAATGACTTTCAGGAATATTTTGCTATAAATGTGTCATTTGAAAGCTGGAAAACAATGTGAAACTACATGACTTATATTTATAGCGGCCTGAATTCAATCATTGTACAATGTATATACATATAAGAAACATCACAATTTACAACTTAAATATATATAATTTTAACTTGTCAACAATACCTCAGTAAAGCAAGGGGAAAAGGATTATAAGATGGTACCAATAAACAGATTGTGAGGGAAGAAAAGACATGTTAACATATCAGCGATTACTCAAGAAAGGCTTTACTGAGCTGTTCTTATTGAAATGAAATAAGTGAAGAATTTTATAGGTTAAAGCAGATCTTAGAGCAGTTTATAATAGCTGTGAAGCTAGAGCAAAGACATCCTTGAAATATATCTCTTGGGATGTAACAAATGCTGCAGCAACATTCCTCAAGCAATCCGTCACATACACAGAGAAGATGAAATATATACACATACCTTATATCACATAGTATAACCTTTTTGGTTCTTTTCACTTACAACAAGAAGATATTTTTATATTCTAAATGTGGTACATATGCACATACAATGTGTGAAATGTTTGGCATCACACACAGCCACATTCACATTTGTTGTATTATTATTTACTACTACTATATATATAGTGTAATATACATAGGCCAGTGACTGTGAAAGCTTAATTCCTGACCAGAAGCATCAGAATTACCTGAGAACTTATCATAAATGCAGTCTCAGTACCACCACCACCATCACCATCTCCCGGGTCTGCTTATCAGAAACTCCAAGGAAGAGATAGAGAAATGGTGTTACCCTCTAGGTGATTCTGATGCATGGCACTGATGTAGACAATGATACGATACTACTGAAAGCAGTATTTCATCATTGTAAAAGGAGGGAGAGTATCTGATTGAAATCAATAAATACATTCTCAATTGTTCTTTTAACATGAAGCAAACATGTATAGGAGGCGCCTCATCTCCCTCATGTCTACCTATTAAGCATCTTCCACTATACTTTTGTGCAAAAAGTCATTTAAGACTTCACCAACATAAGCAGATTTTACTTTGTAAGTTGGCTTCATTTCAAAACATTAAAAATAGAATTACCATGTGACCCAGCAATCTCAATTCTGGGTATATACCCCAAACAATTGTAGTCAGGGACTCAAATTGTTATCTTCACAGCTGTGTTCATAGTAGCATTATTCACAATAGCCAAAAGGGAAAACAGCCCAATTGTCCATCAATCAATGATTGGATAAACAAAATGTGGTATATCTACACAGTAGAATATTACTCTACCTTAAAAAAGGAAGGAAATTCTGACACATGCTACAACATGTATGAACACTGAGGACAGTATGCTGAGTGCAATAAGCCAGTCACAAAAAGACAAATACAGTATGATTCCACTTATATGAGGTATCTAGAGTAGTCAAATACAAAGAGACAGAAAAATGGTGGTTGTCAGGGGCTGGGGAAGTGGGAATTGGGAGCTATAGTTTAATGGGTACGGAGCTTCAGTTTCCAAGACGAAAAGGATCCTGGCTATGAATGGTTATGTTGATTGCACAACGTTAATGTTCTTAACGTCACTGGAATATACACTTAAAATTTTAAGATTGTAAATTAGTATGGAAGTTTCTCAAAGAATTAAAAATAGAGCTATTATTTGATCCAGCAATTCTACTACTGGGTGCCTACTGAAAGGAAAATAAATAATTACATCAAAAAGACACCTACATTTGTATGTTTATTGCAGCATTATTCACAATAGCAAAGATATGGAATCAACCAGATTGTCCATCAGTGGATGAATAAAGAACATATGGTATATATATATATATATATATATATACACACACACACACACACACACACACACACACAATGGAATACTATACAGCCATTAAAAAGAATGGAATTTGGGAGGCTGAGGCAGGAGAATTGCTTGAACCTGGGAGGTGGAGGTTGCAGTGAGCTGAGATTGCACCACTGCACTCCAGCCTGGGTGACAGAGCAAGACTCTATCTCTCCAAAAAAAAAAAAAAAAAAAAGGAATCATGTCTTTTGCAGCAACATGTATGGAACTGGAGGCCATTATCTTAAGTGAAACAAATCAGACACAAAAAGACAAATAGTACATGTTCTCACTTATAAGTGGGAGCTAAATAATATGTACACATGGTTGTAGACTGTGGAATGATGGTAGAGATTCAGAAGAGTTGGGGGGGCTGGACAAGGAATAGAGAAGAATTACTTAATGGATATAATGTGCATTATTCTGGTGATGGATACACTAAAAGCCCTGACTTCACCTGTAAACAATCTATCCATGTAACAAAATTACACTTGTACCCTATAAATTATACAAAAATTGGTAAGTTTTGTCATATGATTTTGCCACAATAAAAAATAAAAATAAATTTAAAAACAAATAAAATTTGTTTCTATTGCATGCCTTGCATCTGCGCTCCATTTTTTGATATTAACCCCTGCTTACTCATCTTATCCAAATCACTCTTTTCCCTGTTGGGATTGATCTCATGTAGGAAGCTATGAGGTATGAAAAAGTTTGCAGGCCGGGTGAGGTGACTCACGCCTGTAATCCCAGCACTTTGGGAGGCCGAGGCGGGTGGATCGTCTGAGGTCAGGAGTTTGAGATCAGCCTGGCCAAAATAGTGAAATCCATCTCTACTAAAAATACAAAAAATTAGCTGGGCATGGTGGTGGGCGCCTGTAATCCCAGCCACTCGGGAGGCTGAGGCAGGAGAATCATTTGAACCCAGGAGGCAGAGGTTGCAGTGAGCCAAGATCGTGCCATTGCACTCCAGCCTGGGCAACAAGAGCGAAACTCCATCTCAAAAACAACAACAACAACAACAACAACAACAAAATTATTTGTGGAAAAGTTAATCAAAAGTAGTAAATTTTAGTAGTAGTTATCAAGTGCTTACTGTGCTTACCAGACACTGTTTGAAATGCTTTAAATATTTTAACTCAATTGAACCTTACAACAACCCTTTAAGGGTGGAGATAATATTATCTCAGTTGTCTAGGTAAGAAAACTGAAGCATGCAAAAACACGCTGAAGTCATCCAGAAGCAGAGCTGAGATTTGAACCCAAAGACTCTGCAGTTTTGCTCTTAATTTCTCATTCTTAAACACCACCTTATGCTATTTATTGAGAAAATGTAATAAATAAGAATGACTAACTGGATTTAATCATAAAGTAACTTTTATTTGTTTCCCAGTATTTCTCTAAATTTATTGAGTAGGGCTGGTTCTTCACCAGGTCCAGGATGAAAATTCAAAGTGAACCCCATTGCTTTTGTAGTCATAAGAAGGTAAAAAATTAAAAGTGTGGCTTTTAATTTCAAAACACAGTATCACTTCAGCAATTAAGACACCAATCCCAAAAAATGATTTTTAAAAAGTCTCATTTTTGCTCTACAGTGCAGTTTTCTCAGCTGCCTAAGCTTGGGCCCACTTCAGATGGAAGTCAACTTCTTTATTATCACCTAGACTTTTACCTCACCAATCATCATGTGTGATTACAACATAGTTGAATATAGGGAAAAGAGAGAGGAAGAATGAGCAGGAAAGTTCTTATTTGCTTAGTGATGGCATAGTGATCTAGATCCAGGACACTTTGGATCTGATATTTAGTTAAATCTGACTTTTTCCATGGCAACTATGATAAACTGATTGCAAAAATGCACCAAATCTTCAATCCTGCCTTGTCCATAACCCTTGCCCTGTAACTTGAAAATGCCCCTCCACTCTGACTTTGGGGTTAGCTGAATGACTTGTTTGAGCCAAAGGAATGTGAACAACTATAATGTATGTGGAGGGGTTTTTTTGTTGTGGTTTTTTTTGAGATGGAGTCTCACTCTGTTGCCAGGCTGGAGTGCAGTGGCACGATCTCGGCTCACTGCAACCTCCGCTTCCCAGGTTCGAGCGATTCTTCTGTCTCAGTCTCCCAAGTAGCTGGGACTGCAGGCCCCCACCACCACCCCTGACTAATTTTTGTATTCTTAGTAGAGACGGGGTTTCACCATATTGGCCAGGCTGGTCTAGAACTCCTGACCTCGTGATCCGCCCACCTCGGCATGCTAAAGTGCTGGGATTACAGGCGTGAGCCACTCTCGCCTGGCCTGTAAGTGGAGGTTTAAAGATGCTGTGTGAATGGGCTTGTCCCCACTTTTGCACCTCTGCCATTACGAGAACATTCTTGTGCTAGCTTGCTAGAAAATGAGGGGCATCTGCCATCTCAGTTATTTCAGCTAAAAGCATCCTAGACAAAGTTGAGAGTCAACCAATTCTTAAATCCGTATATGAGCCAAACCAAGATGAGTACAGACATCTGGCTGACAAACCTAGATACATGAACTATAAAATTATTATTGTATGTGAATAAGCTCTTGATTATTTTTAATGCAATATCATTGTGAAAATAGATAACTGATACAGGCACTCTCCTGACTCCTCTAATCGTAGGAAAGTTGCTCATATATAAGGATAATTACAGTTTTTTTTTTTTTTGAAACAGAGTCTAGCTCTGTCACCGAGGCTGGAGTGGAGTGGCATGATCTCAACTCACTACCACCTCCACCTCCCGGGTTCTCATGCCTCAGCCTCCTGAGTAGCTGGGATTACAAGAGTGTGCCACCATGCCCAGCCTTTTTTTGTTTGTTTTGTATTTTTAGTAGAGACGGGGTTCAACATGTTGGCCAGGCTGGTCTTGAACTCCTGGCCTCAAGTGATCCACTTGCCTTGGCCTCCCAAAGTGCTGGGTTTACAGGCCTGAGTCACTGCGCCCGGCTGAAAATTACAGGCATTTCTATGTCGATGAGTTGTCCTTTTATTCTCCAGTCCCTAGACATCAAGAAAAACTTCCAAGTAATTTATTCTGTGACTTAACTAACATTTCCAGAGATTTCACTGAAAAAAGTCTAAGAAAACCATATTTTACTTTGTCTTGTTCATGGATCATATTTGGGGTATAGGAAACAGTAACATAATTTTTACCCAAAGGAACACTTGGAGTGCAATTCAATTGCTATATGGACAAGAAAATTCTTGATGTTTGAATTAAATATAAGTTCTCAGTTTATCCACAGGCAAAACAATAAAACTAGATCCCTATCTCTCATCATATATAAAAATCAACTCACAATGTATTTAAGACTTAAATGTAAGACCCAAAGCTATGAAAGTGCTAGAAAAAAACATGGGGGAAATGCTACATACCATCTGTCTGGGCAAGGATTTCTAGATAAGACCTCAAAAGCATTGCCCAAATAAATAAATGGGATTATACCAAACTAAAAAGTTTCTGCAGAGCAAAGGAGACAATCAACAGAGTGAAGAGACAACCTACAGAATGGGAGAAAATATTTGCAAATTATAGATCAGACAAGGGGTTAACATCTAGAATATATAAGGAACTCAAACAATCCCATAGCAAAACATAAAAATCTTATTTTTTAAATGGCAAAATATCTGAGCAGACATTTCTCCAAAAAAGAAATTTTTTTTTGGTACTCCATGCAAATTACCAACGGATATATGAAAAAATGCTGAACATCACTGATCATAGATAAATGTAAATTAAAAGCACAATGAGGTATCACCTCACCCCAGTTAGAATGGCTATGTTCAAAAAAATTAAAACCAAGAAGTGCTGGCAAGCATGCGGAGAAAGGAAAACTCTAATACACTGTTGGTGGGAATATAAATTAGTACAGCCACTAGTAAAAACAATATGGAAGTTCCTCAAAATGTTAAAAATAGACCGGGCATGGTGGCTCAAGCCTGTAATCCCAGCACTTTGGGAGTCTGAGGCAGGAGGATCACTTGAGGCCAGGAGTTTGAGACCAGCCTGGGTAACATAACAAGACTCTGTCTCTGCCAGAAAAAAAAAAAAAGTAAAAATTAGCTGGGCATTGTGGCACGCACCTGTATTAGCTACTTGGGAGGCTGAGGTGGGAGGATCATTCAAACCCAGGAGTTCGAGGCTGCAGTGAGCTACCGTTGTGCCACTGCACTCCAGCCTGGACAACAGAATGAGACCCTGTTTCTTAAAAACAAAAACAAAAACAAACTGATAAATAAATCTACCATATAACTCAGCAATTCTACGACTCGGTATATATCCAAAGTAAATGAAATTAGTGTGTTGAAGAGACATCTGCATTCCCGTTTATTGCAGCACTAATTCGCAATAGCCAAGATATGGAATCAAAAGTATCCATCAATGAATGAATGGATAAAGAAAATGTGGCAGCCAGTTTCAGTGGCTCACACCTGTAATCCCAGAACTCTCGGAGGCCAAAATAAAGGGATTGCTTGAAGCCAAGAGTTCAAAACCAGCTTGGGCAACAAAATATGACTATGATTCTGTTTAAAAAAAAGAAAAAAACAACATGAAAATGTGGCATATATGCACAATTAAATACTATTCAGTCATTAAAAAGGATGAAATCCTGTCATCTGTGACAACATAGATGAGACAGAAGGATATTAAGTGGAACAAGTCAGGCACAGAAAGACAAATTCTGCATGATCTCACTCCTATGGGGAATCTAAAATAATTAAACTCATAGAAGTTGAGAGCAGGATATTGGTTGTCAAAAACTGGGGAAAATAGGAAGGAAGGGGAGATAAGGATAGGTTGATTAATGGGTACAATGTTACAGTTAGACAGGAGGAATAAGTTCTGGTACTCAATTGCACTATTTAGTGACTATTGCTAAAAATACTACATCATATATTTCAGATAGATAGAAGAGAGGATTTGGGATGTTCTCACAGCAAAGTAAAGATAAATGTTTAAGGTGATGGATATGCTAATTATGACTTGAGCATTACACAATATATACATGTATCAGAACATCATATTATACCCCATAATTACGTACAAATTTTTTTTTGTTTGAAACGGAGTTTCGCTCTCGTTGCTCAGGCTGGAGTGCAATGGTGTGATCTCGGCTCACCACAACCTCTGCCTCCTGGGTTCAAGCAATTCTCCTGCCTCAGCCTCCTGAGTAGCTGGGATTACAGGCATGCGCCACCACGCCCAGCTAATTTTGTATTTTTAGTAGAGACGGGGTTTCTCCATGTTGGTCAGGCTGGTCTCGAACTCCCGACCTCAGGTAATCTTCCAGCCTCGGCTCCCAAAGTGCTGGAATTACAGGCATGAGCCACCGCGCCCGGCCTACAATTATTATATGTCAATAAAATAAATGTCATGGAAAGAAGTGGGCTGACAACGGGAATGTATCAGCTACCAAATAAAACAAACAAAAAAACAGTTCCTGGTGTCCATATTTAAAGAGACACAGATTAAACTCATTGTGGCATCTAATTAAAACCTCTTTGTTTTGATGTGGGATGTGGAAGTAATACTACACTCTTCTCCTTTGAAAGGAAGGAACTCATGACACTATTCCCTCCGAATAAACTTGCTAAAAATATTGTCAGGTAAAACCCTGTGAGGCTACTATGACTCTACTTGAAGTTAGGAGGTGTCATTCTGTCCTTCTCACTTTGCAAGCAAATGGGTCCTCAAAACGCAGTTGTCAGAGAAGAAAATGTTCTTCCCAATCTTTCAAAAATCAAACTCACCAATTCATATTCCTGATAGGCTTAAGAAGACTAAAACTATTCTATTTCTGTATTACATTGAACATTTTCATATTTTGGTCTAATGCATTATTTTATAATGTGTTTCAATTAACACTCCTATTTTGACAACTGATTACACTGTGTTTAATGAACAGATACAATATTCCAGACTCTGGGAGGTAAGTGTAAATCTTGCTTTTTTCCCAGTAAAAACCACTGGGTCAATAAAAATGACATTCACCTCAATCATTGCCGCTGAAATCCTTCTCAATATCTTCTCCTCATTATGAACCTCCTAGATAAAAAAAATGCTTACATTATATAAACTTCTTCCTCATCATCTTCCTTGTCCAGACTCCACAGACACAAACACCCCCCCACACACACACACCCCGTATACAACTTATACACACGTATACATGCACATTCATGCTCAAAGAAGATGCAGTAACAAAGAATGCAAAAGAAATCAGACTTCCGTGCACACCATTTCCTTTACACATATTGTCTGGTTTCATTTTGACTGTTTAGTTGATCACCACTCAATAGCTGGACTTTGATGGTTCATATACAGCATCATCGTCCAATTTTATCAAGGCCTGAAATTAACCTGCAATTTGGATGAGGCTGAGTATAGAGAAAAATACCTGAGTTCAGCCACAGAGGTAATATCCACTTAGGAGAAAACCAAAATTTCCAATGAATAAATGAAAAAGAATGTACAGTTGGCATCAGGTGCCCAAGATAAAAATAAAATAAACAAAACACAAAATAAGGAAGCTTCAGCAAATAATCTTAGTACAGTTGTAAGAGGTAAAGAGCAAAGTGATATTCAGGGAACATGAGCAGCATCATGAAAGGCTAACAGCCGTGATATAAAGTCCTCCTAATTAGGTTTATGGTTAGAGTAGGGAAAGAAATTGCTAGAATCAAATGAAGTCCCAGTCTTATAGGGACCAGAATATTTGATAGCTTGTTAAGAGGATGACAATGAATTAATCAGTTACTGTTTATTGAGTGCTTACTACATTTGAGCCCTGAACTTGATAGTTGAAGTTAACTTAATGATTGTGAAACAGGGTTATTAAATCTATCATGGAAAGTAGGAAACCAAAGTTTACATAAGTTAAGGTCCTAGGTCATACAGGGAAGTATTAAAATTAGACCCACACTCCTCTTCCATAATGAAGAGTTGATTACTGAGAAGTGACTATCTGACCATAGGCTACATTTCCCAGTATTCCCTATATCTAACTCAGTACATGTGACTAGTTCTCACTAATGGCATGTGAGTTGAAGTGCTTTGTGTCTCTTCTAGGACAAAGCATTTAAGAAATAAATGTGCCTTCTCCATTCTTTCTTTTTTCGTGTGCTGGCTGTAAGTAAATATCCCCAAGGTCCTAGCCTGTGGTGGAGACGTGAGATTAAAAAAATATGACCTCATCCATCACCAGGTCAAAAGCTACCCTTCAATATTCATATTTGATTGTTGTATGAGAAAGAAAGAAACATTTATTGTATTAATCATTCAGATTTGGCCTTAACAGTTGTGGCATCTATCTTTACATACACTAATTCAGTCTTAGTAACTATGAAACACCACCTTTCTAAAGAAACTACAATGTGTTGAGTGAGTACCTACTTTGAAGGGTTGTTGTGAGAACTTGGTTAATATATTTGTACAAAATTCTTAGCATAGTGTAAACATGTAGGCAGTATCACATATGTTCGGAATAACACTGATGATAATTTTGTAGTTTCATTTTAAATGCATTTTCTCATTTTAAACTGAAAATGGAATTAACTGGATTCAATAAATTTGAAAAATGAATATCAGAAGAATCAAATAACTTGTTTGTGACAGAGTTGGAAAAAATCCAGGTCCTTAGGTTAAAATGCTGTGCTCTTTTTCCACAACATTGTAACACTTTCTGGGTAAGAAAATAGAAAGCAAACACTTCTAAATTTGTTAACAAGTATGGAGTTTGAAAGGTATGGCTGAAGCCTTGAGAAAAATTTAGAAGCTCATTTATTCTAGTTGGGGTACAAGATCAAGAATAAGTCAAAAGCAAAGGTTTTTGATAAATTACTTAAATTTCTCTAACACCAAGTAAGGATTAGGTCTGACTTGCCAGTAGAAGTAAAAAACTACAGCTTTATAAATATTGAGACTCTTGAGGAAGAATCTTCTAAAATTTTTGGGCATATTCTTACTTCACTTATGGAGTTGAAAACAGCTTCAGAATAAGAAACCACTTTACTTTTCAAGAATGCACCCAATTCAAAATCCCCAATAAACATGTTTTTAACAGATTGTCTTTATTTTGTTTAAATAAAAATTACCTAAGTAAGATTGGGATTGATTCTAGACCACCATTATCCAATAAATCTTTCTGCAATGATAAAAATATATCCACATGATTAAATATGCTAGCCACCAGCCACATATGGTAAGCATCTAAAATGTGGTTAGTGTACCTGAGGAAATGAATTTTTAATTTTCTTTAACTTAAATTTAAAGTTATATAACCATGTGTAAACAGTGGCTACCATATTGGGCAATGTAACTCTAGATCTATAAGTTTTATTCTAGTGAAGAAACTGGATTTTTAATGTAAAAATGTGTGTGGATTAGAAAGATGCTTGAAATTTAGGGCAAAATGGTAACTATATGACCACATTAAAAGAAATACAGGATTTGCAAAACGGAAGTGATGTTTACACAAATGTAGACTAATTCAGTCCAAATGTACAAATCCATGTCCGTGGTGTGATTACTAGAAGCCTAGGCTGATGGTAATTTGCAAGGACATAATGCATAGCTGTGTAAACAGATCTTACATCCTAAGTCCTCAATCAAGTATTCAGCTTATTGTTGACCTTCCAAAGCCTCCATCTATGCCTTTATCCACCAGTTAATAATGAATTTGCCTTCTTCTTCAACAGAAAAATAGAGGTCATAAGATGTGAATTTCTTCAGTTTTCCTTCCTACTCTCTTGTCTATCTTTGTTTTAATATGCCCCTCTTTTTTTTTTTTTTTCAGAGAAAAAGGAATTGCTACTTAATGCCAATCATATATCTCCTTCAATTTCTCTTCCGTCCACTAACTTTTGCTTTCTGGTTTTTTTGTTTTTGTTTGTGTGTGTGTGTGTGTGTGTGTTGTTTTTGTTGTTTTTTGAGATGGAGTCTCGCTCTGTCACCAGGCTGGAGTGGAGTGCAGTGGTGCCATCTTGGCTCATTGCAACCTCTGCCTCCCGGGTTCAAATGATTCTCCTGCCTCAGCCTCCCGAGTAGCTGGGACTACAGGCACACACCACCACGCTCAGCTAATTTTTGTATATTTAGTAGAGACGGGTTTGCACCATGTTGGCCAGGATGGTCTCGATCTCTTGACCTCGTGATCTGCCCACCTCGGCCTCCCAAAATGCTGGGATTACAGGCGTGAGCCACCGCGCCCGGCTAACTTTTGCTTTCTTAAGGACCGTCTAATTAAGCTGGTTATATCTTATAAGTCTAGTTTTTATCTTTATTAATTTATATCCAGTTAAATTTATAAGTATACTTAAAAATTTATGATCATTAAAACCAACCAATCAACCAACGAACCAACAATATCTTCTTTGATTTATTGTCAGTGGTCATGTGTACACTGTGTTCATTTCCTAACCTCCTTCATCCATTAAGTCATGTCTTTGTGTTTTTTGGTCACAAAATCTAATGAGTCTCCTCTTTCAAAGTTCAATGTGTCCTCAATTAGCAGCTTAGATTGAAAAGTACACTTTTCTTTAATATCATGTTTACTACATGTTGATGATATCAGGTTTAAGAAAAATACTATAGTGCATAAATTTGCATGGCACAGTTGACAAATGGATTCGAAATGCTGACTTTTATCAGAGATACTGTTACATTATTTTATTTTCCCCTGAATAAATGGAAAATATGCACACATATTAATTCACAAAATACCTTTGTTTTCAGTGGAGTTATTCCAAAGAGCTGTACACTTTCTTCATGGCATTTAACTTTATTAAAAGTCTTCTGAAATAAAACAAAATTGCTACGCCTCAAAGAAAATAATATTATCTGGTATATTATCAAAAAGGTATTAACTTTAGTTCATAGAAATCGTTAAATATTTTAGTGATAGAATAAAATGTCTTTACTTTGGCAGCATTAAAATACTTACAAAAAATTAAGTCTTCTGTTTCAAGCTGTAGTTTTATCCAACACCAATTAAATTTCTTCATATAACATGTGAGACCTTAGTACATAGGGTAATATAGTTGTGGAGGTGCTAAAACGACTCACATTGAAATTTGGAGTATCATAATATTCATGGAATGCCCTGGGTCATGTACATAATGCACAATAAAGGCTGTTTTCTTAAAACTTCAACAATTTAAAGATTATCTTTATGCCTTTGAAATCTCAAGTAATTGATTTTTCTTGAAAACTGTTGTAAATATTACATTAGTACTTATTAGTAAGCAAGAACATTTTTTCAACCATGTTTTAATATTTTACGTTCTTCTAAAACACATATTGTGAATTAATAGAAATACTATTGAAAAATTGGAAACGTAATTTGAAATCATTCAAAAGCAAACGCCTCCACTTGAGCCCTATTAGAGGAATATGAACAAAATAATAATGAGCTTGAAAATGATTTTTTGAAAGCAATAAGTAATTTAGTAGCTAAGTCAGGGCCATAGTGGTTAAGGATCAGCTAGCCATACTGATAATTATATTCCCTATTTGTATGAGGTACAAATATAATGATGGGATAAATTAAAGATAGAGTGCTAGGCAACTCAACTTTCCCGATATATCGCCTCACAGCCTTTCAAAGGGTAAAGAGTACATTCAAACAGAAATCACAACACATTCTTTGTTACTGGCCTATCCATATTACATATTTTTGCCATTCAAATAAAAACTACAGTGTGCAATTACAGCCAATACCATCAACCACAAGAGCAACCCAGTTGACAATTCTCCAAGGTTTGCAGTCTTAGATAAAATTTAAAAATTAAATTATCACAGAATACTGTTTTATATTATAGTCTAAGTTATCATTTGTTTAGTATAACTTTAAATAACTTGCCTACTTCATAAAAGAAAGCAAGAGTGAGCAAGAACTACTGAGAAATGGGAGATTTTTACAAAGCTTCCTGTCTCAGAACATTCTACTTCAGTCCACATCATTAAATTAGTGAGTCAAGTAACTTTACAGGAGCAGTTTGACTCATTAACAGTGAGTGCAGTGTATGACTCAAATTACAAATTTGATACAGAAAATACAAAGTAAGAGTCTGGAACCTGCATAATCAAATAATCTTCCAATCTCAAGCAAATAGATACATATTATATATTATATAAATATGTATGTACATATGTCCATACAATATATGTGTATATATCATATATAAATTTTACATGGTTAATAGATTTATATTTATATAGGTTTATATTTATAATAGATTATATATTTATAATCTTTAGATTTATATTAAATAGATTTGTATTTATATTTATATTTATTTATATATGTATACATGTAAATATGTAAATATATACATGTATGCATATATGTAAACATGCATATATAGGCATGCATATACACAAACATATGTATATATGCATATATGTAAATATATGTAAATATACACATATATGTATATACATAAACATATGTAAATATACATGTATGCATATACATAAATATATGTATATATGCATATATGTAACTATGTATATACGCATATATATCCATATGTAAATATGTATGTATATATGTAAATATATGTATATATACATATGTATACATATATACATATGTGTGTATGTGCATATGTAAATACACACACGTATATATGTACATATGTATGTTATACACATATATGTAAATGTGTATGTATGTACATATATGTATGAAATATATGTGAATATGCACATATATGTAAATATATGTATGTATGCTTATATGTAAATATATGTATGTATGCTTATATGTAACTATATGTATGTATGCTTATATGTAAATATATGTCTGTATGCATATATAAATGTATGCGTACATGCATATATGTAAATGTATGTGTGTATGCATATATGTATATAAGTGGATATACATATATATGCATGTATGTATATGTATATATACATACATGTGTATATGTATGTATACACATATATACACATATATGTATGTATACACATGTGTATATATACATACATGTGTATATATACATAAGTCATGTCACATAAACAAAACCTCTCACAAAAATAAAACACAAACATTTACTTTTCCTCCTCCAGGGATACACTATTCATACAACACCCAGTATACTCTTTGCAGTCCTTTGCAAAGGGGAAACAGCACTATGCTAGTGCCTTTGTGCAAAATAAAAAAGTGACCAAATCTCAAGATACTCCATTTCATCTATTGGAAATTTCTTACTACAAATTGATTGTTTTATAACAAGACACATTGTTTCTATCTGCTAGAACATTCTTGCAAAAGATATTCAAATCAATGACATGTATTACATAAATGTTCCTCCTCCTTTAGACTTGGTGCCATCAGGTAATGCACAATCCATGAGGATGTATTCAATGGCTGTAAATCCACAGCCACCAGTAATAATTCTCTGAATATAAGGAAAGCTCTTTTCCAGCTGAGATGCAAGGATTCAGTTCTGGGAAATTAATCCCTGGAATTTAAGCTGCCATATTCACAATAACTCCACATTCTGCTGGCAGTACCCTATAAGCATTATAGTAGTAGGCAGGGTTTCAAGCAAATTCTCAGTCACTCTATTGGAATCACCATGTGTTCACCTGAGTCCTGATGACTACGTATATCTTGTTGGTGGCAACTTCTCCCCAGGGGTGCGATATCTAAGTCCACTGGCTTTTCCCATTTCCTAGTGGAGTTCCCTGGTGGCATTAACTTGCTCAAAGGGCATCCTAAATGGATTATGTTCTAGGGACAGAGGCTGACTGGTTCCCCTCTCAGGTGTGTCCTGAATAACAATTTTCAGATAACAGCTGGAAAACTGTTTCCTTTTGTAGCTTTGACACCTGCAAATGTGCTAAGCTTTCTTTCTTTCTTTTTTTTTCCGATAGTTTAATATTGCTTTTTGTTCTCTGCTCTTCTAGTCCCAACTGAAATAGCTCATTGGCCCAGAGCCCCAGGTTGCAGCCATCAGTGGCACAGTCTGTGGTCTGCCACAGTCCCAAGCTTTCAGCCATATCTCTACAGTTCCATACCCAACACTTAGAAAATCTTAAATGGGCCGGGTGAGGTGGCTCACGCCTGTAATCACAGCACTTTGGGAGACTGAGGAGGGTGAATCATGAGGTCAAGAGATCGAGACCATCCTGGCCAACATGGTGAAACCCCGTCTCTAATAAAAATACGAAAATTAGCTGGGCGTGGTAGCACGCACCTGTAGTCCCAGCTACTCGGGAGGCTAAGGCAGGAGAATTGCTTGAACCTGGCAAGAACCTAGCAAGAACCCAGGCAGAGGTTGTAGTGAGCTGAGATCACACCACTGTACTCCAGCCTGGAGACAGAGTGAGACTCCGTCTCAAAAAAAAAAAAAGAAAAGAAAAGAAAAAAAAATCTTAAATGGTTCTCTCTCTCTCTCTGTCTCTCTCTTTCTCTGTATATAGGTAGGTATCACTGAGAAAGTATCAACATCCTTGTTTCCTAGCAAGTTTTATTTTTTTTTAACACTGACATTAGAGTCAACAAATTCCAACTAGCCTAATACTTGTCGGCACAGAGATAAGTGTGGTATCATCAAAGTATGACTGGAAAGAGATCTACACATATATGTATTACTTACCTGTCATTCGATCTTATCTGTCATAAGGGAGGAAATCTCATTTGAAAATAAAGTATGGAGTGTCACTATCAGATAACTATATTTTGAACAAAGTTATAATTTTTCCTCTTCTCTCTTTGTCTCAATTTAGTCTAGCCTCTAAGGCCCTAAATCCAAAATTAACAATTAAAAAGAGATTTAGCAAGATAATAAAATGTTAAATCAAGAGTACTATTTCAGGAGTCTATTTGGTTTCTCACACACCTCTCATCACCTGGTTTTAAAGGGATTGAGGAATCAAAAAGGCTTGGCTCCTTTGAGATAGACTTCTATTTCTTTTTGGCACCCCAGCCTTGACTTTGTAATTCACAGAATAATTAAATATTTTGCAACACTAAAATTGTTTTTTTCAAACTTAAAATAATAGCCAATTGAACCTCTGAGGATAGTTTTAATTCTCTAAAATCTTGAGGGCTAACAGATGAAATGGGTATGTGGGTTTGATATGCCCCTTATTATAACAAAATATACAACCTATATATTTCATAATTGACTCTTGTCAAGGGACAACTTTATTTCTTCTTCGAGTCTCTTAAAGATTCTCTGCTAATCTTCCTGTAAAGTCTTGCAAATTGTAATTATGTTTCCTAAGTAAACAAGGACAGATGATAGTTGACCCTTCTTGTCAGCCATAGGGATTTGGGAGTCGTTTTTCCAAATTTCAACACTAAAGCGTATGGATTCTAATCGAAGCAGTCCAGATAAGAACTGTAAGAATTTTTCCACAGTGCCACTGTGGAACAAGCACAGCAGGTTCTTATAAAAACACTTCTGACTGTGCAATCATTCTAAACTTTCCCAGAAAACCTCAAAGATCTTAAAATTCTATCTTATAGTGGTTCAACATGAGAACATCCCACATCTCATTCAATACTAAAATTCATTTTATTTATAGGTTTATTTATTTATTTATTTGAGACAGAGTCTTCCTCTGTTGTCCAGGTTGGAGTGCAGTGGTGCGATCTCGGCTCACTGCAAACTCCACGTCCCGGGTTCAAGTGATTCTCCTGCCTCAGCCTTCCAAGTCGCTGAGATTACAAGCATGCACCACTATGCCTGGCTAATTGTTGTATTTTTAGTAGAGACAGGGTTTCACCATGTTGGCCAGGCTGGTCTCCAACTCCTGACCTCAGGTGATCCACCCACGTTGGCCTCCCAAAGTGCTGGGATTACAGGCGTGAGCCACTGTGCCCAGCATAAAATTCATTTTAAAATTTGAGATTCTTCTTCAAGTTCTCCTCTCATTTCTTAGACATCAATGATATCCTAAAATAAAATCCTCTTCCAGTATATAAAAGCAAGACACTGGGCACAGTGGCTCATGAATGTAAGCTCAGCACTTTGGGAGTCCTTGGTAGGAGAATTGTTTGACTCCGGGAATTCAAGACCAGCCTTGGCAACATAATGAGATCCCGTCTCTACAAAATAAATTTAAAAAATAAAAGAAAGTTACTGGGTGTGGTGGTACATGCCTGTAGTCCCAGCTACTTGAGAGGCTGGGTAAGAGGATCACTTAAGCCCAAGAGTGGGAGGCCGCAGTGAAGTGTGATTGCCCCACTGCACTCTAGGCTGGGTGACACAACAAAACTTTCCTTTTTCTTTCTTTCTCTTTCTTTCTTTCTTTCTTTCTTTCTTTCTTTCTTTCTTTCTTTCTTTCTTTCTTTCTCTCTCTCTTTCCTTTCCTTTCCCTTCCTTCCTTCCTTCCTTCCTTCCTTCTCTCTCTCTCTCTTTCTTTCTTTTCTTTCTTTCCTCCGAAAGTGCTGGGATTACAGGCGTGAGCCACCACGCCCGGTCACAAGACATTCTACATAATAATAATAATTATTATTATAATTAAAATAAAAATAAAAGGAAGACACAAAGGATGGTAGCATTTGGTGCTTTTCTGCCTCTAACTTCTGACAGGCTACAAATGTGAATTCTCAATTAATGGCAACAAGAAAAACATTCATTCTCTTTTTGTGTGCTCCTTATAGTACAAGGCAATACTTTAAAGAAACTTATCAAGACAATTGCCACTTAAATCTCCTAGATCCAGGATAAAACATTAGATAACTTTTCCTTTTTTGACTATATCCATTCTTCAGCAAGTTTTAGATGGTTTAAAATTGGATTATATAGTTTGAAGTCAGGTAATGTGATGCCTCCACATTTGTTCTTTTTGCTTAGTCTTGCTTTGGCTATGTGGGCTCTTTTTTTGTTCCATATGATTGTTAGGATTGTTTTTCTAGTTTAATGAAGAATGATGATGGTATTTTGATGGGTATTTCAGTGAAATTATAGATTGCTTTTGGCAGTATGGTCATTTTCACAATATTAATTCTACCCATCCACGAGCATGGGATGTGTTTCCATTTGTGTCATCTATGATTTCTTTGAGCAGTGTTTTGTAATTTTCCTTGTAGAGATCTTTCACTTCTTTGGTTAGGTATATTCCTAAGTTTTTTGTTTTGTTTTGTTTTGTTTTTTCTTTTGCAGCTGTTGTAAAAAGGGTTGAGATCTTGATTTGATTCTTAGCTTGGTTGCTGTTGGTGTATAGCAGAGCTACTGATTTGTACACATTGATTTTCTATCCTGAAACTTTACTGAATTCATTTATCAGATCTAGGTGCTTTCTGGATGAGTCTTTAGGATTTTCTAGGTATATGACCATATCATCGGCGTACAGCAACAGTTTGACTTTCTGTTTACCAATTTGGATCTCCTTTATTGCTTTCTCTTGTCTGATTGCTCTGACTAGGACTTCCAGTACTATGTTGAATAGAAGTGGTGAAAGTGGGCATCTTTGTCTTGTTCCAGTTCTCTGGGGAAATGCTTTCAACATTTCCCCATTCAGTATAATATTGGCTGTGGGTTTGTCATAGATGGCTTTTATTACCTTAAGGTATGTCCCCTCTAGGCCAATTTTGCTTATGGTTTTAATCATAAAGGGATACTGGCTTTTGTCAAATGCTTTTTCTATATATTTATTGAGATGATCATATGATTTTTGTTTTTAATTCTGTTAATGTGCCGTAGCACATTTATTGACTTGTGTATGTTAAACCAACCCTGCATCTCTGGTATGAAACCCACTTGATCATGATGTATTATCTTTTTGATATGCTGTTGGATTCAGTTAGCTAGTATTTTGTTTAGGATTTTTGCATCTATGCTCATCAGGGATATTGGTCTGTAGTTTTCTTTTTTTGTTATGTCCTTTACTGGTTTTGGTATTAGGGTAATACTGGCTTCATAGGCTGTAGTTACCAAAACAGCATGGTACTGGTGTAAAAACAGGCATGTAGACCAATGGAACAGAAAAGAGAACCCAGAAATAAAGCCAAATACTTACAGCCAACTGACCTTTGACAAAACAAACAAAAACATAAAGTGATGGAAAGGACACCTTATTCAACAAATGGTGCTGGGATAATTGGCAAGCCACATGTAGAAGAATGAAACTGGATCCTCATTTCTCACCTTATACAAAAATCAACTCAAGATGAATGAAATACTTAAATCTAAGACCTGAAACCATAAAAATTCTAGAAGGCAACATTGGAAAAACTCTTCTAGACATTGGCTTAGGCAAATAATTTATGACCAAGAACCCAAAAGCAAATGCAACAAAAATAAACATAAATACATGGGACTTAAACTAAAAAGCTTCTGCACGGCAAAAATAAATAATCAGCACAGCAAACAGAAAACCCACAGAGTGGGAGAATATTTTCACAAACTATGCATCTGACCAGGGACTAATATCCAGGATCTACAAGGAACTCAAACAAATCAGCAAGAAAAAAAAAACAAATAATCCCATCAAAAAGTCAACTATGGACGTGAATAGACAATTCTCAAAAGAAGATATACAAATGGTGAACAAACACATGAAAAAATGCCCAACATCACTAATTATTAGGGAAATTCAAATCAAAACCACAATGCGATACCACCTTACTCCTGCAAGAAGGGCCATAATTTAAAAAATCAAAAAATAATAGATGTTGGCAGAGATATGGTGAAAAGGGAACACTTTTACACTTCTGGTGGAAAAGTAAACTAGTACAACCACTAAGGAAAACAGTATGGAGATTACTTAAAGAACTAAAAGAGAACTACCATTTGATCCAGCAATCCTACTACTGAGTAACTACCCAGGGGAAAAGAAGTCACTTCATGAAAAAGGCACTGGAACACACATGTTTATAGCAGCACAATTTGCAATTGCAAAAATATGGAACCAGCCTAAATGCCTATCAACCAACAAGTGGATAAAGAAAATGTGATATATATATATATATATATATATATATATATATATATATATATATATATATATATACACATACACACACCATGGAATGCTACTTAGCCATAAAAGGGAACAAAATAATGGCATTCACAGCAACCTGGATGGAGCTGGAGACCATTACTCTAAGTGAAGTAACTCAGGAATGGAAAACCAAACATTGTTTGTTCTCACTTATAAGTGGGAGCTAAGCTATGAGGATGCAAAGGCATAAGAATGATATCATGGGCTGTGGGGACATGGAAGGAAGGGTGGGAGGCAGATGAGGGATAAGACTACACATTGGGTACAGTGTACACTACTTGGGTGATGGGTGCACCAAAATCTCAGAAATCACGCCTAAGGAACTTATCCATGTAATGAAACATCACTTCTTCCAAAAAAAAACTATTGAAATAATAATAATTTTTTAAATAAAAAATAACAAAATAAAATTGGGTTATACCTGACATAAAATAACACTAAAATTATAATGAATTCTGTCCCACTATCAAGTATAATTATCCCCAGATCTTTTCTACCTGTGTTTTCACCTCTAATTTGAGCATCACGTGGGCATTGAGTCAAGGATGGTATAAATTTCCTAATTTCCATTGATGTTCTTTATTTAAGGCTTATAACTAAAACAACTTAATTTTCTTATGTTAAATTTTATTTTGCCCACACTCTATTGTTTTTATTTCCATTATAAAAGCAATATGCTTTCAAATATAAAATGTTAATACTAATTACTATATGCCAGACAAAGGCTAAGTTCTGAACACCTTTATGAGGTAGATGAAATGAATATACCTGTCTCATAGATGATTAAACTGAGACACAGGGATTATGGGAAGAATGCTCCTCACAGAGAAAGATTAAGTGTTGTTGTGCTTAGGGACACATAATCTGGACTCGGATTGTGTGTATTAAAATGCTAGCATCATCATTTATTGGTTGAGCACTATAAGTAAGTTTCCCTTCATTCTCCCCTCAGTATCTTCATGGTTATAAAATACAGGATTCATCTGAATAAAATTAACATTCCATATTATCAGACCCCCATTATAGACACATAAACATATACACACATATATAAGCACTTTTGTTTCAGTTCATATATATGCCTAAAGCAGCAATGGTTACATTAAGGTAAAAATAAAGTATCATTTCTGAGTACTAGGACCCAGAAAGCACTGTTATATTTTTATATGTCTAATTCAAATATTTCAGAGATATCTCATGCTTTTCGAGTTTATAAACACAAGTCAGCATCTTATTACATATTTTTCAGTCAATCTAACTTGGCGACATGACTTTTTCAAGTTTTGGCACATTGACTAAGATTCTTCCTATTTATTTAACAAAAATGTATGTGTGAACTTCATGGAAGGGATTTTTGGAAAATGCAAAGATAGATAAGATATGGATCTTGCTCACTAGTGGTTTATAATCCATTCATATAAACTTAAATCAAAATGGAAGTGATGGCTTTAATTCAAGTAGAGATTGATAGACAAATGATAACTCTCATTAAAGTAGGCACAGATAAATTACCAGAAACGGGCAGAGAAAGGAAGAGATTATTTATTTATGTGACAGTCAGATAAGGATTGCATCATCTAAGAATTAATATGTGCATGTCCCCCATTTTTAATACACTCGACGTTTTCATATCAATTATTTTGAAATATTTTTGCCAATTTCTAGGCAAGAACTTTAAATACTCTATTAAATAATTCAAAATTGCAATCCATATGATTCTCAACTAGTTTGGTAGGAGATTTTCTTTTTGTAAAACCATTCAGGCAATCATTTATTACATTTTATATAGTCTAATGAAATATTTATCTTAAAAAATAAGGAGTGTCTCATTATTTCACTCTCATTTTATTCAACAGTAAAAGCATACTTGAATTCATATACCCGTCCTGGAAGTTTCTTGGAAGCAAAGATATAAACCATGAGTTAATTGTGTTTTTAATCCACAATGATTCAATGAGCTCTTACTATGTGTTAGGTACTCTTCTTGATAATGAAGATAGAACACTGAACAAAAGAAAAGTGTCTCTGATCTTACAGAGCTTTCATTGTAGTGGGGAAGTGGACAATATATAAAACAAACAACCATAAGTAAATATATCTATGTTGAGTTTGCAGATGCTGAAGGCCACAAAGGAATACAACAGCATAAGGGGATAGAGAGAATAACATGAGACACTAGTTTATGAAGCGTGGTCATGGAAGACAGCTATGAGGAAGTGACAGAACGTTCCTGGCAATGGAAGCAGCATGTTTTGAAATCTTCTAGTGGAGGCCAGGCGTGGTGGCTCACTCCTGTAATCCCAGCACTTTGGGAGGCCGAGGCAGGCAGATCACGAGGTCAGGAGTTCAAGACCAGCCTAAGTAACATGGTGAAACCCTGCCTCTACTAAAAATACAAAAATTAGTCGGGCGTGGTGGCACACCTGTAATCCCAGCTACTCAGCAGGCTGAGGCAGGAGAATCACTTGAACCCGGGAGGTGGAAGTTGCAGTGAGCAGAGATCACGCCACTGCACTCCAGCCTGGGTGACAGACCAAGACTCCGTCTCAGAAAAAAAAAAAGATAAATCTTTTAGTGGAGATGTTCTTGGATTCTTTCAGAAACAGCAAAGAAACCTGTAATTCTAGAGCTATACAGTTTAGAAACAAGCAGGAGATGACATAAAAAGGTAGGATATTGGCCAGGCGTGGTGGCTCACACCTGTAATCCCAGCATTTTGGGAGGCCGAGGCGGGTGGATCACGAGGTCAGGAGATGGAGATCATCCTGGCTAACACGATGAAACCCTGTTTTTACTAAAAATACAAAAAATTAGCTGGGGGTGGTGGCGGGCACCTGTAGTCCCAGCTACTCAGAAGGCTGAGGCAGGAGAATGGTGTGAACCTGGGAGGCAGAGCTTGCAGTGAGCCACTGCACTCCAGTCTGGGTGACAGAGCGAGACTCCATCTCAGAAGAAAAACAAAAGAACAAAAAAAGGTAGGATATTTAGGACATCTTAGGACTTTGAATATTGTAGAATGAAACGGAAAGCCACTAAAGGGTCTTAACAGGAGGAGTAATATGATCTGATTTAATATCTTAAACGGCCACTCTACCAAATGTTGATCATAGTGTGTCCAGAATTGGTTCCTTCCAGTGGGTTCTTGGTCTCGCTGACTTCAAGAATGAAGTCGTGGACCCTCACGGTGAGTGTTACAGTTCTTAAAGATGGTGTGTCTGGAGTTTGTTCCTTCAGATATTCAAATATATCTGGAGTTTCTTCCTTCCGGTGGGTTCGTGGTCTCGCTGACTTCAGGAGTGAAGCCACAGACCTTCACTGTGAGTGTTACAGCTCTTAAAGATGATGTGTCTGGAATTCATTCATTCCTCCTGGTGGGTTCCTGGTCTGCCAACTTCAGGAATGAAGCCGCAGAACCTAGTGGTGAGTGTTACAGCTCATAAAGGTAGTGCAGACCCAAAGAGTGAGCAGCAGCAAGATTTATTGTGAAGAGCAAAAGAACAAAGCTTCCACAGCATGGAAGGGGACCCGAGCAGGTTGCCGCTGCTGGCTCAGGTGGCCAGCTTTTATTCCCTTATTTGGCCCTGTCAACGTCATGTTGATTGGTCCATTTTACAGAGTACTGATTGGTCCATTTTACAGAGTGTTGATTGGTCTGTTTTTACAGAGTGCTGATTGGTGCATTTACAAACCTTTAGCTAGACACAGAGAACTGATTGGTGCGTTTTTCCAGAGTGCTGATTTGTGCATTTACAAACAGCTAGACACAGAGTGCTGATTGGTGTGTTTTTACAGAGTGCTGATTGGTGTGTTTACAAACCTTTAGCTAGATACAGAGCACTGATTGGTGTGTTTACAATCCTTTAGCTAGACAGAAAAGTTCTCCAAGTCTCCACCTGACCCAGAAGCCCAGCTGGCTTCACCTCTCAATAGAATGTGGTGAATAATTATGGAAGCAGGGACCCTCACAATATAGAGAAAAATCAATTCAAAATGGATGATAGACTTAAATTTGAGCTAAATCTCTATAACTTTTAGAAGAAATAAAGGATATTTTTAGACCTTGTACAAAGATTTCTTAGACATAACACCAAAAGGATGGCTTTAAAATGTTGATAAATTGGACCTCATTAAGATTCAAAAGACTTTCTAGTACTTCTAAAGACATCATTAAAAAAATGAAAAGACATACAATAAACTGGAAGAAAATATTTGCAAATGTACATCAAATATAGGATTTGTGTACTGAATTCATAAAAAAATATCTAACACCTCAATGGTAAGAAGACAATCTAATCAAAACATAGGCAAAATATATGAATATTTCACCCAATAAGATATATATTACTGGCTAATAAGCACATGAAAAGATATTAAACATTATTAGTCATTAGGAAGACACAAATTAAAACCACAATGAGATACCATTTCACACACACTAGAATGACTAGTCTGGATTGGAGTGGGGAAGCGGACAATACATTCACTTCTTAGTATGGATAAGAAAGGATATAGAGGGCCGGGCACGGTGGCTCACACCTGTAATCACAGCACTTTGCGAGACTGAGGCGAGTGGATTGCCTGAGCGCAGGAGTTTGATACCAGCCTGGGCAACACGGTGAAACCCTGTACCTACCAAAAAATACAAAAATTAACCGGGCGTGGTGGGGCATGCCTGTAGCCTCAGGTACTCAGGAGGCCGAGGCAGGAGAATCACTTGAACCCGGGAGGCGGAGGTTGCAGTGAGCCAAGATCGTGCCACTGCCCTCCAGACTGGTCGACAGAGCAAGACTCCATCAAAAAAAAAAAAAGAACCAAAGAAAAAATAGAGAAAAAGAAAGAAAGAAAGAGAGAGAGAGAAAGAAAAAGAAAGAAAGAGAGAGAGAGAGAGAGAAAGAAAGAAAGACAGAAAGAAAGAAAGAGAAAGAAAGAAAAAGAAAGAGAGAGAGAGGGAGGGAGGGAGGAAGGAAGTAAAGAAAGAAAGAAAGAAAAAGAAAGAAAGAAGAAAGAAAGAAAGCGGAAAGAAAATAGAGAAAGATCACTGGTGGAAATGTAAAATGGTGCAGCCACTTTGGAGAAGAGTTTGACCGTTTCTCAAAAAGTAAAAGATGCAACTACCACATGACCCAGCAACTCTGCTTGGACTTGCATGTCCAAGTTCATAGCAGAATTACTTATAATAGTCCCAAACTGGAAACAACTGAGGTGTTTAATTTTTAAATGGATCGACCAAATGTAGTATGCCAATGCAATGGAATACTCTACAGCAATAGAAAGGAAAAAATACTTACACATATAATTTCAGCAGTGACCCTCAAAAATATACTAAGCAAATGAAGCCAGATGCAAATGAATACATATTGTACAATTCCCGTTTATAAGAAATGTCCAGAGACAGAAAGTAGACTAGTAGTTGCCTTGGCTGGGGGTAGAAACAGGGAGAATAAAGAAGAAGGAACATGAAAAACATTGAGAGAATGAAAAAGTTCTCAGATTGATGTATCATTATGGTTGCACCACTCAGTAAGGTTAATAAAATCATTGAATTGTACACTTAACATTTTATGAATTTTATGATATGTACAATTAATTCAATAAAGTTGTTTTTAAAATGTGAAAGCAGGTAGACTAATTAGGAGGTACTATTTATAGTCAAAGGAAGAGATGATAGTGGCTTTGTGCAGTGAAGGGAGCATGTGTTCAAATCTCTGGTATATTTTAAAGTTAAAATCAACACAATTTTCTCCTGGATGTGCTGTAAAATGTGAGTGAGAGAGGAGTAAAAAAATCATTCCATGTTTTTTTGCACTAAAACAGCTGGTGGAATGGAGGTGTCATTTACTCTGATGGCAAGTCATATGGGTTAGGTTTGGTCAGTGGTAAATCAAAAGTTTGGTTTTAGACATGTTCAGATTGAAATACCTGTTAGTCAAGTGATGTCAGCTACACAATTGGAGTTTAGGGAAGAAATCAAGGATGTAAGGGCTAAAATGTAGTCATTGGTGCATAGTTTTTTCCTGTTTCTGAGTACTTTTGATACATAATATTTTACTTATTTACGGGATACATGGAATATTTTGCTACACATATAAATGTGTAATGATCAATTCAGGGTACTTGGGTTACCTATTACCTCAAGTATTTATCATGTCTGTATGTTGGGAACATTTCAAGTTCTCCGTGCTAGCTACTTTGAAAGATACAATACATTGTTGCTACCCTACTCTGCTATTGAACATTAGAACTTATTTCTTCTATCTAACAGTATGTTTGTACCCATTAACCAAACTTTCTGCTTCCCCCTCCCACCCATACACCCTGCTCAGTCCTTGTTCTATTCTCTACCTCCATGAGATCAGCATTTTTAGCTCCCACATAAGTGAGAATATTTAATATTTGTCTTTCTGTGTCTGGCATATTTTACTTAATGACCTCCAGTTCCTCTAAGTTGCTGCAAATGATGTAATTTCATTCTTTTTATGACTGAATTGTATTCCATTGTGTATATATACCACATTTTCTTTACCCATTCATCCATTGATGGACACTTAGGTTGATTCTGTATCTTTGCTATTGTGAATAGTGACACAGTAAACATAGGGATGAAGGTATCCCTTTGATATACTAATTTTTTTTCCTTTGGATAAATACCCAGTAGTGCAATTCCTGGATCATATGGTATTTTTATTTTCAGACTTCTGAGAAAGCGCCACACTATTTTCCATAATGGCTGTACTAATTTACATTCTCATCAACAGTGTGTAAGAGTTTCCTTTTCTCTACATCCTCACTAGCATCTGTTATTTTTTGCTTTCTTTCTTTTTGTTTTTTTTTTTTTCGAGTCGGAGTCTTGCTCTGTTGCCAGGCTGGAGTGCATTGGTGTGATCTCGGCTCACTGCAACCTCTGCCTCGCGGGTTCAAGCAATTATCCTGCCTCAGCCTCCTGAGTAGCTGGGACTACAGGTGCACACCACCACGCCCAGCTAATTTTTTTTTTTTTTTTGAGATGGAGTCTCACTCTGTCGCCCAGCCTGGAGTGCAGTGGCACAATCTCTGCTCACTGCAAGCTCTGCCTCCTGGGTTCACGCCATTCTCCTGCCTCAGCCTCCCTAATAGCTGGGACTACAGGCGCCTGCCACCACGCCTGGCTAATTTTTTGTATTTTTAGTAGAGACAGGGTTTCACCGTGTTAGCCAGGATGGTCTCCATCTCTTGACCTCGTGATCTGCCCGCCTTGGCCTCCCAAAATGCTGGGATTACAGGCGTGAGCCACCGCACCGGGCTATTTTTTGCTTTCTTAATAATAGGTATTCTAACAGGAGTAAGATGAAATCTCATTGTGGTTTTGATTTGCATATGATTAGTGATGCTGTGCATGTTTACATACACCTGTTGGCCATTTATATATCTACTTTTGAGAAATGGCTATTCATGTCCTTTGCCTACTTTTTAATGGAATTATTTGAGTTTTTTTACTATTGAGTTGTTTGATTTCCTTGTATATTCTAGATACTAGTCCCTTGTCTAATGAATAGTTTGCAAATTTTCTCTCATTCAACAGGTTGTGTCTTCATTTTGTTGATGTTTCCTTTGCTGTGCAGAAGCTTTTTAGTTTAATATAATCCCATTTGTCTATTTTTGTTTTCCTTGTATGTGCTTTTGAGATCTTAGCCATTTGTAAATTAGTACAGCCATTACGGAAAACTGTGGAGCCGCCTCAAAAAACTAAAAATAGAGCTACCTTATTATCCAGCAATCTTACTAATGGAATTTATTCAAAGGAAAGGAAAACAGTATATCAATGGGATACCTGCAACGCCATGTTCATTGCAGCACTATTCACAATAGCAAAGATATGGATCAACCTAAGTATTCATCAACAGATGAATGGATAAAGAAAATATGATACATATCCACAATGGAATGCTATTCAGACATAAAAAGAATGAAATCATGTCATTTGTAGCAACACAGATGAAACTGGAGGTCATTATGTTAAGTGACATAAGTCAGGCACAGAAAGACAAATTTCGCATATTCTCACTCACATGTGGGAGTTTAAAAGGTTGATCTCATGAAGATTACAGAGTAGAATGATAGTTACCAGAGGCTAAGAAGGGTGTGTGGGTGTGGAGAGGGGGATGAAGAGAAGTTGGTTAGTTGGTACAAACATGCAATTACACAGAATGAGTAAGTTCTAATGTTTGATAGCAAAGTAGAGTGACTAGTTAGCAATGTATTGTATATTTCAAAATAGCTAGTAGGTAGGACTTGAAATGTTCCCAACACATAGAAATGATAATACATATGGTAATGGATACCCTAAATACCCTGAGTTAATCATTACACATTCTATGAATGTAACAAAATGTCACATGTGTCCCATATATATGTACAGATATTATCAATAAAAAAATTCCAAACTGACATATGATAAAAGGAATAGGAAGATTTACTCTGTTCTGAATCAATTTCCTATTATCTTATTTTTTACAACCTTCCAACTCTGAGAATAAAACACTACCCACACCTTATTTCTATTTTTGAACTGTATTAAATTTTTAATGCTTTAGCATTTATCTCACCTTAAAATTACCTGGAATTGGGCATTATTAAAATGAGCCTGAAAATAAGGATTCTTGCTATTTTTATCTATCCATAAAAAGGTAGGTCTTCATTTAAAATTCTACATATAGTTAGAATACATAAACTGATGATACAGTCATATACATTTTTGGAGACTACAAAAATTCCATTTCAAAGAATAATGCAAAGAGAAACTATTTAAAGCAATCATGTAAATATATATTTAGAGATATGCAAGAACAAAATTATGAAACATCAGCATCTCACTATAAACTAGTCTTTTCCACTAGTATAATAGTCAATCATTCTGAAATATTGATATCTCAAATTAGTGTAATTCTAAAACAAGGTATTCAAAGCCAAAGTGAATATCAGTGCACATTATAAATCTTTCATTACATAGATTTTAACATTTAATATGTTTAAAACAGTAATAAAACATGCATATACTTATTCATAGGGTATCTAAACGTGTATACATTATACTAAATATAAATAGCATGTCTCTGGAGAATTTTAGTCTTGTCCATAAAAACAGCTGCCAGAAACCTCCACTGAACCAGAAATTGAAAAGGAAATATAGCATTAGGATTAGTACATCTGTTTAGTTCACTTTTGCCACTAATGATCACAAAATCTAAGCTAATGGAATAAAGATCTCTGAATCCCAAAGTAATTTCTAACTAGAATGATGGAAATGCTTTTATGAATATATGTTTGGAAAGCCACTGAAATTAATAATGACAATGAATTTTAAAATTAATATTGAAGCAAAGTTCTTCTGAACTTGTGATTTCCTTCGCTGTCACAAAATTAATTGTGCACATTACTCCTCAAATACTCACTATACTGATTCTATAAAGGTATCTTCTGTGGTGTGAAAAACTCAGGCAGGCTAATGTGATGGTTTTGTCAATACTTCCACAAGTGGTGTCAGTGACTCATCTTTGAACTGTGTGATGGCATAAGCATCAGTAAGGTAGGCATCTATCATTCCCGAATCCATATATGCTGCAGAGTAAGTCCACCGAGAGGGCCCTGCATAGAGAACTGATGATAGCTGGCCTCCCAAGCAGCTGCCATTTATTTAGGGAACATAAGCTGAGTGGGCAGAAGAACCCTCTTAAGAAGTTACTGAAGCATGGCATTCAGATTAGGTAGCATAGTTGTGGACTCCTGGGAGCAGAAGTGGCAGAGCAGATAGCTCTTTTCTATCCTAGTTGTCAGGCAGACAGTGAGCAGAAGCAGCAGGGTGACAGACCGCCACTTCAGTTACTAGCAGAAGGCTACATATCATTAAGGACTTTGAAATATAAAAATTACTGTACCGAAACGTACAGCTCTATAGTCAAGAGAGATCCTTCCCAGAGACCCAAATCAAGACATCTGGCAATCTTTCTTCACAAATGAGACTTTCTATTAGAAAATGGGATTCAAGGATTTAGCTCAGAAAAAGGACTTATTACACAATTACTAACAAACTTTACAAGCTCTAGATATGAGAAAAGCCCATTAGGTTGTCACTTTTCTCCACCCCCAGAATTATTCTATATGCTACAAAAGATGTTTTAACCAAAAAAAAGTATAATTTATAGTTAGAAAAGTTCAGAATCATCCTTGTAAATTTGCATAAATTTATCACTGAGCCTCAATTTTCTCCTCTTTAAAATGGGAATAATAATTTTTCTTTTTATTATTTTTAGCATTAACAATGTTTTAAATGTGCCTGGAATATTGTAGGTATTAAATGCATGGGAGTTGTAATTAGTACTCATTAGGAAAAAAAATACCCTTTACATTTGGAAAGCATTTTCTTTATTCCAAAATGCTCTCACACATTAGCTTGTGAAGTAGGTAGAACATTCTTATTTACACATTCATTTTACAAATGAAGGACATAGGTTTCAGCAACAGTGACTTGCACTAGCTTATTAGTGGTAGAGATTGCACTGAAAATCAAGTCTTCTAACTTCATTTCCACTGTTCTTTGACTTGTAAAAATTTATTAGTTTGGTGTAAAAGTAATTGTGGTTTTGGACCATGGATTTTAAATCATTACAACTAGGCTCACATTTTTGCAAACAAGAAATGTTTGTTTATTCCTGTACTGTAAAAATCCATGCTTTGGGATTTGATAAAGTCTTGGAAAGCATTTTCTGCATCCTGCTGGTTGTGGAAGCGTTTTCCCTGCAATAAAAGTCGAGATGCTTGAAGAAGTGGTAGTCGGTTGGCCTCTCGAGAGGTCAGGCAAATATGGCAGAAGAGGTAAAAGTTTATAGCCCAATTTATTCAACTTTTGAAGCATTGGTTGTGCCATGTGTGGTTGGGCATTGTAGTAAAGAAGAACTGGGTCCTTTCTATTGACCAATGCTGGCTACAGGCCTTGAAGTTTTCGGTGCATCTCATTGGTTTGCTGGGCATACTTCTCAGATGTAATGGTTTTGCCGGGATTCAGAAAGCTGTAGTGGGTCATACCAGCAGCATATCACCAAACAGTGACCATGACTTTTTTTGGCGCAAGTTTGGTTTTGGGAAGTACTTTGGAGCTTCCTCCCCATCCAGCCACTGAGCTGGTCATTGCCAGTAGTTGTATAAAATCCGCTTTTTGTCACAGGTCACAGTCCAATCGAGAAATGGTTCATTGTTGTTGTGTAGAATAAGAGAAACATTGTTCAAAACAATGATTTTCTTTTTTGTTTTCTCTTGGCTCTTGAGGCACCCACTTATCCAGCTTTTTCACCTTTCCAATTTGCCTCAAATGCTGAACGACCATAGAATGTTCGACCTTGAGTTCTTCGACAACTTCTCGTGTAGTTGTAAGAGGATCAGCTTTGACGATTGCTCTCAATTGGTCATTGTCAACTTCTGATGGCCGGCCACTGCACCGTTCATCTTCAAGGCTCTCGTCTCCTCTGCAAAACATCTTGAACCACCACTGCACTGTACATTCGTTAGCAGTTCCTGGGCCAAATGTGTTGTTGATGTTGGGAGTTGTCTCCACTACTTTATGACTCATTTTGAACTTGAATAAGAAAATCACTCAAATTTGCTTTTTGTCTAACATCATTTTCATAGTCTAAAATAAACATAAAATATCCAGCAAATAATAAGTCATTAGCAAAAATAAAGTGAGAAATGCTCATTAAAATGATGTATAACATAACCAGTTTATTTAATAATGTATTCCAGTATCAAACGGCAAATTCCAACAATGCAAAAATCGCAATTATGTTTGTGCCAACCTAATATAAAGTATGCATTTAGAATATTTAGAGTTTTATTCAAGTGATTCGTTGATTTTTAAATGTGTTCTGATAAATGTAAAAAATACAGAAATAGATGGAGTAATGACATAAGAAATATACAAGGACCCACTGCACAGATTTTGTACAAGGATCCATAACACAGATTTTGGTTCAAAACCTCTCTCCAATCAATTTCTCTCTCCTCCTCCCCCTTCTCTCCAGTCCCCCTTCCCTCCTTCTTTCACTCTTTCTCTTTCCTTCTCACACTCTTCCTCTCCCTCTTCTTCTTCCCACCCCCTCTTAAATTATGAGGTTAGGTTGTGGAATACATCAAACATCAACCATAAAAGACAGTGGTATCATCTATTTTTAATTCCATTCCCCTCCACACAGAAGCTACTACCATATCTTTAAAGTGTAAACTGTTTTTTTCACTCTGTATTTTTTGTATTTGTACACTTTTAGAGTGCCCAAAAGAATCATGAATAGAATTATATTGTACAAATATTCTACGACTCACTTTTATGTCTCAACATTTTATTTTTTAGATCGTCATGATAATATAGACTAATTGAGTTTAATCACTTTAACTTCTGAGTAGCCTTTTATTATATGAATAGAACTTACATGTTTTATATAATTCTTAACCTTCTTTTCAACCAGTAAAAATGTCTCAATTAATTATCTGGAATCTATTAAATGCAAAATCTATTAATCTGTTAAAGCTTCCTTTTCTGAAATTATGCTTATTTAATTGTGTCAGATGTACCATGAGACTAGAATATTTATCCTCTCTTTATTAGCTGTATAGTTCTCTTCAAATGGCTACAGGAGAAATTAATGGTGTACAAATTACCTATATTTATGCTTATTTATGTACAATATATTATATTCTAAGAAAACTTTCTTAAAACCTTCAAATAGGGTAACACATTTAAAATTTCATTTTTTAATTTTTTTTGTTTTTATTATACTTTTTTAATGCTATTTCATGTTATATATTTTGAAGATAAGCTCTTAGCTTTGTACAAATTTATAATTGCCATGTATTTATCATAAATGTTGGCTCTTATTATATTATAGTTATCATTAGTTTTATTATTATGGATTCTTGGCATGTGAAATTGTATTTTATGTAATATTACATATTATCTTATTATCTTCTATTTGTTTAGTTTGTCAGATACATATTGCCTTCCAACCCTGATGATTCAAATGTATCTGTCAGTTTGCTTTTGGGGTTTCTCTTAATAAGCCACACACATCTAATTTTCAAGACTCTAGTTTCTTAATGTCTTCTAATGAATGAATTTAATCAATTTATAATTCTCATTTTATAATATATGTATTTATTTTACTATTTTAAAAAATTGTCATGCTTTGGTTTCATATTAATTTTCTTCCCGCATTCTATTATTCCGTTTTAATCGAGGTCCTTAACATTAAACATCCATATTAATTTTATATTTAATTCACAAATTTAGAGTGCGCCCATGATTTTTCTCATCCCTTACATGACAGAATTTATTCAAATATCGTCTACCATTCATCCCTCTATTTTTCCTAGTCTTTTCATTAAGTTTTGCTTTTAAACAATTCCAAACTTTACTACAATATTTTAAAATCTCACATGTTTACATTTATTTATTTATTTATTTATTTATTTATTTATTTATTTATTTTTGGGACAGAGTCTCACTCTGTCGCCCAGGCTGGAGCGCAGTGGTGCAATCTTGGCTCACTGTAACCACCACTTCCTGGGTTCAAGTGAGTCTCCTGCCTCAGCCTCCCAAGTAACTGGGACTACAGGCACACACCACCACACTCGGCTAATTTTTGTATTTTTAGTATAGACAGAGTGTCACCATGTTGGCCAGACTGGACTGAAACTCCTGGTCTCAAGAGATCTTCCCACCTCGGCCTCCCAAAGTGATGGGATTACAGGCGTGAGACACCGTGCCAGCCTCACAACTTGTTTAGATTTAACCATTTTCTCTTTCGTCATTTCTTCTTTCATTCAATTTCCTCTTTCTGGGTTTATTTTTCTGTGTGTGGAAGTATATCCATTAGTGGTCACTTTGAAGATAATCTGTGAAAAGTTAAGCCTTTTTACCCCACTTTTATTTTGGATTTAGAGGGTACATGGACAGGTTTGTATTTATATTTATATATATATGCATATATGTATACATGTAAATATATGTAAATATATACATATATGCATATGTAAATACATCTATATACAGATATGTAAATATATACATATACGTATATGTAATATATCAATTTACATATATGTAAATGTATATGTATATGTGTGTGTAAATATATGTATACATGTATATGTGTGTAAATATATGTATGTATACATATATGTATATGTGTGAATATGTATGTGTATATGTAAATATATTTACATATATGCATAACGTGAATATGTATATATGTAAATATATTTACATATATTTACATATACGTATATATTTACATATATGCGTATGTTTATAGCCATACACATTTACATGCATACATGTGTATACATGCACATTTACATATATGCATATTTACATATATTTACATATACATGCGCTTTGCACATTATGTATTTACATATATTTACATAAACATGCATCTGTGTGTTTGCATATTTACATGTATTTACATAAATATGCATTTATGTATTTACATATGCATATATTTACATATATGCATATGTGTGTTTACATATGCACGTACACACATACATTTACATGTATACATATGTATATATACATATATTTACATATACACATACATATTCACACATATACATATATGTATACATACATATATTTACACACATATACATGTATACATATATTTACACACACATATATACATATATTTACATATTTACATATATACACATACATTTACATATATGTGTATTGATATATTACATATATGTGTATATACATATGTGTGTATATATGTGTGTATATGTGTATACTGTGTGATGCTGAAGTTTGGGGTACACATGATCCCACCCAGACAGTACCCAATAGGTTGTTTTTCAGCCCATTCACCTCCCTCCTTCTCCTATCTAGTAGTCCTTAGTTTCTATTGCTCCCATCTTTAAGTCCACATGTACTCAATGTTTACCTTCCATTTATATATCAGAACATATAGCATTTAATTTTCTGTTCCTGAGTTAATTTTCTTAAGATAATGGCCTCCAGTTGCCTCCATGTTGCTGCAAAATAGATTATTTCATTCTTTGTATGGCTACACAGTATTTCATGGTGTATATGTACTACATTTTTAAAATCCAGTCCACCATTGTTGGGTCCCTATATTGTTTCTGCGTCTTTGCTATTGTGAATAGCACTGACAAAGACATATGAGTGAATGTTTGTTTTTGGTTGAGAGATGTATTTTCCTTTGAGTATATATCCAGTAATGGGATTGCTGTGTCGAGTGGTAGGTCTGTTTTCAAATCTTTGAGGAATCTCCAAACTGCTTTCCACAGTGGTTGAACCAATTTGCATTCCCACAAACAGTGTGTAAGCATTCCCTTTTCTCTGCAGTTTTGCCAGCATCTGTTATTTTTTGACTTTTTGGTAATAGCCATTCTGACCGGTGTGAGATGGTATTCTATTTTGGTTTTAATTTGTATTTCTCTGATGATTAGTGTTCATGAGCATTTTTTCATGTTTGTTGGCCACCTGCATGTCTTATTTTGAGAAGTGTCTGTTCATGTCCTTTGACCACATTTTAATTGGATTGTTTTTTGCTTGTTAAGTTCCTTCTAGGCTCTATTAGACCTTTGTTGGATGTATAGCTTGGAAACATTTTCTCCCATTCTGTAGGCTGCCTGTTTATTCTGTTCATAATTCTTTTTGCTATGCTGAAGCTCTTTAGTTGAATTAGGCTCCCTTGTCAATTTTTGGTTTTGTTTCAATTGCTTTTGGGTTCTTAGCCATAATTTTTTTTTTTTTTTTTTTTGCCAAAGCTCACACCGAGAAGGGTATTTACTCAGTTTTCTTCTCAGATTTTTATAGTTTGAGGTCTTACATTTAAATCTTTAGTCCATCTTGTAAAAAGTTAACTTTTTTATCTTTAATTGATTATAAATGTGTTTGTCTTCAGTCAATATTTTGCTCAGGTTTCCTAAGTTTTCTAATAAATATTGCTTTAGGGAACAGCTATCGTTTGTTTGCAGAATGAATAAATATGTTGTTGAATTATTTGGGACACAAAATACAAGTAACTTTTTATAGAAACCTCTTTATAATACCAAATAAGGTATAAGTACTTTCAAGAGACTTTTAAAATAATCTCAATGATATAGCAATCTCAAAGGTTATTTATTTTTGTTTTTAAATAGTTAGTGAAACCATTGAAAAGCTTTTACAAAAAAGTTAATAAATTTGCTTTTTATTTTATTCCATAAAGCCAGTTTTCAAAATTTATTACAAAACACAGCAATGACTCTACATAAGAAAATGATTTGTAAAGGTCTGACAAATTTGAAGGCTTTGCCAAATATGCACCACAAAACATTCATTGTTGTTAGATTAATTTACTCAGGATTATTGATACATTTTCATTCTGGGTTAGTATTTTCTTTTCATGTGAAAAATATTAAATAACATATATTATTTACATTCATAGTCATAGAAATGTATTAAGATCTCTACATTTCATTGCTTTGTTAGAAATGTCCTAAAGCTCTAACGAGATTGCTTTTAAAGATATACATTACTCAATTACTTTAAAAAGTATATCCATGTCCTGAGTTGATACTAGGCCCAGATGAATTATATGGCCAAACACACATAAAAAGTGCAAGCCTAGCTACTTTATAGTGTAGGCACATACACTGCACCACAATTTCTGCAATGCTTCAATAATAGATGAGAAGTTGCTCTATCTGTTTCTGTGAGCCAGATAGCAGTGAGAGTCTCACTGGCTAGTTGTATTTCTCCTATGTGACACTAGATTAGAATTTGATGAGTAATGTTTCTGTCTTGATCTCAGAGAATATATGGGCCACTCTATTGTAGCTGTCAGTTTTGAGTATGTGCAGTACAACTTTGATGATAAAAGAGAAAGTTAACAAATGACTGTAAAAGTGGTCATATCGCATGGTAGTTTTAATAGAGCAGAAGTAGTTGTGATTACACCAGAGTAACATTATCAGGTTTTTTTTCGTGTGTCTATTCCTATTATCAGGTACCCAGAGAGGTCATGAAGAAAAATAATCAAAGTCCTTGGGGCTGCAATCTTTTCAAAGACGAGGTTGATATAAAGGTGAGGTTGATTTTAGGGTCAATCTGTATAGACCACTTTAAGAACATTCCTCTCCATCAATTCACTATGTATTTCTTACTTTGACACCAAACATTTAACCAATTGTCTACCTTACCAAATTAAATGCATCTGAATTTGACTGTAGAGTTCAAACATCACCACAGGAAACAATTAGAATATCTCTTGAAACCTAACCATATGTGCCTTCTCTTACATAGGTAATAAACTCTGTGTCAGGACAGTATGAAGTATCTCACATCCAATAAACCATCCAAACAATGAACTAGGTGAGTTATTTATTTATTTACTTATTTAAAGTGTGATGAGTTAATGCATAGCTTGATCTTTCAACTGGTTGGCTTCCTTTAGGAAAAATCTATACCACATAACTTCAGAGAAGAGTTTAGTTTTCTTAAGTAAAGGACGCATGGATAGACAGTTTCTCTATTATGTCTTCCAACATGGCATGCCAATTACAAACAAAAGATTTAGCAGTGTCAAGACTTCAAATACATATACGAAATTCTCTCGTACCTCTTGTAGGTTTACATTATGGTGCTCAATTAGCTGAAAGAGACACTCAATTCTATTTTGTAAACAGAAACATATGTACATACATGCATATTATATTTAAGTTATATTTTATCCCATTAGTTCAGGGATCAACACACTGTCCCACCACCTGTTTCTCTAAACAAAGTTTTATTGAAATACAGCCACATCCATTATTTCACATATTGTCTGTGGCTGTTTTCCCATTACGACAGCAGAGTTAATTAGTTGTGACAGACCAAATGGCCAGCAAAGCCTAATATTTTAATAATCTTGCCCTTTAAGGAAGACTTTGCCAACTCTTGCACTAATTGATTTATTTTAAAAGCGTACAAGGAACATATTTGCATAATCAATAAGCTGTCATGTTCCTTGCTTCTATAACGAATGCTCGTTTATAAATATTTTTAAGGAATATAATATACACTGACGTCAATATTCTTTTTTTTTTCTGTAAGCATTCTTTGTTCAGTGAGCACATGGTTCCATTAATGAGAATCTGAGGGAGCTGGTATCATTGCCAAGGGGGAGCCTGACCTGACCTTCTCATTCAAAAAAGATCTAGTTAGTATCCATACTGAGGGACAGATTTTGAATATGTAAAAGTACGTATCAGCAGTTCATTGAGCCAAATAAAGGCTTATTGATTAAGCAGGGTGCTACTGACATTCAAAAACCACTGATGTGCTTAGAAATGGGTAATCCAAATGCCTAGATTAGATTAGGGGAAAAGAGTTCAGATGATGCTGACATTGATTTTTCAGTAACTTTTTGCATTATAATGTCCATATTTTCTGAGTCCAAATAAAGAGAAGATATATAAATGATTTAACAGCATAATGGTCTCTTGAAAAGTTGTATAACCTATTATGTTTCTTCATTATTTTGAAATAAAACAAATGCTTTTGTTTTCTATGTATTTGGAATTCTTTTACTTAAATAAGACGTCATTGTAATAAAGGACTATGACAAAGACAGAATCAAGCAAATAATTAAGCATTTAACATAATAAAGAAATATGAGAGGTATAATCGACTCCACAGTTCACTGTAATTTGACATTGTCAAAGGTAGCCTGATTTTTGGTTTCTTTGGTCACAAATTCACGCAGAATGCTTCAGATTATTCTAGTCAAGAGTCTTAATCCATTGCATCTAAGTGAAAAAAAAGGTAAGATTAGAATTAGACAGATAAATTGTTAGTGAGGGGAAGGATTAATGAATGCAACATATAAGGAGCGGGGCTATCAGATTGAAACATACTTAGCTAATTCTACTTAAATAATGTTGCTAGGTGATAGGAATTTCCTTGGTTCACATCAGTGATTCTCAATTCGTTCCACTTTAGGAGCACCTGGAGTTCTTTTCAGATAATACCAAATTACAATGTACACTACTCAGGGGATGGATACACTAAAAGCCCAGACTTCACCACTATACATCCATGTAACCAAAACAACTTGTGCTTTAAAAGCTATTGGAATGAAAGAAAAAATTTAAGGTAGGTGACCTGAGATCTTCAAGGGCAAAGCCAACCTAGAATGGAGTTATACACCAGCTGTCAGAGTCACCATTAGGACATGATACACAGTAGACACTTCTCCCTCTGGCCTGTCTTCTTAATAGAATATGAGTTGTCAAGTGACTAAGTATGTGAGATTGGGATGACATTGAGGAAGACACCTTATTGAGACTTTAAAAATCATGGAAGTTTCCCTGTCTGAGTCGGTCTTGGGCCAGGACATTACCTGTCTCTCATGGTGGAGTGGGAGCTATGTCGTCAATAAAATCTTTGAGAATTCTCCAAGCCAAAAAAAATAAGATAATACCAATTATTAGGCCCCACTCCAAATTAGTTATATCAAAATCACTGGTGTTGGGGCCTGAGAGTAGCTAGGGCCTCAAAGTTCCCCAGGTGATTCCAACGTGTATCAAGGGCTGGGAAACCACTGAATAGATTAAAAATATGAGACAGTTTTCCCATTAGATATGGAAAATTTTGAGAAGCGATACAAAATTTTTAGGAACTTTTGGGATTGAGGCTATTAATAATTTATGAAGCAAGGTGATAGTCATAGTTCCCAGTTGTTTGAATGGATTTATTCAAACTGAGTATTCAGCGAACTTATTCATAGAATACAAGTAGGTAAAATGGTTAGGACATGATCTAGTGTACTGGGACTCTGAAAATATTAAAATCTGAGATTAATTGATTTTTGGTTTTCAAATCATATTCGGGTTCTCTCCTTTGGAGAGTGATATGCTGGCCAATGGCAACATCCATCTTGAAAATTTTGTTGAAAATAAACCTAAAGTAAGACAATGTCTCCTCTTTTATGGTCAAACAAGGGTATTTGTGCAACATGAAAGTGAAAAATAAACCTACTAAATCCTTGATTTTTAAAAGCTTGATCTACTTATTAATGGATGCTCCTTGAAGGAGGTCCACATAAATCATATTCTAATAGGTTGCTTAAACTTTCATAGTGTATCTTAAGTAACTTAATAGAAAAATTCAGGAAACATGTTTTCCTGAATAGCAAATATAGGAAAATATAGTCAAATGATTTGAAGTAATTATTTACTTTATTATATAAATGAAAAGATTCACAGATAAGAAACTGGGACTCTCCCAAACTATAGCTAGTGTTCACTTTATTGATAGATGCCAAAATGGACTGAGTGAAGTTTTTTTTTAAAAATACATTTATACATATTATATATGTATTAGTAAGAGATAAACATTAGAAATTATATATTATGATTTTATACATAATATATATTTCTAGACATAATTTTATACATAATTATATAATTATATACTATATTATGTATTACATATATCTGAAGCTACTATATTATATAGAAACTTCTATAATATCATATGATATAGAAGCTTCAAATATATGTAATATCTAGTATGTATTATATTATTTACATATAATATATAAATAATACATGTAAATAATATATGTATAAATAATATATGTATATCATATATAAGTACATTAATATATGTATATATAATATACATTATACATATATTATATATAAATATATAATTTCCTCATATACGATTTCTAATTTTCATCTATCTTACTAAGGACAAGAAAATTCTAAATGACTGTCAATGTTCTTATAATTAATTTTTTAAAAAGTATTTATTGACATTCTGTAAAATAATTGGTATGTACTCCCCCACAATTTCATGATCAAGAAGAACAGAAAAGCTGAGAAACGATTCCAGATTAAAGGCTACTAAAGACACATGATGTAGACATAAATGCAATGCATGGTTGCAGATTGAATCCCACAATAGAAAAAAAATAAATATTCTAAAAGAAACTTTTTTTTTTTTTTTGAGACAAAGTCTCACTTGTTCCCCAGGCTGGAATGTAATGGCGTGATCTCGGCTCACTGCAACCTCTGCCTCCTGGGTTCAAGCGATTCTCCTGCCTCAGCCTCCCAGGTAGCTGGGATTACAGGTGCCCGCCACCACGCCCGGCTAATTTTTGTATTTTTAGCAGAGACGGGGCTTCACCATGTTGGCTCAGCTGGTTTCGAACTCCTGACCTCAGGTGATCTGCCTGCCTCGGCCTCCCAAAAAGCTGGGATTACAGGCATGAACCACTGCACCCCACCTCTAAAAGGAACTTAGAAAAATTGTGAAATTTAAATATGGACATTGAATTAGCTAATAATACTGTTTAAATTATAAATTTTCTGACTTTGCTATCTACACTCTTGCTAATCATGAGAATATTCTTAGAAAATAAATATATCTAACAGGTAGATAGGCATAAATATTTAGAAAACATCATGGAATATGGCAAAATATTAACAATTGATTAATCTGGTTGAAGGATATATAAACATTCTTTTTTTTTTGCTTGCAACTTTCCTATAACTTTGAAATCATTTTATAAATATAAGTATCAAAATGCTTTTTACACTGTGCATGTAGCAGGTGCTCTTTTAGGTGAACAGAAAAATAACATAACTAAAATCATGGTTCTTGCATCTTAGGGGATGAAAACAGATAAAAACAGAAAACAAGTAAATAAATAAGATACTCTTGAATAATGTTACTGTGAAGGAAATATAATGGGGTGGTACAATTATGTCGTAGAAAGAATTGGGGTGAAGAGTGTTATTTATACAGGAAGACTTCCCAGAAGATACCATGTTTAGCTGAGCTAATCATTGGGAGACCTTAGGAAAGGACATCCAGACAGACATTTTGTAAGGCCAAGAAATAAAGGAAGGCCAGTGTAAATAGAGTTTAATGAACTACCAAGGAGCTCATAAAAGCTTCAATGCTTCAATTTAAAATTTAGGTATTTTTTTTAACCTAAACTATCTCTGGGTGGGCATTTTGCTTTTTTAAAAAACTTAGACTGAGACAATTCTAGGTGTCAGAAAACTACAAGTAAAAAGGCTGCCACAAAGAACAATTCTTAGGTTAACTTACCAGCCAGAGATAGAGTGAAATATACAGTTGAGATTAATATGAGCCTTTGTTAAACTGGAGGGTAAGTGTGACTTGGCCTCCCTCTTCTGGAGAAGAGATTACAAACGGAATTGTTTCCTTTGAGTTAAAGCTTCCTATTCCCAATATAAATTAAGTAAAATAGTATGTTGGGCTTAAATTTTAAAAGCCTTAATTAAGTTTTGTAATGTTTCCTGATAACATATAATTTTGCCCAGAGATTATTTATGGACCAAAAAAGAAAAGAGAGGAAGAGACAAAGAATAGATTTCTTTAAATTTTATTCTTTTTTTCTTTTTTGTATTAATTATTCTTATTTATTTTTATTATTATACTTTAAGTTCTAGGGTACACGTGCACAACGTGCAGGTTTGTTACATAGGTATACTTGTGGCATGCTGGTTTCCTGCACCCATTAACTCGTCATTTACATTAGGTATTTCTCCTAATGCTATCCCTCTCCCAGCACCCCACCCCTCAACAGGCCCAGGTGTGTGATGTTCCCCTCCCTGTGTCCACGTGTTCTCATTTTTCAACTCCCACTTACGAGTGAGAACATGCAGTGTTTGGTTTTCCATCCTTGTGATATTTTGCTGAGAATGATGGTTTCCAGTTTCATCCGTGTCCCTGCAAAGGACATGAACTCATCCTTTTTTATGGCTGCATAGTATTCCATGGTGTATATGTGCCACATTTTCTTTATTTCTTATTATACTTTAAGTTCTAGGGTATATGTGCACAATGTGCAGGTTTGTTACATAGGTATACATGTACCATGTCGGTTTGCTGTACCCATCAACTCATCATTTACATTAGGTATTTCTCCTAATGCTATCCCTCCTCCAGCCCCCCACTCCCTGACAGGCCCCGGTGTGTAATGCTCCCTGCCCTGTGTCCAAGTGTTCTCATTGTTCAGTTCCCACCTATGAGTGAGAATATGCGGTGTTTGGTTTTCTGTCCTTGTGATAGATTGCTGAGAATAATGGTTTTCACCTTCATCCATGTCCCTGCAAAGGACTTTTCACTCTCTTTCTTTACCTAGTGAACAGGATCAATAAGACAGATAAAGTAAGATGAGGGTATTGAAGGTAATATTTTTCCTCTGGTTATTGGCTCAAAGGATCAATGATATTAGAGATGATTATTATTCCTCACAGACTGATGGCTGAAAAATACAAGGGATCCTCAAGAAATCACAATATGGATATAGTTTTTAAATCTCCATTTTAAAGTGGCTGTATCAATGTTTTTGCCCCTCCATTGTGTGTGATTTGATGTTTAAAGTGATAAACATCTGTCTTAGCTCTAAGAAAATGGACCAGAGTGGTTTCTTGCCTTACCCAACCTGTGGCAGAACTGCCCAACAACTTTCATAGTATTTTAATACCGTTGTTATAACATATATTTTATTTTTTTAATTTGGCATTTGTTATTACAGATATTGGTTACTCTCTGCATATCTCCACCCTCAAATTATTACTAACACCCCTCCTTGTGTTTACATTAAGCAATTTACTGTTATAAAGATTAACTTTGTAAATAAACTATATATAAAATCTCCCCCAAAATACAAATATATTTATTCCTAATTATTTTCACAAATACAACAAATCATAGCTAGGCATGCAGGGCAGTGGAGAGGGGATAATTAGATGTATCTGTATAGCAAAGACTCGAGAGAAGATATCTTGATCAGTTTGGACTGCTATAATAATAAAACACCATAAACTAGGTGGCTTAACCAACAATCTATATCTTACAGTTCTGAAGGCTGGGAAGTCCAAGATTAAAATGTCAACATATTTGGTGTCTGCCTGCTTACAGTCCACATTTTGGTTTGTGGAGAGCCGGTTTCTTGTTGTAGCCTCATATGCCTGAGAGAAAGCAGGCTCTGATGTCTTCCTCTTCTTATAAGAACACTAATTCCTCTGATGGCCAGTGATGGCGAGCATTTTTTCATGTGTTTTTTGGCTGCATAAATGTCTTCTTTTGAGAAGTGTCTGCTCATGTCCTTTGCCCACCTTTTGATGGGGTTGTTTGTTTTTTTCTTGTAAATTTGTTTGAGTTCATTGTAGATTCTGGATATTAGCCCTTTGTCAGATGAGTAGGTTGGGAAAATTTTCTCCCATTTTGTAGGTTGCCTGTTCGCTCTGATGGTAGTTTCTTTTGCTGTGCAGAAGCTCTTTAGTTCAATTAGATCCCATTTGTCAATTTTGGCTTTTGTTGCCATTGCTTTTGGTGTTTTAGACATGAAGTCCTTGCCCATGCCTATGCCCTGAATGGTAATGCCTAGGTTTTCTTCTAGGGTTTTTATGGTTTTAGGTCTAATGTTTAAGTCTTTAATCCATCTTGAATTAATTTTTCCAGTTTTCCCAGCACCATTTATTAAATAGGGAATCCTTTCCCTATTGCTTGTTTTTCTCAGGTTTGTCAAAGATCAGATAATTGTAGATATGTGGCATTATTTCTGAGGGCTCTGTTCTGTTCCATTGATCTATATCTCTGTTTTGGTACCAGTACCATGCTGTTTTGGTTACTGTAGCCTTGTAGTATAGTTTGAAGTCAGGTAGCGTGATGCAGATCAAAACCACAATGAGATACCATCTCACACCAGTTAGAATGGTAATCATTAAAAAGTCAGGAAACAACAGGTGCTGGAGAGGATGTGGAGAAATAGGAACACTTTTACACTGTTGGTGGGACTGTAAACTAGTTCAACCATTGTGGAAGTCAGTGTGGCAATTCCTCAGGGATCTAGAACTAGAAATACCATTTGACCCAGCCATCCCATTACTGGGTATATACCCAAAGGACTGTAAATCATGCTGCTATAAAGACACATGCACACGTATGTTTATTGCGGCACTATTCACAATAGCAAAGACTTGGAACCAAGCCAAATGTCCAACAATGATAGACTGGATTAAGAAAATGTGGCACATATACACCATGGAATACTATGCAGCCATAAAAAATGATGAGTTCATGTCCTTTGTAGGGACATGGATGAAATTGGAAATCATCATTCTCAGTAAACTATCACAAGGACAAAAAACCAAACATCACATATTCTCACTCATAGGTGGGAACTGAACAATGAGAATACATGGATACAGGAAGGGGAACATCACACTCTGGGGACTGTTGTGGGGTGGGGGGAGGGGGGAGGGATAGCATTAGGAGATATACCTAATGTTAAATGACGAGTTAATGGGTGTAGCACACCAGCATGTCACATGTATACATATGTAACTAACCTGCACATTGTGCACATGTACCCTAAAACTTAAAGTGTAATAATAATAAAAGAAAAGAAAAAGAAATAAAATAAAATAAAATAAAGAACACTAATTCCATCATGGGGGCTCCATTCTCATGATCTCATTTAAGCCTAATTACCTTCCAAAGACCACACCTCCAAATACCATCGCATTGAGGATTAGAACTTCAATATATGAATTTTGGGAGACACATTCAGTCCACAGCTAGAGAGAACAAGAAAGGCAGAACTGGGACAAAGCCTGAGAAGGGAGGTGCAGTGGAATATCCCAATGGGACCCTGGAAATGTTTGTGAAAATGATTGCTTTAGTTTGGGGGTGGGGAAGACCAAATGAGATTTATTCCTTGACTACCCCTCTGTCCTCATCTCTTACTCTTTCTGCCTTGCTCACAGCAAGACAGAAAAATGCCCAAGACATACTCCTAACAGGTCCTTTCATTTGTTTTCCAAGGAACTCTTTCCCCCACAGAAAGTTACAGGACAATGTCCCTTACTTCATTCCAGTCTCTAATTGTCTCCTCTAAGCAGCTTTTTCTGGCCATGCTACCAAAATTACTAATATTGTCCTTCTCTGCCACCATATTCTACTATATTTTAATTCAGACTACTGATTAGAACCTAGTCATTTATTCATCTATTCATTTTTTTTTATCTAGAGTGTAATGTCTGCCTCCTACCTTAAACTGTGAATTATGAGGCTGCAACTTTATTGGTTTCATTCAACAGTGTATTCCTCATTCAAAGAACATATGGTATATAGAAAGCATTCAATGCATTTATATAGAATAAAGAATGAAAAAATTCTCATGTCATCAATATAAGAGGAAATGATTTAATAAAAGTAAGCATAGGTTTCTTCTGACTTCAGTCAAATTAGATCTCAAGGAAGCCCATATGGCAAGTGGATTCCAAAAAAGCTAAAGTAGAAACAGAACGTACCCAACAGAAAAAAGACCTGCCTCTCTTCATAATCCGGGCTTAGTAGCATCATCCAGTGCTAACCAATAGCATCATCCAGTGCCAATATCTTGGCATGTAATATTAATATTATCAAAATCTGTCATATGGTAATACATGTTCTGTGTGAACTTTGAACTCATTCTGTTCTAGATGGCAATAAATAGCATTTGAAACAGGATACAGATATTTGCTCTTGATGCATCTTTGAAGGAGTGCTGTCTTGCCTTTTCCCCTCAGGTTATAGAAGTGAAAGTTAAGCTGAACAAAACTAATGGTAGTGTGGCTTGTTTTATCCCTTACCTTTTATCAGTTGTAATTTAAATAAGGCTCCACTTTACACAAAAGGTTGGGATTATTTTGGAAATGTTTATCCCCCTAAATGCTCTACTGTTTTGCTGTCGTATTTTGTGTCTACTTAATAGTTGTGTGTCTAATTAGAATTAGTTTTGAAGATCATTTTCTACCACTACATTACATATTTCTTGAGAGTCTGAGATAGGGCTTACTCATATTTGCCTTTCCATATCAAGTTTCAAGCCACTTTTAATGTGGTAGGGAGTCAGCTATAGCTGTTGAGCTACAATTGTAATGGATTTAAAATTCTTCCATTTATTTTTAAAATAATTCTTAATTTTTAATTTTTAAACATTAACCACAATCCTAATTATTTTCAAACATCAGCAATGTATCTGTAGTTTAACCACAAAGATAAAATACATACAAAATATAACTTATTCACTGTGTCTTTTAGGAAAAACCTGTGCCTGGTCACTTAAAAGAAAGCTTTCAAAATATGGTAGAGTTTCTGGTAGCAGTATGGAATGTTTGAATGGCCAAAACAACAGTTATATCTTCCAGGTCTTCTTTTTTTCTGCTGGAGTCATGACAATTCCTGTTCAAATCTGTGATCCCTCAACCTCAACGCCTAATTCTTCATGATTCTTTGGACTCTTTATTGCCTACTGAGAATCTGAATCCAAATTCTTGGTGATTTTTAACCTCATTTCTTCTTGGCAAACATGGATTTGTCAGAAGATATGATATTCCCACCCCCTTTTTTTGAGACAGAGTCTTGCTCTGTTGCCAGGCTGGAGTGCAGTGGCACAATCTCGGCTCACTGCAACCTCCTCCTCCCAGGTTCAAGCGATTCTCCTGCCTCAGCCTCCCAAGTAGCTGGGACTACAGGTGAGTGCCACCATGCCCAGCTAATTTTTATATTTTTTGTAGAGACAGGGTTTCACCATGTTGGCCAGGATGGTCTTGATCTCTTGACCTTGAGATCCACCTGCCTCGGCCTCCCAAAGTGCTGGGATTACAGGCGTGAGCCACTGTGCCCGGCCTAATCCATTTTTTTTTTTTTTTTTTTTTTACTTAACTGCAATTGGCATTTTTCATCCAGAGTCCTTTCCAACTCAGATTTGCCCAATTATGAGGCCTCAAGAATTTGCCCTTAACCCAGTTTCCATGACTAATGTCAAAAGTGACTGGGAGTACGCAAGCATCCCACAGCCCTTGAAGATGTTTAAATGTTCTTATTTAAGAAACAAGATGTAAATGCATTCAAATTTATCATCATAATTACCTCTTGTAAGTATCAGTAGGTCCATCTTTGAATGAAATTTTTATTTCACAAGTTTTTCTTTGAGGATGCTTGCCATTCTTGTATATTCATCACAAAATGACTTGATTTTCTCAGCACAAATACCTACTCTCTTCCTTTACCACCCAATTCTAATGGAACTCTTTAATGCATCTATTGGCCTTTAAAGAACTTCTAGAGCATTTGGGTTTTGGCATCAGTTGATATTCTAAGACCTGAGAGTCACTGGCACTTTCAAAGAGAAGAAAGGAAGTAATTAGATCTGGAATTTATTATTTTGATAATATTTTATTGTGCACATATCTATGTAAGAAAATGTGCTGAGTCGTAATTCCTGCTATAGAAGAATTTCTAAGGCTGTGAAAAACCTAACACAACATTGTTTTTGGCTAAAAACAAAACCTATTTTCACTATAATAACAGGAAAATTTCTTTGTTTATTTCCATTTATTTTTTCTGTATATAGTGTCATGCATTCACATATTGGGAGGCTAACAACTTAAATTTAAACATAACTCATACTTCCCCTTCTTTGATGCATATATAATACTTTGCTTTCTTTTCTAAATCTTTTAAATTTTTTTTTAAATTTTGCGAGTACGTGGTAGGTGTATTATGTTTTCTTACTTGAGCTTAAATTTTATTTTTTTAATTAATTCAATTTTTTTTGAGATGGAGTCTTGCTCTGTCCCCCAGGCTGAAGTGCAGTGGCACGATCTCAGCTCACTGCAACCTCTGCCTTCTGGGATCAAGTGATTCTCCTGCCTTGGCCTTCCAAGTAGCTGGGATCACAGGCATGTGCCACCATGCCTGGCTAATTTTTTGTATTTTTAGTGGAGATGAGTTTTCACCATGTTGGTCAGGCTGGTCTCGAACTCCTGGCCTCAAGTGATCCACCTGCCTCGGCCTCCCACAGTGCTGGGACTACAGGCGTGAACCATCATGCCCAGCCGAATTTGAAAAACTAGAGACAAATTATGTGGTTTTACCTGGAGGAAATTTTGCATTTCCCACTAACAACATTCCCTTACTTATAACACCAATAGTACACCAAACTGCAAACAAGAGAAGTTCTCTGTATCTTTTCTTTTTCTTTTAGACCATATGGGGTGTATGGAAGCTATTCACTTAGTCTATGAAATTATACGACAGACAACAAAACTACATTAGAGGAGATGACTGTAAATGGAACATGTACTAAGACCATAGAATGTAGCATCTGACTAAACATCCGAAAGTATTATGGACATGTTACTCTTCTAGCAAGAAATATTTGCAGTCTGTTTCCTAACATGCAGAAAAGTCTTCAAGAATCAGATGGAGCCAGATGGGGATGGAAACAAGATATGCAGCTGGCCCATCTGTCAAACACAATGTGCAGTCTGAGGAGAACTCCGTGACTTCCCCTGGATAATCAACCTTATTCCAAAAAGTAGTCTGTTCACTTGGCCTTGCTACACAAAAAGCTCATAAAAATAGGCATTTACTAGGCATCCTATATACCATAAACTGCTATGCCATCACTTTTATCAGCAAAAAATTATATTGCTCTAGTATTCAATAGTACAGTAGGGAAATTATAGTTAACAATAATTTCTGTATATTTCAAAATAGCTAGAAGAGAAGAATTATAGTGTTCCCAACACAAAGAAAAGATAAACGTTTTAGGTGATGGATATTCCAATTACCCTGATTTGATCATTACACATTGTATACAGGTATCGAAACATCACACACAGCCAAAAAATATGTACTACTATTATATTTCAATAAAAAAGAAATTGTATTTTTATATAGTTGCTTGGTATTATTTTTCCTGCTTGCTCTTTTACAAATTGAATCAACTTATTTACAACCAGTTATATCATTTCTCTCTCCAAACCAGTTTTACAGCATCTTCCAAACTGATGTAATCTGCCAATCGAATTCAAGCCTTATTTGCCCTCTATGTATGGTCAGAAATACATTTAATAGCGCCAAGAATCATTTTCTGGTGCTTCAAAGGGCTCACTATCATCTATCATTCTCCACATTTATGATCTCTTAGTTTGTTTTTTATCCACTTTATTTTTCTTATAAAAACTTATTTGACCATTTTTATACACTTACTTGAACCACTATATCAACCACGTTATTGAAGCTTAGACGTTTATTATTCGTAGTCCTCCCTTTATACGCTAATCTTATAATCTGTCAAAGAACTCTGCCCAGCATGATTCATTGTTCATGATCCCAATGTGTTTATTTTGCATAGTTTCATTGTTCTCTAGGTGTTTGTAGAATTTCTCTCACTTAGTTTTATAGTGACAGTCAAATTTTTGTGCTTGAGAAAAGGCTACATGGATTTTTCAAGAAACATGTTTTAACTCTTTCATGTAAATGAGAGTTCTTTGGTAATAATAACAGTCATAGATTTACTAAAATACATATGTGTTTGTGTAGGGAAGTGTGCGTGTGTGTCTGTGTACATAACCAAATTTTTACACCTCTGCATGTAGAGGAATTGGAAAAGAAATACAGAGCTTTCTGCATTCTGAGTCACTTTGTTACCATTATGGGTTAGATACAGCCGCTTATGATGCACTGTACTTTATGAAAGTATCTTCTTCAGCTTCTGCCTGAAACTTATTTCTCCAAAGGGTTCATCAATGACAGCTCCAAAGATCCGAATAGAAACACACACTATTCTCCCTAACATCGTTCCATTCCTCTCCCTGAATATGTGGCACAAACATTCCTCTTATATAATAATTACACCAGCAAAAATAATAGACCAACGAACAAGTCAGTCAACCTAAATAATCTCATCTAGAATCTCTGCATTGGTTTTCCAGCCACTTCAAGATATGTTTGAATCTTAATTTGGGATTATGGTAGATCTTCTCCAAAAGTACTAAGGCATGTACATGAGCTTACAGATATGTGGGAGAAACTAGGGAGTGTTTGGTATTTTAGTAAGGTAAGGGGTTGTAGTACATAGGTTCCAAATTGTGGTTTGGGCAGCAAAAATCGATCTCCTTGGCCATATTGAACCAAGGTGAAAATAACAATGTTCTGATATAATTTTTAAAGATCTTTGTTGCTATATTAGTCCTATAACACCTAATCGATTAAATAGTCTGATTATATTCTAATGAAACAAATATGTATTATGAAATGACTATGTTGCAGATATGGTGCTAGTTATTAGCATCAAAGATAATTGAAATCTAGAAGGATGCTCACAGATAACAGCTATATAAAGTATATAAGTAGAGCAGAGGAAGAAAAGTCTAAGTCTGGTTGGGGACTATGGCTAGCTGTTAGGAATCCTTAAAGCACTTTAGGATTTGAAGAAACCATTCACTATTGGTAAAATTTGTTGTACTGTTGTAAAGTAAGAGAATTGAATATACTCACCATCTCTATTTTCTCTCTTCCATTTCTTTCTGTAATTCATTCAGTCATGCTTTATCCTCCAATTTTTCTCAGAAACTTCTTTTGGTAAGATCACCAGAGACTTAAACCTTGCTAAATTCATTGGCCAATTTTGAGTCCTCATTTTCTTCATTCTTTATGTAGCATTTGACATTCTTAAAAACACTTTCATCATTTGACTCCCATGACAGCATGCTTTCCTGGTTTTTTATTCTATTTTACAAAGTGGGATATTCCATGAAGAACAGGGGATTGTGTTCATGAAGAACAGGGGATTGTGTTCATGAAGCAGCTGGTATCATCCTAGGATGTCATTAAACTCATTCAGAAGACTATATTTGACTATTTTTCATGTCATTTGACTTAAATGTGCACAGGAATAGTTTGGATGTGAAAAATACAAAAATTAATTTAAAAGTCTTGTAATATAAATAATAAAAATATAAACATTTTATTAATGTATTATTTCCTTTCTTTAGAGTCAATGGTTTTCATCAAGATTCCTACAGCTTACATTCAAGTATTGGGCAATAAAAGAAAATGCATTGGCATAAAAATGATTAGTTCATATGCTCTAAATTCTTTTTCGTATACATACATAAACATTGAAATTAAACAAAATGTCACTATCATTTTATCTTTTTTGTCATTCATATGACCTTTACTGAAGAATCTTAACTAACAACATAGATCTATCTTTCTCATCTTTTCCTTCCCCACTATATCTACCTGTTAGTTTTCTTTAACTGCTTGTATTAGATGCTGAGATGCTGAATTATATTCTAGATCTTGTTACTTGAATAGTACTTACCTTATAGTCTTTGTATTACTTTTATTTATTTGAAAAACACTTATTTTACTCCATTATATGCCAGGCATTGTGCTTCTGACAAGACGGGAAAGATAAATTAGAATCTGTTACTTTATAGAAACTCAAGTTAAATACTAAATAGTGACTCAAATAATGCATTTGTCATTTTAAAAATCAATTTGAGTATTCTGGTATTAGTATCATCTTCATGTTCATATATTATTGAGTTTGAAAGAATAAAATTCACATAGTGTCTTCTAAATACACTTTATAAATTCCCAGAAATATAACTGTCTCATTTTTTTAGGTTTATTTATTTATTTTTGAGACAAGGGCTCACTCTGTTGCCCAGGCTAGAGTGCAGTGGCACAATCACAGCTCACTGTAGCTTCGACCTCCTGGGCTCAAGTGATTCTCATACTTAATTTGTGAAGTAAGCTATTTCCATAGATTCTACCTCCCCAACAGTATTTTCTCCTCTATTTTCCCACTGCCTCCTCCTTTTACCAGATTTGATTGTGCCGCTCCAGTCCTTCCATCTTCCTTTGGGCCTCAATTCTAATAAATGAGTTAGATCCTTGGGTGAGCCCTGCACATTGGGTAAGAACACATTTCTCCTAGGTCTTCTATGTCCATCTACATGGTTAGTAGTGACCTGAAATATGAATCAGTCATTTCTATCCTCCCGAGAAAGTGCTCAACAAAACTATCCTCCCTGAGTCAATCAGAATCACTCTTGACTTGTCATTAACTTTGCTTGCCAGTCACCTGAAAAAGTCTGAGAAAAGTTCATTCATTTTCCATAATCTTTTCTCTGTGTGGCTCTAGACATTCCCTATTCCAATCCTATCATTTGGATTTCTGTAATTCTTGGTATGCCATTAGCAAAATCTCTTGAATCCTCAACCTCTAATTTTTATGTTGCTTTTATCTTCAAGGAGACTTTCCTCTGATGACACAATTTCTCCTGAAGCTCTCCCAAGTGATGGCTATTACTGTGTCCCACAACCCTCATATGTTTCCTCTGGAGATAAGGTAACATTTCTCTTGGATTTTTATTGCCACTTCTAGAATATTCTATCTTCTTTCTTTCTAAAAACCCTCATTTATGACGTTTATATCATCAATCTAACTTATATCCTTCCCCTCAATATTGTTGATTTCTATTGAATCTTGGATCATTCTACTTTATTCTTGGCAAATTTTAGTTTCTTCTTCACTGTAATTCTGGTCGTAATTATACTTGATATAACTATCAGCATATATAAATAATCTTTTTTAACAAGTGTTCTTCTCCTATCTCCCTTTCTCTAGTGATCTTGTCATCCACTATAGCCCATCAACCTCCATCCATGTTCACTGTCTGGACAAAAGGTATTCTTAACTACTTAAATCATTCCTGTTTTAGTTGTCTATTCATGTTTAACCAACAATCCAAACACTTAGTGATTTAAAACAAAAAAAAAGTAGATAATTGTGTATACATTTAGAATCTGGGCCAGGTTCAGCTAGTCTTGCCTCATGTGGCTGCATTTAGATATTAAATTGGCTAGGCACTGGGTTGAGTTCATCTGGACCTCTATTGAAAATGAGATTGACGTACAGAGGAAATAGAACCAAATTCTACATGTGAACGTGCCCCAAAAGCATAAGGAAAAACCACATGTATGCACACAGAATTTTTCATTTTTAGTATCTGAAAATTAAACATGAACTAAGAGCCAAAGCACAATAAGATATATTGTAAATCCGTTTAACAGAGGTACATTAAATTATAATAGGCACCAAATATCTTTTCATTTCTCTTTACCTTTTTACTGGCTGTTCTTTCTGAGCCAAATTCACTCTTCCACTCCCACTTTTTACCTAATAAGCATCCTATGCATATTTTTCAAAATTTTAGTAGTATTTTGGAAAATCCATGTGTAGAATTGACTGCTCTTTTATCTGTAGTTGTATTTTATCTTTTTTTTTCTTTTTAATATATTCTGTATTTTTCAGTTTACCATGTGGCAAATGAAAATTATAAATGTATATTTATGGGAGCACTGAGCAATTCCACCATTTTGAGCACCTTGTGTAATATTATATCCTCTACTGAGGCTCCTGGGATTGAGTCAAGTGGCAGCAAGGGAAACCGTCACCATGCCCAAATAAAAGTCTCATCGATGATATCCCAACATGAGCATTTCTCAGTTAAGCATTTCTTATCTGCAGGAGGCATCCACTGTAATACAAGAAAGAGAAGAGTCTCCATGCAGAAGGAAGACTGTGTCATTGTTTTGGTGAAGTTGGCAGTAGAAGGAATGGCACCAACTCAACAAATCCACCTCTTTGTGGCCATTACCTTTAGTGGGTGGCCTAGGCAATGCACAGGTGAGGAGGCTTTTTGTCTAAGGGGTGTTGTTTTGGGAATTTGCTGATAACATTCACTCCCAGAAGAGTTCCCAGGAAGTCATCTTCTGCAAGGGTGTCCAAGAGACCACAGGTAGTTCTATTTTATCTTTTATATACTCCTACTATAATGTCTACTCTATTATACTAAAATTTCACATTACATAGCTTTTCCTTCAAATATATTGTAAATATTTAGAGAAAAATAAATTCTTTTTTAAAAATATCTACAGGCCCAGTTTTTAGCAGAATCATGTGTTAGATACCTCTTAGTATGTAATCAATAAGTGAACAATCAAAGATGTGCATAGAAAAGTGGCCAGATCTCCATATCTTACTGTCGTGGTAGATAGTCACATCTTATTCAGTGACCAAATACTTGAGAAACTTGTCTGTGTATGTCACTGTGCTAGGTGTAAGGATATAGTAGTAAAAAAGATGGAAAAGTTCCCTCTTGTCAGGAGCCCACATTCTAGTGGTCATGAAAAGGATTAATGAATAAACAAATAAATATACAATACAATTACAGTTTATGATATATTTGAAGAAGGGAACAAATGTGGTGTTCTGCTAGATAAGAATTAGGAAATATTCATACCTAAGCTGGCTAGGAAAAGCCTCTCTGAAGAAGCAACGGTTAATCTGAAACCTGTGGTGGAGAGTGAAAGGACATATGCATATAAAGATTTGGAAGAAAAAGAATTCCTGGTAGAGGAAATATTAAAAACAAAGTCTTTGTGGAGCAAAAAATTGACCTGTCCATATAATCAAAGTGATGCAGGATTTTTTGCTCCTTAGTTCGGCTAAGTTCCGGGTTCCTGTCTCATGACCAGGAAAAATTAGGCATGTGAACACACTGAAGGGTGAGGGGGACAGACTTATTAGATGAAAAGAAAGCTCTCAGCAAAGAAAGAGGAGGTCCTGCCAACAGGCTCCTACCTCACAGATTAAAAACCAGGCCACCGCACCTCATCTGAAGAGGCCAGGCTCCATCTCCTGCATAAGGCGCAAATTCCTAGTGACTCCATCCCATTCCCCCAGTGCATGTGGGCCTCCAATCTGTTGCAGGCATGGCCAGGTAAGACCCTGTTCTGGTTCCCTTATCTGCACAAAAACATCTGGCATAAACATTGTGGGGCAGGTTGGAGATTTTCCAGGGACCCTTCCTTATCTGCCTCCTGCATCTATCAAAAGGAAGGCAACAGGACTAAAGTATAGACTGAAGAGTGACATGAAATGTAGTTTAAGAGATGAGCAGAAGCTTGATCACGCAGGGCTTTGAAGGTGCTGGTATGAAGTTTGAATTACATTCTCCATATTATGGAAGATAAGGGAAGTATTACAAGCATGGAAGTTGCATAAAAAGATTTATATTTTTTTACTGTATAAACTGATCTGCCTCAAAGAAAAGTGCTATGGATACTCTATTAGGGACTATCGTCATTAACATTTACCCTCACTGCCTGATGAATGTGTGGAAAATTACCTTTATACCAACAGACATTTCAATCAACTTTCTGTCAGACATGTAAATATAAACAATGATCCAAGACACACCAAATATATGGTAAATGCTTTCCACAGGAATAATGAATATATAAAAGGAAACAAACTGTAAAACATTAAAACAATTTAATTATGTTGAATATAAAAACATTTTTGAAATTCAAAGAAACAGAAAATATATGGAGAACCAGTAGAAAAAAATCAAAGTAAAACAACGATTAATGTACTCAGAGGGATAAAGAAAGGTATTGTAGGGCCAGCGTGGTGGTTCACACCTGTAATCCCAGCACCTCGGGAGGCCAAAAAATCAGCCAGGCATGGTGGCGTGCGCCTGTAATCCCAGCTACTAAGGAGGCTGAGGCAGGAGACTACCTTGAACCCAGGAGGTGGAGGCTGCCGTGAGCAGAGATCACGCCACTGCACTCCAGCCTGGGTGACAGAGCAAGAGGCCATCTCAAAAGGAAAAAAAAAAGAAAAGAAAAGTATTGTAACTGTTAAATAAAAATAGAATGCTACAAAATGAAGAATAATCTGAGACTAAGAAAGAGCTCTTGAAAATTAAAATTGTATAGTTGAAATAATATAGTAGAAGTGATGAAAGATATACTAAAGGAAGTCTTCTGGAAAGTAGAATAAAAAGTTTTTAAATAGAGTAAAGGAGAAAAAGATTAAAAATTCAGAAGATTGGCCAGACGTGGTGGCTTACACCTGTAATCCAAGCACTTTGAGAGGCCAAGGCAGGCAGATCACAAGGTCAAGAGATCGAGACCATCCTGGCCAATATGGTGAAACCCCGTCTCTAATAAAAATACCAAAAAATTTAGCTGAGTGTGATGGCTCCTGCCTGTAGTCCCAGCTACTTGGGAGGCTGAGGCAGGAGAATTGCTTGAACCCATGAGGTGGAGTGAGCTGAGATCATGCCATTGTACTCCAGCCTGGGTGACAGAGCGAGACTCTGTCTAAAAAAAAAAATCAGATGATTGATTCAGAAGATCAAATAGCCAATCAAATCATATCCATTTCAATAAACACATTCATAAAAGAGAGTAAATTATCAAAAAATGCAAGAAAATGAAGGAAATAAGTGTTCAAGTTGAAAAATTTGAAATCTATAATAGATTATCGGTCATTTATTGGTGAAATTCACAACATCAGTGCCAAGCAGATGATCTTTAAAACTTTTAGAAAGGAAAATGCTCACACACAATTTTTTAACAAGAGACAGAATAGATATCAAGATGACACTGATGTTTCTTAACGCTTCACTGAAAGCTGGAAGGCAAAGGAGGAAAACAAGCCTTTAAATTGTTGAGGAAATTTATTATTGCAGACTTTGAAGTCCCAAACAAATGATTAATTACATAAAATAGCAGAATAAATATTGCAGATGTAAACACTCACCCTGACTTGCCTTTTTTTTTTTTTTTTTACTTCCCAGAAGTCTTTTATTAGGAAGTTCATGGAGTGTATCTCCAGAAAAACATAAGAGCAAAACAAGAAAGAAGACATAGGATCTGGAAAATAGAAGATCCAATTGTAGGGGCAGCAATTTAAAGTCCTAGGATAATAGGGAAATTAACCTCCAGGTTAGATAGTTGTGGATATGATCTGGAAAACATTTAGTTCACCTTGTAAGAGAATAGAGGCCTCAAAAACAGGGACTCCAAGTAGAACAAAACTCAACCCACGGGTTAAATATTACCGTAAACTGTTTTAGAAGAAGACACTGAAACATTTGGTGGAAGATGATGTAGGTTAAGGAAAAACATTATGCAAATGTGTATAAGCAAACAAACATGGTAATGATTTACTCTAATAAAACACTGCCCAAGAAAAATATATTCATACTGCACTACTTGGCAAAACAGTGAGAAAATATTTGATTTAGAAAAATTACACAAATACATACACACTAAAGATTCACCTTACCAGTTGAAATATTGTCTTTTATTTAAATGCTAAGTGACACTGTTTCTTTTCACAAATATATATTAGTTACTTTCATCAGTTTTCTATGTCTAGTATCAATTTATATCATTATGTTATTATGTTTATGAAAATAGACAGGAATATTTATTTTCTTCCAGAAAAGAAGACTTGAAAATATAGAAATCTTCCTACTCTTTAATGTTTTCGAGTTGTTTGCAGGTTCCAATAATGTATTCTGAAAGATAATCACCAGGCAAAGGTCAGGTGTTTCCTTAAGGAAATCATTCTCTAGATGACTTGGGGGAAGGTGTAATTTCAACTGTCTTTAGCCATGCAAAATATCCCTTACCCTGATCAATTAATGATGGTGATTTACAAGATATCAGGCTAAGAGACAATTACTTGAAAAGGTGATTTGCATTAAAGACAAGGTGATCTTGTAACCCTTTTTCTTTAGCCAGACAACAGTAATTCTTTACAAAGCAAAAGATTTCATTGTCTGAAAACAAAATTACATTCCTTTTTGCCATGCCTTTAGCAATGAAGCGAAAATAAGTAATTGGTTTTGAACAATTTTAAACAAGTATTATACAACTCTAATGATGTATTACTTTTTTGTCTTTCATTTAATAAATTGTCATGATGATCAAATGAAGATAGAAATGGTATTCTATCTGGTTGATCTGGCACCAAAAAAAGGAGAGGAAATAAAGAATGTTTCCAGAAAAAAAGTCAGAGTAAAACAAGAAATAGGAAGACATAGAATCTGGAGAATAGAAGATCCAACATAGAGGGGCAGAAGTTTAAAGTCCTAGAATGATAGGGAAATTAAGCTCCAGGATGGATGATTACAGATATGGTCTGGAGAGCAATTAGTTCACTTTGGGAGAGAACAAACTCAATGTCTTGTATATTATATATTTCCTACATATTAGTCATTGAGCCTGGTTTAAAAGAAAAGGTTTTGTAGCCATGACAATAACTGCTAACTGCCAAAGAGATTTTATATCCTTAATGAATGGTACGGTAAGTTTTTAGTTACTCATAAAAATAATTATTCTATATAATTCACAAGTACACACACAGTCATCAGCAAAATAAAAATTGTTAAGTGTAAAAGCTTATATATACAGATATATATATATATACACATATATATATATCTGTGTGTGTGTGTGTGTGTGTGTGTGTGCTTGCACATGCGCTATGGATTAAATGTGTCCCTCAAATTTCACATGCTAAAAACTTAATCTCCAAATTCATATGCTGTTTGGAGAAGGGCCTTTGGAATATAATTAAGATTAGATAAGGTCATCAGGGTGTGGCCCCCATAATGGGACTGGTGGCTACATAAGAAAAGGAAGACAGACCCAAACTGACATGCACACTTTTGCTCTATTGCCATATAATGCCTTCCACCATGTTATGACATAGCAAAAAGGCCCTTCCCAGATACTGGCCCCTCAAACCTGGACTTTCCAGTATCCAGAAATGTAAGAAAATGTGTATTTTCTTTATTAAAATTGCCCAGTTTGTGGTATACTGTTATAGGAATGCAAAATGAACTAAAACAATATGTAACAACAACAATAAATAACAATAATATATATTGATTATTTTGAGAAAGTGCTTATTAAATATCCTGTTAAGTAGTACATCTTCAATTAATGCTATTGATATCTCAATCTGAAAAAGCCTTTAAATCAAGATCTTTTCTATTTCTTATCATATTTTGTGCATTATAATACTTAATACAAAATACTTAATTTTTTTTTTTTGAGATGGAGTCTTGCTCTGTTGCCCAGGCTGGAGTGCAGTGGAGCGATCTCAGCTCACCGCAACCTCTGCCTCCAAGGTTTAAGCAATTCTCTGCCTCGGCCTCCCAAGTAGCTGGGATTATAGGCGCATGCCACCATGCCGGGCTAATTTTTGTATTTTTTAGTAGAGAAGGGGCTTCACCATCTTGGCCAGGCTGGCCTTGAACTCCTGACCTCGTGATCCACCCGCCTTGGCATCCCAATGTGCTAGGATTACAGGCGTGAGCCACTGCGCTCAGCCCAAAATACTTAATATTTATGTAATACTCTGCATATGTTTAAAATATATTTAGAGTACAATTAGGAAATCAAGTAAACGCACAATAGGTGTAAACATATATATACTTGAATGATTTAACCTTTATGTGTATATATACATTTATTTACTGCATGTCTAATTCTGATTGCTTTTTAAAATAAACTTATTTTAGAACAGTTTTAAATTTACAGAAAAATTGTGAAGACAGTACAGAGTGTTCCCGTATAACCAATACCAATTTTTCTCTATTATTAACATCTTGCATGAGTATGGTATATTTTTAAGTTAGTAAACCAATATTGATACATTATTATTAACTAAAGTCCATAGTTTGATCAGATTTTTAGTTTTTACTGATTTTTTTTTCTGTACCAAGATCCTACCAACAATTCTTCATTACATTTAGTCATTCTCCTTACACTCCTGTGGTCTGACAATTTCTCAGATTTTCCATGTTTTTGATGACCTTGACAGTTTTGAGGAGTATTACTTAGGTGTTTTTCAAAATGTTCCTCATTTCAGATTTGTCTGACGTTTTTCTCATGATTATATGGGAATAATGCCTTTTTGGAAGAAATACCATTGAGGTAAATATTTTAATCATATTATATCAAGAAAATATAATATCAACATGACTTTGTTGATGTTGACCTTGATCACCTGGCTTAGGTAGGGCTTATCAGGTTTCTCCAATGTAGTATTTTTTTTCCCCTGTCCCAGTTGGTCAGGGCAAATAATTATTTTCAGACATTGTTCCCTTTATCTGCTTATAATTTGTTGAGGATTTTTGCATCTGTGTACATGAGAAATACTGATCTGTAGTTTTTCCTTCTAATATACTGTCTTTATCTGACTTTGGCATTAGGGTAATGCTGGCCTCATAGTGAAACAGCCTTTGAAAAAATTATAACTGAGACAAATATGACAGTGAAAGAGATCTGACCTAACTTATTCCATCTTGCTTCTAACCTCCAAGCTATCCTTGTTCATTCCTAGGCATAGGCTAACTTTAGGAGAAAATTTATAGTTTAACTTTGAAATAAAGGCAATAACAGTCCTTTCCCAAAACAAACCCGCTTCTAGCCAGGGGGCTAGACTGCCTTTGCACAACTAAAAAATTAGCCACAAGAGTAGAAATTATGGTTTAGGAGTCGTGCAACTAGAAGCTGCAAGATTCTGAAGCCAAATTACTTCTGGGGATAACATTACTTCTGTAAAACCCAAGATTAGTGCTTGAGATATTTTGCAGACCCTACACTCGATGGATCAGCTGTCACCACTCAGATCAATAAACCGGCTCATTTGGACTTGTGGCCCCCACCCAGGAACTGACTCAAGGCAAGAGGACAGCTTCAACTCCCTATGATTGCATCTCTGATCTGAACAATCGACATTCCCCACTTTCCAACCCCTACCCGCCAAATTATGCTTAAAAACCACAATTCCCAAATTCTGAGGGAGGCTGATTTGAGTAATAATAAAATGCTGGTCTCCCTTACGGTAAGCTCTGTGTGAATGAAACTCTTTCTCTGTTGCAGTCCCCTTGTCTTGATAAATCAGCTCTCTCTAGGCAGCGGGCAAGGAGAACCCACTGGGTGGTTACAGTAGTGTGACTTAGGGAACGTTCCTTCTGCTTTTATTTTCTGGAACTCATTGTGAAGGATTTTTGTCATTTCTTCCTTTAAAGCTTGGTGGAATTCACCAATGAAAACATTTCAGTCTGGTGCTTTTTTAGAAGGTTCATAATTATTAATTTAATGACTTTAATAAATATAGAATTATTCAGATAATCTATTTTCCCTTGTAAATTTTGATACTTTGTATATCTGAAGAAATAGGTCCACTTCATCTAATTTATCAAAATTGTGAGCATAGCATTTCTTTATTATTATTATTATTATTATTTTTTTTTTAGATGGAGTCTCGCTCTGTCACCAGGCTGGAGTGCAATGGCTCACTGCAACATTCAACACCCTGGTTCAAGGGATTCTCCTGCCTCAGCCTCCCGAGTAGCTGGGATTACAGGCACACACCACCATGCCCAGCTAATTTTTCTATTTTTAGTAGAGACGGGGTTTCACCATGTTAGCCAGGATGGTCTCAATCTCCCGACCTTGTTATCAGCCTGCCTCGGCCTCCCAAAGTGCAGGGATTACAGGCGTGACCCACCGTGCCCAGCCCCTTTATGATCTTTTTAATGTCTGTGGCATCAGTAATGTGATGACCCTGTTTCTATTTCTGATATTGGTGATTTATGTCTTCTCTTTTTTTCCTTAGTGAGCTTGGATAGAGCTTATTGGTTTTATTGATTTTTTTCAAAAAACCAGCTTTTGGTTTCATTGATTTCTCTATTGTTTTCTAATTTTTAATGTGAATGATTTCCTCTTCAATTTTTATTACTTCTTTTTTCTGCTTGCTTGAGACTTAAATGGCTGTTCCTTCTGTACTTTTCTAGTGTAAGATTCAATTGCTGATTTTATAATTTTGTCTTTTCTAATATATGCATTTAATACTATACATTTCACTGATTTTGCTGCATCTCACAAGTTTTTGATAAATTGTATATATATTTTCACTCAGTTTAAAATATTTTTAAAAGTTATCTTGAGACACTTTGATCCATGTGCTATTTAGACAACTTTTGTTCAATCTCCAAATACTTGAGGATTTTCCACCTATATTTCAGTTATTTATTTCTAATTTAATTTCACTGTGGTCTAAGAAGATACTTTATCTGATTTCTAATTTTTGAAACTGGTCAAAGTGTATTCTGTGGCATAGAATGTGGTGTGTCTTGGTGAGTATGTCATGAGAGCTTAAGAATATTATATATTCTACTGGTAATGGATGGAATATTCTATAAAGGTCAGTTAGATCAAGTTGATTGATAATATTTTTCAAGTTGGCTATATCCTTACTGATTTTCTGCCCTATTGATCTATCAATTGCAAAAAGAAGGGTGCAGAAGTCTCCAGCTATAGCAATAGATTTGTCTATTTCTCCCTTCCTTCCATTCTATCAGTTTTGCTTCACATATTTTCATGCTATCTTGTTAAATGCATACATATTTGGAATTGTTGTCTTGGAGAATTCACCACTTTATATATATCATTTTATAATGCCACTTTTTATCCTAGATATTTTGTCCTGCTATTAACTTTTTCTGAATTAAAATAGCTACTACAGCTTTCTTTTGATTAGTGTTGGTATACCTTCCTTCATCTCTTTACTTTTAACCTATTTGACTCTTGCTATTGAAAGTGAGTATCTTGTAGACAACATAGATATTGTTTTTCTTTTAATCCACTCTGACAATGTGAGGCTTTTAATTGCTATATTTAGATGAGTCACATTTAAATGATTATTGATACATTTGGGCTAATATCTACCATGCTTTCAGGTGTTTTCTGTTTATTCCACTTGTTCTTTCTTTTTCACCTCTTTTTATGCCTTCTCTGGTTTTATGTGAGCATTTTATATTATTCCATTTTATTATCTCTCAGCATATAAATTATACCTCTTTTTAAAAAATTAGTACTTGTGCTAAAGTTTGCAATACATATTTTAACAAATATGTCTGCCTTCAAATAATACTATAACACTATATGCAAAGCAGGAAACTTACAACAGAGTATTTTCAGTTTCTTTCATCATGTCTTTTATGATATTAGTACCATTTGTTTTATTTAACCATATGCTATAATAATGCATTGTTACTGATCCTACTTTAATTAAATGAATTAAATGCTAGAAATAAAAAACTACGCTGTAACAGAAATGAAGAATGCCTTTGATGGGCTCATAAGTAGACTGGGTGTGGCCAAGGAAAAAAATGAGTAAACTTTAATTAAACTAACTAGTTTAATTAAAAAGAAAAATATTAACGATATGAAAATAAAGACTAATAAAAATATGAAAAATAAAGAATTTCATATTACCTTTATTTATTTCTTCTTCATCCAATGCTCTTCTTTCCTTATGTAGGTCTCAGTTTCTGACCTATATAATTTTCCTTCTCTCCGAAGAACTTTTCACATTTCTTGCATGGCAGGTATGCTGAAAGTGAATTTCATCAATTTTTGATTGTCTGAGAAAGTCTTTATTTCTTCTTTAATTTTAAAAATAATTCACTACAGAATTCTAGAATTTTTTTCTTTCAAAACTCAACATCTCACATTCTATTCTCTTCTTGCTAACATGGTTTCTGATGAGGAAACCACTATAATTCTTATTTTTGTTGACCTATGGGTACATTTTTCCCCATATACCTTATACCAGATTCATTCAAGATTTTCTGTTTGTCTTTGTTTTTCTGCAGTTGGAATGTAATATATCCAGATGTATTTTTTAGGGTTTTTTTAAAAATACTTTTCAGTTTTTTGTATATTTATTTGTTTTATGATATTTATGCCGCTTGGTGTTCTCTGAGCTACCTGGATTTGTGGTTTTATATGTGTCATCAATTTTGAAACATTCCCAGTAACTATTCAGGTATTTCTTCTGCTGTGTTCTCTCTTTTTTCTACTTCTGGTATTGCAGTTATGTGTACGCTACACCTTTTGAAGTTGTCCTACAGTTCTTAGCTATTCTATTCTGGTTTTACCCTCCCCCCTGCCCCTGCCAATCTTTTTTCTCTTTGCATGTCAGTTTGGGAAGTTTCTATTTACATATCTTCAAGTTTACTGATTTTTTTTTTCCCTTGGCCACATCCAGTCTACTGATGAGCCCACCAAAGGCATTCTTCCTGTCTGTTACAGTGTAGTTTTTGTTTCTAGCATTTCCTTTTGTTTCTTTCTTAGGGTTTCCATGACTTTCTGCTTATACTACCCATCTGTTTTTGTATGTCTACTTTATCCATTTTTGCTCTTATTAAATTATTCAGTTATTTTAAAATCTGTTTGATAATCACAACATCTGTGTCGTATCTGAGTCTGGTTCTGTTAGTTGTCTCTTCAGATGTGTTTTAGTATGCCTTGAACTTTTTTATTGAAAACCAGACACGGTGATAATAGGAACTGAGGTTAAACAGGACTCAGTGTGATGTTTTATGTTAATCTGGCTAGGAGGTGGACTGGCTAGTTCGTTGTAGCTGTATGTGTTAGAGGCTTCAATATCCTCTAGTGTCCTTGTTTTTGCTTCCCCTCTTCACTTTAAACTTCAGTAAGTTAAGTTCTACTTAGAAAGAGTCTGCATCTTGAAGCTCTTTCAGCTGCAATCCACTGTTATTTTACTGAAGCCACATTGGTATGGTGGTAAGATGTGCAGAGGGGAAGTGTTTTATAAACTTATGATTAACTCAGAGTCTTTTAGTAGGCCCACGTTCCTGGCCTGTTACCTTCCTTAAATGAGTCAGGACGGCAAGAGGGTTTTGGAGCAGGAAAATGTCTTTCTCGCAGCTGGGGTAAGGCTGTTAAGGTATTTTTTCCTGTAGAGAAGTCCTTTGGTATGGAGAATCAAGTAAGCTCTGGGTATGTTTCACAATGATTACTCTTTCTCTCTCCCTGCCAAAGCCACAAAGGGATCTTTCTTGACTCCTCACCATGAGAACCTGGTAGGAATGGTTCCTAGAGGTAAAACCCATTAAAGTGTGGAGCCTTTTCTAAAACTGTGGCCCAGGGAAGATTTTCACTCTCATGCTAGTCCACAATCAGTGTTACTGGAATTACCATCTATGTGTTCCTATTAGTTTATGTCTCTAGTGGATTTTTCTCCAGATAAGCAGATTTTTGACGTTACTCTAGATCCACCTGTGTCTCCAGATTCAAGGGGGGTAGTGTGCCCTGTGAACTAAGTTCTCTGATGCATCCAAAAAGAAGTTGTTGATTTTCAAGTTTGTTCAGCTTTTTCTTGTTGTAAAGATGGGAGTGGCAACTCCCACACTTTCTAGGTATGGGAGTATTTACACTGCACCACGTTGGTTAAGAAGCCATGGCGCGCTTCCCACAGTCAGTCAGGCCTGCTGACAATGAAAGCACTTCCTGATCATTTTAAAAAACTTATTTTGTCCATCCTAAGTTCCAATAATTTCTAGCTATAGTTTACTCTTCCATATCCTATTTCTTGGTATACTAGAAAATTATTCATGCACAAATCCAGACCAAACTTTTCAGTGTATCAGAAAACCAAGTTTATTATCAGATAGCTGCTAAAATTAGCCTTGCTAATTTTATGCCTGACATGATAGATTGGCACGAGGTATCCACGTCGCACCAAATTGTCTCCTTTCTCTCTCTTCTGTCTAGATTGACATTTCAGTAGATCTGGACTTCTGTTTCCTGAATAACAGGCTATTTTCCATATGGCCCCAGAAACATGCCCTAAACACAAACTTGCTTAACTTGAACTCTCATAACAGGCCTAGTCTTTCCAATATTATCTTTTTGTGTCCCAAAAGCTTAGTCAGATTTAGCTCCAAAATAGAGGGAACTTTTTCAAATATTGTTAGCCCCCTGACTATGAGCACTGTAACTATTTATACATTTCTGAAACCAGGCTGTTACCAACACTCATCTCATTTAAAGGCTTACATTTCTATGACCAGCGCTTCAGCACTGTGGTATGAATTATTGTTACCTCTTATGGGTGCCACCAAGTTAGTTTTCTTTAACTCCAGACTCAATTTATTTTTCTTTGTTCAGAATCCATCAGTGAAGTTCAGTGAAGGATTTTTTTTTTTTTTGAGTCTCGCTCTCTCGCCTAGGCTGGAGTGCACTGGCACAATCTCAGCTCACTGCAACCTCCGCCTCCCAGGTTCATGCCATTCTCCTGCCTCAGCCTCCCGAGTAGCTGGGACTACAGGCACCCGCCACCATGCCTGGCTAATTTTTTGTATTTTTTAGTAGAGACGGGGTTTCACCATGTTAGCCAGGATGGTCTCAATCTCCTGACCTCGTGATCCGCCCACCTCGGCCTCCCAAAGTGCTGGGATTATAGACATGAGCTACCGCGCCTGGCCCATCAGTGAAGTCTTATCATGCATTGTAGCTAAGGCCATTAGGTAAAATTACTATTTGTATCTGTTTCAACAGAGTGGAAAAAAATCAGCACACAGACACATGCACACACAAGCATATATGCCAGGTGTCTATTTTTTATTGGAAAGACAGTGCACTCAATGTAGTCATTGAAACCATATCAAGCATTCACAAGATAATTATATTTTTATTTCATACATGTTGGAAAAAACAGAAGACTATTTACATATCTCCAAAATTCCTTGAGACTTTTTTATATGCCTAGATACCAAGAGTGTGACTTCATAGTACAAGGAACTAAAAAAAATAATAAATTGAATAGTCTCTCTAAAATAAGAGATTATAAATCTTTCCCCCCATTTTTGAAGGTTTATAAAAGTTGAAATAAAGTCTTTCTATACTTTGTAAGATTCATAGGTATCATGACAACACAATTTAATAGGAGCTGACAAAATACAACTCAGCAGACCTATAAAGGGAAATCTCTCAGACATTGAAAAAAAACAATTTTCCACTTATTTTAGAGGACTAAGTTGCTGGGAGCCTTCACAGGTTATTGTGTACCAATTCTTCTCTCTTTTCATTCCACTTTGTACAATATATTGGACAAATTTAGGATTGAATATAGCCATTTATAAAACTGACCATTTTAGCAGTGGGATAAAGGGAGATAAAAGGTTTATATTACTCACCTGTCGTCAGTTAAGATCTCCAAAATCCCTTAAATCTTTTCTTAGTTTCAGAGGTAATGTTAAAGTTAATTGATGTTCAACAGAAAAATATTTCTATCTGCTGAGGAAGGAACTCTGAGTTTTAAAACATCTTGATGCAGTTCTAGCAGAAGAAATTTTGATTTTGTGTTAGTGGAACTGGCTTCAGTGAAGATGAGCAGTGTTAATATTTCAGAAACTGGGACCGTATGCAACACAGGTCCGTACTAGATAAAGGAGTCTCGATGAATGAATCTCAACTCTTTGGCAAGGGTCTTGTACTAAAAGAAGTAAATTAGCAATAAGGTACTGATCTATAACAATATTGAAGCCTGAGGCCAGGAAATTTTTAAGGCCTTAGGATAGATAAGATAGGTATCGTATAGCCCTGGGGTATAAAGCTGGGCTCTTTGACAAGAAAACTCACTGCCAACAGGTCTGGAACTAATGATTTGTTTAGGTAGAGCTTGCCTCTTCAGGTGATGGAAAATATCATGGCAGATTATGACAGCAAAACAGCAAGACGAGACCAGATATACATTGGAAGAGGAGGTGGTTGGTGAGCCATGCATCTAAATGTATTTTCCAAATTGTAACACAGATTAATAGAGCCCAAGGACAGCAGTGGAATCAATCACTGGGTGAAAGAGACAGAGAAATAAAGTGTTTGAGGCTATAAAGTTAGCTGGGACTTTGTGGAGAGATAACTGGAGAAGACAGAACTGTAGGCAGAGTGCTAAAAATCTATGTATAAACTTTCTCTTGGGTCATTGGCCAGCTCCTAAGTTGAGCATATGCAGTGTGAGATTCTTTGAGGTCAAGCAGAGAACAGCATCAAGAGGCTAAATAGGTGGTCAGAGATTTTAGAGATCACACAATGCTGGGAAATCACTGGAGTCTGGGCTCATTTAAAAGGGAAAAATTATCATGAACATACAAATTTGCAGTTGACACACCAGAAGGCCATGAACTAGAGATGATGCCTTAATAGAGACAAAAAAAAAATAGACCCACTCTAACAAAGCTTAAAAATAAGTCTTGATAGAGGCAGGGCACAGTGGCTCACTCCTGTAATCCCAGCACTTTGGGAGGCTGACGTAAGAAAATGGCTTGAGACCAGGAGTTCAAGACCACCCTGAGCAACAAAGTGAGACACCCCCCTAAACTCTACAAAAAATAAAAAATAATTTTTAAGAAACTTATCTATTCATAGGATTGTGGCAATCAACCAGTAAGATACAATATTCTTAAGAGGAAGATAATATAATTAACAGTTTTTTTGCTTTATGTATTTTTTGAATCTATGTATAATGCTGTCTCAGTTGCAAGTACAATTAGGGTAGAATTTTCCCCCTACTTTTCCTGTTGGCATATATTCATGATCCCATAACATAAGTATGGACTGAATCACTTTTTTCAAATGATCATTGAAATATTGCTTGATGGTGACATTTAACACACACAGCTGGGAGGTAATACCCCATGGAATAATTACTAAATCTTACTTTGCTGACTTTTTTTCCTTTTTTACCAGTTGTATCAAATTATCTCTTGAAACAATTGTTGTTGGTTCAGGCTAACATGTCTGTTCCAGTCAGTACTTTGTGATTTTTCAGAACAAAATAATTTATATAGCAGTCTGTAATCTGAAATATTCTAAGGTTCAAATATAAGATGATTTCCTCTTCTAAGGATAGTTTTTGATATTGAAAAACTCTTCATATATATGGGTATGTACAGTGAATCTCAAATCCATCTCCTTTTCTCCTTCACTACCACTGTAAATTAAAATCATCTCTCACCTGGACAATGGCCCTCACTGTTTAATTGCATGCCCCATAGCTATTCTTGGCCCTCTGTACATTCTCCACACAAATTTATTTTTTTAATATGCCAGTCTAATTTTCTTACTTCTTTACGTAAAGCCCATTAGTGCTATTTCTTTACTACCTTTCCAAGAGTTTCTAAAATCCTTGACGGTACCTGACATTTTATTTAAAAATGATTCAACATACAAAGATGCAGGAAAAAGCAGCTGAAAAAGTGCTAAAAGAATCAATTCCAGAGAGGAATCTAGCAGACAAAGAATTCAAAATAACCACAATTAATATGCTAAATATTTATCACCTAGAGTTGTGGTAAGGATGAAGTGAAATCAAATATGCATAAAAGTCTAATACAGAAATGTTTTCTTTCCACTTTGACATTGTGAGAAAAGCACTGCAAACGCTTAGTGACTACTGATTTCTTGATGTTCTGTAGAACGCCAATCACAAAAATAATTATTTCAAATTCATAGATTATGTGATGGTTAATTTTACGTGTCAATTTAACTAAATTAAGGAATATCTAGAAACCTGGTAAAGCATTATTTTGGGGTGTGTCTGTAAGGGTGTTTCCAAAGGAGATTGGCATGTGAGTCTGAGTAGACTACATGAGGAAGATTCACCCTCAATGTGGGCAGGCACCATTCAATCTGCTGGGAGCCAGGAGAGAATAAAAACAGAGAAAAGGCAAATACATTGATCTATCTCTGAGGCTGGGATATGCTCTTCCTCTCCTGTCCTTGAACAACAACTCCAGTCAGCCCGGGCTTTGGACTCCAGGACTTACACCAGTGACCCCCTGGGTTCTCAGGTCTTTGGCCTTGGACTGAGAGTTACACCATCAGCTTCTCTTGTTCTGAGGCCTTCGGACTTGGACTGGGCCATGCTATTGGCATCCTAGGGTTTCCAGCTAGCAGACAACAGCCTATTGTAGGACTTCTCAGCCTCCATAATTGTGTGAGTTAGTTCCCCTAATAAATATTTTCTCATATATCTATATCTATATCTGTATCTCCTATTGGTTCTGTCTCTCTCAAGAACCCGAACACCAATTAGAATGTGACTAAGACAACGACAGTTTTATTTTACATGAGTTCTACTCCAAGTATGCCCTCCTAAGAATATGCCTTGGTTGCTGTAATTGAATTTCTGTCTTAATTAGCAGTATAATAAGCTATTTAGACTATGTTCTACCAAAGAGACCTAATTTAAATCATAATAGATTATTTTTCATTTAGCCTTGAGACAGTGACCTTTTGTGAACATTTGGTCATTTCTGTATATAATTTGCTGCTATCCACCAGTTATTGATTATACTAGCTGTTGAGGGAACATAAATATTAGACTACTGCATTATAAGGTCATAAGTTGAAAAATCCTTAAGAACTGTAAACCATATAACAGTTCAAACTGGGAAAATGGAATATTACAAGTGGCAAAATTTAGTAAGAATAAAAGAGAACATATGTGCTACAATTTTACAAAGAAAATGTTATATATATGAAATTGCAGTAAATTATCATCATGATGAAAAAGCACTTATATGCACACCTGCACCTGAATCTCTTTAGAAAGTGAACAAAGCAAATTATATGACATTCTGCTTTTAGTATAAAAATATATGTTTTGTGAGCAATTTGTTTGAATATACACTTAGTATATTGAGAAAATACATGTTCATAATATTCTGGTTTTTAGTGTAGCATATAATCAGTGATAGAGGCAGGAGGCAGAGAAACTCTAGGCAGACAGGAGTGGGTCCCTGGCAAAACCCCACCTTCGAGCTGAAAAGCCTGAAACTCCTGGCCCAAAGTGAGAACTTCCATTCTTGTGTGCCTGCTCTCTCCCAATTAGTTCTTTCTGGATAATGTCTTTTTACCAATCAAATGTTGCCTTTTGCAAAACTACCTACAACCCACCCCGCCCTGCATCCTGTACCTATAAAGACCCCAGACTCAGCCAGTAGAGAGGAGAAGTGGCTGGATGTAAGGGAAAGGCTACTTGAGTTCCAAGATGGCAACTGGACATTGAAGAGAGGTAACTTGACCTCAGGGGAGAGTGACCTGCTCTTCCCATCCCATTTCCAGCTTCCCTGTCTGCTGAGAGCCACTTTCATTGCTCAATAAAATTCTTCGCATTCACCGTGCTTCAATTCATCTGTGTGAGCTCATTCATCTTGGGCACCAGACAAGAATTTGGAACCTACCAACTGTGGGTATCCAAAAAGGCTGTCACACTGGCCCTCTGCCCTTGCTGGTGGAGGGCAGTCACCCCATGTGATGAAGCAAAGGTCCCACTGAGCTGATAACACACACACAGCAGAGCTAAGAGCATTGTAACACGCACTCTAGGGCTTTGGAGCTACAGACACCCCTACCTGCATGATGCCACAGGGCCTGCATGGAGTTTGCTCTTGCTGTCACTAATGTGGCTGGCTGATTCCTGCACTTGCTTGCCTATGTGCTCCTTCCCACGAGGGGTGAAGTGCAGCGGACCTGAGTGACCAGAGTTTGCTCCTGCCCGCCCTGAAGCAGCTGGTTGGTTCCAGCACTCGTTTGCTCACACGCTGCCTCCCAGGAGGGGTTGAGTGGGTGGGCTGAGTAAATGGGGCACCTCTGTTGGGAGTCCTGCAAAGGGGTCCAGAAAATATCCTGCATCATCAGCACACAAAATTATTTACTCTTGAAGCCTTAGTAATAAAACTGTAGGTAATAGAAGCTTGAACATCAGTACAGAAATAATAATTTAATGTTGTATTATTTGAAATGAAAAAAACGCTTGTGCAAACTGCGGAAATAATCATTCTCAAAAACCTTTCCCTGGGCTATATCTCAATATCATTTAAGGGGCAGAAGAAAAATACCACTCGATAACACTTTCCCCTGACTAATGCAGTTCCATAAAAACATTTCATATTTAATCAATAGTCTTTAATTTCTACGCAATATATTTACTAAATTATTCATTTATTCACTCATTTATCTATAAATTTATTCATGTCCCAATTACTCAGTGAACATCTATCTATCTGTCTAGCAGGATTCTAGTAAATGAGAATAAAGCAGAAAGCAAGATATTCAAAGTTACTGTAGTCTTGGAATTGTATTTTAGCAGGGAACCAGAGACGAAGTCATGAAATAGAGAAGGTAATTTCAGATATTAAAATTACACTGAAGTAAAAAAAAAAATGCAGGCTTCTTATAAAAGTGATGACGGAACTGCTTTGGGGTTTTGGGAACAGCATAGGCCTGAAGCCAATAAAAAGCAGGCTACTTAAAGATTTTGGAAAACAGTGTTCCAGGCAGAGAGAGAACTGCAAGTGAAAAGGTATACAAAGGAACTTGCTTTATTATTTGTTCAAGAAGACAAAAGAGCTCCATGTGGCTACAGCTTAGGAAGCAAGCCAAGGAATGAAAAAATAAGAGACTGCAGACCATAATAAGGATTTGGGATTGGATTAGAAGTGCAGTGAGAAGCCACTGGACAATTTTAAGAACAACAACATGATATTATTTGTAAAATGTATGAATTCAAAGTATTATATATACACAAAAGTGCATAAATCACAACTATACAATTTGATAAACTTTTAAATGAAATTTACACCTTAGTAACAAACAGATGAAAAAAAGAACATTACCAACATCCAGAAGCCCACCACACCACCAAAAGTAATCGTGATTCTCACTTCTATTACCATGGCTTAGTTTTGAATCATTTTTAACTTTATAAATGGAAAATATCATTTGTGTTTTGCTTCTTTTGCTCAACATTATGTCTATGACATGCATCCATTCTATTGCATGTTCTAGCAGTTTGTTTACAATTTATTTTTCTGTTCTGCTACTGTATTGATTGATGTTTAAATTGCTTCCATTTGGGGGATATTACAAATAATGCAGCTGTGAATATTCTCATGCATGTTCACAGCTAACAAACAATGGCATTTATCTTGGGTATATAGCTGAGACAGGTCATAGGTATACAAATGTCCATTTTTAGTAAATACTGTCAAAGAATTTTTCAAAGTGCATTACCGATCTATATTCATCAGCAATGTGCATGAGTTTCAGTCACTCTAAATACTCTCTAGCACATGATATTGTTAAATAAAGTTTTTATTTAACTTCATTCATGCTTCTGGGCATGGTGTGATTTTCTTGATTAAAAAATATTTATTTTATACTTTTATTTTGCATATCTTTTACCATCAAAATATAAGACATTTTCATCACCCCAAGCTTCCCTCAGGTCCCTGTTCAGTTAACCTCTAACCTCTCACAGCCCCAGGCAACCACCAATCTGCTCTTGGTCACAATAGATCACTTTGGCCTCTTCCACAATTTCATATGTGTGGACTCATAGTATAGGGACTCTTTTGTGTCTGCCTTTTTAAAATTCTGCATATTTATTCATGTCATGTGTATCATTAGTATTTTTATTTTTATTACAAAGTAATATCCCTATATATTTGTATACCATCACTGGTATACCAACAATGTCAGCCATTTTTTTAATCCAATCATTTGTTGATGTAAATTAGAGTGGCTTACAGTTTTGGTTATTATGAATAGAGTTACTATGAACATTCATGTGCAAGTCTTTATAAGGACATATTTTCTTTTCTTTCCGCTCCACCTTGAAATTGAATTAGTAGGCTTCATGCTAAGTATATGTTTAATTATATCAGAAAGCGCTGAACAGTTGGGCAAATTTACCCCTCTAAAAGCAATACATGAAAGTTTCACTGTCTTCACATGCTTGTCAACATTCAGAATTGACTGCCATTTCAATTTTAGCTATTCTAATGAATGTGTGGTGTTAATGGTGCCTTTAAAAGGACGGATGTTTTAACTTTCATGACATTGATTTTTTTCTTCTTAAATTGGTACTTTATACACAGAAATATTTGCTTACCTCTATACTGAAAAGATAGGCCAGATGCGGTGGCTCATGCCTGTAATCCCAACACTTTGGGAGGCCAAGATGGGTGGATCATGATGTCAGGAGTTCGAGACCGGCCTGACCAACATGGTGAAACCTCGTCTCTACTAAAAAATCCAAAAAATTAGCCGGGCATGGTGGCATGTGCCTGTAGTCCCAGCTACTCAGGAGGCTGAGGCAGGAGAATCGCTTGAACCCCGGAGGCAGAAGTTGCAGTGAGCCGAGATCACGCCACTGCACTCCAGCCTGGACGACAGAGCGAGACTCCGTCTCAAAAAAAAAAAAAAAAAGATGTTCTTATATGTTTTCCTCTAGATCTTTATAGTTTTAGCTTTGACCTGTGAGTCTATGATCCATTTTATGTTACATTTACTGTATGAGATTCTGATCAAGGTTCACTTCTTTTCATATGTATATTCCAGAGTATTAGCACCATTTGTTGAAAAGATTATTTTTTCCTGTTGAATTATCTTGGTACTAAAAAAAGCTAATTGAACATATATGTATGTGAATGTACTTCTGGACATTTTCTTCTGTCTTATTATTTGATATGTCTCTCCCTTACAGCAATATCAGCCTGTGTTAATTACTGATGTTTTATAAAAAGTTTAGAAAACAAGTAGTGTGGCCGGGTGCTGTGGCTCATGCCTGTAATCCTAGCACTTTGGGAGACCGAGGCAGGTGGATTGCCTGAGCTCAGGAGTTCGAAACCAGCCTGGGCAACACGGTGAAACCCTGTCTCTACTAAAAAGTACAAAAAAATTAGCCGCGTGTGGTGGCAGGTGCTTATAGTCCCAGCTGTTTGGGAGGCTGAGGCAGGAGAATTGCTTGAACCCAGGAGGCGGAGGTTGCAGTGAGCCGAGATCGCACTACCACACTCCAGCCTGGGCGACAGAGGGAGGCTCCATCTCAAAAAAAAAAAAAAAAAAAAAAAAAAGAAAAAGAAAAATTGGTAAGTCTAAGTCCTTTAATTTTCTTTTCTTTTTCTTTTTTTAATTTATTATTATTATACTTTAAGTTTTAGGGTAATGTGCACAATGTGCAGGTTATTTACATATGTATACATGTGCCATGCTGGTGTTATAAATGTTTAGAATCAGTTTATTGGTACTTGAGGAAAAACCAGCCTGCTTGGATTTTGATTGGGATAACGTTGAATGTATACATCAATTTTGGAAGAATTGATCTGAACAATATTGAGTCATCCAATTGATAAATGAAGTATGTCAGTTCAATTTTTTAGTTCTTCATCTCTCTCATTATTATTTTCTAGTTATAAGTGCACAGGCCTTTCATATATTTTGTTAAATTTATCCCTAAATAGTTCATGATTTTGATATTCTTGAAAATGGAATTGGGCCATGCATGGTGGCTCACACCTGTAATCCCAACACTTTGGGAAGCCAAGGTGGGTGAATCACTTGAGGTCAGGAGTTTGAGACCAGCCTAGCCAACATGGCGAAACACCATCTCCACTAAAAATACAAAAAATTAGACAGGCATGGTAGTGCACGCCTGTAATCCTTTGGGATGCTGAGGCAGGAGAATCGCTTGAACCCAGGAGATGGTGGTTGCAGTGAGCTGAGATTGTGCCACCGCTCTCCAGTCTGGGTGACACAGTGAGACTCTGTCTCCAAAGAAAAAAAAAGAAAGAAAATGAAATTGATAGTTAATAGAACTCATGAGAAAGAATATCTTTGACTTTTGCACTTAGTCTTCACTAGCAAGTTCATCATTAGCTGTAGGTTTTTTGAAGGTACCCCTTATCACATTAAGTAAATTCTCTATTATTCTTAGTTTGGCTGGGATGTTTTATAATGAATGGGCATTGAATTTTGTCAGATGTTTTTTCTGCATATAAGAAATCATCATTTCATTTAATTATGCCTGCTTTTATTGATATAAAGTTTTTTTCCATTGTATTCTGGTTTTTTTTTCCTTTTAATGTCTATAGGATCTGGAGTTACATCTTTTAAAAAAATTTCCAATATTGATTATTTGTGCCTCTTTTTTTCATGATCAACTTAGATTTTTATAGATTTTATTTTTCTTTAATAAAAACATCTTTTGTTGTCATTAAATTCTCTATTGTTTTGTCTACATCCTTAATTTCAAATTTTATCTGTTATTTCTTTGTTTTTACTTAGTTTGACTTTAGTTTTTTTACTTTAAATTTTTTAAGTTTTTCTTCCTTTGAAAAAGTTTCTTAAGGTGGAAGATCACAGATTATGTGTGTATATGTGTATACATATATCTTCCACCTTAAGAAACTTTTAGACTGATTTAGTTCTGTTTTCACCTGAAACTATATATTATATATGTATATATATACACACACACATATATAATATGAATCTATATCTTCAGTAGTATCACACAAATCCTCATATGTTGTGCCTCTCATTTTTATTTCAAAAAAAGTTTCTCTTATTTATTTTTCTTCCAACAATTCATTATTTAGAAATGAGCTGATTAATTTCTATATATCTGAGGATTTTACAGCTATCTTATTGTTATTAAATTCTAAGCCAATTCTATTTTGGTCAAAGAAGGTACTCTGTATTATGTCAATCCTTTGAAATTTATAGAGACTCTTTATATGGTCCAGCATATGGTCTATTTTGGTGAAAATTCCACATACGTGTGAAAATAATGTGTATTTTGATGTATTGGATACAGTGTCCTACAAATGTCAATTAGGCAAAGTTTCCTTTCCTTTTCTTTTTTTTGAGGCAGAGTTTCGTTCTTGTTGCCCAGACTGGAGTGCAGTGGTACTGTCTTGGCTCACTGCAACCTCCACCTCCCAGGTTCAAGTGATTCTCTTGCCTCAGCCTCCAGATTAGCTGGGATTACAGGCGTGCACCACCACGCCCAGCTAAATTTTTTTGTATTTTAAGTAGAGATGGGGTTTTACCATGTTGGCCAGGCTGGTCTCGAACTCCTGACCTCAAGTGATTCACCTGCCTCGGACTCCCAAAATGCTGGGTTTACAGGTTTGAGACACCGCACCTGGCCTAGGCAAAGTTTTCTATTACCACTTTGCTAGAGATTCAAACATGTTTTCTTACACTTCTTGTAATAATCGTGTGGCATTTGTACTTTATTTTATTAATGTGGTGAATGATGTTGATTGATATGCAAATGCTATTCTAATGTTGCATTCCATGACTATACCTAATTTAATGATAATGTAATGGCTTTTAAATATAATGCTGTATTTGATTGTTTTATATCTTATCTAGGACATTTGCCTCTTATTTTCATGAGAGAATAGCCTTTAATTTTTTTTTCTTGTAAAGTTGTTCTCATATATTTTGGTATCAAAGTAATTCTCCCTCCAGAAAACAAGCTGGGATATGGTCTCTCTTTTTCTTTCCTCTGAAAAATGTTTGCATTAGTCTGATTTTAGTTCTACCTTCACCTGAAGTTATATGTGCCTGTAGTTTTTTGTGTGAGAAAGTTTTTCATTATAGATTCCATTTCTATACAAAGTGTTCCTACAAATAAATAAGAGGGAGACAATTCAATTTTTACAAAATAGGCAATTTTTTTAGCAGAAACTTGACAAAGGATATTCAAATAACCAAAAACTGGTCAAACTGTCCAACTTCATTATTCATCTGGGAAATGATAATTAAACCCACAATGTAATGAATTACGTATCACTGGAATGGCCAAAACAAAAATCACTGAAAATGCCTTAAAGATATGAAGCAACGGCTGGGCGTGGTGGCTCATGCCTGTAATCCCAGCACTTTGGGAGGCTGAGACGAGTGGATCATGAGGTCAGGAGATTGAGACCATCCTGGCTCACACAGTGAAACCCCGTCTCTACTAAAAATACAAAAAAAGTTAGCCGGGCCTGGTGGTGGATGCCTGTAGTCACAGTTACTCAGGAGGCTGAGGCAGGAGAATGGTGTGAACCCGGGAGGTGGAGCTTGTAGTGAGCCGAGATGGTGCCACTACACTCTAGTCTGGACAACAGAGCGAGACTCTGTCTCAAAAAAAAAAAAAAAAAAAGATATGAAGCAACTAGGCGTTCATAGAGTACACATCACCAAAAAGGATACCCTAAATCTTAATTAATACACAGAAAGATACACAACCACATTAGTTATCTGGGAAATTTAAATTAAAACCACAATAAGATACCATTACATACCACATACATATGAAAAGATTTAAAAAAGGCTAACAACAAAAAATATTGTTCAAGATGTGGAACAACAGGAGCACACATATGATCTGTGACTATAAGTGAAACGATTCCATTGTCTGGGGTAAATAGCCAGGGTTCGTTGTCTCATGCCAAGAAAATTAAGGACAGGGACACACATGAGCAGTGGGTTTAGGAGCAGTAAATTTAATCGTCAGAGAAGAAGAGAGAGAAAGCTTCCTCATGTTGAGAAAGCAGGTTGCCCAAGAGAGGGTTTCCGGGTTTGGGGCAGAACACAATTGATTTTGCAGAGAGGCTTGAGGAGGTGGTGATTGATTTTCACAGGGCCCAGGGGATTGGTTTGACCAGGTGTGCCATTTACATAGCCCAGGAAAAGACTGGCCCTCCCATCCTAATCTTTTATTATGCAAATGTGGCTTCTACCTGGCTGTCACCATGACACCTGCACACATGGCGACAAAGAAAGAGGAGCAGGAATTGCCATACTCGGGGGACCTGGCTTCTAGTAGAGCCACCCGCATTTACATATGCAAGCTTCCAGCTTGCTTGCAGCTTGACTTTTCAGGCTGCTTTCTGTTAGAAAAGGAATGATTTTGGGGGTGCTTTTTATTAAAGGAAAATTCCACCAAGAACTCTTTTACCCTTGCTAACTGCCTAAAATAATTTCTTATTATAAGGACTTCGGAAAACTGGACATTGTCAATTATGGTAAAATATATTCATATGTTATGATAATGTACTCCAGTCCAACATATCATATCCAGTTATCCCCATGTGTACAAAGATACATGTGCAAGGTTTAGAACAACTTGTATTACTGTTTAGAACAACTCAAATTTTAATAAATAGTAGAATAGAAGAACAATTTGTAGCATATTTCATATTTATTCAATGGGCAGAAATAAAAATAAATCAGCTATGCTACATGATGAATCCTCTAACATAACTTTGAGTAAAATAAGTTGGTTACAAAAACTATATACTCTTTACGTAAATTATATTTCTTAACAAAACATAAGTGCGTGATAACATATAAAGAAAAACAAATACTAATACCATAAGTACCAGCAATATTCTATCCCCACAATGTAGGGAGAGAGTTGTGTTCCATAAGGAGCTCCTGAGGACAGATATCAATGTTCTATGTATCGACCCGAGCAGTGATAATGTATGTCATTTGCTTTATAATATTGATTAAACTGCTATTTTACATTCCTATATATTTTATGGTTTTCTATTTTATAATAAAATGTTAAGCATTCACAAAGTAATATTTTCAGCTACATAAAGTATTTTCATACTCAAATAAATCTCAAGTGTTTTTATTATTTTAAAAAATTTGTCCCATCTTTCAAACGCTACGTCACCTCAATTCTAGGCTTTCTGCTTGAACATCCTGTCTCTAATTAGTGAGTTTACAGAAATGTAAAGTTATTTTCCTTTGCCTGTTCATGGTTTTCTTTATTCCTTTTGGTGAAGGTCATGCTGGTAGACCTACTACAGACAGTGGAGCCAACACATCAGAGGTGGGAGCACAGCAACCTTTGCTTCTCAGATTAATTAGCCCACTCTTCATTGGAGGCATTAGGAATTAACTTCTGAGCTGGATATAGTGTTCCCCCAGCCTCGGAAATTGAGACAACTGATCACCTTTTGTATTCTCTGGCAGCTTCTCTATAGTTAAAAATTCATTATACGCTACTAAATGTACCTAGCTACACACACACACACGCACACACACTCACACAAACATACATACACACCAACACACATACTTATGAAAGGGAGGGTGGTCCCATTCCTTCTTGAAGGGGTCATCTTGTCTCAGAAAATTGTGGAATCAAAGGCCTTACCCGTGCACATGAGCTTCTCCAAGCCAATTCTAGTCTAGCTATATTTATTCTCTCATGCAGAAATTTTAACAGGAAAATTGACCTTATGTAATCTTCCCTTCACTACCTTACAAACCATTTCATCCACTGCTTGGAAGGTAAGGTAGTTAATTAGAATTTGAAAGAGAAATGTGACAAAGTGCTTAAATCCCCATCTCCTTGTAATACTGATTTTTTCTTTTCTTTTTTTTTTTTTTTTGAGACAGAGAATCACTCTGTCGCCGGGGCTGGAGTGCAGTGGTGTGATCTCGGCTCACTGCAACCTCTGCCTCCTGGGTTCAAGCGATTCACCTGCCTCAGCCTCCTGAGTAGCTGGGATTATAGGCACGCACTACCATGCCTGGTTAATTTTTTGTATTTTTTTTTTTTAGCAGAGATGGAGGTTTCACTGTGTTAGCCAGGAAGGTCTTGATCTCCTGAGCTCGTGATCTGCCTGCCTTGGCCTCCCAAAGTGCTGGCATTACAGGCGTGAGCCACCATGCCCAGCCGGTTTTTCTATTCTATATCTATAGTCAAGATCATTTTTCTAAGTTCCTGAACAAAGAATTGCGTATCAACAGAGAATGTCTATTTAACATATCTCCCCTATTGACAGCTCAAAATTAACAAGAATAAGATTATGAATTTACTTTAATTAGGCTTTTATCCCCATCATCCCACTTAAGGTCAATTCATCCTAGTTTAGAGGGGACTCAATGTGGCAAGCAGAGCTCTTTATTTTGCTATCCCTTCATTTAGTGTCTACCATTTCATTAAATTGTACCAAGGTTTATTCAATTTTGTAGGCCAAAGAGCTAGAAATTGTCTTTGCTTTTTGTGGTATGCAAAATTCAATTCAATCCATTAGTCCTTCCCATTCTACTTTCAAAATCTGTCTTAGCTTAGCCTGCCATAAAAAACAGACTGGTTGGCTCAAACAACATAAATGTGTTTTCTCACAATTCTGGAAGTTAGAAGTTCAAGATCAAGGTGCCAACGCAGATAGTTTCTTGTGAAGGCTCTCTTCCTTCCTTATAGATGGCTGCCTTCTTGCTCTGTACTTATATGACAGAGAGCTCTCTAGTGTCTCTTCTTTTTTTATTTGTATAAATTGAAGGAATACAAATGCAATATGTTTGATGGAACTATTGCGTAGTGGTGAAGTCTGTGTTTTTAATGTATCCATCAACCAAATAATGTATATTAGATCCCTTAAGTAACTTCTCATCATCCACCTCATTCCCTTCCCCTCCACCCTTCTGAGCCTCCATTGTCTACCATTCCACACTCTATGCAGATGTGTTCACATTATTTAGCTCCCGTTTATAATGAGAATGTGCACCATTTGTCTTTCTGTTTCTGAGTTGTTTCACTTAAGATAACAACCTCCAATTCCATCTATGTTACTGCAAAAGACATTATTTCATTCTTTTGTATGGCCAAGTAGTATTCCATTGTGTATATATGCCATATTTTATTTATCCAATCATTTATTGATGGACACTTAGATTGATTCTATATATTTGCTGTTGTGAATAGTGTTGCAATAAGCATATAAGTTCAGGTATCTTTTTTATATGATTTTCCTTTGGCTAGACACCCAGTAGTAGGATTGCTGGATCAAATGGTAGTTCTGTTTTTAGTTCTTTGAGAAATCACCATACTGTTTTCCATAGAGGTTGTACTAGTCCTCAAAAGCACAAACAACAAAAGCAGACAATGAGACAATTAAACTAAAAATCTTCTGCACAGCAAAAGAGATAGTCAACAGAGTGAACAAAAAACTTGAAGAATAGGGGAAGATATTTGCAAACTATGTATCTGGCAGGGGACTGAATATCCAGAATTTACAAGGAACTCAAGCAACTCAGTAACAACAACAAAAAACAAATATTCTCATTAAAAAGTGGGTGAATGACACGAATATACATTTTTCAAGAGAAGACATATAAATGTCCAATAAGCATATGAAAAAATACTCAATATCACTAATCATCAGAGAAATGCAAATTGAAACCATAATGAAATATCATCTTACACCAGTCAGAATGGCTATTAAAAAAACAAAAAACTACAGATGTTGGCAAGGATACAGAGAAGGAGGAATGCTTACACACTAGTACCTCTTCTTAGAAGGGTGCTTTTCCCATAATAAGAGTCCCACACTCACAACCTCATCGAAATTTATTTATCTGCCAAAGGCCCCATCTCCAAGTAGTATCACGTTAGAGATTAGGCTTCAACATGTGAATTTTGGGGAGATACAATTCAGCCCATAACAAAGATTAACCCAAATGTAAATATAGTTTTTGATGGGAAACATTTATATTAATTATTTATACATGTTAGCAAATGAGCACAAAAAGAGTCAGGCTAGAGGAGGTTAGAGAAGAGATGAGTAAATTTTCCATTGACAGTATTCAACACAAACTTTTCATGCTTGGCAAAAACCTCACTCCAAGAGAGCAGTATTGCTTGCAATTAAATGTCTCCTTTGGCTAGACTCAGGTAGAGACAATTGTGTACCTTTTGCTAGCTGCATGCTGCATTTTCCCCCACTTTATATAACCATCTGAAAACACATCATTTTAAATATAATACATTATTAAATAACACATATTTTTGATTATATTTTTCTTTTGTTTTTGTTTTTTAGAGATGGGATCTTGCTACATTGCCCAGGCTGGAGTGCAGTGGCTATTCACAGGTGCAATCATAGCAGACTACAGCATCAAACTACTGAGCTCAATCAATCCTTGTGACTCAGCCAAAATAATTGAAACTACAGGTGTGCACCATTGGACTGTTTATAAGTACCCTTTTGTATATCACATTCATGATTTTTGTGACAACCATATGGCCTCTACATATTGTGTCTGTATAGAAACCAAAATTCTTCATATATTTTTTATTTTGGTAAGAACACCTAACATGAGATTTATCTTTTTAACATATTGCTAAGTGTACAATACAGTATTGATAACTGTAGGCACAATGTTATACAGCAAATTTCTAGAAGTTATTCATCTGACGTAACTGAAACTTTATACCTATTGGATAGCAACTCCCCATTTTCCTCTCCCACCAGCCCTGGCCCCAAAATTCTATTTCTTGCTTCCATGAGTTTGACTATTTTAGATACCTCATAAAAGTAAAATAATGCAGTATTTGTCTTTCTGTGAATGACTTATTTTACTCACAATAATGTCATTTCTCCAAAGAAGACATACAAATGGTCAACAGGTATATGAAAATATTCTCAATGTTACTAGTTATTGGGAAATGCAAATCAAAGCCCCGATGAGATTCATTTCACCCGTTAGGATGTCTATTATAAAAAACAAAAGACAGCAAGTGTTGGTGAAGTTATGGAGAAATTGGAGCTTTTGTACACTGTTGGTGGGAATGCAAAATGGTACAGCCATTATGGAAAACCATATAGAGGTTCGACAAAAAAAATAAAATTAGAGCTAACGTATGATTTAGCAATTCCACTTCTGGCTATTCATCCAAAAGAATTGAAATCAGGATCTCAAAGAGATATTAACACTCCCATATTCATTACAGCATTATTCACGATCACCAAAATGTGGAAACAATTTAAATGTCCTTTAATATATAAATGGATTAATAAAATGTGTATACATGCAATGGAATACTATTTGACCTTAAAAAGAAGGAAATACTGCAATATGTGACAACATGACTGAACCTAAATGAAAAAAGCATTCTTTTATAAAACATCTAAATTTTAATACATTATTTCTCTAATCAAAATTATCCAAAAGTTTCTCATCAAATTTTTATTAAAATTTAAATTTTTTTTTTTTGAGACGAAGTCTTGCTCTTGTCTCCCAGGCTGGAGTGCAGTGGCGCGATCTCGGCTCACTGCAACCTCTGCCTCCTGGGTTCAAGGGATTCTCCTGCCTCAGCCTCCTGGGTAGCTGGGATTACAGGTACCTGCTACCATGCCTGGCTACTTTTGGTATTTTTAGTACACGCCCAGGTAATTTTTGTATTTTTGGTAGAGGCGGGGTTTCACCCTGTTGGCCAGGCTGGTTTCAAACTCCTGACCTCGTGATCCGCCCACCTCAGCCTCCCAAAGTGCTGGGATTACAGGCGTGAGCCACCGTACCCAGCTTAAAATTTAAATTCTTAAGCACAGCCCGCAAAGGCCTACATAATTTGGACTTTAACCAGTCTAAAATGTAATTTTTTAGTAATCATCCCTTGATTAGTACCAGTTCCGGTTTTATGCTTTTCTTCAACACAATAAAACTGTTAATCCTCCAGGAACTCTCTATTTGTTTTTTCCTAATCCTCAAATGCTCTCCTAAGTCTTCACTTAATTAGCTCCTCACTTATGTGAGGCGCTCTTCCATCTTTATCAACTCTTAGAGACAATTCCTAACCAAATTAAACACCTCACTGTACCCTATTTCTTCCCCTCCACACAATAGAACATTTTGAAAATTCTTGCAAGAATGAAACTCAGGAAGACCTGAAGCTTAATCTTACTGGGACATATTTATTTGCTAAGTTAACCCTCCTCACACACACAGGTCTCATAGCTACCATTTATTTGCTTACTTCCCATCTTTCCTACTAGAATGGAAACTCCACAGGGACTATATTTGTTCTTGAATTTCCAGTTGTTATAAAGCTTTTCAGCATAAGTAGATGTTTGATAAATATTTATAGAATAAAAGAGCACCTGAAACTGATGAAAAATCTACTCTTTTCCTTATATTTCACGTTCTGGTGAATGGTACCTTCACCAACCCAGGCAGTCACACCAAAACCTTTGGGTCATCCTTGACTCTTTCTTTTCCCTTTCCTACTACAACTAATCGGACCTCTCAACTTATTAATTCTAACTCACTAACATATCTTAAGTTTGCTTTTTTTTCCCATGACTATTTTCACTAAAATTTTATGCAAAACATGAAGGATAGGTGTGTTTTTTTATCCAAGAACAACGTATATGCATACAATGGATATTTTCTTATTGAATAAAATGATTGAAGGAAAGAAATATGGTATCTGATTTTTGAAATAAATGTTATATTTTATTAACTAAAGACTTCAGACTTCAAAGATGTTAAGTTCAATTTAATGGAGCCTTCAATTTAATGGAATAGTCTGGGACCCATCTCATTCCATTAAAATGAAAATTTTTTTAAATGGAAGTTGAATTTTCTTCAGTATACACATATGCATACATATGTTCAATAGAGGTTAAAACAACAGGAGATAAAATATTCATTTTTTCATACATTGTGAATTAAGACACCAGACCTGTATTTAAGATGACATAAAATTATTTACTGAGTATCAAGTTTTATTCAAAATGTGTAATGCTAAGTAAACAAAGAGAAATCTGCCTTACTAGACATTATTTTCCAAGTAGAAACAAAGGATAAAGTACTATAGAGATATTTGATAGATTATTTGTTTAAAGGTTTCTGGAGGTATAATTGATACACAAAGAAGTACACATACTTAATGTGTACAATTTAAATAATTTAGACATACGCAAACACCCATGTTATCATCATCACAATCAAGATGAAAGACAGCCAGGTGTGGTGGCTCACGCCTGTAATCCTAACACTTTGGGACACCAAGGCGGGCAGATCACCTGAGGTCAGGAGTTTGAGACCAGCCTGGCCAACATGGCGAAACCCTGTCCCTAGCAAAAATACAAAAATGAGCCAGGCGTGGAGGCGCATACCTGTAATGCCAGCTCCTCAGGAGGCTGAGGCAGGAGAATTGCTTGAACCCAGGAGGCGGAGGTTGCAGTGAGCCGAGATTGCACCACTGCACTCCAGCCTGGGAGAGAGAGCGAGATTCCGTCTCAAAAACAAAACAAAACAAAACAAAACGATAAAAGACACACCCAATACCTCCCAAAATTTCCTTGCATCCCTTTGTTCTTGCTTTTGTTTAATAAATGGCATAGAATTTAGTGATTTTTAAAGTCAGGGCAGCACATTTCATTTGGGGTTGAGATTGTTAGAGAAAAACTTTACAAATGAGGAAGGATTTAAACAAGGCTTTTAAATGGAACTTACAATTTAAAAAAATAGAGAAGAAAAAATAACACACATTCAATGAAAGAATGTAGGCAAATGAGTGGAGATGGGAATGAGGAACTATGTATTTAAAGGAAGTGAAAAGAGCAATGTTATTGAAGTAGGTGGATAGAGATTTATAAAGTGATAAAACTCAGTAAAGGACAGATTGTGAGGAATTCTGACTGCCCAGATAATGAATCAGAAATTTTATTCTATCAGCAAAGGAGAGTGAATGAACACGTGTAATTACCCACCTAGAAAAAATATTTTAGGAAGATAATGAGACTACGGTGTGTATTATGGAATGGAGATTGAAAGAAAGCAGCAAATTAAGTAGTTAACTCTTATAGCTCAAGGGATCGCTAACTGTATGTTGTGAGGATGAATGGTACATACCTTTTTTAAGGGAAAATAATCTACAAAGAAAAGGCATCCAAAAATATATAGGAAGTATAAGATAATAAATAGTTTTTTTCTATTCACCTAAAGGTCTAAAGCAAATATTCCCGATTGGAGGATGGCTCTACTTCATGAAGTGATTGAGGGACCAGGATCCTTCTATCTCGTGGCTCCTCTATCTGCTAGGGCTTTGCTTACATACGTCAACCCAGTAGAAGAGAACGGATAATATGGAGAAGACACAGCCAATTTAAAAGCTAAGGTCCACAAATAGCCCACATCCCTTTGCTGGAACTCAGTCTTACAGCTAACTTCAAAGTCTTCTCCAAAATATGATTTAGTTTTGTACCCTGGAATAAAGAAGATGACTTAGTTTTATGAATATTTATTAGGCTTTGCCATAGTTGCCTCCTTTTGTTATCCCTTTGAAATGCTCTTCCTATATTTATAACTCCTAATCCAAAGAAAGAGAAAAATTCCAAACTAGAAATGTCATCCCAATCTAAATCAAGGTGTGGAGGATACATCATGCCCTCTTTCAGATGTGGATGTGATTCCCTGTGGTCTGGACCAATAGAAAATGAACATGCAAGATATATTTCACTGTCTTGAAACTCGATATCCAACAGCAGGTAGTGAGAGGAAAGGACAAAAAATCTTACATTGGGAAAATGGAAGAGTGAGAAATATACAAAGTTAATGGCTGAAACCAACCCAATTGTTCCATAAACAGTTCTTTTGGATAAAGAAAGAAATGGACCCTTCTGGTCTTAAAGCTTGAAACTTATATTTGTTTTATCTGAGTTCCTTCCTCAGGAAAGGACTCCCAAGCCTTTCAAAAAGTATCAACGAACTGAAACTCACCACATCATCACATACAGACAATGAGATGCCAGATCCCTCATTTTGTTTTTTCTCTTTCTTTCCTTCCTTCCTCCCTTTTTCTTTCTTTCTTTCTTTTGTCTTGCTCTGTCACCCAGGCTGGAGTGCAGTGGCGCGATCCTGGCTCACTGGAAGCTCCGCCTCCCAGGTTCACGCCATTCTCCTGCCCTCAGCCTCCCAAGTAGCTGGGACTACAGGCACCTGCCACCATACCTGGCTAATTTTTTTGTATTTTTAGTAGAGATGGGGTTTCACCATGTTAGCCAGGATGGTCTCGATCCGACCTCGTGATCTGCCCGCCTCGGCCTCCCAAAGTGCTGGGATTACAGGCGTGAGCCACCGCACCTGGCCCTTCGTTTTGTTTTCTTACCCCTTCTGAGTTCCTGTTTTCCAACACGTTGTTACATTTCTTCCCTGCTATATGAACTGCTAACGTTAGTCAATAAGGGAGACGAATTTGAGACTGATCTCCCATCTCATTGACTGCAGCACAGGATTAAAGCCTTCTTCCTTGGCAATACTCATCATCTCAGTTATTGGTTTTCTGTGTGGCAAGTAGCAGGACCTAAACTGAACCACTGGTGTTTCCATAACATGGTGCATACCAAGATGACAACATATGAGACAGGTATTATAAAAAAAATCCCTGATATGGGAAAGTCTGATTAGATTCTGAGTCTGATTTCTATAAGGAAATATTTACTTTTAGCTTTCATGGCCATATGTTCAACAGGCTTTGGAAAGTTTACCCTCCTGGAGTGATGCAGTTTTGCAGGCCACTTCAGTATATGACAAGTGTGGCTGGGCATGATGACTCACACCTGTAATCCCAAGAGTTTGGGAGGCCAAGGTGGGAGGATCACTTGAGGCCAGGAGTTTGAGACCAGCCTAGGTAACATAGCAAGACGCTGCTACAAAAAATTGAAAATTAGTCGGGCATGGTGGCATGCATGTGCAATCCCAGCTACTCAGGAGGATGAGGCAAGAAGATTGCTTGAGCCCAGAAGTTCAAGGTTACAGTGATCTATGATTGTACCACTGCACTCCAGACTGGGCAACAGTGAGACTTTGTCTACAAGTTTATAGTGTAGGCTAGAGTTTGGTGTATTTGTCAATTATGTTTCCCAGAAATTTAGTAGAATTCTAATTTGCCTCATATTTAAAAAAACAAAGTTTTTTCATTTCTGTACTGTGTATATTTCATTCTCTTTCTGCTTGAAAACTGATTCTTGAATAGGCTAATGTCTTATTTTCTAATACTGTGTTAAGAACAGCAAACAATAGAAAACACACTAATGCTCTGGCTATTTCCAACAAAACCTTTCCAGACTCTGTGGACAAGTGTTCTAAATTCACTTATACAAGTCGCAAATTTTATATCTGGATTTTTTTAATGAGGCATATTTAAAGTGTATGTATAGGGCTTAAGTGATTAGATGATCTGAAATATTTAATCATTCTAAATCTGAGGTTCTTGGGAAGAAGCTCTACATGACTCTAAAGATAAACGTGAAACTCCTGAGATTGGGGAGGAGAAAAGCTTCCTTCCTTTAGTAGATTTGTGAATAAAAGAGATTTCGATATTAAATAGGAGAAACCATATGCATAACCAAAAGAATTTTCTCAGGATCACATGTGCCTCTTTTTGTCTTGCAGCAAAAGAAAAAGTGTTTGACCCACTATTTCTTTTTTTGAGAGCTGAAAATCTTCAGTAAAGCACAAAGATCAATTCTAGAAGGAGTAAAGTTCAAATGAATAATACAATACAGAACAGAAGCAGGTGTATGTAAAAATAAAATGCGATTTCATAACTGAATGAAAATCGTATACTTTAGCATCATGATGACAACTCTATTTTGCAGCCGTAATTGTTATCTTGTAAGAGCAGAGGCAATCTTTATTCAGCATGTTCCTTGTGAGTGTGCATGTATATGTGTGCATGTGTGAGGAGGAGAGAGGTTATCAGAACTTTATTATACTTTTTTATATATTAATTACAAATGCACATATATCCTTGATATGTTTACTCTATATTCATATTTATATGCTTATATTACATAATATTACACATATATATATTTAAATGTTATTACCTAGGAATAAAATTTTGATTCTGTTTCCGTAGAAGACTATATCAAATCTGTAAAATGCAAGAAAAAATTGGATTACTTGGAATTGATAAAAATTTGTGTTCTTTAGTTAAAAATCTTAACTCTCATTTTCTCCTACGAACAATGTTTATTTAATGAAAGATTTACCAAAAAATAATTATGTTAATATACAGAAGTCCCAAGTAGGTTTCTGTGGAAAAAGGGATAATTATATAATTAAAATGAGTAATAGTTCAGGGCTTTTTATATTTTCTATTTGATAAATAAAATTAAATTGTTCAGTCCAAAGTATAATGTTATTTTTATTGCTTAAAACAAAATGTCTAAAACCCATGCATTTCTACTTATACATACTGATTTTTTAAACCAGTCATTTATTTGGTTATACACACACACATAAAATATATACATATATATATGCAGACATATACCTGTAAATATATTCAAGGCAAATTTTATTCTTAAAAAAATGGTTTGGCTGGGCATGTTGGCTCACGGCTGTAATCCCAGCACTTTGGGAGGCCGAGGCGGGTGGATCACAAGGTCAGGAGATCGAGACCATCCTGGCTAACAAAGTGAAACACTGTCGGTACAAAAAATACAAAAACTTAGCGAGGCATAGTGGTGATGGGCGCCTGTAGTCCCAGCTACATGGTAGGCTCAGGCAGGAGAATGGCGTGAACCCGGGAGGCGGAGCTTGCAGTGAGCCGAGATCAAGCCACTGCATTCCAGCCTGGGCGATAGAGCGAGACTCCATCTCTAAATAAATAAAAAAATAAATAAAGGTTTAATCCATCTTCAAATTCTTCTAGTTTACATGGCCAAGGCATTGATAAAACTTCAGGACCACAACTCTCTTCTTTTCCCTATAGGCTTTTGTTTGTGGTTTTTTACAATTAAAATTATATTAGGCTCTACAATCATATTTTCATCAGATTAGAATTAAAAACAAAGAGCTATTACTTGTGGATGTTCTATTTATTTAACAGAATTATCTAATGGAGGCTTTTTGTTGTTTTGTTTTGCTCATATTTGTTTTTATTTATTTGTTTTTGAGACAGAGTCTCACTCTGGTTGCCCAGGCTGGAGTGCAGTGGTGGGATCTCAGCTCACCGCAGCCTCCATCTCCTGGTTTCAAGTGATTCTCCTGCCTCAGCCTCCCAAGTAGCTGGGATTACAGGTGCCCACCACCACACTTGGCTAAGTTTTTTGTATTTTCAGTACAAATGGGGTTTCACCATTTTGGCCAGGCTGTATTGAATTCCTGATCTCAAATGTTCCACCCACCTCAGCCTTCCAAATTGCTGGGAGTATTGGTGTGAGCCACTGTGCCTGGCTTTGTTTTGTTCCTATTTGTTAAGTCCTTGGATTCACCCTTTTGTATTTTAAAAAGACAGAAGCCTATATCTATTTTAATTGATATTTCTAAACAAATCTACTTGGATTTAGCAATGATATTTTACTGATATATATATTTATTCCACCAACTTCTTATCATCATATTTAATCACTCTAGTATAAAAGAAATCATGACAGTCAATACTTTTTAAAGCAAAATTAAAAAACTTTTCACTTATTAAACATGTAAGCAGTAACTTAAAAAATACTCAAGGCAATTCAAAAGAAAAATTAAGATCAGAAGCAATTACCTTGTTCCACTTGTGCAAAACATTTTTTTTTCCATTACAGGAGTTATTTATGATAGGATATTACAAATGACTGTCTTTTTTTGTGTGTGTTTACTCTCTTCTCTCTAACTGAAGCAAGAAGGTGCATATCAAATACTTTTCAGAATAGAGGCTTCTGAATATTTCATGATATCTCTCAAGAAGCATGAGTCACATACTACCAGCTTCAAAAGGGACACCTCAAAATCTTGGTAATATATAAACAGGTTAATAAAATAACTACCAAGAATGGAAATATGAAAATGTAATTTTTTTTTTGGAAAAACAATGTTTTAAAGATCACTTTCCTTATAGAATTTTGAAAAAACTTGACATTGAATGCACAGCTATGCAAACAGTAGGTTGCACAACAGGCATGTGTGGCATTCTCCTAATAATTTAAGTTAATAATTTAAAAATTGAATATTTAGAATATAGTACAGTATTTCTTAATTATGAGATTAACTTTTTAAAATCCATCAAGCTATTTTTATGGAGATAAAATTAAAGAGAAATTGGAATAGTCAAGTTCATTTATTAAAGAAACTTCCAAAACATGTCTTTTTATCTATTAGGTAACTTTTAACAAATAAATTTAAATTTGAAGAAATCTTAAAATATCTACTTTACGCTATTCATTTTAGAAACAAAAACTGACCTATACAAGATAGGTTACTTGCTGTACCGATGAAGATTAACATTGTAAGAAACATTGTCAAACTATCAATCAGAAACAGAAAAATAACTGTTGGAAGAACATCAGAAAGCTCACAAAGCTGAGAAGAAGGCCAAAGAATCAGACTGTCAAAATAACACACATGTAGTAAGATATGCAGCTGGGTATTCAGCCAAACTTAGGACACATGTAAAGTCTGATTAGGATGCCTCTGCTAGCATCACGGTGACTGGATAAACAGTGTCCTTTTTGTTATGCCTTCAAGTTTCAGAATGTCAGATCAGGACAGCCTAATTGTGCAGCCTATGTCATGTGCTTGTCTCATGGCTCTTTCAGGAAAAAAGTGGAAATATCCACCATGATGGCTTCTGTAGTGGAAAACAGGGCCCTCAGCCTACCCTGCTCTAAAAAAAGAAAAAAAAAAGCTGTTCAGATGTTCAATACCAAAAATAATGATATGTGCCTACTACAGAATTGCCAGAATCCAAATTCTTGCTTCTTTCTTATCTAAATTTCCAAATCAATAGGCCATGCTTGGTTAATCAAAATAGTAACAAGTCACAATCTCTAGGTGATGCCTCAGTATTAGGTAATAATCTTGTATCAGTAATCTAAAGTCCACCATTATGCATTCCACTTATAGTAGGAAGGATGAAAGAACAGAAAAGAAGGGCAGTTATTTAGTATCTGTCTATGTATAAGTGACACAACAAGCAAGGTAGGAAATATGAGTAAGAGGGTACATTATCTTTCTCGTTTTTCTCCAGATTGTAGGTATTTACAATGTTTCTCTTTACTCATTCTATGTTCCCATTTTTTCAGCCACCTCCTGAGCTGATTAAGAGTTAATTAGGTCCATGTGACAGGGACAGAAGGCAGGGAAATTCTGGGCACAAGAGGGCAGGTCCCTGGTGAAAGCCCCACTCTCAAGCCAAAAATCCTGCCACCATGGCCCAAAGTGAGAAATGTATATCTCTGTTTTCCCGCTTGAATGTTGCCTTTTCCAAAACCAGCCACATCCTGCCCCCACCCCCAATCCTGTGCCCATAAAAACCCCAAGTTCTGCTGGCAGAGAGGAGAAACACCTGGACGTCGGAGACTGTGGCTGGACATCAGAGAGAAGCAGCTTTACTTCAGAGGGACAGCTTGATGGTGTAGCTTTGGAGAGGCGTCGGCCAGGGATGGCTGGACTCCAGGGGAAGATTACCTTATGGGTCCATCCCCTTTTCAACTCCCCTTCCCACTGACAGCCACTTTCAACAGCAATAAAATCCCCCGCATTTACCACCTTCAATTCATTTGTGCGAACTCATTCCTCCTGGACGCTGGTCAAGAACTCAGGAGCCACAAGTATGGGTGCAAAAGACTGTCACACTGACCCTCCACTGAGCTGTGAACACTTAAGCTGTCCGTGGATTGCAAAGCTAAAAGGGCACTGTAACACTTCCTCTGGGGCTTCAGGGGTTGCAGGCACCCTCCCCTAGATGCTGCTACAGGGGCAGTACAGAGCTTGCTCTTGCCAGTGCCCAAGAGCACTCACCCCGGCTCCTGTACCCACTCACCTGTGCTCACCCTCCCACGAGGGGTGGACCAGTAAGTTAGTGGAGTTTGTCCCTGCGGGCGCCCATGCACTCCAGTTCCCATCCATTAAGGGGTCAGGGAAATATCCTCCTTCTCATGTACATATTTATTTCTGAGTGGTATAAGCCTTCAGTGCTTTTCTTTCATATAGTCACAGGAGTTTTCCATTATCCCTTACCTCAGACAGTGTAGTATGAGGAATCACTCGAGGAAATCATCCAAGTTTCATACACACTTCTTTTTGCCTCTGTTATAGATCAGCAATCTTATTTCTTCTTCATAATTTGGATCAGTTATTCCAACTAACACTTTAACTTTTCCCCCGTCCATCTTTAGTTTTTTTTTTTTCATTTTTTCTCTTTTCTCTCCCTATTATTTTTTTTTATTATGCCTGATTACCCAATGATATTAAGAGGCTGAAATTGTCAGTTGTCAATCATTTACAACTTAAAAGGAACGTTATTATATTCCACAGTGGAAACATTCATTTTAGGATTCTCAAATGAGAGCCCAGACATATGAAGATCTAAAGTAAAACTGAGTGAGTCACTGGTTTTAATCTGAAAGCCACCATCTCTTGCCGTTTAATACTTATCTCATAAATGCTGGCTAGAAATAATGATATATTATGCACTGATTTAGATCTTACCCAGCATCCTGTAAGACAATGCAGTAGTATCTCTTTTAAGTCCCTTATCACCAAAAGCCTCTGCTGTAAATTGCTGTTTATACTTACTTCAGGCCATCTTTTCTTACAAGCAAAGTGAACTACTAAATGGGCCATTTGCAATTTTGTCCACTGGAAAGATTTCACCTTTTGATAGCATCCTTCTGGGCAATCTCTAACATAACATGATCATCAATCTTTGACATAGGTCAGCAAATGATGCAGAACCGTATATAATCTAAGCTCAAATATTTTCCTCAGTTCATTGATTATAGAAAACTCCACATAAAACCAGAAGCATAGGCTAAGGAGGGATGCCAATGAGGCAGGAGTAAGCATTCCCAGAGTTTGAATCATCCTGCTCATATTACTAGATACTGGAGCACTCCTGACTAAATAACTGATTTCAGCAAATCAGAAACAAATATTTAGTTTATATTTGGTAGTACCATTTACCTCATTTACGTGGTCACCTACTGTTCTGTTGTCAGGGGAGCAAAATCCACCATGGTTTCACATAGAAAGGCTGAGCCCACTTCATGATTATATGTGTGTATATATACACTATATATTCATATATATATATATATATATACTATATATTCATATATATATGTACACACACACATATATATGCCTTTTTAGAAAAGTGTATGATTTGCTTATGAAGCCTTGACACAGTTTCCATACATCTAACATGGTTATTTTAGGTAATATTGAATCTGCTTGGACATAATGCCGAAAGGAAAGGTCCGCTTGTAGTGCATCTGCTTGGATAGATTTAACTCAAAGCGTCCTTTATATTAACGCAGCATAGATCAAGTAGTACCCTCAAATGTTGTTGAATTCAAAATCAAAGAATTCCTAAGTATTATTGTGCTTTCTCCTTAGCATTAGAAGGTGTAATCTGTGCCCTACTTTGGAAGGAATATTTTAACTTGGTCCAGACAACTGGACTCAGAAGCATTAGGATTTTTTTTCACTGGGTTTAATGTCTCTTTGTCTCTCACCCTGGCCAGCATGTGCCTTACAAAAGTGCGTGAGATTTCTACTATTTCAGTTCTATCAGTATGATGTCATAATGTAGCTGAACTGTGTGATAATGAAATGCTCAAGATTAAATTTGAGTTTAGATTCTATAGCCATAATGCAAGATGTCTGTTCTTTGTAGGTGATGGCAAACAGCCTCTATTTTTTGTTTTTGCTTTTACAGCTAATTTTGTTTGTTTGTTTTTAAATCAATACCTGTGACAAGATGTCAGGAACTACACAGATTGACTCCAGTAAGGAAGCCCCATGTGGAGGTGATAGAGGCAGGAGGCAGAGAAACTCTAGGCAGACAGGGGTAGGTCCCTGGCAAAACCCCACCTTCAAACCAAAAAGTCTGAAACCCATGGCCCAAAGTGAGAACTTTTATCCTGGTTTGCCCACTGTCTCCTGATTGGTTCTTTCCGAATAATATCTTTTTACCAATCGAATGCTGCCTTTTCCAAAACTACCTATGGCCCACCCCATCCCCCATCCTGTGCCTATAAAGACCCCAGACTCATCTGGTAGAGGGGAGAAGTGGCTGGATGTTGGGGAGAGGTGACCTGACTTCAGAGGTGATGGCTGGGCATCAGAGAGAGGCAACTTGATTTTGGAGGAGAGAGAGGCAGAGAGACGATTTGACTTCAGGAGAGAGCCATTTGCCCTTCCCATCCACTTTCCAGCTCCTTTCTCCACTGACAGCCACTTTCATCACTCAATAATATTCTCTGCATTCACCATCCTTCAATTTGTCCGTGTGACCTCATTCTTCTTGGGCACGAGACAAGAATTTGGGACCCACCAAATGCAGGTACCCAAAAAGGCTGTCACACTGACCCTTTGCCCTCACTGGCAGAGGGCAGTCGCCCCATGCAAAGAGGCAAAGGGCCCACTGAGCTGATAACACACTGCTGTCCACAGACAGAGGAGCTAAGAGAGCATTGTAACATGCCCTCTTGGGCCTTGGGGTCGCAGGCACCTCCACCTGGACTCTGCCGCAGGGCCTGCATGGACTTTGGTCCTGCCGGTGCCAAAGCAGCCAGTCGGTTCCTGCACTTGCTTGCCTATGTGCTCCCTCCCATGAGGGGTGGGGTGCGGTGGGCCCAAGTAAACAGAATTTGCTTCTGCTGGCAACGAAGTGGCTGACTGGTTACCTTACTCACTTGCCTAAGTGTTCCCTCCCACGAGGGGTTGAGCACAGTGGGCTGAATAAATGAATAAAACAGATCCCATGACGGGGTCAAGAAAATATCCTGTGTCAGAATAGCCACATATTAAGTTCATTTATGATAATCTATTGTCATTTTCTGGGAGACATCTACCTTCTTCATTAGTTAATCTGAGTTCAAGAATGGAGATACAATAAGCATCTCAATTTCTGATTTTTTCTTCAATTCTTTGACCTAATTCCCTTGATTCTTCTAAGCATGCTGGATTCCTTTTTTGTTAATTATCAGAGTTTATGAAGATGATTTCAGAAACAAACACTTGCTCCAATGCAATGGAAAAGCCGATATTCCAAGTCAGAGAACTAATGTGGGATCTTGCTATTCATCAAGCCTGTTTATAAAACACACAATCAACTAGTGGTGAAATGAATGTAGAATGGGTTTTGCAATCACTGTGGTTCTACCATGAAGCTCGTTTAGAAAACAATTCAAGTTATAACAGGACCCTTATAAGCCTACACTCACTGGCAAAGTGAATTGATGTTTTCAGTCTATATAAGTTGGTGTTAGTTCAAAGTTGGTTCAAAAGAGTCCCTTAAAATCCTGACATTTTTATTTCTCACGTATAAATTTGCCCTGGTAAAGGACCATAAGTCCTAAAGTGGAAGGCTAGGAGAAATTGGCAAAGTATTTATGATATTATTATAATGTAATTCTTCAAGAGTTAGGTTCTTCAGAAGCACGCCTAATGACAAAGAATAATGTACAAGTGATTTATTAAGGAAGTATTCCCAAGATTCAAGAACTGGAGGAAGCAAGAAAGAGGAAGAAACTGAACAAATGTGTAAATTTTAGGTAGTTTCAGCTTATTCCAACAGGGAATCTTTAGATTGTATATTACACCTCAAAATGTTCTTAGTAGAGATTATGAAGCTGGGGTTTTACATTCTCCCTCAAACATTAGTCATTTGCTAATGGCTTCTCGAGGGAATATAAACATTCAGGAACTTCGGTTCTCTGCTCATGTGGACAAAGATGTTCCAGTAGCCTAAAGGCAGTTCTGCAAAGAAGAATCAGAAGTAAAGCACACCAAAGATGGAGGAGATGCACAGAGAAACAAACAAAAAAGGATTAGAGGGGATCTCAGTGCTGCAATGATGAGGTCCACAGAAGGTACTCAATGTCCCTGAAATCAGCCCAATTGTCCCATAGAACTGATGTGTACCGCCTTTTAAAGTAAGTTTAGAAATGGACCCTCCAAGTTATAAAGCTTGAGACTTACATTTGTCTTATCTGAGCTCCTGCCTCAGGAAACCAACCCTCAGGCCTCCCAGATAGTATCACAGAACTGAAACTCAACATATCACCACACCCAGACAGTGAGAAGCCAGACCCCTCATCCTTCATGGTTTCCTTACCCCTCCCTAATTCCTGTTTACCCACATGTAGTTACATTCCTTCCCCAATATATAAATTCCCAATTTTAGTCAGTCAGAGAGATGAATTTGCGAATGATCTTCCATTATCCTCAGCTGCAGCACCTGAATAAAGCCTTCTCCCCTAGCAATACTCATCTCAGTGATTTGCTTTCTGTGTAGCAAGCAGCAGTCAAGAACTAGACCAAACTCCTAGCATTTTGGTAACATCCTCTCAATGCAAGGTCTATAGGAACTGCAAAGAACTGAGAAAGGTAACAGTGATTCAAATTAAGTATCCACTCACCAGAGTTGAAGTTTTAAATTTAGATAAATGGCATGCAGGGCTTAAAACCTAGATGATGGGTTGATAGGTGCAGCAAACCACCATGGCACATGTATACCTATGTAACAAACCTGCACGTTCTGCACATGTATCCCAGAACTTAAAGAAAAAAAAAACAACAAAACACCTTCTCAAGAACAAAAATAAATAAATAAATAAATAAAAATTAAACATGACTTTAGTGAGCTATCATTTTGGCTCTAAAGATCCTATAATCTTTTAACCACTGCCAAAGGCCACTATATACAAGATCACTTGGAATACTACTACTAATCTTGTTTATGTGTAAGCATGCCACTTCACTTACTGTTTAGGATCTTTTCCTACTACATACCCAAGGTATCTGTCATCTCTATGAAAATCAAGAGCCATTTCAATCTAGAATCTCTAACCAATAATCCAAAATTAGCCATAATATCCATCAGAACATTTCTCAAAGGTTAGAGTGACCCTGTCACCAATATAATTCTTAAAGTCTTTATAAAGGTAATGTATTTTTGACCCTCCTGGGGAGGGAGTACAAATATTATGTGGGTAGGTGGATCACACGTTGAAAGTATTACAGCATTTCTATAATCTGAAATATTTGAATTTATGAATTATTGTCATCTCAACTTCATTTATTATGGCTAATAATAGAATTTAGGTCTTCATGGAGTGCCTACGTCCTAGCTGCCAGACAGCAAGGTATAAAGAACACCTTGATCGTTATCTTATTTCTTTGCAAAGGAACCACAGATTTGATCAGATATCCCATTTTCTCCACAGACATGCAACTCATTAAAAATTGGGTCTAGTTGGTTCAGCAAAGTTCAGGTGACCTAAAAGACCTGGAAGTGTGCTTGTGAGCTTATGAAAATGTTTCCTCACTCCTAAGGGAGCAGGCAAAGCATCTCTTATTCCTCTGGGAATTGTGCTGTCCAGATTGCTGCAGCTAACAATCTGAAAAAGTAGCCAACTTTGAGGAATGAAGATAAGAGAGTTTAAAAATAACCTGGATCTTGAATGACATCACTGAGCTATTTAAATGTGTAACTCTGAAACTCTTCCTTATCTCTGAGCTTTGTGCTATTTGAGATAATGCAGTTATTTATCTTTTAATCCAGGGTGAGGTAGAGATTCTGCCACTTGCGGATGAAAGCATATTACCTGATAGACTTGGAGATGAAATGTCTTGTCTCATTGGCTTCCATGAGTGGAGGCAGATATTTGCCTCTCAAGACTTACATTATTAGCCAAGGTACATATATATAAGCAGCTCAGAACTTAAGCCCCTGTTTTATAGATGCTCTAATTTTTTCTGGGCATATTGAATCTCTCAGAGCAAAACAAGAGAGCTGGGCAGTCTGTTTTATTAGTTTTATTCATACAAAACATGAGTAAGAGCCTCTTTGTGGCTCTTGGTTCAAAATTACTCATAATTAGTTCATATCAAATAATATTAGTCATAGGCAAGGGGATAATTTGAGACTGGATTTTTCAGAAAAAGAAATTTACTTAAAAATTAATATGATGAATTCATCTTAGTTAAATGAGCAATTTTAATTAAGTAATACTCAGCAAACAGTATTGTCAAGGCTTTGCTAGCATTAGTCATCCAGAAAACCATAGAGGTTTTTCCATTTAAAAAAAGCATGTGCAGAAGATATATTTCTTCAATAGACTCACTTGACATATTTAAGTGAAACACTTATTTGGTGAGTGTGTAAGGATAGGAGGAAAAAACATGAGTATAAAATTTTATAAAATTATATTAAATTGCTTTGGAAAATGAAATACATTTTTGGCCACATAAAGTTTGCAAATTTGTAATAATTAAGTGTCAAAATACATTATAAATTGGCAGCATATATCTAGTTTTATGAATCTAGAATGTTTAAGATTTTTAAGACGATATATATAATATATAATATATATAATTTAAAAATAAAATTCACAAAAGCTTTGATACTTTGCCTAAAAGCTTACTACATAATAAAAAAAGGATATAATAATAAGCAGTCCCTAATTTAGATAAATTTTCTATGAACTACTCATTGATATCATCAGTGATTAAGAAGATATAAACACTATGTAGGGACATTTATATATATTTTCAGTCAAATGTGAGGAAATATTGCAAATTAGCCTGAGAATTTAGCACTTATGCCTGATATGTGACTCAAACAAAGGCAAAATAATACCTTAAAGAAAACAATCTGTTTTTTTAAAAAAAATACAAAAATTAGCTGGACTTGGTGGTGCATGCCTGTAATCCCAGCTACTCAGGTGGCCGAGGCAGGAGAATTGCTTGAACCCAGGAAGCAGTGAGCAAAGATCGTACCACTGTGCTCCAGCCTGGGCAACAGAGTGAGACTCCGCCTCTTAAAAAAGAAAAAAAAATCGATTTTACACCTATTAATGGCAGAAAGAAACCGGGATTGGATGAGTATTGAAAGAGACCCTTGTGTGAAACTGAGCAGAAATTTAAATGGGAAATTAAAAGAAGATATTGGTTAGGATCATTAAGAAATTTATTTTAAAAGACTATTGTAATGAGAGAGAATAGGGATATCTCTTTGTAAATCAGAAATATAGCATTGAAATTAGCATTGTCAGGTTTCAGGTTTCAAAGAAATTTTAATATGCTTTATTATATTCAAGCCTAAGAATCATTTCACAAATTAAACCTTAGGAAAATTAAAACCGTAAACAAAGTGAAAACAATAAAAACAAAAAGTGATATGAGTGCACACCTACAATAATGCATATAAATACTAAAATTGACTGTTCAAATAATTTAAAATAAAGATTAGCTATATTAATAATAGTTGTATTAATAGTGTCAACTGTTAAAATTTTTGATAAGAATTCACATAATTTAGTGGAAACTCATACTGTGAATGCAAAATTAGCCCAACTTTCCTTTAACCTTTTTACTTTTATTTCTGCAATTGTTACTCTTTGTTTTCCTTTTTTTCTTTATCTGATTTCATAAAAACTCATTTCGACCAAAGAGAAACTATTGGATCCAGTTTAATTTATTAGATGTATCTAAGTCCAAAAATAGGAACATGTTGGCCATTGAGACTGGAGAAGCTTAGTCCATAAGCCAGGATTATCATAATAAGTGTTGGAAGCATCTTTCCTTCCATTCATTGCATCAGTAGACACCACTTGAAATTTCTATGCAGCTAGAGGGATAACCAAGATAATGTCTTATCTTCCCTTTTTTAATCAAATTTCCATATTTATGCCCACTATCCCCTTCTTCCAGAGGACATTCTTTTTTCTCTAGCCATAATATTAGCATTAAGACACAGAAACATATTTAAACATGCCAAAACAGCATGACCCTGTTTATACTTTAAGCTTCTGTTCTGAACACTTCTCAATGTAATTTTATAAGTTAATCTGATCCATTACGCTTGAAGTATCAGGCTGATTGCTGTGGCTAGTACTGGCCTCAATAAGAGGCTTTACAGATTTTCAGATGTGAGTACAAGTGCTCATGAGCCCTTATTTCAGCCACCCAAAGCAAGTGGGTCCCAGAGAGTTGCTTATAATTGCAGATCTCCCTTCTCATAGCTAATTTAGAAACCCAAAGTTTGCAGGCAGCTTTCACTGCTTTTTATCAACTTTACTCTCCATTTTCCTTTTTTTTTTTTTTTGTTTTTTGAAATGATGAACATTGTGGTTCTTTCCACATTTTTACTGTTGTAAATAAAGTGGCCATTAACGTATTTTTTTAGAAGTCTTTGTATGAATATAAGCTTTCATTTCTTTGAAGTAAATAGAAGGGCTAGAAGTAGAAGGTCTGGATCATACGGTGGTGTGTGTTTAACTTTTTTTTTTTTTTTTTTTGAGACAGAGTCTTGCTCTGTCACTTAAGCTGGAGTACAGAGTGGCAGGATCTCGGCTCACTGCAACCTCTGCCTCCCGGGTTCAAACGATTCTTCTGCCTCAGCCTCCAGAGTAGCTGGGACTACCGGCACGTGCCACCACGCCTGGCTAATATTTTGTATTTTTAGTAGAGACAGGGTTTCACTGTGTTAGCCAGGATGGTCTCCATCTCCTGACCTCGTGATCTGCCCCCTTCAGACTCCAAAAGTGCTGGGATTACAGGTGTGAGCCACTGTGCCCAGCCTACTCTCCATTTTCTTCCTAGTGTTTCAAAATATGGAGTTCACACTCCCGTAAGTTCGGAAAATTTAAGTCGCACTCAGAATTTTACCCACATATGTGTAGAAACTTGAAATATTTGAAAGTCTTAATCTTTCAAAGAAAATTATATTATCATAAAAACATTAAAAGCCATCAAACAAAAACCCTGTCTAGCAAATCAGTTTAGCGAAGTTGTCAGCTCCACTGAGGGCAGGCATCATGTGTGCTTTAAGACTGCTGTTTATATCTCTGAGTATAAAGAGTGCCTGGTGCAAAGGTGACAATAAATAGTTGTTTAATGAATGGCAAGGAAATAAACTTCAGTGTTTACTATTAACTTGGCACTTGATTTCTGACTCAATCTGATCTGTGTTAGTATAAGCCTATCTCTCCTTCTTAATTGTTAGCTATGATTAGCAGAAGCTGTATTTTCTGTTATATTATTGTATTTAACAATTCTTACATTAATTTGACTTGTGTCTTTTCATCAAGTGATTTTTGTAATTTTTTTGTTTGTTTGTTTTGAGACGGAGTCTCGCTTTGTCGCCATGCTGGGGTGCAGTGGCACAGTCTTGGCTCACTGCAACCTCTGCCTCCCGGGTTCAAGCAATTCTCCTGCCTCAGCCTCCCGAGTAGCTGGGACTACAGGCACCTGCCACCACGCCCAGCTAATTTTGTATTTTTTAGTAGAGGCGGGGTTTCACCATGTTGGCCAGGATGGTCTCGATCTCTTGACCTCGTGATCTGCCGACCTCGGCCTCCCAAAGCGCTGGGATTACAGGCGTGAGCCACCGCACCTGGCCCAGATTTTTGTAATGCTGTACACATTAGTAGATACTAAAAAAACACTTGTTGACAAAACTGAATGAAGGTATGATGTCTCTTACTGGCTGAAAGTTGTTAGACTGCCTGAGCTTATTCTTAGTGAGTTTTGTTTGTCTCTTTTTTGTAAATTCCTTGTTCCAAATCCATAGGAAATGATCAATAAAGATCGACTCTTTTATTAAAAGCAATCTAAAGTTATTTAACACACTTTACTTTTAGAAACATTTCTTAGTTTTACCTAAACTAACACAGATAAGCAGTTTGCTTTCTAACAATATTTCCTGATTTTAAAAAGATTTTCTGATTCTACACGTTAAGACAATTAAACACACTTGTAATTTAACACACAAATTGTAATTTTTTTTCTCGCTTCCTATTAATGTTATGAAAACTGTTTCCTTCCCAGCCTTAAAACTCAACAGGACATATTTCATCTTGAAGGTGAATGAGAACCAACATGATGTATATGTTTAATATCCTTTACCTTAAAGGTTTTAACCAAATATGCCATCAAACTAGGCAATGGAGTTTGAAATAAATTTTATGCCAAAAATAAACACAACTATATTAAATAGAGAAAAAGTATTATAAGAGCTCATATTTGATATATATAAAACAGTAAGCAGTATATGGTATAACTATCATATCAAAGAGAACAAAAAATATACAAATAAATAGTCAAAATCATAGTTCAATTTCAAATGTATCAAATAAATTAGGGTGATAGGAATGTCACACATAAATATGTACACATGACGATGATTTTTAAACTATAGCCACATATATGATACACTGAAAACGGACAACAATATTATACATTTTGATTGGGGGACAATGGAATTCTCAATGCTTTGCTCTCAAAGCATTGTGAGTTATTACACAATACAAAATTCAATTTTTTAAAAAAATTAATGTTATTAAAGGTGCAAGTAACACTTCTTAGTTTTTGCAGTTTCAGATCATATGGTTTTGCAGGTTCAGATCATATGTTTTAAAAAAATAGTTTGTTATAGCAAAGTATTTTTAAATTGGTTACATGTAATTCGCTGTAACCTTCCTACAGTAGTATGTTCTCTCTCTCATATCTATTTATTTATATACTACATACATAAAAATTGTATATATATGATTATATATAATTTCTCACTTGGAATATATTTATATGCAATTTTATTTTTAAACTTATTCTTTTCTCAATTTTGTAAATTTTTATGTAATAAAGTTATGCCAGATTTGATAAAATTTTAAATGAAAACAAATTTTCACAAAACATACATTTTTATCTCTTCTCATTGTCTACTTAATATTTTTATTTACTAAATCAATATCCTTGTCCATATACGGGAGAATTACGCCTTTTAAGAAGCAGATTATTTGCAATAAATACTTAAGTAACAACTTTCAGATAAATTTCCATGTTTCAAGTAATCTTTTCTTTCTTTCTTTCTTTCTTTCTTTTTTTTTGAGATGGAGTTTCGCTTTTATCACCTAGGCTGGAGTGCAATGGTTTGATCTCGGCTCACTGCAACCTCTTCCTCCTGGGTTCAAGCGATTCTCCTGCCTCAGCCTCCTGAGTAGCTGGGATTACAGGCATGTACCGCCATGCCCAGCTAATTTTTGTAATTTTAGTAGAGACAGGGTTTTGCCATGTTGGCCAGGCTAGTCTCGAACCTCTGACCTTAGGTGATCCACCCACCTCGGCCTCCCAAAGTAACCTGTCAATTATCAGAAAACTTGATGACATGATTCCATTTGTCTCAGGTTAATAAACTATTATTGGGCATTAAATACATTTACCAATATCACATTGCTATAATTTTACAGATTCAAATTTATATTGGCCTGACTCCCCTGCCAAAGTTGCTTTTGAGTTCAGATCATGAGCCTATGTGTCCAGAAAGTCTTGTCAGCCCTATCCTATTCTATTCTGTTTGACTATTTGAGTCAAATATAAGTAGGCATGGTCCGAAACTCTTCTGTCTGTCTCGCAATGATTGAACTTCATATGTATATAGAGTCAGCCCTCCATATCTATAGATTCTGCAGGAGTGGATTCAACTAAAGGCAAATCAAAAATATTTGGAAAATAACAATAAAAATAATACAACAACACAAATAATACCAATTTCAAAACTAATAAAGTATATCGACTATTTACGTTGCATTTACATGCTATTTTATATAAGGGACTTGAGCATCTGTGGATTTTTGTATTCACGAAGGTCCTAGAACCAATTCTCTACAAATACTGAGAGATGACCATATATATAAATGAACATACGTAGTCATCTCTCAGTATATATTATGTATTTATATATTGTATATTATATATTCATAACATGTATTTTTATATATATATACATAAGAGAGAGAGAGAAAACATCATTATATACAACCAAAATATTCATGGTGACAACCCTAGAAAGTGAATTATTATATTTTTGTTCTAGACTGCTATTAGGAAGGGTATAACATACTTTCCCAGTTCTTCCCAGGAATAATACAGCTTTCAGGTTGACAGCCACAAGAAATCATCACTGCCATAATGCAAGATCATTGTCTCAATGGCTTTTTTTTTTTTTTTTGACAGAGTTTTTGCTCTGTTGCCCAGGCTGGAGTGCAACGGCGCAATTTTGGCTCACTGCAACCTCCAACTCCTGGGTTCAAGTGATCCTCCAGCCTTAGCCTCCTGAGTAGCTAGGATTACAGGTGCCCGCCATCACACCAGGCTAATTTTTGTATTTTTAGTAGAGACAAGGTTTCACCATGTTGGCCAGACTGGTCTCGAACTCTTGACCTTGGGTGATCCAACTGTCTCGGCCTCCCAAAGTGCTAGGATTACAGGCGTGAGCCACTGCACCTGGCTTATCTCAATGTTTTAATTTCATGTTTTCAAATATCTTTTCCGAGAATGCAGAATTTTAGAGTTCAACTTTGTAACTGTTTCCTACACCCTTTTTGTTGCATAATGATCTCAGGAAATAACTAACAGGAAGACTATGTTACAAGGTCAAAATCCTCCTTTCCACAAACCACCAGTTGATTAAATGTCCGCTGAAACATATATTTCTCTTCCAGGAAATGAAAAGTTCATTTAGAGCACTCATGCTAATATCCAGAATGGAGGTGGTGGTGGTTAGGGAACAACTAGAAAAATAAACCTAGACAGTTAATAAATTCTTCACACAATATATTTGCTAATGCACTACTAATTATAACATGGAAAACAAAATTCATTAGCTTGTGACTAAAATATTTTTTAAAGGGAGAAGTGATGTAGTGTAATTACAAAGTTAGTTATTACTTACAAAACATGTGGTTAGTTTATTGGTCCATAAAGTAGTATGCTGTCAACACCAACATTTTTATATGTTAAGCAGCGTGTCAGGTTACTGTTTTATATTTTATTTTGGTCATCTGGAAAATTGGAAGAAGTTGTCACCTATTTCATAGAGTTATTAAGGAATGTAAGGCAGTTAAATACATTTCAGGTCTAGTTCATTTTACAACTGACTCTGAAGACTGTGATTCTCTCTCTGAAATTTAAAACTTGATACCATTCTTAGAGTATCTTTTGATGGTGACCTTTTGGTCACCATCGTTTCAATTTGTTCTTGGCTGCACCTTACAAAGTTTGTTTTCTCCACATTTCTACCGGTAAGACCTAACAGTTGGAATTCAAAGTGATAGATAAACACAGAGTAACATCTGTCAGTAAGGCCACAGCTATTCTTGATGTTTCATTATCTCTTCTAATTGCAATGGGTGTACCTTCAGGATGAATGAACACACTGTTACTCATAGAAAGCTTTCCAGAGAGGAGACAAAAACTCACTAAAGCCTGAGCTAATTTAACCCCAGGCAGAGTTTAAAGTTAACCATTCATCAATTTCAATAGAAAATGTAAAGGCTGTCTGGCTTCCTTTATTTACTGCAGGAGAAAAAAAAATCACTGCAAAAATCCATAGAGCGTTTGCCTCTGCCCAAAACCATCAAGTCATTGTGAGTACTCTCAGCCTACAAAGGTTGTTCTGTCTCAACCTTCTTACTGAGAATAGCTTTCTCAAAGGGAGTTATCAGAGACAGGATGATGAAATATATTATCAGAAATGAGGTGGTTTCTTTAAAGGATTCAAGACTGTCTTAAAGTTTTTCTCTCATAAGTGTGTCATACATTGATTAGGTAATGGTAGGGCATGGACCTGTCTTAGAAAGTAGTATACAGGTAAAAGGGGATGGAATTTTGAGGGTGGATACTGTTATCTAAAAATGGAAAAATCATGATTAGATAGAATTGATGAGTGAAATAAATAGCTTATCATACTTCTAGAGAAGAATTTGCTGTAACTCACTTGGAAATCCACACACAAAATAAACTGTTATTCACAACTCTGTATCAGTCCACTAACCCTCAAATGATGATGTAGTGGATACAGTGGTCAACAAAGGGAGGCTAACAGAGGAAAGATAATCTCCTATTCATATCTAAAAAGCTTTGCTCTTTCTTACTACAGTATTTATAAATGAGAAAATGCATCAGAACTGAACTGTACAAACATGATGTCTGCTCTATAGGCCTGATAGTTTTATTTGGGCTTCTGCAAAAAGTACTCAATACTTTGTTGCTATTCACCAAGACTACATTTTCCTAATCTGCTGTAGAAAGAGTCGTAAATTTGTTTCTCCCTCGTCAACCTAAATCTCGGCTTTCTTATTTAGTCCTAAATGTATTATATTTCTGGTTCTCAATATATTCATGCAATGCGCGCTTTACAGGAAAGCAAGGGATCAAACACTTAATCTCTCCAAACAAAAATGCCCTTTAGGCAGGCCGCGGTGACTCAGGCTTGTAATCCCAGCACTTTGGGAGGCCGAGGCGGCTGAATCCCCTGAGGTCAAGAGTTTAAGACCAGCCTGGCCAACATGGTGAAACCCGTCTCTACTAAAAATACAAAAAATTAGCCAGGCATAGTGGCAGACGCCTGTAATCCCAGCTGCTCAGGAGGCTGAGGCAGGAGAATCACTTGAACCCGGGAGGCGGGGGTTGCAGTGAGCCGAGATCGCGCCACTGCACTCCAGCCTGGGCAACAGGGTGAGATTCTGTCTCAAAAGAAAAAAAAAATGCCCTTTAATACTTTTTTTTTTTTTTACTCTGCCACTCATATATCATAAAAAACAAACATACACACAAAACAAAATAAAAGGTGATAAATGACATGTTGCCAATGTTTTTATGAGACCTAACCACATTAGACATTTGACATTTCATCTCACCTCTACTATTTATTAGGCCCAAGAATCAATATTTATGTTATGTTAGATGATGTTTAACAAATCCTTGAAGGAATCATTGTTTACAAAAATGTTTCTTGAAATGATGGGCTACCAGCCTAAACACAATTATTTACTCTTTGGCTTTTGTATGTTCATAAATCACAAGTTTAATATTCAAGACTTTAACGTGTCCTTAGTCAAAGTTTTCTTTTTAATTTGGAGTAAATAAAGGAAGTTAATAAAATTTATCATGTCATTTAACATTGATGAGTTTTAATTAGAACAAATATGGTGTTGTTTCATTTTGTAAAATGAACTTTCTATAGCTGTTATTTCTCCTATGTCCATACAGTCTTTTTAAGAAAAATCTCAATTTTCACATGCAATAACATTGTATTAAAGTATATCATTGTCCAATTAAATATAAAATGTTAGTCACGGTGAAATGGGAGAGTTCCCTGATCCCCTTTGCAGTACGTGTGATGGGTGTGGCTCACCTGTTTGGTCACCCAGCTGCTCAAACCCCTTGTGGGAGAGGGGACTACGCAGATGCGCAGGTGCAGAGGCTGGGGTGAGTGATTTGGGCTCCCGCCTGGTGGTAGTGTCCTAGGGGTGGGTACCTGTAACATCAGTTCTACAAAGCTCTTTCAGCTTTGCCGTCTGCAGATGGCTTGAGTGTTAATCAGCTCAATGGACCCTCTGCCTTTTTGCAAGGGCAGAGGGCCAGTGTGACAGCTTTCTGTATCCCAAGCTCTTGCCCAGCATCCCAGAAAAATTGGGTCATACATGGGCTTGAAGGATGAATGCAAGGTTTTATTGAGTGGTGGAGGTGGCTTTTGGTGGGATGGATGGGGGGCCAGAAGCAGGAGATGGAGTGGGAAGGGGATCTTCCCCTGGAGTCAGGCTGCTCCGCTGCTGGACTCCTCTCCAATGGCCCCTAGCCAAATTCCTCTTGGTGTTCAGATGTTCCTCCTCTTCTCCCTTTCTCTGCCACAAAGTTCTGCCATCTGTTTGCTGGCTTGCTGGTCTGCTTCTGGAGCTTGGGGCTTGGGGTTTAGATAGGTGCAGTATAGGGGGCATGGTGGGCCAAAAGGCAACTTTTGGTCATGAAAACAGGAATGTCTGTCCTCATTTAAGGTTGTGAGTCTTCTGGCTTGGAAGGCAGAGTCTGCTGGCAAACATCCTCTTCTACCCAGTATTTCCCTCTCTCCTGTCCGTATCAATGGTGATCTTTTACCCAGCTATATTTCAATAATATTACTTAGAAAACCAATCTAAATATGTGTATCTTTGTATTGTATATTTATCTGTAAATATAGATGTATAGACATAGATATAACTTGTACATAATTTCAAAAAAAATTAAATGTGTAACCAAAAAGTTGGTAAAATTGCATGTCTGAGAATTATCTGTATCGCATACAAATAGGGGTTTTATTTTTTCAGGCCTGGAGAATGCAATTCAGGAATGGTGTCATTTTTTCAGAAAGATATCATCTATAAAATTTTTCTCTTCTTTCCCTCATTATCCTTATAATATGACCTTTTAAGTTATGATTGAAAAATGACTGCCCACCTATCAGGCATCAAGCCTTTGATCAAGGCAGGAAGAATAAAAAGGGAATGGGGAAAATAAATGTAAAGGATGCTGCATCCGTCCCCCTTCATTAGGAAAATTAGGGCATTCTTGAAAGACTAACATACATGATTTGTCTTTTTTTTTTTTTTTTTTTTTTTGAGACAGAGTCTCTGTCACCCAGGCTGGAGTGCAATGGCACGATCTCAGCTCACTGCAACCTCCGCCTCTCGGATTCAAGCAATTCTCCTGCCTCGGCCTCCCAAGTAGCTGGGATAACAAGCGCCCGCCACCACGCCAGGCTAATTTTTTGTATTTTTAGTAGAGGGGTTTCGCCATGTTGGCCAGGGTGGTCTCAAACTCCTGACCTCAGGTGATCCACCCGCCTCGGCCTCCCAAAGAGCTGGGATTACGGGTGTGAGCCACCATGCCCGGCCACATGATTTGTCTTTCTATCTCATTGGCTGGGATTCACAAGGCCACCCCAGGTGCAAAAGACCTGCAGGGAGGGGAGTATTTTTAACTAGACAAATATCTACTCCAAAGAGAATTATAGTCAGTAAAAGAGGAGAATGAATACTGGGTAGGCAATTAGAAAGGTCTGCAGGAAGAATATGGAACTCAGTTAATGATATTTAGGGATATATCCAGGTTGCTTCTGAGATATCTTAATTTTTAACAAATACGTCATTTTGTGTGAAATTTTTAATCTTATTAATTTATAACCACTTTTCCACTTCAACAATAAACCATACTTTTGCAATTCATTCTAACCAGATACTAGACACATTCTGTTGGACATCTTTTTTCCTTCTATAAAGAATTTTACAACTCCAGTAATAGAGACAGCTATGTACAATGATTTAATATTATACAGAATTTAGTGCATTTCCATACACATATGTATATATATGTTTATATAAATATATATGTATAGGTGTATTCGTGTGTGTGTGTGAGTGAGAGAGAGAGAGAGGAAGAGAGAGAGAGAGGAAGAGAGAGACAGAGTTCAATGGGATATGGTCTTAGATGCCTTAGAATAAGTTGGTAGATTCCACCCCACTGTCTTTCCCAGCTTGCATCTTTGATTAAGGTTTCAAGCTGTGATTGTCAACTGGACATCCATATATATATATATATATATATGGAGAAATCTGGAGGAATGTAAGAATTCCTGAAATTATCTTCCTTTTTTTAATTTTCTTGATTTCTACTTTTCCCTTTCTTGATTTCTACTTTTCCTTGACTTTTATTGTCCCCATCCTATAGTCTTGACTTGACCGTGGCTTCTTTCATGGCTTGTATGCTTTGACTTTATGATAGATCTGATTTATTTATTCTATTCTAATCTTATGCTAATAATGGAAAAATGACTCTGTAGTCTCCAACCCCTACCATCTCCTTGGTTGTACATTCTTTTATGGGTGGCCTAGCTGATTAGTGGTTTTATTCTGGTCATAGACAGTTAAAGAAGGTGAGTAATTGCTTAACAGAAATTTTAAAAAAGAAAACTACCACAAGACAATTTAAAGGTTAGTTCAAAGGGCTCAATTGAACAATAATCCATTATTATGGCAAATTTCTTTTGGCCTCATCAGAACTTTACCTCTAGTCACATGGCTCTATCTCACCCTTTCTTGGCTTCTTGTATATTCTGAACATTGATGACCAGACCTTCTTGAGATTCCATACTTTATTAACTGCCATAGTCATTATATTGTCCTGAATTTCCAACTACTTCTCCAGTTGTATATTTGTATTGACTTTTTTCTCTTTATATTCAAGAAACTATAAGGAAATGATGCCACAAGACTGTCCTTAGTCTCTGTTTTTCTTTTCTCAGTAGCTCTCCATGGGATATTTTATTCACTTTTAGTCTGTCAAGAAACAAAGTCTCTGCCAGGATGTCTTTCAGTCATGTGTATGTGCATTTCTTTTAAACTACTAGGCACCTACTTGCAACCAGTATTCTATAGAACCTTGAGAACTAACAGGGGTCCTGGGGCATTCTAAATCCCAAATCTCATGGTCCCTAAAGCAATCCCTGTGTAAAGGGCATTGAATTAAGTGGCTGAAAACTCCCATTTGTTTGACGTGCTCTCCAGGGAGCTAGTTATATTACAGCTTGGAAATGTGATCTGGCAGGTAGTTGCTGAGCAACAAAGACTGGAATTAGCTGTGGATGAAACAAAACTTCCATAAAACTTTATTAAAGACTCCTTGGAGTATATAGTGTATTTATCATGAGATTGGATTGTAGTTTAAAATGGCAATAATTTAGATTGTGGTATATTTACCAGTAGTATTTTTATATCGTGAGAAAGCACTTATTGATGTGTCTATTTGTTTATCTGTGTATTCATTCATTGTCTTGATTCAGAAGATTTAGCTTTTGTGAATTGCAATTGGATATAAGAGAACTGCAGGAAACCATAGGTCAGGAGGAACCAATATTAATTGGATCTTTTGAACTCTAATGCATTATAGCCTAATTAAAGCTCTAAAACAGATTGATTTCTCATAATGGCCCAGAAAATAGAGTTTCTTGTTTTCTGATTCACCTCACAATGTCTTTTAATGAATAATTAATGATGAAAATATTGTTAGGTTATGTGTGGGAAATGTTATACACATGAATATTCTGTGAGATTTTGGTAAGTTTTTTCACAATCTCTATACTCAAGTCTCTTTTTTTGTGTGACATTGTCATTCTTCCATGTAAGGGTGAAAAATATAATATTTTTGGTCACTGAATTTTATTTCCCAGGATCCATGAACTCTTTTATTTCTTCAGTAATGATTTGATACGGTCAAAATCTCCTGGTCAGCCATTGCATGCACATACATTTGGTAAAGTTAATGTTTATCAAAGAGCAGTATAAGATTTACATGACCAATTAAGAATTAAATTAATAGATAACTCGGCCGGGTGTGGTGGCTCACGCCTGTAATCCTAGTACTTTTCAGAGGCCGAGGTGGGCAGATCACCTGAGGTCGGGAGTTCAAGACCAGCCTGACCAACATGGAGAAACCCCGTCTCTGCTAAAAATACAAAATCAGCTGGGAGTGGTGGCACATGCCTGTAATGCCAGCTACTCAGGAGGCTGAGGCAAGAGAATCGCTTGAATCCAGGAGGCAGAGGTTGCAGTGAGCCGAGAATGCGCCATTGCACTCCAGCCTGGGCAATAAGAGCGAAATTCCATCTCAAAAATAAAAATAGAAAAAGATAACTCAGAAAATAAAGAGGCAATACCAGTCAAGATTCTTGTTTGCAAACAACAGAAACCTACCCTGCCTACGTTAAACAGAAAAATAATTTATTTGAAGATAATCTGATAATTCACACCCCTCCCTGGAATGCTACAGGAGTATCTGGGAACAGAAACTGAGGGATAAAAGATATAGCCAACATTGTGCCCCAGACGTGGTCCACTGAAGATACTACTGATGCTCTCCACCAACAAAACTGCTGTTTCCATCCTTTCTCCACATCTCTGCTGTGATACCAATTCCTCTAACCTCTAAAACTTCGTGCCTCACTGCCCCATTGCACTCTTAAATTCCCTGAAACTTCTACACACACTCTCTGATTTACAGTGTGCCTTGCGTACCAATCTCAAGATACAAAGTCAGTGGTGAAGAACATCAAGGACAACCATAAAGTAATACCAAGTACAAGCCTAAAAATAACAAGAGAGGATATATTGCAATATCCCTTTTGGGCTTCAGTTATGCTGGAGAGGTCAATTGATCCTGGACAATGCAAAAAAAAATTTTTTTTTTTTTTTTTTGAGACAAGGGCTCACCGTATTGCCCAGGCTGGACTTGAACTCCTGGGCTCAAATGATTCTTCTGCCTCAGCCTCCCAAAGTGCTAGGATTACAGGCGCGGGCCAGAAATGTTTAATGTTCTTTTAACTTTACTATCCATAGAACACAGTGTATTTTTTTTCATGAAATAAATTTAATTTCATTCACCTAAACAATTATTATCTTTATAACAAATGGAGTGATCAAGCAATTATGGTGTTATTTTCAAAGTTACTTTGACTTTCATCTCATTTATGAGAAATATTTAATCTCTATTTGTGTAAACAAAAGTCAAATTTAGCCTTTTGTATGTAATAAAAATCTAATTCTTTAAACCACTCTTCTTCTAGCAATCTTGAAAACCATGCTAGCTCTTTCAAATAACAGGTTTGATGTACAGTTGCAATGTCATTAGCTACTATACAATACATAATCAAGTAACTACTATGGATGTTTATTACGTTATTATAACCTCTAATTTTGTTTCCGTGTGATTGGATAGCATTCTTTTCATGTTTTTTATTTCATGTTTTTAATCTATGTAAGAGATTTTGTGCTTTAAAGGAGTAAAAATTTCATGGTCATGCACAGCATTTTGTGTCTGTTCTGAACAGTAGTATTTTAGAAGTTTGTTCTATTAATTTAGTTATTTGTTAACTAAGTTCTTAGTTTTTTGTATCAATAAACATTTTAATTTCAGAAGCAATGCATAATTTCCAGTAATTGATATTCTGCATTTTTGTGATATAAGGAATGCATTTATAATTCTATTGTTGAGCATTTTATGAATACCAAATGTGTACAACAATAATAAAATGAAAAAGATAAAATGTATATTGTAGCTTATACTCAAAGTGGATATATACTTGCATCTTATATATAACTAATATTTTAAAATTTTAGGGAAATATGAAGATGAGAAGATTTTTTTCTACAGAATGTTAGATAAATATGTACCTGTGTATTTATGTGTGTGTATAAATATATACATATATTGTTTATCTGAAAAGAAGTATTCTAAGGATTGTGAGATATGCATGCATATGTCCTTACCTTCATAACTATTGCTCTCATTTTTGCTTCCTGCTTGCTAAAATTACTGATTAAAAAAGTTAACTCATATGGCCAGGCATGGTGGTTCATGCTTGTAATCCCAGAACTTTGGGAGGCCAAAGCAGGAGGATAATTCAAGCCCAGGAGTACAAGACCAGCCTGGGTAACATAGGGAGATCCCATTCCTACAAAAACAAAAATTAAAAAATTAGCTGGGTGTGGTGGTGCACACCTGTGGTCCCAGCTACTCAGGTGGCTGAAGTGGGAGGATCACTTGGGCCCAGGAGGTAGAGACTGGAGTGAGCCATGATCACACCACTGCACTCTAGCCTGGACTACAGAGTGAGACCTTGCCTCAAAACAAAACAAAGCAAAACAGTTATCACTGATCATAAAGTATTTGTGTTTCAAAATGAATTTTACATTTGTCCAAATAATTTAATATGGACCGTGCGTGGTATTATAAAATAGTACATTGTCATTGATAGTTTAAATTAGCTCTACATATGTAGAAGGAAATAAATTGTAAAAGATTATTATCATGTAAAATGGTTGATATAGCATTGTCTATTAACCATGGCCAGGGATTATAAAGTCTCTCACTTGTTCCAGTTAACAGAAAATGTAAGAGGAAAGCATAAGGAAAATATTTTTCCCTTAAGGAGAAAAAGCAGACTATGTGACATCAAAAGAAATAAATATAAGTAGTAGTTGTGGAAATATAGTTCTATTTTTCATGGCCCATAAATAGAGACAGAGTCTCACTCTGCCTCCCAGGCTGCAGTGCAGTTGTGCTATTATAGTTCACTGTAACCTCGAGCTCCTGAGCCTAAGTGATCCTCCCACCTCAGCCTCCTGAGTAGCTAGAACTACAAGCCCAAGCCACCATGCCAGGCTAATTTTTTACTTTTTGTAGAGGTGGAGTCTTGCTATCTTACCCAGGCTGGTCTCAAACTCCTGACCTCAAGCAATCTTCCACCTTTGGCCTCCCAAATTGCTAGGATTACAGGCATGACCCAGCACTCCCACCCTAAACTTGTTGTTTTAATTAAGTCTCCAACAAACTGTATCACTCAGGGTATTGATTTGGATGCTAAAAGTACCATATGAAAGACAATTCACTAATGAGAATACAAATGATCCTCTTTGCTTTCTTACTCATTGACTAGCCTCTACTCATATTCTGCCCTTCAGGGAACAAATAAAATAAACAATGGCACAATAACAACCACAGCTACAGCAAAGACCCCTGATTCTTATTTTGGCCACTTGGTAAAAACTATCCCTTAATGGTTTCATTGTAGTAATTTAAAACTAATGATTTACAAGTCGAAAGGGAAAGTGTATTTTATAGTTGATGAGTAATGGATAAAGACATTCAATCTAGATTCATAAGAACATGTTGCTGAATTTCAAAAGTAACATTACCGTGAAATTTCAAAATGTTTATTCCATTGGCAGTGAAACATACAAACAAAAACATCAATTGCATCTTGGAATAGGGAAAAGTGACTTACATTTTTATTCATAAGGTTCTGTGTGCTTTTAACTTAAATGTGTTCTTTATTTACACAAGTTTTCACAAAGGTACCAGAAGAGAATTATGTTTTACTCCAATGCTTCAGTTTTATTTCTATCACTAAATACATACTCTTTTTTTTGAGACGGAGTCTCGCTCTGTCACCCAGGCTGGAGTGCAGTGGCTTACTGCAACCTCCCCCTCCCGGGTCCTCCTGCCTCAGCCTCCTGAGTAGCTAGGACTACAGGCGCCTGCCACCACGCCCGGCTAATTTTTGTATTTTTAGTAGAGATGGAGTTTCACCATATTGGCTTTCAGTGTAATGAATGAATGATAATGTCTATGAAACGCCAAAGGTTCATTAAGTCTATCTGCAAAAGTCGTACATAGCTGCAGCCCAGAACTGAATTTTATACAGAATTATGTAAAATATATCTTTAAAAGTAGAGTAAACACTTTATAATCCTACAATCTACCCAACAAACTTTAACGAACATAGGTTTTAAAAATATTGACTATTTGCCAGACACTGTGCTAGGCACTGAAGATGTAATGAAACATAGATTAGAATAATTATAGACCATTTCCATTTTTGGCCTTGCTCTGAAAAGATAGGTTAGTGTTGTCGTTTTTAAATTTTCATCTAGAAAGTAAAAAAAAAAAAATCAAATTACCCTTTATCACTGTACCAGAAATAATGCAATCAGTCATTAAGCTGCTGATATATAATTATCCAGTTTATGCAATTACCCAGTTGATACCTGCTCTATTTAATAGTTGTATTCAATTGATTAAAAGACAGTAAAGTCTCTAACTATCTCACATCCAATAATTGATTTTTAAACTTTCAGATATTAAATTATTCTGATTTTGTCTACTCCAAGTATTGGGCTGCCTCAAGAAAATGACTTTCTTCTGTTTTCAGTATCAGAGAAAGAGTATCATGGCTGAGCAGTTAATCTTCCACATTGTTTATACGCTAGTGTCATCAGAGCTCCTTCTCAAAATAAATATCTATTATAGTAACCTCTCTATATATGTCCTACTTTCTTCATTGCTATATATGTCCTACTTTACCTTCACTGCTGATGGTAACTAATTGATAAGATGCCTTAAAATTAAGGTGACTGACCCACAGGTTTAATGATGATATAGGGAAATATATCTTTGATTTTGTTAGCCTATTTTGTCCCTTCCATTGTTAGTGGCGACATGAGGACCATTGTCTCTGTCCTCTCTCCCTATTGAAGCTTACTCTCACAGTTTCCTGTCCCCAAAGGGGAAAAATGTTTTTAAAAGTTTTTATTTCTTCCATAGTCATTTGCAGTTTATTCAAGTTCTATGATCAGTGTTGGAACTCCTTTAATTATGGAATGACAAATATCCATCATTGAAAGGTGAATATGCCCAGAGAGGGGCAGGAGGAAATGTACATAACTTGAGAGTGAATGAAGAGAACGAACTGGTTTTCCTCAACATAAATGACAACAGACTTTTTGCAGTAAATATTTCATGCATCAAAGTGTCATATCTTCATATGTTGAGTAAGAAATCAATTCAAAAGACAATAACTTAAGAAAGAGAAGAAAGACTTATTATCATAGCATTTGGGTTGACATTCTGCTTAACTGTCTGACTTTAGTTTACATTATTTATTTTTAATGAAAATTTATAGAAAATATGTCTTGTACCAGACACATTGTATACTTTTTTTTTTGTAAAACGGAGTCTCCCTCTACTGCCCAGGCTGGAGTGTAGTGGCGCAATCTCGGCTCACTGCAACCTCCGCCTCCTGGGTTCAAGAATTCTGCCTCAGCCTCCCAAGTAGCTGGGACTACAGGCGTGCGCCACCATGCCCAGCTAGTTTTTGTATTTTTAGTAGAGACAGGGTTTCACCATATTGGCCAGGCTGGTCTTGAATTCCTGACCTCATGATGCACCCACCTCGGCCTCCCAAAGTGTTGGGATTACAGGTGTGACCCACTGTGCCCAGCCATTGTATACATTGTTATAATTAATATTTCCAAGCATATTTTGAGAAAATATATTCTAAATGCCCATTTTACAAATGAGGAAACTGAAGCTCATATGAGTTACGCTACTTGATAAGTTTACATAACCAGTAGGTAGCAGAGCTTGGATTTGAACTCAGATCTGCCCATTACTTACCCCTGTCTATGGTCAATACACTATGTGGTAAATATCTTATGTTTATAACTTTAAAGATATGATGAAACTGCAATTAGCATCCTATGACAAACTGAGTTTCTTGATACACTTTAAAATTATAAAAATTAGGTCTGGCATGGTGGCTCATGCCAGTAATTCTGGCACTTTGGGAGGCTGGGGTGGGAGGATCACTTGAGCTCAGGAGTTTGAGGCCAACTTGGGCAATATGGTGAGACCCCATCTCTACAAAAAATACAAAAATTAGTCCAGTGCAGTGTTGTGCACCTGTAGTCCCAGCTACTTGGGAGGCTGAGGTAGGAGAATCGCTTGAGCCTGGCAGGATGAAGCTTCAATGAACCATGATCATGCTGCTGCACTCCAGCCTAAGTGACAAAGTGAGACCCTGTCTCAAAAACAAACAAACAAACAAACAAAAAATATATATATATACACACACACACACACACACACACACAAATTATCAATAAAGCTTCATTATCCACCCATAGTATATAACAAATCTTCCTGTCAATTTATCTAGCAGTTGATCTATATTTATATATCCATTTGGCTAGTTACAATTATATATTCTTACCCCATGCTTGTTTTCACAGTGTACTTTTTAAAGAGAACCTGGGGCAACAGAATGCGATTTTGAAGGAAGTAGACCTAGGTTTAAATAGTCCTAGCTCTATCATCTGTTAGTTAGCATATATTTGGCATAAAATGAGAGCAACAGCAGAAAAGATGTTAAAGGAGGCAACATAGCCTAGGAACTGCAACAGTTTAATGTAATAATGAATTGGGTTTTTTGTTTTCGTTTTTGTTTGTTTGTTTGTTTGTTTTTTGGGACAGACTCTCACTCTGTCTCCCAGGCTGGAGTGCAGTGGCGCGATTTCTGCTCACTGCAACCTCCACTTCCCAGTAAAGCAATTCTCCTGCCTCAGCCTCCTAAGTAGCTGGGGTTACAGGTGTGTGCCACTATGCCCAGTTAATTTTTGTACTTTTAGTAGAGGCAGGGTTTCACCATATTGACCAGGCTGGTCTCAAAATCCTGACCTCAAGTGATCTGCCTGCCTGGGCCTCCCAAAGTGCTGGGATTACAGGCCTGAGCCATCTGCCAGGCCATTAAATTTTAAAAAAATTAAGTCAAGTTCGGTCATGCGTTATTGTAGAAATGCAGAGACTAATGATATGATAAACTAATTTGTTGCCAGATATTTAATTTATATAAAAACTAATGCTCAGTCTTTTAGTGAGGAAAAAATAGCTAACTCTAACCCTCTCATTATTTTTAATGGGGGTACTGAGGCTGCATCTATGGGACAATACCATAAGTTACCAAAGAAACAGGAAATCTAATTAAAAAGAATGAGATTTAGTGGGATGCTTGCTTTTTAAAAATTATTTACAGACCATAATATAGTAAATTATTTCCCTGTCAATTAGTGTTATCTTCCTCCTTAATCTTTTATTTACAAAACCTGAAAGAAGCGATGGACCATCCTGTGTAACGTATTTGACATTTCAACGTTGAGTCAATGTGAATGAATCTCAGTGAGACTGCACATCCTATTTCTTCAGAGGATGTAAGTAAAGCAAAATATTATATGATGTACTTTAATTCTGTTTGTTGGTATACAAGTATTATAACATTGGTCACTGCCTGATAGCCAAATAAATTTTGGAGACTATATCATTTAGCAGGTTATTTGGCTGTATAACAACAATAAATTACTAGTTAGGTGAAATAATATCACTTCTGACTAGTCATTTTTGAATTTTAAAAAATAATAGTTTGACTTTAAGTTTCAGAATACAGTTGCTATTCTAATTTTTCTTTCAATGTAATTGACTTATTCAATTTGAAATGTACCGCAAAAATCCATATATCGCACATACAAACACATACATAAACACACCCACCCACATCTATGTCAAACTTGAGGTAATAGGAGCATTATAATTCTTAATTTGTGGACTACTAAAGATTTTAATATGCACAGTCAGGGTTCAATTCCAGTTAGTATTCCATGCCAAACTTAGTTTATCCATAATCTTTAAAATTATACAAACCTTCTTTTATTTTTTATGTTTTTTAATTTTGAGACGGAGTTTTGCTCTGCCCCGTCATGCAGGCTGGAGTGCAGTGGCCCCACAATCTTGGCAGCTGGAATCTCCGCCTCCGGGGTTCAAGCGATTCTCCTGCCTCATCCTCCCAAGTAGCTGGGATTACAGGCACGTGCCACCATGCCTGGTTAATTTTTGTATTTTTTGTAGAAACAGGATTTCACCATGTTGGCCAGGCTGTTCTTGAACTCCTGACCTCAGGTGATCCACCCACCTTGGCCTCCCAAAGTGCTGGGATTACATGCGTGAGCCACCACACCCTGCCAGATATTTTATTATTATTTTTTAACACTTACTTTAAGTTCAGGGGTACATGTGCAGGATATGTGGGTTTGTTATATAAACGTGTGTCATGGGGGTTTGTTGTACAGATTATTTCATCACCCAGGTATTAAGCCTAGTATCCATTAGTTATTTTTCCTGTTCCTCTCCTTCCTCCCACCCTCCACCCTCAGATAGGCCCTCGTGTGTGTTGTTCCCCTCTATGTGTCCATACTTATAAGTGGGAGAATTGCACTTTTACAGCACAGCAGGCTAGTAATGAAAACCATTTGCAATGACTTTTTAAATGTTTCCCCAAATAATGCTCTTTTCTTTGGATAAATCATGTTGGTTACATAAGTGGCTCAGAAATGTGACACTATTTAGTTGCAGAGGGGCTTATTTTTTAACAGTGCGGCAATTACATCCTAAAATAACTATTATTCAATCCATTCTGCCAGCCTTGGGAGACTAAGCAGATGTCAGGTATTCTAAAATATCTGACTTTAGGTGAGTTTGGGATGTTACTGTGAAAGAAGCATTTTCAGATCTGTTAGATAGGAGAATGCCAATAAGCAGTGTACTTACATAATGGTGACAACAGCTCTCAGAGGGTCTCATTTGAAGCATAATTGTTGGGTCTTGGAATAATACTATTTTAGAGCTAGATGAGGAAAATTTAAAACTCATCTCTCAATTAATTTTTAATAGATGAAGAAGCAAAGTGACACAAACAATTAGGGCACTTGCCTGAGATCATGCATCTAATTAAAGGCACGCCATGGGAAGATCTCTGGACTTTAAATTATCATTCCACTATATTGGCTTTACTACATATCTTCCCACTCCCGTTCCACATTTACTGCTTTCAGAGAAAGAGAGAGAAGTTTGATAGCATATTTTAATAGAAAATGAGTGGATTTTCACATCAGGACAACCTGAACTTGAAGTTTTCCTAAGCTAAAATATGCTCTTTTGTGTATAGTATCCCCAAGAATGACTGGAGTGATTCTCCATCCTGTTTCCCTCATCAGCATCCCCCAACACATACACATACCCTATTGGATCATTCTTATCAGCATTTAAAGATGCTGGGATTTCTGTCATCCGAAAGGAAAATCATTTTTTACTCTACATCTCTCTGTAGATATGTCCTCATTTATTATAATCCTTTAATGGAAAATTGTGAAAGCTGCACAGAATTGTTGCTATATTCACTATGCCCAATTATTTTCTTCCCCTTCTCCTTTCAACTTGTTTCCATAAGGCTCTCCACTCATCACTCATCACTCCAACAATACGGCTCTTGTCAATGTCACCATATCAGCCAACTATGTAACAAGCAATAATCTCTCTGGTACTCATCAATCAATGGCAGTTTGTCCAAGAGTCAGTTGATAAAGCTTTGTACTTGGTTGGTCGGCTCTAGACTGTTGGGTCTGCATCTTTCTCTTGGGTGTCTCATCTTCCTTAAACCAACAGGCTAGCCAGTCCTTGTCCTTCTTATGGTGATAGAGAAGGACAAGACAAATGGAAATATGTATACCTCTTTAGGAATTAGCACATTAGAACTCCTATATGCATTCCATCACCCAAAACAAGTCACAAGACTAAGTCCAAGGTCAGAAACTACAGTATATTTTGCCTATAGTTGGAAAAACAGAAAAGCCACAAGGCAAAGGGCATGGATAGAGACAGAGGTAAAGAACTAGGCCTAATATATTACTCTACCACTGTTACTAATGAGTTCCACAGTACTATGTCACATGGACAAATCTAAGTGCTGATCTGTCTTAATATGTAGCAGCATGTGACACAGTTGATAACTACTCCCATCTTTAAACTATTTTTCCTTTGGCTTTTAGCACACCTGTATTCCTGGTTTTGTTTTTCCCTCTTAGCGGCTTCACATTCTGTATAGTTTGTTGGGCATTTCTCATCTTTTAAGCATTGAATTACCCCAGGGATCAATCATGGGACATTTTCTCTTTGCCCTCTGTACTTACGTTCTTGTTGATCTCATCTGTGATCATGACTTAAAAACCAACTGTAATACTTAACACTACTGAACTGTACACTTGAAAATAGTTACAATGTTAAACTTTATGTGGTTTTATCACAATCAAAAATAAAACAAATAAACCATCTATAAATTTGTAAATCACAAATTTCTATCTCCAGTTTGTATCCTTTCCCTGAACTCTAGTGTCATGTATACAAATAAGAGGTCTGAAAGAAATATAAAATCTAATATATCCAAAGTCAAACTATGCTCTCTCCCCCAACACAAATATGCTTCTCCTGGTGTCTTTTCCATCTCTTATAGATCCAAGTATAAGCAACTGCTTATAGTTGCTCAGACCCAAAACCTTTATGATCATCCTTGACTTCACCCTGTACCCCACATTCAATCTATCACCAATTCCTACTGGCTCTTACCTTCAATTTATATCCAGTACCTGAGCATGACTCTCCAACTCCAACGCATTGTCCTTTTTATCCAAGCCATCATTATCTCTGGCCTTATCCACTGCAATAGCCTGCTAACTGGTCTCCATCTTCCTTCACATATGGTCTATTCTCAGCACACAGCCAGAGTGACCCTTTTAAAGTAAAAGCTGAATTATGTCACTCATCTGATTATAACCCATTAGTGATTTCCCAACTTCACTCAGAGTAAATTCCAAATTCTTACAATGCCCTTCAAAGCCCTACTAAAACTTGCCCCATTACCTTTCTAACCTCATCCTCCACTACTCTTAACCTCACTCCTTATGTGACCTGAAGAAACTGAAACCAGTCCAATTTTCTCATAGAACTGATATTTACGGGGCATTTTTTTTGAACAACAGAGAAATTGATCCTCCCAGACTTAAAGCTTGAAACTTATATTTGCCTTATCTGATTTACTTGCTCACGAAACCAACACTCAGGCCTCCCAGATAGTATCAAGGACCTGCAATTCCTCTTCCTTATTCCTCCCTAATTCTTGTTTTCCTAACTGACCACATGTTTCCTGTTGACCAACTCCTCCTCCTTAACCATCTCTAATTCCTGTTCCTGTACATAGCTACTTTCCTTCCGCACTATATAAACCCCCAAATTTAGTCATTTGAGAAGATGGATTTGAGACTGATCTCTCATCTCCTTGGCTGCAGCACCTGAATAAAGCCTTCTTCCCTAGCAATACTCATTTCAGTAATTGGCTTTCTGTGCGGCAAGCAATGGGACATAGAAAAAATCCTGGAATTTTGGTAACAAAACCTCAGCAAAAATCCATGCCCTTTATAGGCCTAGAATTACCACTGTGAGAGCAGGGCCTCCTAACACAATTGCGTAGGTTGCATATTATACAGCTTTAGGGAGTAATGCAATCTATGTGAATGCTTCCAGTGGAGTTATGCACTCCTCAGCCAGTATCGTCTTAGATCCTTGTAATAGGGGAGGGAGAAATAAACAGGAAGCATGTATACAGTGAGGAATGTTAGGAAGAAAATTAAAGAAGAGACTTTGGGTGGTCAACACAACTCTGAATAGGATGGACCTGAAAGATCTTCACTCAGAAGATGACCTTTAAATAAATAACTGGAGGAGGTTAGAGAGTAAGCCTTATGGATAACTGGAAAATTCTGGTTAGATAAAGGAACAGCATCTGAGAGGAAGAGTATCTGAGATGAAAGCATGTTTGGCAGTTTCTAAGAAGAGGAAAGAGGCCAGTATGGTTGGATCAGAGTCAGCTAAGAAGGTACTTTCAGAAAATGAGGTCACAGACATAAAGAGAGCCATAATTGTATAGAGTCCTGTAAGATCTTTGGCTTTTACTCTGAGTGAGAAGATAACTATCAGAGGCTACGAGAAAAGTCTACTTCAGCTTTAAAAGATTACTTGGGCTGCAGTGTTGAAGAAAAGACAGCCAGAGAATCAAGGGAGTAAGCAAAGAGACAGTTAATATAGAGATTATTGTGGCTTAGATAGACTAGAGTCGTAGCATTTAATGTGTGGTGGAAATTTGGTGGATCTCTACTGTAAATTGTGTCTTTTCATGTCTAAATTTCCTTATGATTTATTGGTCATACATAGAATGCAGTTGGGGAGTGTGTGTGTGTGTGTGTGTGTGTGTGTGTTTATCTGGTATCAAGAGGACTTGCTAAACTATTTTATTCTAATGAAATTTAACTTTTCATCAGAAAACTATGTAGAAATTTATCTTCTTCAAAAGGAGTTAGTGTCATCTCTTTCTAATATCCATATATCTGATCATTTTAAATAATTTTTGTAATCCAGAACAATTTTGAATGGTTCAAGTGTCTTTAGGCATGTTTTGGCAGGTATTACTGATTAGATTAAGTATTGCTTCATTAACTCGCATGTTTACTCCCTATTTCTGTTAATATTTACTTTTAAGAGATTGAAAAGGGTCTATTTCTAGCTATACATTTTAATAGAAATGGTTGTTAATTTTGTCAGTCATTTCCAGTCACTTTTGAAACATTTGTATAGTTTATTCTTGACTTTAATATGTTTCTGAGAAGAATTACATTAATATACTTTCAAATTGTGAAACTTCCTTGAATTCTTGGGATTAAATCTACTAGGTCATGAATAATTATTCTTTTTAATAACCTGTTACATTTAATTTGCCAATATTGCATTTCAGAAATATGTGTATGTATATATGTATATGTGTGTGTATGTGTATGTGCATGTGTGTATATATATGTTCTTTTTTTTTTTTTGAGATGGAGTCTAGCTCTGTCACCAGGCTGGAGTGCAGTGGCGTGATCTCTGCTCACTGCAACCTCCGCCTCCTGGGTTCAAGCTATTCTCCTGCCTCAGCCTCCCAAGTAGCTGGGATTACAGGCACTTGCCACCACACCCAGATTTAGTAGAGCTGGGGTTTCACTGTGTTGGCCAGGTTGGTCTCGAACTCCTGACCTCATGATCCGCCCACCTCGGCCTCCCAAAGTGCTGGGACTACAAGCCTGAGCCACCGCACCTGGCTATATATATATGTGTGTGTGTGTGTGTGTGTGTGCATGTGTATATATAAGTGTATATATATCTCAAGTGTATATACATGTGTATATATAATATACATATATGTGTATATATAATATACATATATATATAAATATATATATATATATATTCTCAAGTGAAATTGGTAATTTCTTTTCTGTAAGTGTTATCTTTACCCAGTTTGCTCCTAGGGTTAATCTGGCAACCATAATGAATTGACAAACTCTCTGTGTAATTCTATGTTGTTTAACCACATACTTTAAAAGGTTTCTTCTAGTCTTATTATTTCTTTCATATTTTATAACTGTTTCTGAGACCTTTTGTTAGATAAGAGATCAATATGAAGGAAATGTGGGTGCTCAATTTGCCATCTTGAACTTAATGTTTCTCACACAGGTTTTTGTATATAATGCTTTAAATATTATTTATTATTCTACTTTCATTATATTTTAATTAATTAATTTATTTATTTATTAGAGACAGAGTCTCACTCTGTCACCCAGGCTGGAATGCAGTGGTGCTACCATAACTCACTGTAACCTCAAACTCCTGTTCTCCAGTGATTCTCCTGGGTAGCTGGGATTACAGGTATGTGCCATCATGCCCAGCTAATTTTTTAAATTTTCCTGCAGAGATGGGGGTCTCACTTCGTTGCTCAGGCTGGTCTTGAACTCTTGGCCTCAAGTGATTCTCCCACCTCAGCCTTACAAAATGTTGGGATTACAGGCATGAGCCACTGTGCCTGGCCTTTCATTACAGTTTATATTTTTCTAAATATAACTTTATCTTTGGAGTCAAATGGATAACTTGGTTTTTTTTTTCAATTCTTGCTTTATTGTAAAGAACTCACAGAAAATGACCTATATGACTTTTTTATTTTAAATAAATTTTAATTTTCTTTCTGGGTTATAATACACTTACTTTTTGGATGTGTGTCAGAACAACTTGACAATGTATAGTTACTGTTCCTTGGATATAATGTTCTCTATGCATCTATTTGATTAAGCTTGTTAATTCTCTTATTCAAAATTTCTATTTTAATTTAATCTTTTTTTTTACTTGATCTCTGAGAGGAAAAATATTAGGGACTCCCTTTATGATTCTGAATTTGTCCATTTTCAGTATTTTTAGAGAATATTTTCCTTTATATTGTGATTTAACATTATCTTGTTCTATGACTAATTATATTGAATATATATTATATATACATATATACATATATACGTGCATATTATATATACACGTATATATGTATACATATTATATATACACGTATATAATTTTATTATACTTTTAATTTTAAGTAATTGTTATTACTTAAACGTGTATAATTGTTATTACTTAAAATTATGAAAACTATATACATATATAGTATATATACAATATGTACATATATAGAGAGAGAGAGACAGAGAGGGAGAGAGAGAAAGATTCTTAATGGGTCATGTTACTTAACAAGACAAAATATTCCCAGTTATGTCAATAAATGACTTTAAACTTAAATTTCACCCTGCCTGATTATATCACTAATGATCTGACTATATTATTACTTTAAAAATCTGTCATATCTCTCTCTGTATTTTTAGCCATATAGCGTCATTATACGGATTTGTATCTCTTCAAGACTATTTAGTAAATTTTTATTACTGGTTTAGTCCAATTTATACCATAATGTTTTCAGTTTTCTGTTTGTGATTTGAATTTTACACCTTTTGTTCCCTCTTATTTTTCTCTTTTCTAGTTTGATTTATCAAGATTTTTGTTATAATTGCCTGTTTTTTAATTCTCTCTAGTTCCTTAGAAATTATAGACTCATTTCTCTCTTAAGCAATCAATACAAACTGTTAGCACAATTACGTAAATTTTGGAGCTCTATCAATCAAGAATTAGACAGTATCTGTGTCAGAGACTGCTAATTGTCCTCAAATATCTCTTCCCATCGTCTTTATTTCAAAAGCAAACATCTTAGTTTAAGCTAGGCACATTGCCACCCAACTTAAGAATATACTTCCTAGCCTTGCTTGAACCCAGTTGTCATCATATGACTAAGTTCTAGAAAAAGTTATGTGAGAAAATGCTGATTCACTCCATATTTGAAGACAAAAATACTTGCCCTAGATGCCCATAGAAAAGATGAGATGATTGAAGAATGGATGTAGATTTTACAAAGGGGTAATTACTAAATGTATATAAATCCCTCAGGCTGTGTGTGAAATATGGTTCTGTAAGTTAAAATTATAAAAACTTAAAAATATAAAAATGATAAATATTAGGTTGCGCTATATGAAATTGTCAACAGTTGATTGTTTTTGATCTGGGAAATGAGCACTTCCATATGCTTCCACCTAATAACAAGCCAACATTTATGATATGGGGCATGAGAAAGCATAACTATGACAATTTCACTGTTTTCCATAGAGAGAAGTAAAACATAAAGTTTACTTTGACAAATCAAGAACTTAATTGTTATTACTTAAAAGTATGTATCACAGAGCTTATGTTACACATAATATAAAAATTATTCTTGGCCGGACGCAGTGGCTCACACCTGTAATCCCAGCACTTTGGGAGGCTGAAGCAGGCAGATCACGAGATCAAGAGATCGAGACCATCCTGGGCAACATGGTGAAACCCTGTCTCTACTAAAAATACAAAATTAGCTGGGCATGGTGGTGCGCATCTGTAGTCCCAGCTACTCGGGAGGCTGAGGCAGGAGAATCTCTTGAACCCGGGAGGCAGAAGTTGCAGTGAGCTGAGATTGCACCACGGCACTCCAGCCTGGCAACAGAGTGAGATTCCGTTTCCAAATAATAATGATAATAATAATTATTACTATTATTAGGAAGTACAGATGAAAAGTGATCTGCTGATATCCTCATCTTTCACAGTAGAGAGGTCAATAATGATTTTACTAATTGTATGTTGATATGACTTGGATATTTGTTCCCTCCAGTTCTCATGGTGAAATGTGATTCCCAATGTTGGAGGTGGAGTCTGGTGGGAGGTGACTGGATCATGAGAAGGGATCCCTCATGAATAATTTAGCACCATCCCCTTGGGGATAAGTGAGTTCTCACCCAGTTAGTTCACATGAGATCTACTTTTTTTAAAGTTGGGGACCTCCCCCACCTCACTCTCTTGCTCCCATTCTCACCATGTGATATGCTGGCTCCCCGTTGCCTTCCGCCATGACTGTGAGCTTCCTGAGGCCTCACCAGAAGCAGAGGCCAGCACCACGCTTCCTATAAAGCCTGCAGAACCATGAGCCAATTAAACTTCTTTTCTTTATAAAATACCCAGTCTTAGGTATTTCTTTATAGTAACACAGGCAGATTAATACATATATCATAGTTCATCATAGTGTCATTGATTTTAAGATGCATCATTATCATATATAATTTTACTTTTAATTCAAAGTCATCAATGTTCTTTCTTTTTTATATTTTAACCTCCTCTGTGCCATCAAGAATATTTGTGATGCTGCATTTATTTTAAAAATTAGATAAACAGGAATGCTGAAAGCCATCAGTGATAGGCTCTTAAGCTACCATTGTAATTATTTTAAACTAACCTACTGTTTTATGGGGATTATATCATTTTATTCTTTTTATTTTATTTTTTTTGTTTTTTTTTTAATTATACTTTAAGTTTTAGGATACATGTGCACAATGTGCAGGTTAGTTACATATGTATACATGTGCCATGCTGGTGCACTGCACCCAGTAACTCGTCATCTAGCATTAGGTATATCTCCCAATGCTATCCCTCCCCCGTCCCCCCACCCCACAACAGTCCCCAGAGTGTGATATTCCCCTTCCTGTGTCCATGTGATCTCACTGTTCAATTCCCACCTATGAGTGAGAATATGCGGTGTTTGGTTTTTTGTTCTTGCGATAGTTTACTGAGAATGATGTTTTCCAATTTCATCCATGTCCCTACAAAGGACATGAACTCATCATTTTTTATGGCTGCATAGTATTCCATGGTGTATATGTGCCACATTTTCTTAATCCAGTCTATCATTGTTGGACATTTGGGTTGGTTCCAAGTCTTTGCTATTGTGAATAATGCCGCCAATAAACATATGTGTGCATGTGTCTTTATAGCAGCATGATTTATAGTCCTTTGGGTATATACCCAGTAATGGGATGGCTGGGTCAAATGGTATTTCCAGTTCTAGATCCCTGAGGAATCGCCACACTGACTTCCACAATGGGTGAACTAGTTTACAGTCCCACCAACAGTGTAAAAGTGTTCCAATTTCTCCACATCCTCTCCAGCACCTGTTGTTTCCTGACTTTTTAATGATCGCCATTCTAACTGGTGTGAGATGGTATCTCATTGTGGTTTTGATTTGCATTTCTCTGATGGCCAGTGATGATGAGCATTTTTTCATGTGTCTTTTGGCTGCATAAATGTCTTCTTTTGAGAAGTGTCTGTTCATGTCCTTCGCCCACTTTTTGATGGGGTTGTTTGTTTTTTTCTTGTAAATTTGTTTGAGTTCATTGTAGATTCTGGATATTAGCCCTTTGTCAGATGAGTAGGTTGCGAAAATTTTCTCCCATTTTGTAGGTTGCCTGTTCACTCTGATGGTAGTTTCTTTTGCTGTGCAGAAGCTCTTTAGTTTAATTAGATCCCATTTGTCAATTTTGGCTTTTGTTGCCATTGCTTTTGGTGTTTTAGACATGAAGTCCTTGCCCATGCCTATGTCCTGAATGGTAATGCCTAGGTTTTCTTCTAGGGTTTTTATGGTTTTAGGTCTAACGTTTAAGTCTTTAATCCATCTTGAATTGATTTTTGTATAAGGTGTAAGGAAGGGATCCAGTTTCAGCTTTCTACATATGGCTAGCCAGTTTTCCCAGCACCATTTATTAAACAGGGAATCCTTTCCCCATTGCTTGTTTTTCTCAGGTTTGTCAAAGATCAGATAGTTGTAGATATGCGGCGTTATTTCTGAGGGCTCTGTTCTGTTCCATTGATCTATATCTCTGTTTTGGTACCAGTACCATGCTGTTTTGGTTACTGTAGCCTTGTAGTATAGTTTGAAGTCAGGTAAGAATCTCACTCAAAACCGCTCAACTGCATGGAAACTGAACAACCTGCTCCTGAATGACTACTGGGTACATAACGAAATGAAGGCAGAAATAAAGATGTTCTTTGAAACCAATGAGAACAAAGACACAACATACCAGAATCTCTGGGATGCATTCAAAGCAGTGTGTAGAGGGAAATTTAGAGCACTAAATGCCCACAAGAGAAAGCAGGAAAGATCCAAAATTGACACCCTAACATCACAATTAAAAGAACTAGAAAAGCAAGAGCAAACACATTCAAAAGCTAGCAGAAGGCAAGAAATAACTAAAATCAGAGCAGAACTGAAGGACATAGAGACACAAAAAACCCTTCAAAAATTAATGAATCCAGGAGCTGGTTTTTTGAAAGGGTCAACAAAATTGATAGACTGCTAGCAAGACTAATAAAAAAAAAAAGAGAGAAGAATCTAATAGACGCAATAAAAAATGATAAAGGGGATATCACCACCGATCCCACAGAAATACAAACTACCACCAGAGAATACTACAAACACCTCTACGCAAATAAACTAGAAAATCTAGAAGAAATGGATAAATTCCTCGACACATACACTCTCCCAAGACTAAACCAGGAAGAAGTCGAATCTCTGAATATATCATTTTAATTATTATAAATATATACATCTTGTGGCAAGGAAAGTTCTGGTAAATATGCTGAGTAGGAAAACTGCAAGCAGACAATTTAGAGAAGCCACCACTGTAGAAATGGAAAGGAAAATAAACTACTATTTATTAAACAACTGTTTGGTATTAGATAACTGTACTTTTCTACCCCAAACCCACCAACTTTTAGTGCTGGCTCTACCTCAGAATGGCTGAAGTGAGGAAGTAGAATAAGATCCAAGGTATTACTGTGAGAAATAGTAAGAAAGATCTTGAAGTAATAAATAAAAGTTCAAAGTCTGTATTTCTCTTCTAGCTAAAGTCCATGGGGAGTCCTGATAAATTGATATCAACAAATTTTGAGGATCTCTGAGAAGGAATAATGTATAGGCATTTTTGACAGATTTTAAAGCTATGATTTTATAGAAATTATCCAGTTTTCTGTGTATTGAATTCTTTCGCTGTTACGCATTTTTCACTTTAGAATATTGTGAGGTTCAGATTGAGTTTTCCTTAATAAAGTATTCATATTATCACTGCTATGTTTGAAAAACCTACCATTATTGATCTCTAATGATTTTACTCATGCAGAAAAAAAGGAAAGACCAAAAGACAACTACCAGGAAAATAAAAATATCTTCATATTTTTTTTCCTTTTACTATGAGTGGGAATCAATAGTCAGTGAGCCACAAATTTCTATGTATTTGTTCTTTTATTCATTCACATACTCTTCATGTATGAACGGAGCTGAAAAAATATTCATAAAAAAGATTAAAAAATTGCCCCTTTCTCTAAGACTCCTAGAAGTATCAACATTAAATTAATAATTACAGTGGGATCATTACTGCTGACTAAAAATTTATGACTGTTTCAGGGTTGCATACCTAATCTAAAAATGGGAAGTCAGAGAAGGCTCCAAGAGAGACATAAAGTTCTACCTCGGGTCAACAGATATCCTGGGATAGGATTCAGAAGTCTGGTAATTTGGTTGCAGAAAAAACACAATCAATGTCTAATCAAATTTTGCAATTAATTATGAATGTAGACACATGCCACCATAGTACTAACAGTACCAGCATCATATTAATATTAGAAAATATATGTATTTTCTTTTCTTTTCTCTTTTTTTTTTTTTTTGAGGTGGAGTTTCGCTCTTGTTGCCCAGGCTGGAGGAGTGCAATGGTGCGATCATGGCTCACTGCAACCTCCGCCTCCCGGGTTCAAGCGATTCTCCTCCCTCAGCCTCCCGAGTAGCTGGGATTACAGGCATGTGCCACCACGCCCGGCTAATTTTGTATTTTTAGTAGAGACGGGGTTCTCCATGTTGGTCAGGCTGGTCTTGAACTCCCGACCTCAGGTGATCTGCCCACCTCAGCCTCCCAGAGTGCTGGGATTACAGGCTTGAGCCACTGCGCCCAGCCAATATATGTATTTTCATATCACTTAATGCTTATTACTACTTGAAATTATGACAGTTATTAGATCTGCCTCTAGATCTTGTTATTTAATATGTTAACGAAAGACATGTAATTATGTCACATATTTTTGTATTTTGATAACTCTCTTTCAATATTACCAGCTTCCTGCATATTTTACTTTATGCATTTAAAAGCATTATACTGAGAAAGAATTCATGGGCTTCACCAGCCCATCAAAGAAGTCCATGCATGAAAAAGTCCAAGAATCTATGTATGAGAACAGATAATTTCATACGCAAAGAGAGGTACAGAGAGCATTGCACTTTTAAAAAAAAATGTGTCCAACTGAACAACAAAGAGCAGTTCTCTGAATTCTGTAAATTTTGGCTAGGTGAGGTAGGTGGATTGCTGATTGGTGAGATGAAACAGGCAAGGTGAACAGAGGCAATGTTTTGGATGGCCTTGTAAGCAATGCCAAAGTGATAATAAATCACTGATCATTTCTAAGAAGAGGAGAAATATGACCAGATTATCAGTTATGTATATTGTATGCTTATTTATCAATGTGCTATAAATTGTGGAGGAGAAACCTTAAGTGTTGTTTACTGGCTTACTAAAGACCCAATATTTCACTGTGAAAAGGGTTGAGAGAGTTAAGGAATTGTCAAACAAAGAGAGTTGTAGGACACAAATTTATTATTGTTATTACATTAACAATGGAAAAAATGCACATGTCTATAAACTGAAAGAAAATAGCTGCAGTTAAGGAAGAGATTGAAAATAAACTTGAGAGATGGAAGAGTCACTGAATGCAGGAGAAATTAAGGTCAGGAATACAGATGTAGAAAGTAGTAGAAATCATTAAGGGTAACTTAGCAGAGCTGCTGATGACTATGGTCCTTGACTTTGGACATAGTTTAATTCAGATGCAATATGGTCAGTCTTAAGAACCTGGACACCCTTATCAGTATGTTTTTAATACAAGACAAGCAAAACATGTATTTTATATAATAAAGATAAGGATATTGGGGTTTACTTGTCTTCCTGTTTCAACTTGTTATGTTACCGGTCCCTTTCTGAAGTTTATGAAATCATCTGATACAAACTTTTTTTCCAGAAAACTATATGCTGATCAGTCTTACATGACAAGCAAGATGAAACCCTTAAGGCTTAGTGCATATAGTCTTAACATGAATTCTGTGGATGATCCATACATACCCTGACACTGCATGCAAAAAAGTATGCATATGAATTTTTCCATAAAAGAAGTTCATAATTTTTTGATGTTGTAAGATGCCTGTGACCTCTAAAACTGATAAGAACCACTGGAGCCTAAAATGAGCTATTGGTATGTGGTCCACCCATACCACATGCTTTAAATCCTAGCACACTTCCTCTTATTTTTAGAGTCTAGCAGAAGGCTAGACAATTTTAGGCCATCAAATAGTCTCTTTCTCATTCCTCAAAATTGTATGATCTTCTCCCTTCATATATCTAAACAGAGCATGTATTTATTCCTGAATTCAGAGGTTATAACCCAAAGTTTCATGTGTCCAGATCTGGAGAGAAATGAATAAAACACCATTAAACATTCCTGCCCACATGGAAACTGTTCAACCTTAATGGCTGCTCTTTTCTATGCTATCTCTCTTCCACTTTTAATGCATCTGTTTGATGTCTAATTTGTTACATCAATACGAATTTTGGATGTGGGTAGGGGAAGAGTGTTTGGGATCAATTAAGATGACAAATAAGGAATGTAATTGACTCATATCTACTTACCTTAATTTTTCTTCCATAGCTACTCACAGCTAGATCTACTTAGGTCTCATACCTACTATGTAATACCCACCTCAATTATTGATTCAAATGTAAATTGGGAAGAAATTATTTTTCCAATATAACCTAATAGTTTGGTGGGATGTGTAAAAACCCTGATAACTCAAACAAACAATTTGTTTTCCCTCCATCTCTGCAAGTTTTTGCTAAAAATTCGAATCAGGTCTGGCAAACCACTTTTTAATCCATGATTTCCACATTGTCCAGTGGGATTTTCTAACCCCAATCAGTTAGTTTATTTCCTAAGCCTGAGCGTACCTGAATTTCCTTCATCAGTGTCTCATGTGTCTCTGCTTCCCAAGCTATTGTAATCTTGTGAAGCAAGGTATTATCTAATATTATTTATTTGTTCTTTTTAAATTCTGGGATAGTTCTGAGCATTAAGTGGCATGAATGGAAAAGAGAAATCATGAGATATTAAGCCTGGAAAATGCTGGATATATCCAGTTGGATATATTAAGTGGTGTACTGGGAATGTTTAACAACAAGCTGTACAGAGAGAGAGAGAGAGAAAGAGAGAGAGAGAGAGAGAGAGAGAGAGAGAAAGGAAGGAAGAAAGAAAGAAAGAAATAAAGAAAGAAAGAAAGAGAGGAAGGAAGGAAGGAAAGAAGGGGAGGGGAGGGAAGAGAGGGAAGGGAGGGAAGGGAAGGAAGGGAAAAAGAAAAAGAAAGAAAGAAAGAAGGAAGGAAGGAAAGAAAGAAGAAAGGAAAGGAAAGAAAGAAAAAAGAAAGAAAAAGAAAGGAAGAAAGGAAGGAAAGAAGGAAGGAAGGAAGGAAGGAAGAAAGAAAGAAAAAGAAAGAAAGAAGGAAAAAAAAACTGACTCTGATTAGTTTCTTTTGTATTCCCTCCATGGCTGATTTCACGCTATGGAATTGTGGAAAGATGTAAACAACCAGTACTCGTGAGCTGCTACAGGCCATCACTGGTTATATACATAGGAAAAGTAGAAAAGACTACCAATATGCTGCGGGAAATCAGGGACCCCGAAAGAAGGGACCAGCTGAAGCCGCAGCAGAAGAACATAAATTGTCAAGATTTCATGGACATTTATCAGTTCCCAAAATTAATACTTTTATAATTTCTTATGCCTGTCTTTACTGCAATCTCTGGACATAAATTATGAAGATTTCATGGACATTTTTGTAACTTCCCCAATCAATACTGTTATAATTTCCTATGCCTGTCTTTACTTATCTCTTAATCCCGTGATCTTCCTAAGCTGAGGACGTATGTCACCTCAGGACCCTGTGATGATTGCATTAACTGTACAAGTTGTTTGTTAAACATGTGTGTTTGAATGATATGAAATCTGGGCATCCTGAAAAAGAACAAGATAACAGCGATTTTCAGGGAACAAGGGAGATAACCATAAGGTCTGACTGCCTGTGAGGCCGGGCAGAACAGAGTCATATTTTCCTTCTTGCAGAAAGCAAATAGGAGAAATATCGCTGAATTCTTTTCCCTGCAAGGAATAACCCTGGGGAAGGAATGCATTCCCAGGGGTAGGCCTACAGATGACTGCTCTCGGAGTGTCTGTCTTATGCAGTTGAAGATAAGGGATGAAATATGCCTTGGTCTCCTGCAATGCCCTCAGGCTTACCAGGATTGGGAAATTCCAGCCTGGTGAATTCTAGTCAGACCGGTTGTCTGCTCTTGAACCCTGTTTCCTGTTAAGATGTTTATCAAAACAATGCATGCCCAGCGGGACATGGAACCTCATCAGTAATTCTAATTTCGCCCTCTGCCTTGTGATCTTTTATTGCCCTCTGAAGCATGTGATCCCTGTGACCTACTCCCTATTCATACACCCCTCCCCTTTTGAAATCCCCAATAAAAACTTGCTGGTTTTGCAGCTCAGGTGGGCATCACGGAACCTACCAATAGGTGATGTCATGCCCGGAGGCCCAGCTGTAAAATTTCTCTCTTTTGTACTCTTTCTCTTTATTTCTCAGACCGGCCGACACTTAGGGAAAATAGAAAAGAACGTACATTGAAATATTGGGGGCTGGTTTCCCTGAAACCAATACAATTGTAAAAAGTTCCAATTTATCTTCATAGCCTTCTTGTCACTCTCTCTTCAGCATTCCTTTCCAAAATGTCAGAAAGTCAGGCCCTTTCTTGGAGATATTTGTAATATCTAAATATCCAAATTCAAATATTTCCATATATTTGCATATGTAATTTGCAATTTTATATGTATATTTGTAATGTATTACATGAAAATAAAAATATTTTCTTGTTTTAAGATTAGACTACATCTTACGAACGTTTGCAGTATAGTGAATTGCTATGTACATAACTGAAATTTACAACGTTTTATCAGAAAATGCAAAATTTATTTTGCATTCAAGAATTAAGTTTCACAACATCATGGGGGTATCTACATAGAGGAAACCTCTCATTTAATATTTTATCCTGAAATATTGGTAGAGATCTTCATCAAAACCAAATATTTTTGTGTTTCACATGGTATTTGCAAATATTAATATTTAGCCCATGAGGAAAATTAAACATATTTGATCCAAAGATCATAGGGAAAAATGAAAATGTTAGAATTATAAATAAATTGAGAGTAGAATGCTTAACAATACTGGTTAAATTTTAATAAAATGGAAACTAAAAAGAATGTTTTTTGATTTCATGGAAATTCACCATTTTTTCTCTGATTTTTAAGGTAGCATCATTATACAAAAGGAAACGTAATACCATACAAAATTGAGGAATCAACACTACATATATAATTTATTACTGGGCTCTAAAAGTTTTGATTTTTTTTCCCTTAATTTGTTTCTTTTCAGGGTTAAAATCATATTAACTTAATAAAATTAGTATTCCAAAAGTGTGTGTATATATATATAAATATATATATGTAAAATATAAGTAAAAGTAAATATATATGTAAATTGTATATACAGTATATATATATATATATTTTTGATGCACCAACAAGGATGAACTAGCATAATGGAAAATTTCATATTTTAGGAAAAGCTTTGTCATGGACCTGTGTTCTAAAAGAAATTTTATAATAAACCATTTAGATTCTGTTAAAAATAACAAAGTATACATTTTATAAGGATTTAAAAGGAAAGTGCCTTATTTATATAAAGATAACATAAATCCTTAGTTACATTAATAAGAGAGTCACTGGAATAATAGATAATATTATGTTTATAGGAAATGTTAATTTATTTATTTTTTTATTTTTTATTTATTTACTTTTCGAGACAGAGTTTTGCTCTGTCACCCAGGCTGTAGTGCAGTGGTGCAATCTCGGCTCACTGCAATGTTCACCTCCTGGGTTCAAGCGATTCTCCTGCCTCAGCCTCCTGAGTAGCAGGGATTAGAAGTGTCCACCACCACACCCAGCTAATTTTTGTATTTTTAGTAGAGACGCCACTATGCTCAGCTAAATTTTGTATTTTTAGGTTTTGCCATGTTGGCCAGACTGGTGCCCAACTCCTGACCTCAGGTGATCCACCCGCCTCGGCTTCCCAAAGTGCTGGGATTACAGGCGTGAGCCACTGCACCTGGCCTGTGAAATATTAATTTTATAAGGCATATTTGAACCTTTTTAACCCCCTAGACCTTACTTTTCAACTGAGGGAACTAAGGCTTAGAAATATTAAATGACCTGCTCAAGGTTACATATTTCCAAATTACACAGTTGATATTAAAGTATCCTTCAATTCACTTACTAAACCATGTTATTTTCCACAAGAATTCTACTAACTCTCAATAGAACAAGTTTCTGGTTTCTCACTTTTGTTATGATGGAAAAACATTTGCCAGCCAGTAGTATTTTGGAAAGTGTTTTTAAAGTACCTGTTATATATACTTAAGACAGTATTATACATACAGTAATGTGCCAACATATATATATTAAGAAAATTTTTAATTTGTGGTGTTTATATATTCTAGAGATGATAATAAGAATAATACGTTTTAATCAGTTTGTGATTGTAACAATATACTTGTCAATATATATAGCTTAAAACATAGTAATTCAGATGTGCTCTGCTCATGTAAACTATAGTGAAAAAAATAAATATTTTTGTGAATTATATACTTCTTTCAGTACTTCCAAAGATGAAAATATGTTGTTAGAAACTACACACACACACACACACACACACACACACACACACATTTATGTATGTATTTTACATTTCCAAACTGTGCTTTGTTGACATATCTATGATTATTACTGTATTTGTAGAAATACACGTAAAATACACACAATATGAGTTTTTGCCTTGAAGAGAAAATAATTTCATTCACGTAGACATTTCAACTTTAAAAAGGAAAGATAAATTACATTTTATAAGATGGAATCACAGTGAAATTATCAAAGAATTATGCTCATCTTATTTTTGGCATATTACTCTGTGGTAAGGCATAAATTAAGTGACTGGATGAATTTGTTAGATATAGGTATTTTTTATATTATTCTGCTAACAATAGCAATGTTTTCACTATATGAGAAACATCACCAACATTGTCCCCAGTTAACTGATTTCCCTAAGTCAAATTCTTCTTTAGCAGTTGGGAATGAATATTATGAACACAATTATGTACCATCTCACTTACTCTTCAATGAAAAAGGCATACTCCACATATTGGTTCTAGATTTATAAACTGCCTCTCTGTTTGAAAGCATTTAAATTTTAAATGCACTTGAGGACAAAAAAAAAAAGAATTTTTAATGTCAGATAATAATGCACACAATAATATGAATATTTCCAAAACACTTTTTTTTTTGAGACAGAGTCTCGCTCTGTCACCAGGCTGGAGTGCAGTGGCATGGTCTTGACTCACTGCAACCTCCGCCTCCTGGTTTCAACCGATTCTCCTGCCTCAGCCTCCCGAGTAGCCGAGACTGCCACCACGCCCAGCTAATTTTTGTATTTTTAGTAGAGACAGGGTTTCACCATGTTGGCCAGGATGGTCTCAATCTCTTGACCTTGTGATCCACCCCCCTTGGCCTGCCAAAGTGCTTGGATTACAGGCGTGAGCCACCACGCCTGGCCCTGAAAACACTTTTAATTAATATATATTCTATTCAGCTTGTTTTGGAAAGTTGTTTTGTTTTGTTTTGTTTTGTTTTGTTTTGTTTTGTTTTGTTTTGTTTCTTGAATTTTTGCCAGAGAGGAGAGAGCTAGTTAATGTTCCATGGTTTCTATTTCCCTCTTGGGAAGAAATAGTCTTAGTTCTTCAACTGGTACTTTAAAAAGGTCTCAATTTCATCATATTTATTACCTTTATCTCCTTAAAATCTCCAGACTAATTCATCCATTGTCCGTAAATACATAATAGTCTTTTTCATTCATGTCCCACTCATGCTATTCTCCCATTTCATTACTATTTGTTGTGATTCCATCCTTTGGTCAATGTTTTCTTGAAGGCTCCTAAGTTTGTTTTTTTTTTTTTCTCATTGCCATAGCACATACTATATTACCCTTTGTCCAAAGTTCAGTAATTACTAATATCTGTATTTGTCATCAATTACTTTGAATTACACTCATTTTATTATTTTCTTCTTGTCTTGATACTTGGATTATAAACTTCTTATGAGCAAAGATTTGAAGTATTCCAAAATTCCTCAAATTGTATTTTTCTTAATAATGTTAGCTCTCAACACAGTGTATGTTTAGAAGTCATCTCTCCATACGATAAAGAATATATAATAAAATATACTACATATTTTCCTTTTATTTTTATATCTAGTTTTAGAACACAATTAAGGAAGTTGAACCAGAAGAGTTTACATTCATTATTGCAAATAGAAGAGTCTATTCTAAAACTAAACAACAGGAATATTTAGAGCTTTGTTAGCTTGAAATACTCTCAGTATAATAGTTAAAACTTGAGAAATTTTATGTATCAAGCACTTTGTATCCAGGTTTTTATTTAATCCTTATAACACATGTCTATTATTATACTGAAACTGACCCAATTGTCCCATAAAGCTGATGTTAATGGTTTCTTTTGAATAAACATGCAAATTGATCCTCCCAGTCTTAAATTTTCAGAAAGTTAAAGTTGTTGTATCTGAGTTTCTTTCTCAGGAAACCGACCCTCAGACCTTCCAGATAGTACCAAGGAACCGAAACATACCAGATCATCTCATCTGGCCAATAAGATGCCAGACTCCTCATCCATCATGATTGCCTAATTGACGACCTGCTTCCTGTGGACCAACTCCTCTTTCTTACCCCTCCCTCATTCCTGTTTTCTAACACACAGTTCCATTTCTTCTCTGCTATATAAACCTTTAATTTTAGTGCATCAGGGAGACAGATTTGAGACGGATCTCCTGTTCTCCTCAGCTGCAGCAGCCTAATAAAGCCTCCTTTATGACAATACTTGTTGTCTCAGTGATTAGCTTTCTGTGCAACAAGCAGCAGAACCTCGACTGAACTCCTGGCATTTCAGTAACAATAACTCTTGTGGAAATGACAAGACTGAGTCTTGTGCATACTAAATAACTTCTGCAAGGTAAAAGAGCTAATAAGTAGTATAAGAGGGCATTAAGCCAAGGATGTCATCTTCACAAACACAACTGCACACTAACATATTCAGAGTGAAGACACATTAAAGCCTAAGACACCTGAATCTTCGACTTTATAGATGTGAAAACCAAGACACGGGTTAAATATCTTGCCAAGATCATACAGGTACTAAGTGAAGTAAGATAAGAATAAAAATCTAGTGCCTCCAAGCTTGCTCTATTTTAGTAAGCAGAGACCAGTCTTCCAGTTAATGCCTGGAGGTTAACTTTAGTTGCTGTAGATAGCTTAAGTAATATAAATTTATTTTTAAAATTCTTTAATGTTTGGTAGTATAACCAACTCTTCAGATGTAGGCTAGACTTGAATGTGCTAGAAATTTTTTTAAGTGAGAAATAATCAAGGTGAGATAAGTTACATATATGTAATTACATGTGTATGCATATATATGTGTGTGTGTATACACACACACACACACACATATATATATATATAAAATATATATAAAATACTGAAACTAGGCAGCTGTGTTTCTTAAGGGAAACACTGCATTATCCTAAGTCCATTCGTTTGCAGCCTACCAGGGAGGGTATCTTCCTTTTTCTTACTAACTTAGATGTTCTATTTTCCCCTAATGCCAATGTTAGAAACTCAAGTGGCATTTGTGAGTATTCATAAAAGAATTTTAGCTACTTCCTACACATACCTGTTCTGATATAGCCAAAACCATTTGGTGACATTATCAACTAATTAAGGTGAGAAATGTGATAGAAAGAGCACATGCCACATGGAACAAATATAAAAGTGTCAACCACATAAATGGAAAATTCCATCGTGTTGGTTTCTCTGTGAAACATGAGTTGTGTACTAAATTCCTTCCTTAATACATGAGAGTCATAATCTCAAAATAAATAAAAGTATATAGTATTTAATTGAAACCAACATTAGTTGAGACTCTACTATAAAGAACACCTGTTAGATTTGATAAAAATTATATAGAAGAATAAAAGAGGGTCTCTTCTCTTAAGGGTGCTTATCTTCTGAAGAGTATGGTGTAGAGTGAAATTAAATAAAAATGCATGCCGAAGAAATTAAAGATAAAATTAATAACTTCCATACTACAGAATGAGAATCAATCATATTTAATTGAGAAGGAATTTTAAAAGTTTTCAAGAAGAGAAGCTATTTAGGTGAGTTTTAAAATAACAGGCCAAAATATTCAGTACCTAATATTATTATCTACTTAGAACATATTTTACATATTGTGAAAAATGAATATATTACTTATAAAGTAAAATATTGTTATAATTATAAAGTGGTAACAGGCAGAAGAACAGCAAAATTAATAGGTGTTGGAAGTCAGGTATCAAAAGTTAGTGGAGGATTATTGCAAAGTTTTATAATCTGTCCAGTAAATTAAAAATAATACATTTTATTAACATTATTTTTAGAATATAAAGCAAATTAATATCATCTATTCCATTCTTCTTGATTACATACTTATAAAACAGAAACCATTTCATTTTTTCTAGTAAAGAACACTATGGATATACATAGACTACTTAGCAGATATTTGCTAAGCTCCAACAATACATCTCCCCCAGAATATTCTAAACATTAAGGCATCCATTTGGCAAATAATATACCTCATATCATTTATTCTCCTTTACAAGACATTTCTTATATCTTGGCACCAAATAATTCTGAAGGAATGAAGTAGTCATTCCTAACCAGATCGTAGAGGACCACCTGGCAGAAAGACACACCATGTATCTCACTGGAATTTTTCTAATACTGCCCTAACACACTGGCCAAATATGCTTAATCAATGAGTCTAAGTAATTGAATTTTCAAAAATAAGCTTATTCCTTTGCATGAGTATATTAACAAGATATGCCACAAATGATTATTCTTTTAAAGCAGATGGTGCATTTTCAGCAACAATTATTGAAGAGTAGATATCTATATTTAAACAAATTCCACCACCTACTATCATGTTTCATTTGACAATCTGTTCTTTTCAATTCTAAGATTCTCATCTTTTGTGAGTTGAGAACCTTCTTAATGTGTTTTAGAGAAATTGAAATACTTTGTTGTTATATCAAGTACATCTCAAATTTGCAAGGGTTAGTGCTGCCTTTTCAAAGCAGAAACACAAATTCCCCATAATTCCTGGCCATTTGAGAAATATTCCATGTGAGGAAGATCACGAAAATAAGAATAAGTTACTTAATTAACTAGTATGTATCCTTCAAATTCACCCTAGATACCATATGTAGTAGTATAACAATTTTCAATAATAGTTAATCAATCATTTCAAAAATTTACTTATGTTTTCTGCAAAGCAAAATACTATTTTGAAGGTGTTTTATTGCTTTAAAGTAGCAATTACAATGATATCTGTTATGTTTATTTTATATTTATGATAACCTTATATTAATTTTTTTGGGGGAAAAAGGGTAAGGAAAGGTGAACTTCCATCCAACTTTCTATAATCTTCCATCAGAATTCTGGTTAGCACTGTCTGGCCATTCATCCAATAACTCAAATTTATTGCCTAATTGCCTGGAGCACAGTTAGTTACATAATAATTGTGCTAAAAAAATTGGGAGTATTTTGACCTAATAGTGTCGTGTCTAAGTCACCAACTACAGACTCATCGTCCTGAGGAAAACACAAGTGAGCACTCCAGTGTCATGTTAAATGGAAGCAAACCACAGCCAGTCAGGAACAGTGTACTTAACATTAAAAGAGAGAAGTCGACTTAAATATATCTTAATTTACAAGAATTGCTTCAAGTAAATTAAAAGTAATATTCAGGATTATTCTTAGAAAAGCAAACTCCCCTATGCTTTGGGAGGCTGAAGTGAGAGGATCGCTTGAGGCCAGGAGTTCCAGAAAAGCAACCTCCCCTCTTTAGTCTTAACAAACTGACTTTGGGCTGTGATAAGGAAGCTATAGCACAAAAGTTGTGATATTGTAAGCTTAAGAATTGCTGAACTGAAATAGATGTTGTACTACATTCCCTTAATATGCCTTCTGATTTTGTAACTAGACCTCATAAAAAGTGATACGGTTAATGATAAGATTTAACATTAATATTAAAGTGTTAATTTTAATAAGATCCTTTGATACACAGAAAAACACTAGTCACACTTGGTGACACAATTCAGTTTAGACCATTATTATCTTTATTATCTTTTTTTTCTATATGTAACATATGGGTGAATAGTGGTAAAGGTAGGAATATAGGCAAGCTTCCTAAAAGTAGGAATATAGCAAGTTGTTGCTAAAGCTATCTATTTAGTAAATAAAATGTGGTCCGGTAGAGTATGCGCTAGCTACAGGTGACTATTGAGAACTTGAAATATGGCTAGTCTGAATTCAGATGTGCTATAGGTGTTTATACACACTGGATTTCTTTTTTAAAAAATATTTATCATTATTATTATTTTTAGTACAGGGAGAGTGTCACTATGTTGCCCAGGCTGGTCTCAAACTCCTGATCTGAAGCAATTTTCCCTCCTTGTCCTCCCAAAACACTGGGATTACAGGTTGAGCAACCATAACTGGCTTGGATTTCTGAAGGAATTAAAAATGTAAAATATATATTTAATATATTGAATGTATACTGAGATAATATTCTTCATATATTGAGCTAGATAAAATACATCATTAAAATAATTTCGTCTTTTTTAAAAAATTCTTTCAATGTGGTTAATAGAAAAAAAATTTTTTTTTTTTTGAGATGGAGTCTCACTCTGTCACCCAGGCTAGAGTGCAGTGGCACGATCTCGGCTCACTGCAAGCTCTGCCTCTCGGGTTCACGCCATTCTCCTGCCTTAGCCTCCCAAGTAGCTGGGACTACAGGTGCCTGCCACCACTCCTGGCTAATTTTTTGTGTTTTAGTAGAGACGGGATTTCACCATGTTACCCAGGATAGTCTCGATCTCCTGACCTCGTGATCCACCCGCCTTGGGCTCCCAAAGTGCTGGTATTACAGGCCTGAGCTACTGCACCCAGCTGGTTAATAGAAAATTTTAAGTTACATATGTGGTTCTACTTAGTGACTCACAATATATTTCTGTTGTTCAGTGTTGCTCTACCACAGGTTTTTTTAACCCATAATTAAGCAACACTATTGACATTTTGGGCTGGATAATTATCTGTTGTAGGGAGATATCCTGTGCATCATATGATGTTTGGAAGCATCTCTAGCCTCTACCTGCTAGATGCCAGGAGCATATCTCCCCAACCTGTGACAACCAAAAATGTCCCCAGACACTTGCCAAACATCCCCTGGAGGCAAAATTACTCCTGTTTGAGAACCACTAGTCTACTACAGCATCCAAAGTAATCTCATATTGCCATACCAAGACAATTTTTCAATGCTATATTTGACAAAGGAAAAATGCACATACCTAAAATTCAAAGGCATTGCATTTGCTCATTTGATATGCTTAGCAAAGTAATTATTTTTCAATATGTTGTTTCCTATTAGAAATGCAATGCTATTGTATTATAATGGAAGAGCAAACTGTATATAGAAATAAGACCGACAGAATGTTCACAAAACTATGAATTCTAACACATTTCATTAATTTAAAATAAATGTAAATAAAAATTGGTTCACAAAAATTTAAAATTAAAATTTCAATATATAACTTTTTTTAAAAGATCACCTTTTCAAGACAGTGACATTTTTCATAATGACAAATGATATGGTTTGGATTTGTGTTCCTGCACAAATCTCATGTCAAATTGCAATCCCCACTGTTGAAACAGGGGCCTGGTGGGAGGTGATTGGATCCTGGCGGCGGACTTCCTCTTTGCTGTTCTCATGATAGTGAGTGAGTTCTCATGAAATCTGGTTGTTTAAAAGTGTGTAGCACCTTCCCCCCCTTCGCTCTCTCTTCCTCCCACTCCATCCCCGTAGGACGTGCCTGCTTCCCCTTCACCTTCCACCATAATTATAAGTTTCCTTAGGCTGCCTTAGCCATGCTTCCCGTACAGGCTGTAGAACTATGAACCAGTTAAACCTCTTTTCTTTATAAATTACTCAGTTTCAGGTAGTTCTTGTTTTGTTTTGAGACAGGGTCTCACTTAGTTGCCCAACCTGGAGTGCAGTGGTGTGATCTCAGCTCACTGCAACATACACCTCCCAGGCTCAAGCGATCTTTCCACCTCAGCTTCCTGAGTAGCTGGGATTACAGGCATGTACCACCATGCCTGGCAAATTTTTTACTTTTTTTTTATAGAGACAGGGTTTTGCCATGTTTCCAAGGCTGGTCTCAAATTCCTGGGCTCAAGCAATCCACCTGCCTCAGCCTCCCAAATTGCTGGGATTACAGGTATGAGCCACCGTGCTCAGCCTCAGGAAGTTCTTTATAGCAGTGTGAGAACTGAATAATATACCAGTTTAAATTTACATAAATAACAGATTAATGTGGATAGATTCTTTATATAAATTCCTGGGTTATGACTTTGGGTCACATCCAAGGAACAGTGGCTTTCAAGTTTTCCAGTATAAATTTTAAGTTTATAGTTGACTTCATGACAGTGTTTTACCAGAAAAGGAGAATAATGGAACTGTACCTAATAAAACTGCTTGTTTTATTAACCATGTAGCAACTTAAAAAGCAGCTCAAATTCCTCAACATGTAGCTAATACCTGTTGATTATATTGTTAAGCAAAGAAATCTTTAGTATATTTAGCTCAAGCCAGTAGTCTAAAGTGGTTTTTATCACAGTTCTGCTACAAGCCGTTTTAAATAGTTACTATTTCTTTATTTTGTGGTACCACACAAATCAATAACTGACTGAATTAGAGCTTTTATATGATATTAATGACTATGTTAATACTCAAAGTTGTTTTCAACTGTGAAAAAGCGACAGGAGATCTCATGCCTCATTTGTGTTTCATTTGAAGCAGAGGCGAAAACCAAATCTTTTTAGCAAGAAAGAAAAATAAATTTGCATAATGAAATATAATCATTTTGTATATTTCTCATTTTTATTTTAAATTGAGGAAATATGCATTTGAATTCACAGTAACTGCTCTCAAGGCACGGTGAGTTAATAATGTCAATTTGTTGCTAAGACTTCATTAAAAAATGGGGAAGAGAAGGAACGAACTGTTCAGATAAAATAGAATAGCTAAAAGCACAACTAAGCATTGTTCTCAGTAGGCATAAATGGCAGAATTTTCTCTGTGACAACAAAGAACAGCCTATAATAGGACAATTTATATTAGCATGTTTGTTATCAAGTACATCCTCTCTTAAGATTTTAAAACACCTGCTCTATTTCTTTTTCTACCACTATAGTCGTCTCGTATGCCAAGGACCATTACTACCATGTTGGCTATTGATGGACAAAGCTGCTACTTTGGGTCAGTGATTAGCTTCAGGGTAGTACTGAAACTCTGTGACCCAAGGCTGTGACATATATGTGCAAATAAATAAGTAAAATATTCCTCTTTTTAAGACTAATACCTCCCATTTCATAAGACTTATCCATTTCCTAGAAATATTATCCAACTTGAAATAAATATTTAGCAGTTATTGGGGTGGGGTGGTGGTGAGGAGATTAGTTCATTACTACAGAGAGCCAAATCAGTTGTTAGCCAAAACTAAAAAAAAAAAAAAAAAAAAAAAAAAAAAAAAAAGCATAGCTAACTACTTATTGTCTCCATGATTTCACGCTTTTTGTTACGATGCCAGCTAACTTATGTCATCCTTTTGTTTAATCATCATGTGTATAGACACTCCCAAGGGCCTATGGCTTTCTATGTTAGTATACACATTTTGTACATGTTGATGGGAAATTTTGCAGCCTGAAGCCAAGAATCTTGAGACTTAGAATAACTTTGCCAAAAGTCATTCTGGCAAAGTAATTATGAAACAGGAAAGGTTCCCCTGTCCCCATCGCCAGGGCATGATACAGGGGGCGTGGCTCACTTCTTCAGTGGCCCGCTGCTCAAACCTCTAGGGGAACATACAGACTGGCAGGTTGTGGGGCTCCGACCCCAAGGCAGCGTCTTGGTGTGAATGTTTACAGCTCCTGAAACCCCAGTGGGCATGTGTTACAGGGTGCTTTTAGTTTAGCCATCTTTAGACGGCTTGTGTTAGTCGGCTCAATTAGACCCCGTTCCTTATCACAAGGACAGAGGGATTTCTATATCCCAGAGTTTCTTGCCTTGGTGCACCAGAAGAATCATATCACACTAGGCTTGGAGAATGAATGCAAAGTTTTATTGAGTAGAAGTAGCTCCCAGCGGATGGGTGAGCCAGAAGGCAGATGGTTTTCCCTGGAGTTGGGCTGCTCTATGGCCCTGGCACTCCTCCAACTGCCCCGGCCAAACTCTGCCTCGTGCCACAGGTTGATGGCCTGCCCGCCTGCTGGCGTCTGTCAGTGTGCTCTTCCGCCGGCGTGCTCCTCTCTACGTCCTCTCGACATCCAGCTGCTTGTGTCTTCTCCCACCGATCTGCTCCTCTTCATGTCCAGCAGCTTGTGTCTCTACCTTGCTAGGGTCTCGGGTTTTTATAGGCCCAGGATGGGGGCGTGGCGGGCCAGGGTGGGCTTGGAAAATGCAACATTTGGGCAGCAAAACAGAAATACCGGTCCTCACCTAGGTCTGTAGTGGTAGAGCCCTAGCCAGGGACTATGCCTTCCTCTACCCAGCACTTCCCTTCCCCCGTTCCGTATCATTTAAAGGGACCACGTTCTTCCCTACCCAGCACTCCTGTATCAGTTACATTTAAAAGAACACCCTTCTGAAGAAACTCTTCATTAAATAATAGACAGAAGATAATATGTGGTCGTGGGTAGTGGGGAGGGGGAAGCAAAAACACAGTCTCGGGATAGGATATAGTAATTTGGATCCATTGGTTAAAAATTCCTAAAGAAGTGAACAACTACTTAGGGGCAGAGTTTCTTCTCTTTTCTCCTCCTCTTCTTCCTCCTCCTCCTTTTCCTTTCCTCCTCTTTCTTTTCTTCTCTCTGTTTCTCTCTCAGGAAATAAAGTCAACATACTGAGTTGCTGAGCAGACCTGGCCCTAGGCAGAATCATAAAGTAGGGAAGATTATGTGCATCATTTTTACTAAATACTTTAGCTTTTCTGTGCTATCCATCCATCTCAGTACCCATTATTCCCCTGCTCCACATTGTACCCTGAACTTAATTCTGCCATTTGTATCCATTGTTGTTGAAAAACTACTGCTATAACACCTACCAGTTCCTCAGGACCACTCTAATTTATGATATTAGCTCATATACAAATATTATAAAGTCATCTCTACTAGTGGCACGTTCATTTTTAGATAATCTATTATAAACAATACATGAAATGAATAAATATCTAAAATTGAACTGAAGGAAGCATTGGTGCAGACTGGGACAGAACAGTTAGGACAAATTTATTGCCAAAGTTGTTTATTATTGACACTATACATATATCCACTCCTCTCAATCACACAGAAATGTTGTCTACTCAGAACTTGATTCATGAAAATAATGTAGCTTAAACCTGTACAACTGTCTCATAGAACTGATATTTATTGTTTCCTTTGAATAAACAGGTAAATTTACCTTCCCAGTCTCAAAACTTGAGAAAGTTATATTTGTCTTATCTGAGTTTCTTTCTCAGCAAACCAACACTCAGGCCTCCCCGATAATATCAAGGGACTGAAACTCACTACGTCACTGCATCTGGACAATGAAATACCAGACCCCTCACCCATCATGACTTCCTCATTGACCATCTGCTTCCTGTCAATGAACTCCTCTCCTCCCTTACCCTAATTCATGCTTTCTTACACACATGGTTACATTTCTTCCCGCTATATAAAACCCTCATTTTAGGCAGTTTTGAGACTAAAATTAGACTACAATTATACTAAAATTTGGGGAGATGGACTTGAGACTTATTGTGTTAGTCAATTTTCATGCTGCTGATAAAGATATACCTTAGCCTGGGTAATTTATAAAGAAAAAGAGGTTTAATGTATTCACAGTTCCACGTGGCTGGGGAGGCCTCGCAATCATGGCAGAAGGTGAAAGGCATGTCTTACATGGCAGCAGGCAAGAGACATGAGAGCCAAGTGAAAAGGGAAACCCCTTATAAAACCATCAGATCTCATGAGACTTACTTACTACCATGAGAACAGTGTGGAGGAAACTGCCGCCCTGATTCAATTATCTTTCACCAGGTCCCTCCCACAACACATAGGAATTATGGGAGCTACAATTCAAAATGAGATTTGGGTGGGGAAACAGTCAAACCATATCATTCCAACTCTGGCCCTTCCCAAATCTCATGTCATCACATTTCAAAACCAATCATGCCTTCTCAACAGTCCCCCAAAGTCTTAACTCATTTCAGCATTAACTCAAAAGTCCACAGTCCAAAGTCTCATCTGAGACAAGACAAGTCCCTTCTGCTTATGAGCCTGTAAAATTAAAAGCAAGTTAGCTACTTCCTAGATACAATGGGGGTACAGGCATTGGGTAAATACAGCCATTCCAAATGTGAGAAATTGGCCAAAGCAAAAGGGCTACAGGCCCCACTCAAGTCTGAAATCCAGCAAAGCAGTCAAATCTTAGAGTTCTGAAATAATCTCCTTTGACTCCATGTCTCACATCCAAGGTGCACTGATGGAAGAGGTGGGATCCCATGGCCTTGAGCAGTCCCACCCCTGTGGCTTTGCAGGGTACAGCTCTTCTCCTGGCTGCTTTCATGAGCTGGTTTTGAGTGTTTGCAGCTTTTCTAGGTGTACAGTGCAAGCTGTAGGTGGATCTACCATTCTGGGGTCTGGAGGATGGTGGCCCTCTTCTCACAGCTCCACTAGGCAGCATCCCTGTGGGGACTCTGTGTGGGGGCTCCAACTCCACATTTCCCTGCCACACTGCCCTAGCAGAGGTTCTCCATGAGGGCCCCACCCCTGCAGCTAGAAATTCAGGCATTTCCATATAGCCTTTGAAAGCTAGTCGGAGGTTCCCAAACCTCAATCTTCAACTTCTGTGCACCTACAGATTCAACACCACATGGAAGCTGCCAAGGTTTGGGCTTGCACCCTCTGAAGCCATGGCCCGAGCTATACCTTGACCCCTTTTAGCCATGGCTGGAGTGGATAGGACACAGGTAATCAAGTCCCTAGGCTGCACACAGCAGGAGGGCCCTGGACCCAGCCCAGGAAACCATCTTTCCCATGAAACCATTTTTCCTTCGTAGGCCTCCGGTCCTGTGATGGGAGGGGCTGCTGTGAAGGTCTCTGACATGCCCTGGAGACATTTTCCCCATTGTTGTGGTGATTCACATTGGAATATTCATTACTTATGCAAATTTCTGCAGCCTGCTTGAACTTTTCCCCAGAAAATGAGGTTTACTTTTCTATTGCATCCTCAGGTTGCAAATTTTCCAAACTTTTTTGCTCTGCTTCCTCTTGAATGCTTTGCCACTTAGAAATTTCTTCTGCCAGATACCCCAAATCATCTCTCTCAAGTTCAAAGTTCCCCATATCTCTAGGGCAGGGGCAAAAATCCACCAGTCTCTTTGTATAGCAAGGGTCACCTTTACTCCAGTTCCCAACAAGTTCCTCATCTCCATCTGAGATCACCTCAGCCTGGACCTTATTGTCCATATCACTATCAGAATTTTGGGGAAAACCATTCAACAAGTCTCTAGGAAGTTCCAAACTTTCCCACATCCTCCTATCTTCTTCTGAGCCCCCCAAACTGTCCCTACGTCTGCCTGTTACCCAGTTCCAAAGTCACTTCCACATTTTCAGGTATCTTTACAGCAGTGCCCCACTACCTGGTATTAGCCTGTTTTCACAGTGCTAATAAAGACACACCTGAGACTGGGTAATTTATAAAGAAAAAGAGGTTTATTGGACTCACAGTTCCACATGGCTGGAGAGGCCTCACAATCATGGCAGAAGGTGAAAGCCACGTCTTACATAGTGGCAGACAAGAGAGAATGAGAGCCAAGCCAAAGGGGAAACCCCTTATAAAACATCAGATCTTGTGAGACTTATCCACTACCATGAGAACAGTATGAGAGAAACCGCCCCCATGATTCAATTCTCTCCCACCAGGTCCCTCCCACAACATGTGGGAATTATGGGAGCTACAATTCAAGATGAGATTTGGGTGGGGACACAGCCAACCCATATCAGTTATCTACCATTCTACTCAGCTGCAGCACCAGAATAAAGCCTTCTTCCCTGGAAATACTCATTGTCTCAATGATTAGCTTTCTGTTTGGCAAGCAATGGGACCTAGAGTCAATCCCTGACATTTTGGTAACAGCTAGTAGAGAGAAAATTGTTGTGAAAAAGATCATTCTTTATGTCTATTGACATAAAATAGCATTAAAAGACAAGGACATGTATGCAAAGACATTCTGACTTGAAGAGAGATGCAAAGTAGTGGTATATAGGAACATTTTACTAAGGAGACAGCAGAAGCTCCAATATAAAAAAGAAATGTCCAGATAAATTATTTCAGATATTCTCATGAGATAAACTCTACTTTTGAAATAAAAGCTGAACTGAATGGTGTATGGTCTTCTGTGCCCTTTGCACATCATTCATGTGTGATAAATAGCACAACAGCCCAGGGCAAAAGCAGCTAATGCAATCTCTTGGAAATGTTGTTTCTTATTTAGTCTACTTCTCTACCTTCAAGAATCTTAATAGAAATTTTCAGTTTTATTACATATATTCTAGATCTGGTGTCTGAAGAAACATCAAAAAGGTATATTGTTGGAGACAAAATTTCTTTTAAAACAGAATAAAGAAACCCCAGATGACTGATGGAGAATGCCCAGAGGTACATTCTGGAATGAATTCTATGTTATCTACCAAATAGGTCTACACACATACACATATAACATAAATTCAGGATATCAACAAAATGTTTAAATGTATGTAAAATTATTTTTCTATGAAGTAAATATGTATATTTAATAATTAAATATGTTGATACTAATTACAGGTCTTTTCAGAGACTATTTTAATAGTGTTTTTTTTTTCTCCAGGGGACTATAAATTACAATTTTTTTCTATAGAAGACAGGAGAGCAAATATTTTAGCCTTCACAGGACATACGAATTGTATTGTAACTAGTCAAGTCTGCTATTATGTTGTGAAAGCAGTCACAGACAATACATAAGTAAATGGAAGTGGCTCTGTTCCAATAAAATTTTACTTACAAAAACAGGCAATGGACTCAATTTGACCCACTACTGGAATTTGCTGATGTCTGCCCTAGATTATCTGTCCACATAACATTCTTCATTGTGGAGTGCAGATTTATTTCTTTTGAAGCTGTGGTTCCAGGAATACAGAATGCTGCAGTCAGATTTTTATTTTAACCTCCAAACTCTTTCAATAAATAGCTCAGAACCTTCTCCAGTAATAACCCAGAGAAGTGATTATGTATAGGACCTATTTACAATCTTTATTTTTTTCACATTGCTTTAGTGTCTTATAATTATCTCCCCCCGCCCCCGCCCTTTTTTTCACCTTCCTTGCAAATTTGTACTGCAAAGGCTGCTATCTTTTATGAAATTTCTAGTGAGGGAATTTTCAGTCTCTACACTTAATCAAAAGTTGAACAACCATGGTTATTCTCAATAGTCACTGTACATGTTTATACAAATGCATGAGTGATTCAACATGATTTATGTGAATCCATGTGTCTGGTTACCCAGGACAAGTTTCTCTCTGTCTACTTCCTCTATGTTACAGACTCTCCTGTCTGCCATGAGCACTCATCTGAACAAGGTGTTAATTATACTGTATTTCCATACTACTTTTAGAGGATAGGAAAGCCTCCTTTAAGCAGAAGTCAATGGCTCTACCTTTCGTCTTGCAAATTAATTATTAGAATAATGCTAGTGTAATTGAAGATTCCCTATGTGTCTGTCCCACAAATGCACTATAATAATGTTCCCTTCCACATCTTAGAGGCAGGTAACTGTTTTAATATTTTCTTTTCCAATACATATCACTAACACTATCCTATCCTTCCATATGTTTGTATTCAATATTTTCTTGATTTATGCCTGATTGTATAATCAGCTACTTGGATTATTTTTGAAGAACTGCTAATTTCTATGACATGCATTCCTCTGGTTACCAAATTCCACAATCATCAGACTTCCAAAATGACGTCTTCTACATTATATATATATATATACATTTTTATATATATATATAATATGTATATATGTATATATATGTGTGTGTATATATATATTATATGTATATATGTATATATATGTGTTTGTGTGTATATATATGTATTTTTTTTTTACTTCAAACAGAAGAATTTCAAAGCCAGAATCTAATGAAGTTTAGCCTGGCTGAACACTCTTGCAAAACATCTTTGTGGAAATACTGCTTATTTGATCTTAATTTCAAAACTTTTACATTTTTAATATTTGCATCTATTTTGTAATTAACAGTATAATGGAACATGGTACAAGTATGAAATTTAAAAATTTAAAAATAAAATAAATTTAAAAATAAAATATGTGTGTATGCGTGATATACAGGAAAGTGATACTGATAAGAGTGCATGATCTACTGGTTCCTGCTGGAATGAGTAGATGCAAAGTAGGATCTGGTCCAGACAGGATAAAGTAAATAAACCAGCAGGAACTAGTAGATGGTGACAAAAGGGATACCTAGCTGCCCTCATTGCTTTTTAGCATAAGACACTACCACCAGTGCCATGACAGTTTACAAATGCCATGACAACAACCCAGAAGTTACACCCCTTTTCAGGGCAACAACATGGAAGTTATCATCCCCTTCCAAGAATGTTCTAAATAACCAACCGCACAATTTGCATTGACCCACTCCTTAATTTGCATGTAAATGGAAGTGAGTTTAAGTGGATATAAACAAAATTAACAATAGCCAGTATGTTGTCTACTCTGGGCACACTGCCTTTGACTTAGCCCTGCCCCACAAGGAGCAGTACCATTTAATAAAAGATTCTAATACCACCAGTTTATCCTTAAATTCTTACCTAGGCAAAACCAAGAACCTGCCTGGGCTAAGCCCCAGTTTTGAAGCATTTCTTTAAAAGGAGAAGAACATGGCAGTATGTGCAACAAGATGGGACATACAGTGCTTTTACTGGTCCCCAGTTTGAGAACCCACGTTGATATTTTGATATAGATCATTCTACTGCTAATAATTCAATCTTATAGGTAGAACATATGTTCTGGGTTCTTTGAGCTGTTGACATGTCCTATCATGCTAATAGTTATCAATGTTATGACCTTATATTCTTCATATTTCCCAAATTGATAGAGATATAGAGATCACTTAGATATCAAGATTACTTAGATATCACCTAATGTTATATATAATAGACCCTTTTGCAGTAAATATTGCATCAACCAAATAACTCACATAAGCATTATTTCTGCGTCAGGCTCGTGGGATAATTATTGAAGTTTATCCTGAGAATTATTGCATTAATTATGGTTTATCATTTAAAGAGCCTCAAACATTAGGGATGAAGGAATTTATCTAAACAATTCAGACCAAAAGAAAAAAACAAGCTTAGCCAACACATTGTCTCTATGTTACATGAATGATCCCCTAATTCTTTTTTCTGTTTCCAGTGTTGCATTTCCTAGATGTTTACCTCAAAACAAGTACATGATTGGAATGTGTATTAAATAATAATTAGCAGAAAAATAGGAAAAACTCTGGAAATTCTAATTATATCAGATCTGTCAAGTAGTTGATGGTACAGATAATCATGAAATTCAACCTTCCTTTCCTAGTTTATTATAATGATACCTGCAAATGATCAAGGAGTAGATTAAAGTCTGTATTTCAACTACTATATGGAATATACATGTTTCTTTGTGCCCTGTTTATTTTATGTAAAATAACAATTACTCCTTTTAACGTACAAATAACATCTTTTAAGGCATAAGTATAAAATATCTGTTCATCTCACTGACCCTTTACACCAGCTGTAGGGCTATTTCTTCCACGGCCTAGAATGAAATTTCAGGCACATCTTATAAAATTTAGATTACTATTAGATAATGAAAAGATCTTTGGCCACATTTAGTCATAAACAGTCTCATTTTTACAACTAAAACGTCCAGTTTACTAAAATTATCAAAATACCACCGTGTTACTGAATTAGGAGATGATTGTCTTGCTTGCTCCAGTCCTACATCACTCTTGGGTATTATGTGGTTCTTCATCTTCATCATCCCTACACTGCCTTAAATTTCTGTTTCTTTCCTCACTCTCGTTCCCAAATGGGCAGCCTATAAGATCAATAAAACTTTTGCTTAAATGATGTCTTTCCTTTATGATTTCCTCTAGGTATGGCAGATTCTTAACATCAATTATTATTACATGGAGTGCTTTTCTGTGTTTGTGAGAATGATTGAGAACTATTCCAACTGGAGCCATTTAAGTTCATCACTCCTAACTTTGCAAATATCTCTACTCTGGCTGGCAGTTTAAGACAATTTCCTCAGTTCCTATTTTTAGGCTAGGGTCATATTCTTCAACTAGGCAATAATCTTAGGAAGGATCCAATACTTTTCAGAGGAAACACAGGCAGGCTCCCTTACATAAAGTCCACATTTAATCCATTTTAGATTGTTTTTCCATTTAAAAAAATTATTCATTTCTGTTTTTGATGAGTGTGCAGTTTGACAGCCATGGTCTCCCTGTCTATTTGGTAGAATTTTTTTTTGAGATGCAAATCTTTCATTTCTCCATCTATAACCGAAATTCTAGGAGGCAGGGATTTTATTTTCCAAACAGGTTAGTTAGCATTGTGTCACATTTACTCTAAGTCCTTGTTTTCAAAGAAATAAATCTTTTTGGATCTCTAGCTGATAACACTTCTTAACTTTCTCCCCAAAGGTACTCACTATCCAGAAAGTTGTATGTATATTTTCTAAGTTTTCTATTTCCTTACATTTGTAAGGATCCATAAATAATGTTATACATTTTTGTCTTTTGAAGCTTCGTATAAGTGATGTAATATTATTGTATCTTTCTGAAACTTGAGTTTCTCTCAACTTTATGTTTTTAAATTTTAGTGTTAATAACACATACACAATTCAGGAGTTGTATAACATCACAATCCTGACTCTTAATACACGAGTACTTACTCATTTACCTCAACTTCTACTGAGTACTTCATTGAAGAAATATATGATTTATTGATCTACTTTTCTATGTATAGGCAGTATATTGCTTCTAATTTTTCATGATTATGAACAATGTTGTTTTAAATAATTGTGCAAATGTTTCCCCATGTTACATTTTCTAGTATCTCTAAGATACATTCCTGTAAATTGAGTAGTTAATCTTAAGGTGTAAACATACTTAATTATTGTAAAGCTTGCTGAATTGCTCTTTTAAGTGACTTACAATTTTCCACTACCATGGCAGCATATTGAGGGCTTTTGACTTCCCAAATTCTTATCGAAACTCTTCTACAGACTTTGGAAAAAATTGGCAATCTGGTGAGTGTTATATTTTTAACACCATTCCTAAATCATTGGTGAGTTTGTGCGTATGTGTGCAATATTTGTGTTTTCCTTTTCATTGTTTTCTCTCTGTCTCTTTAATTTACAAGTGGCTCTTAAATATTTTGAA